>NC_000006.12:86398261-87023261 GCF_000001405.40 Homo sapiens
TATAAAGACACATGAACACATATGTTTATTACGGCACTATTCACAATAGCAAAGACTTGGAACCAACCCAAATGTCCATCAAAAATAGACTGGATTAAGAAAATGTGGCATGTATACACCAAGGAATACTATGCAGCCATAAAAAATGATGAGTTCATGTCCTTTGTAGGGACATGGATGAAGCTGTAAACCATCATTCTCAGCAAACTATTGCAAAGACAGAAAACCAAACACCACATGTTCTCACTCATAGGTGGGAGTTGAACAATGAGAACACGTGGACACAGGATGAGAACTTCACACACCAGGGCCTGTCGTGGAGTAGGGGGAGTGGGGAGGGATAGCATTAGGAGATATACCTAATGTAAATGATGAGTTAATGGGTGCAGCACAGCAACATGGACCATGTATACATATGTAACAAACCTGCACATTGTGCACATGTACCCTAGAACTTAAAGTATAATAATAAAAAAAGAGGTTTAATTTGCTTATTGTTCCACAAGCTGTATAGAAGGCAAGATGCTGGCACCTGGTTGGCCTTGGAAGTTACTTGGAAGCCCCAGGAAACTTACAATTATGACAGGAGGTGAAGGGGAAGCAGGGATGTCTTACAAGGCCAGAGCAGGAGCAAGAGAGAGCAAGGAGTGGGGGCTGCTACACACTTTTAAACAACCAGATCTCATGTTAACTCACTCACTCACTATCACAATAACAGCAGCAAGGGGATAGTGCTAAACCATTAGTGATAACTCCACACCCATGATCCAATTACCTTCCACCAGGCCCCTCTTCCAACAATGGAGATTAAAATGTGACATAAGTTTTCGGCTGGGACACAGATTCTAACCATATCATTCCACTCTTGGTCCTTCTCAAATACCATGTACTTCTCACATTTCAAAATACAGTCATGCCTTCCCAACGGTCTCCCAAGGTCTTACCTCATTCCAGCATTAACTCAAAAGTCCAAAGCCCAAAGTCTTATCTGAGACAAGGCAAGTCCTTTCTACCTATGAGTTTGTAAAATAAAAAACTAGTTACTTCCAAGATGAAATGGGGATATAGGCATTGGGTAAATACTCCCATTCCAAAAAAGAGAAATTTATCAAAACAAAGCGCTTACAAGTGTGAAACCCAGCAGGGCAGTCATTAAATTTTAAAGTTCCAAAATAATCTCTTTTAACTCCATGTCTCTTATCCAGGGCACACTGATGCAAGAGGTGGGCTCCCAGAGCCTTGGGAAACTGCCCTGTGGTTTTGCAGGGTTCCCCACCTAAGGGTGCTTTCAAGAGCTGGTGTTGAGTGGTTGAGGCTTTTCCAGGCATGAGGTACAAGCTGTCAGTGGACCTACAATTCTTGGGTCTGGAAGACTATGGCCCTCATCTCACAGCTCCACTAGGCAGTGCTCCAGAGGGGACTCTGTGTGGGGCTTCAACCCCAGATTTCCAATCTGCACTGCCATAGTAGAGGTTTTACATGAGGGCTCTGCTCCTACTTCAGGCTTTTGCCTGGAGATCCAAGCACTTCTATACATCCTCTGAAATCTAGGCAAAGACTCCCAAGCCTCAACTCTTGCACTCTGTGTGCCTTCAGGCTTAACACCACACGGGAACCACCAAGGCTTATGGCTTGCATCTTTTGAAGCAGTGACCTGAGCTGTACCTGGGCCCCTTGGAACCGTAGCTGGAGCTGGAATGTCTGGAACGCAGGGAGCCATGTCCCAAGGTTGTGCAGGGCAGCAGAGCCCTGGGAATGGCTCATGAAATCATTGTCCTCCTAGGCATCTGGGCCTGTGATGGGAGGGGCTTTGTACACAGGTCTCTGAAAAGTCTTGGAGGCCTTTTCCCCGTTTTCTTGGATGTTAGCACTTGGCTCCTTTTTAACTTGTGCAAACTTCTCTAGCTGCCTTGAATTTCTTCCCTGAAAATGGGTTTTTCTTTTCTACCACAAGGCCACACTGAACATTTTCCAAGCTTTTATGCTATGCTTCTCTTTTAAATATAAGTTCCAGTTTTAGATCATTTATTTGCTCATGCAAATGATCATAGGTAATTAGAAGCAGCCAGATCACTTTTTGAATGTTTTGCTGCTTGGAAATTTCTTTCACCAAGTACCCGAAATCATCACCCTGAAGTTCAAAGCTCCACAGATAACTAGGGCAGAGGCACAATGCCACCAGGTTCTTTACTAACAAATAACAAAAGTTAACTTTGTTCCAGTTCCCAAGAAGTTCTTCATCTCCATCTGAGACCTCATCAGCCTAGCTATCTCTGTCCTTATTGCTATCAGCATTTTGGTCACAACAATTTAACAAGTCTCCAGTAAGTTACAAATGTTCCCTAATCTTCCTGTCTTCTTCTGAGCTCTCCACACTCTTCCAGTTTCTATCCATTACCCAGTTCCAAAGCCACTTTCCCATTTTCAGGTATCTTTATAGCAATGCCCCACTACTGGTACCAATTTTTTGTATTAGTCCATTCTTGCACTGCTATAAAAAATACCTAACAGACTGGATAATTTATAAAAGAGAGAAGTTCTACAAGATGTATAGGAAGCATTAAGTTGGCATCTACTCAGCTTCTGGGGAGGCACCAGGAAACTTACTGTATTAGTCAATTTTCATGCTGCTGATAAAGACATACCCAAGTGTATTACTCTGTTTTCATGCTGCTGATAAAGGCATACCCAAGACTGGGCAATTTACAAAAGAAAGAGATTTATTGCACTTACAGTTCCACATGGCTGGGGAGGCCTCACGATCATGGCAGAAGGCAAGGAGGAGCAAGTCACAGCTTATGCAGATGGCAGCAGGCAAAGAGAGAGAACTTGTGCGAAGAAACTCCTCTTCACAAAACCATCAGATTTTGTGAGACTTATTCATTATCATTAGAACAGCACAGGAAAGATCCAACCCATGGTTCAATCATCTTCCACCAGGTCCTTCCCATAACAAGTGGGAATTATGGGAGTTATAAGTTGATATTTGGGTGGGGACACAGAGTCACACCATATCATGCCACCCCTGGCCCCTCCCAAATCTCATATCTTCATATTTCAAAACCAGTCCTGCCTTCCCAATAGTCCCCCAGAGACTCATTTCAGCATTAACTCAAAAGTCACAGTCCAAAAGTCTTATCCAAAACAAAGCAAGTCCCTTCCACCGATCAGCCTGGAAAATCAAAAGCAAGTTAATTACTTCCTAGATACAATGGGGGTACAGGCATTGGGTAAATACAGCCATTCCAAATGGGAGAAATTGGTCAAAACAAAGGGGATCCAGGTCCTATGCAAGTCTGAAATCCAACAGGGCAGTCAAATCTTAAAGCTCCAAAATGATCTCCTTTGACTCCATGTCTCACATCTGGGTCCTGCTGATGCAAGAGGTGAGTTCCCATGGTTTTGAACAGCTCTCCCCTGTGGCTTTGCAGGGTAGAGCCCCCCTCCTGGCTGCTTTAACACTCACTGGCATTGAGTGTCTGCAGCTTTTCCAGATGCACAGTGAAAGATATTGGTGAATCTACCATTCTGTGGTCTGCAGGATGGTAGGCCTCTTCTCACAGCTCCACTAGGCAGTTCCAGTGGGGACTTTGTGTGGCAGTGTCAACCCCACTTTTCCCTCTTCACTGCCCTAGCAGAGATTCTTCATGAGGGACCCATCCCTAAAGCAAATTTCTGCTTGGATATTTAGGCATTTCCATACATCCTTTGAAAGCTAGGCAGAGGTTCCCAAACCTCAATTTTTGACTTCTGTGCATCTACAGGCTCAACATCACATGAAAGCTGCCAAGGCTTGGGGCTTGTACCCTCTGAAGCTGTGGCCAGAGCTGTACCTTGGCCCCTTTTAGCCATGGCTAGAGCAGCTGGGATGCAGGACACTGAGTCCCTAGGCTTCACACAGCATAGGGGGCCTGGGCCCAGGCTAGAAAATCATTTTTTTCCCCAGGCATCTGGGCCTGTGATGGGAGGGTCTGCCACAAAGGTGTCTGACATGCCCTAGAGACATTTTCCCCATTGTCTTGGCAACTAACATCTGTCTTCTCATTACTTAAGCACATTTCTGCAGCCAGCTTTAATTTTTCCTCAGAAAATAGGTTTTCCTTTTCTATTGCATTGTCAGGCTGCAAGTTTTCCAAACTTTTATGCACTGTTTGCCTTTTAAAACTGAATGCTTTTAACAGCACCCAAGTCACCTCTTGAATGCTTTGCTGCTTAGAAATTTCTTCCACCAGATACCCTAAATCACCTCCCTCAAGTTCAAAGCAGGGTAAAATGCCACCAGCCTCCTTGCTAAAACATAGCAAGAGTCACCTTTACTCCAGTTCCCAACAAGTTCCTCATCTCCATTTGAGACCAACTCAGCATGGATTTCATTGTCCATATCATTCTCAGCATTTTGGTCAAAGTCATTGAACAAGTCTCTAGGGAGTTCCAAACTTTTGCACACTTTCCTGTCTTCTTCTGGGCCCTCCAAACTCTTTCAGCCTCTGCCTGTTACCCAGTTCCATAGTTGCTTCCACATTTTTGGGTATCTTTACAGCAGGGTCCCACTCTTCCAGTACCAATTTACTGTATTAGTCCATTTTCACACTGCTAATAAGACATACTTGAGACTGGGTAATTTATAAAGAAACAAAAGGTTTAATGGACTCACAGTTCAACTTTGCTACAGAGGCCTTACAATCATGGCAGAAGGCTAAAGGCACATCTTATATGGGTTTCTCCCTTATGAAACCATCACATCACGTGAAACTTATTCACTACCATGAGAACAGAATGAGGGAAACTGCCCCCATGATTCAATATCTCCCACTGGGTCCCTCCAATAACACATGGGAATTACGGGAGCTACAAATCAAGATGAGATTTGGGTGAGGACACAGCCAAACCATATCATTTACAATCATAGTGAAATGCCATGTGGAAGCAGGAACATCTTACATGGCTGTAGCAGGAATAAGAGAGAGCGAAGAGTGGGTCAGCTACACACTTTTAAACAACCAGATCTCATGATAACTCACTCACTCACTATCATAAGAATAGTACAGAGAGGATGGTGCTAACCCATTAGTGAGAACTCTGCCCCCATGATCTTATTACCTCACACTAGGCCCCTTCTCCAACACTGGGGATTACAATTTGACCTGAAATTTAGGCAGAGACACAGATAGAAACCACAGCAATTACTAAGGGGCAGATATGACAATTGTAATAGATCACACTTTCCACTCTAATCAGAACTTGCTTCAAATGCAGAAGGAAGGCAATAGCATTTTCGGAAACAGGAATGATCAAGGAACTCCATCATATTCCTTCTTACTCATGTTACTTCCTTGGATTAGTCAATCACTGATGCTGAAAGTGATGACATTCAAGAAAAGGGAAAGAAAAGGAAATCTATAGTTTCTTATTTCATTCTTTAATGATGACATTCAAGAAAAGGGAAAGATAAGGAAATCTATAGTTTCTTATTTCATTCTTTCTTTCTCATTAGTAAGCTGAGGGTAAAGAGGCTAGGTAGAATGTATGTATACAAAGAAGTAAAAGAAGAACAGTTGATTTGGCTTTGTGCAGTGCTTCCACTGTTCTGGAAAGAACAAAAAAGATACACATGTATATGTCATGAAATATAAATTGTGTAATTTTGATGATCCACAAATGAGTTAAATGGTCTTATCCTTGAATTTAAAACTAGCATTGTATAATAAAAAGATGAATGGTAACATTCAAGCTAATAATTTAAAATATTAATTTTTCTCTACTTAGAATAACATTAAATATTAAAAAAAAACACACCATGATAAACGGAAAGAGACAGAAATAAATATATTTATATTCTAGTACTTTTCACAATACTTTATTTCCTGCTTTTGGAAAAGGGGGTTTCTGCATTTTCATTTTGCCCTGGACTATGCAAGCTGTATAGCCAGGCCTGCTTCTCCCAGATAGAGAAGAGAAATCTTCAGCAACAGGGCAAGCTTAAAATCAGGAAGGGAATAGGAGTCACTGATTTTGAATTTAGCTCAGATGAACTAGAGGATGCTCATTAAAGTGAGGACCAGGCCAGGTTATATGGAGCCCAGGTGGATATTTGAGGACTGCCTTGATGAAGACACTAACAAGTCTCAAGGCCATGTGATTCCCAGTGAAGCTTCCTAGTCCATTTTCTGGCCCTTTTATGGTTCCTGTGAGGAGTAGGAAATGGCCCTGGAAGAAGAAAGGACAAGTGCTGACAGCTGGTAGAACAAGGTATGTGTGATGTGCAGTGTCTGAGCTGTGGTATTTCCTGCCATTCTGTCAACTTCTTATACTTTTATTGCTGAACTTTAGCTCCAAACTCTTATGGTCAGCCAAACTACATCTTGTGTGTTTTCAAGTAGCCCAGGGAAAATTTCTCTTTGCACCAGATGTCTAAAGCAATACAAGATCATGATGCTTTCGCTATGTCAACCCCAGGGTAAATGGAGGCCATGAGACAGGAAAACAAAGATATTATTGGAGGTTGGAAGTGTATCCCATCTGAGCAGCAGCTGGCAAGCATTATCACGAACTACATCTAAACTTCACAGCTCTCTCTGCCCACATCTGCCAAATAGAGTGAGATTCACAGGCAAAATGTCCTTTGCTTCCCACCCTCAGCTTCCAACTTTGAGCCTGTCCTTGTGGAGGCTGAAAGAAACACCAATATGCACTTTCCTCCTTCCTTCATGGTAACACATCACAGAGAAATGTGTATTACACAAAAACAACTATAATGACCAGCTATCCTTAATGTCTTTCATTTGACTGTTTTGCTTTAGCATGGATGCTAATAGTCTTACATATAATATACTGTATAAGGATTTACAAATTAGGGACTAAAGCGTTCTCAGAATGACAGAACTTCTCCCACCCTTATTTGTACCCATGAATTGGATACTGCATCTGCAAGGTATTATGATTTCTTTTAAACCTTAGGAATAGCCACAGGCAACAGTTTGTGTTGAAATAAGAAACACATTGCATTTAGCATCAGAACTTGCCGCCAAGGAACCTGAAGAAGTTACTTAACATCACTGAGATGTCTCCGTGAAATGGGAAAAGATGTTTGTGATCTCTGCAGAATGTAGGGATGATGGCTTTGTTAGTGATTGTTATGGACTGAGTGTTTGTGTCCCTGCAAATTCACATGTTGAAGCCTTAATCCTTGGTGTGACTGCATTTGGAGATGAGGTCTCTAGGAAAGTACTTAGGGTTAAATAAGCTCATAAGGGTGTGTCCCTGATCTGATGGGATTCATGTCATTATAAGAGACACCAAAGCTTGCTCTCTCCACATGTGCCAAGAAAAGGCCATGTGAGGACATGGTGAGAAGGTGGCCATCTACAAGTCAGAAAAAGAGCCCTCACCAGGAAATGAATTTGCCTGTACCTGGATCACAGACTTCCAGCCTGCAGAAATGTGAGAAAATACATTTCTGTTGCTTAAATCATCCAGCCTGTGGTATTTTGCTATAGCAGCCAGAGCAGACTACGTATTGTTAGAGCCTATGCAAGTGTGAATTTTCATTCTTACAGTTGGTACTTGATAAACTTCTTCTGTTGAATTGTTGAATTCCAAGGAAACTTGGTGTGGGAAGTTCCCATGGATCATTTCTTTGACAAAATCTTAGAATTCTGTTTGGCATTAAATGTCCCAAAGTGGGGAAAAATGACGTAGGGTAAGATGACAAGAACCAGTGTCTGGAACATGCTGGCTAATTCTCAAAACAAATGACATACTCAACACTGATTACGAGGTGTGTTGAGGCATGGCCATCTGTAAAAAGGACATACTAAGGACAACTTTGTAGCTCACTAAGAAATTCCATCATCTTATATAGGGCACAGGTGCACTTTTGAACTTTTAAGTACTTTTAAAATCAGTTTGTATTAGTGTTGTGGCTGGCACAAAAATATATTAGAATCTTTATGCAAAAATTTAGCAAACTGTTAGAAGTAACAATAATTAGCGTTTATATGATGTCTTTATAAAGTGAATCTTTATTCATAATTGCATTTGTTTCTCTCAATAACCTTGTGGGAATAGTAACTGTTATACCTGTTTTATAGAAGAGAATACTGGATTCAGTATAAGAACTGGAAAAACTAGAAAATCATAGGTCTTGGGTTTAAACACAGGTCTTCTGACTCCAAACTACAAAACTACATAGTTCAATAAAAAGTACACAATAGATTCTACACATTAGAGATGAGGCTGCCCAGCACTCAGTAAATATGGATTCTAGTCCTAGCCCTGTCACCAGCCAGAGTCACCTCTCTCAGATCCTCTTTCTTTAGGTCTGTCACTTCATCCACAAAATGAGGAGATTCCTTAGAGCAAATCTAAGTTGTCTATTTCTTTCTTTTTTTTTTTTTTTTTAGACGGAGTCTCGCTCTGTCGCCCAGGCTGGCGTGCAGTAGCACGATCTTGGCTCACTGCAAGCTCTGCCTCCCAGTTTCATGCCATTCTCCTGCCTCAGCCTGCCGAGTAGCTGGGACTACAGGTGCCCGCCACCATGCCTGGCTAATTTTTTTTTTGCTTTTTTTTTTTCTGTAGTTTTAGTAGAGACGGATTTCACCATGTTAGCCAGGATGGTCTCGATCTCCTGACCTTGTGATCTGCCCGCCTTGGCCTCCCAAAGTGCTGGGATTACAGGCATGAGCCACCGCGCCTGGCCTAAGTTGTCTATTTTTTAATAACCTGATTGGTATGAAGAAAAAAATTGCAATTGAACAGCATTGAAAATAAATTATACTTAAATGCTGTCTGTTTTAGATGTGTTTTTCGCATGGATTACGGGAAGTGAGATAAGCGGAGACACCCAAACAAGTGCCAGAACCAGTCAAGAGAACTTTCCCACTCAGAACAAGTCCTTCAAGAAAAGAAATTCCCCTGGGCACTGAGTGAAAAGGCCTCTCCTGTAGGAATTCATGGCAGATCCACAGTGGAATGAGCTGTGGCTATGCACCCAGCACACATTCTAGTCTGCCGAGAGCAGAGAAAGGAGGGAGCTCCATCAGGAGTGTGGGAATTTAAATCCAACTGAGAAATGACAGTTTCAGAGGAGGCTGAACCCACTCTACATGCATCACACCTTTCCTAGAGGAGAACATAATCATTAGTCATAGATAAGTCCTGTGAAGTGCCTCCCACATCTCACACAAAGATTGCAAATATCGTGTTTGGGGGGAAAAAATGAATAAATCTTTACTTTTTAAGCTCACTTGCTCACTTGCCTGCTCTTTTTTCCTTCCTCCATGACTCCCTCTCTTTTTTCCTTTTCTTTCTCTCTCCTCCCTCTTTCTTTTTTCTTCTTTTGTTCCCACCCTTTCTTTTTCTTCCTTTTCTTTTCTTTCTTTCTTCTTTTCTTTTTCTTTTTCTCTTTTTCATTCTATCCCTCCTTGTCTCTCTTCATGCCCTCTCTTTCCCTTCAGCCCCTCTTTCCTTCCTCCATCCCTCTCTCTCTCCCTCTTATCCTCCTCCTCTTTCTTTTTTTCTCTCTCCCTCTCTCATATCCCTCTTCTCCTCCCTCCTTTCTTTTCTTTTCTTTTTTCTTTTCTTTCTTTCTTTCTTTCTTTCTTCCTTTTTCTTTCTTTCTTCCAAATTTAATCTCTTGAAAATAATTTTGGTGTGACATCTTTGAAACTGTCCTCAATTACATTTCCAGATGAGACACCCAAACATTCATGTGAAGCCTGGAGCTTCATGGGCCCCTGCTTCTTTATACTCCTTCCTCTTCCCACCACTGAAGGTCTTCTCCATGCTAGAGGCCAGGCAAAGTGCTATGAGAGGAAATCATGGTAGGGAAGCAGGTTTCACTACAGCCCCCAGCCCCTAGGTGAGAAAGTTGTTGGTATGTGTTTCTACAGTTATGTAGCTCCACACTGATTTACACAGCAAAAAATATATATATATATATTGAGCAGCTACTATATAACAAGCACTGTTTTTTACTTTAGCAGGAGAAAAGATGAATGAGACACCATTTCTATTCAAGCAACCCACAGTGTTAGTGGAGATGGACCTCTAGGTAAAGGAATCTAATAGAGCACTGTAAAATGTGTGTTTGGAAGGACACATATGGTTTAGCATGGGCATACAGGAGAGAATACACAACGGTACCATACCTGAGAGTAGAAGGAAATTCAGAAAAGCCTTAATAATCAGACGACATTGGAGCTGGGTTTTGAAGGAAGTGTTTAATATCAAAAGAAGGGATGAAAGAAGGGAAGAACCTTTCAGAGAGAAAATAAGGCATGTACAAAGCAGGGAAAGAACATGGCCTCTTCTAGGAGCCATAAACTTTTTCAGATAGCAGGGACCCAGGATTTATGTGAGGCAGTGAGGCAGTTGTGTGCTATCAGCCTGGAAGTCTGGACGTCGCCCAGAAGGAAAAGGGGTTTTTCAAACTATAGGGGTAGAGAGCTTAGAGTTTGCCTTGGGGGCAGCGAGAATCCAGTTTCTGGATTATCATTCTGGCAGAAGTGAAGAGAATTGATTAGACGGAAGAGAGGCTGGAAAAGTAGGAAAACCAGTCAAAAAACTGGTGTGTAGTACAGATGCAAAGGAGAGAACATGTAAGCGATATTTAGAAGAGAGAATTGCCAGGACTTGATGTGCAGCTGGACAGATGTTACATCCAATAGGATGTTACTATGCCCCAAAGCTATGACTATGCATAATGTTTGCCTGTTGCCTGATGAGCTAACAAACACTAGCTGAGCTATTTGTTGGTATTGAGGCCTGGGGTGGGGGTAGGGGGTGAGCAGGAAAGTGGAGACAGCAGTGAGAAAAGCATCTTCCCTCTCCCCAGGAGTTTGTCCCCTACCTCACTGTTCAAGGTGTGGCCCGTGATCTGTGGACCAGCAGCATCAGCATCATCTAGCAGCTTGTTATGCAGAATTTCAGATCCTACCTGAATACCAAATCAGATTCTGGTTTTTAATAAGATCCCCAGGTGAGTTATATGTACATCATAGTTTGAGAAACACCAGCCTAGGGTAATTCTTGGAATTTTCCCCATTGGCAGAAGAATTATAGAGGGAGTAATAAGAAAGAAGTAGCATAAAGCAGAAATAATATGGTGCTGGAGATTCAAATTGTTAATCACAAGACTGTGGAGATTTATATTTCTCTTTGTTCTGAAGTTTATACTTGATAGAAATTATGCGTAACTACTAGTCTGACCCTCTAGTCTTGCTCCCATTTCATATTTCTCCTGCTGTCCTTTGTTTAAATGTGGTACTTAAAAGATCACACAGTGAATAAAGCTATCTTGGGGCAATTAAGATGGATAAGTCTGATATCCAACTTGTTCTCATCTCTGTGGCATCTTCATGAACTCATTATTTCAAGGACATAAGGAGCTGGTAAATATGGTTTTTATAAAGACTGAGCTAAATTCTCCAATATCTAAGACAGAGAAGAGACTCACAGGGGTGGGGCAGGTTCGTATGGTCCTGGAAGGCAGCTCCAGGCATGGAGATTGAGACTGTGTCATTGTGACATCTCCCATATGCCTCAGAAGCTGTCCTTTTCTCCAGACATGAACTTGAGTGGTTGTGACTCTTGCCTTTTCAGCCTCTCATCTACTTTGTTAGTATGAAATTACTGGAATGAAAACTTGATGCAGATATTGAAATTAATGGATAAATAAATAATATTCCCTTGAAATTATAAAGACAATTCAGGCCAATAACAGAAAGAGAAAAGGCTTTGTAAAATGCTTAAAGCATACCAAGATTGAGAACAGAATATGTTGCTTTTTCACAAGCTCCAAATGATATTCATCTCTAGAAATGAGTTTAATATAAGTTTTTTCTTCTTTTTTTTATTATACTCTAAGTTCTAGGGTACATGTGCACAACGTGCAGGTTTGTTACATATGTATACATGCGCCATGTTGCTGTGCTGCACCCATTAACTCGTCATTTACATTAGGTATATCTCCTAATGCTATCTCTCCCCCCACCCCCCACCCCATGACAGGCCCCAGTGCATGATGTTCCCCTTCCTGTGTCCAAGTGTTCTCATTGTTCAATTCCCACCTATGAGTGAGAACATGAGGTGTTTGGTTTTTTGTCCTTGGGATAGTTTGCTGAAAATGATGGTTTCCAGCTTCATCCATGTCCCTAGAAAGGACATACCATTGTGGAAGACATTGTGGTGATTCCTCAAGGATCTAGAACTAGAAATACCATTTGACCCAGCAATCCTATTACTGGGTATATACCCAAAGGATTATAAATCATGCTGCTATAAAGACGCATGCACACGTATGTTTATTGCGGCACTATTCACAATAGCAAAGACTTGGAACCAACCCAAATGTCCATCAATGATAGACTGGATTAAGAAAATGTGGCACATATACACCATGGAATACTATGCAGTTTAATATAAGTTTTGATATGCACCATGAAACTTAAGATTTCCAGTCTGATGATATATTAGTTGTACCAAGAGGATAGTAGAAGGTAGATAATATCCTTGTCCCTGTGATTACTAGAATGACTATATGTTAGTGCAGAGAAGTGACAGAGAATGCATTAACTTTAGAAGCACTGAAGTGTTGCAGTCTAAGCAAATCACAGATGACTTCTAGTGACAATGTTAACTTGTTTTGTTTAGACTGCATCACTTTAGTGCTTCTTAAGTTAATGCAATATTCCATTGATAGGCATATTCTCTTTTAAACTATTCTTGTTTCCGTGAGCCACAGCTGTGAAGGGAATTTACTTCTCAGGAGCAGGACAAACACTTTGAAACATTCAAAAGCACAACACAGTCCACAAACTAAACAAATAACTATTTTAAATCACAGAAATCACTTTAGGGTAGTTTTTAATAGCATTGTTCTGGGAAATGCTGACATGGTCTCTCATCCTGGCTGCCACTGCTTGCTTAGACTTTGGCAAGTTACTTTACCTGAGTTTTCTCATCTGTAATGAGAAGCATCTTCAAGTGGATGGAGTGGGTCCAAGAGACCATCCTGTGTTCCTGGGTATACAATTAATGATTATGCTCATTGGCCCACAGCATCCCTATTTTTGTTCTTTAACCTATGGATTTAGTATAGCATGCCAAATGGAAGTTCAAATGGAAGTTCCTGACATCTTCTGAACCTCATAACAAAATTGAAAAGACATGTGGGATGGAACAGAGGAAACAGTGATTGTCATCACATTCTTTTTTTGCCTACTCATTTGACCTGTGCAAAAATTGTAGGATTAATAACAACTTATTCCAGAAGTCTAATTAGCTGGTGGCTTGAGTTACAGTTGCTGTCTCAGATGTCATGCCTTTGCTAGCACAAATAGACAAATCATTTGACAATTCTCATGCAGCTATAGATCTGACAAACATTATTATTATTTTCCCTAATTCAATAGTCAGAGAATACCAGATCCAGCGGCATTACCTGAAAGGTTCAGCAATGCACATTTTGCCTCAGTGCTACATCGGCTCTATGGCTCTTTGTTATAATGGTCCACAGGAACCAAGAACGTTACATTATTCCACAAGATATAATACTATATAATAACTTAAATGAAATCATATTGCTAAGATCTGGTGGAGAGTTTAACTTGGGAGGATTTCTCTATGGCTTGTAAGATACGTGCATCCAGGGTGTAGGTAAAAACAAACAAAAACTGCTCTATGAGAATTCAAGGGAATGCCACTTCAGGACAGTTTCTGCATGTAGAGTTATTTAGAACATATTGGAATATCACCTCCAAAGTGAAACATAAGTCACTGCATCTTATGCTTTTTGACCTAAAAAAAGAGGCACGCTGTTTAATGAATATTCTTCTTTTCTGTTTGGGAGGTAATATATGTCACTTTCCAGAGTGTATTTGTACTTCTCTGATCCACTTTTTAAATCTGTAAGATCACTAGCTTTGGGTGTGCTCCAAGCAAGAAAATGTTATGCAGGTTGCAGTACACTGAGTCTGCCCTTATGACTCAGTAAAGTCAATGTTGCTCAATATGTCTGAGAGAGTTTGATGCACTGTATGGATCCAATAGCAGTCATAATAGAATAATCACAGCAGAGGTTCTAGAGCTTTAAAACAAAGCCATGGCTTTTTCAGAAAATATTCTCTTGATTTGCTACTAGATCTTGGTATAGCATGCGTGGCAGTGAAAAAAAAATGGCAAGTGATCTTTGACTTGAGTTTTCCATCACGCAGGAAACGTTATCCAATATGTCATCAATAATTTGAGATTCCTGAAAGTATTCTGTTGTAAAATGGAAGTGACATAAACATTATCAGGCTTGGAGAAGTCTTAGGGTCACAAATAAGTGCATGAACTGGTGGTTAATGCTTCTAGTGCACCTAATCCTGACACATTACCAACTCTCCTTGACCCATACTTACTGACTAATGGGAAGTTCTCTAAGATCACTTGACTAAGAAAAAAAAATTTGGTTTCCATTTATAGGGGACTTTGTAGATATCCTGGCACCACACAGAAATGAACTGCTACAGATTTACAGGCGCATTAAAATGTGGCTCTGAAGGTTGTTCTACCCATCTAATGGGTAGAATATTGAGTTGATACATCTGAGTGTCCTCTTTGCCTTCACAAAGAAATAACTAGAGGTAAGGATGCACATTAATTCATGGGTAATGACTAATTGTTTTCCTGAATGGTCAGGGACTTGAAACGAAAAATAATGGAGGATGACCAATGAAGAAATTAGACAAAGAAGACAGCGATAAACCTCTTCTGAATGGGTCAAGAGGGTGTTTGTGGATGCTCATCAAAAGAATCCCTCTGCTGAGAATGTTCTCGATAATCAGGGAGCAAAGGCAACCTATGCTATGTGTGTCTTTCAGCAGTTCTGCCCAGCCGCCCCAGTACTTGTTCATTTGGATCATGATGGTAGCTGTGTAGGACATTATGCATGAGCTCAACCACTTGTACTTCCTCTTCATGTATTTGAGTAAACAGTTTTTTAAAAATCCAGTTTTGGCCGAAGTGATCTAATAAATCATGAATAACAGGGTTGCTGCTACATAACAGGGATAGTAATGAGTGCTACTAGAACACAGGGAATCTTGTCAGGGGGCTTTTAGTATTCTTATGTCCACTTGTAACAGTTGAAGTTTAAGTAACCTCAAATAGACAATACTACTAAGATCATGTACTCTTCAGGAATGAAGGTTTGTGTTAGTTTGTTAGGGTAAGAACCTTAACTGAATGATAGCAAAGGGTTATGGAATTGGAAATAGGTGAACAAAGTTATAAGTACCAACTATGTCAGGATCAGTGGCAGAAGTGAGGATTTAGTAGTCAGGCATGTCTTCCTTGCTCAGTTACATGTAAAATTATTTCTTTTAGAAACATGTTGTGTGCCTTGTCAGATTTTATCATCTTCACTTCTCTGATAGACTCTCAGTTGGCAGCCCCACATCAGCCCTCTTATCCTTTGTTGCTGTGGCCAACAAATTTTCAAATTCCTACAGTCTCTGGCTCCTTCTGCCACCTTCAGAAGTGTATTTAACACTACAGCACTCTTTAGGAAGTGGGATCTAACTTTATGAGAGGTGAGCAAAGGAAAGGGACTGGATGTTGTGAACTGTAAGTATGGGAAGGTTAGTTTCTTACGGTGAAAACTTTAACCAATAGGACACAGTTGACAGGAGCAATCCAGGCAAATAAATAGCAGGCCTCAGAAGAAAATCTCTATGGCTTCTATGAAACATGCATCCAAAAAGCATGTGGGGTGGTAAATCTCTATGAGAATTTAAGGTCATATCACCATTGTTTCCTTTCTGCACTAATAGGATGTTCAGTGTTCTGACATTTTTGTATAGCCTGTCTGGAGTCATCCTGCATGATTGAGTATAAACACCTGTGTCTTTTCTTGACCTACTGAGAAGCAGTGGCCAGCATGTTAAACTATCTCCTTGTACAGTTATCTCCGGTATCACCAAGGTATTGGTTCCAGGACCCCCCAAGGATACCAAAATCCATGGATGCTCAAGTCTTTCAGTCAGCCTTTGAGGACCCATGAATATGAGGGGCCAACTTCTTCTCCTTTTTCCCCCCTCACTCTTGGTGCCCAGAGATTGAATTTCCCAAGTAAAGTACTATTGAATGAAATACCATTTCCTTTGAGCAAATGCCTGCCCATGTCTTTCTGTCTGAATAGGAGACAGGGAATGGCATATTAGGGAAAAGAACTGAAAAATGCATGCTCTCTGATTCCCCAAGATTTTGGTTTAACACAATTAATACTTATCATCTTACATACTTTTATGATCATTCACACTTGTTTTCATCATTTTTTTCTTTGAGAGAGAAACATCAACTCTAACATGAAAATGGGTCACAGATTAAGAGTTAGAATCCTTTCAAAAGCAGAGTGTCTGTTGGCCTTGAGCTGGGCAGAAGTTGAGAAGGAAGCACCCCCATCTCATACTGTAGAAGGAGACTGTGGCAGGCAGTGATGGTCATGGTCACAGAGGCTTGTGTGTATTCCAGGGGGAGTCAGGAGGCCTTTATGCCACTGATATCACGCATTTGCTATCTTGGTGCATATTTCATAGATTTCATACGTGTTCTGCTTTATATCTTTCAACTCTAAGTAAACAGTCCTCTAGAGTGGTTGGCTATGCCAAGACAGTGAATGTAGGAAGAGAAGTCTAAGAAGGCTTGCAGGGAACTTCTCTGGTGTACCTGAAATGACACTGCATTAATTACCACCTCCTCTCTTTACACTCAGGGGAACTGAGGAGCTGTCCTGAATACTCCAGAGGCAGGAACTTGGAAGTTCAAGGCAGAGGGAATTCAAGAAGGGAGTGGTGGTGCTCAGTGGCATCAGATAGTATTACACAACTACATCTATGTAAACACTTATTAGGAAGTTGATGAAGCTATCAGCATGACTGGAGACAGATTGGGTGCCCTGGGGCTCCTAAATTATAACAAATTATGTCAAAGAAAGAGATTCATTTGACCCAAATCATCAGGTGCCCTGAGGTAAGAGTTCAGAATTTTTATCCCAGCAGTCTGTATATGGTTTATGTTGCATTCTAGGTTAACCTCAAAAAGATAAGCCAAAAAACTGCAGGAAAAAGCAATGAGATGTCCCAAACATCACATTTGTATGTTTGACCCAGGCTCACATTAGAATAAATCATGTACAATTGGATTGAGGGCTCGCTTATAACAAGCACTTCCCTAAGGCCTCATGTATTCTTTATTAATGAGGAACATCACTTTGTAAAATTGAGATTGGCATTACCCCTTTCAGACCCAAAGTTGCTTAATGTTTATATACTAGAGGGAAGTCCACATTTTTAGGATTTTCTTTCCAGATTAAAGACCTATAGGTGAGAAAAACAGCGATAATCAAGAGTAAGTGACTAGACAATTATTTTTTTAAGGGAAAGTCTAAATGCAGAAATCTTAGCATTCAAACTATTTTAGTTAAGTTTAGTATCAACTACCTGACAGTGAATGGAAAGTGGAGATTTCAAAGTATTCCTGCTCACCTTCAGAATTTAGTATGCTTTAATATTAAAAATTAGCAATTTTAACACACACTTTTTACTTGGCTGAGTTGAATCTTCCCAAGTTCATCTACAGGTTCCTTCCACAGAGAGACAAAGTCCCACAACAAGTGCAGGTGAAAGCAATGACCAATATAAAAAAGAGCTCTGTTATAAACATTTATTGGCACTCACATGTTATAATTGGTGAATAGCTTTCCAGACAAAGCCTCCACAGCCTATTTAATCCATTTGGTAGCTCCTCTGAGAGACCTGGTCTGGAGATCACTTGAACCTTAAGCCCCTGAGCTTCTCAGAGATCACTTAGAACCTGTGGGCTCTGTGTTCTCCTAAGGGCCCGGCAGCAGAGCTGGGGGAGCTGGTAGTGGGAGAAGGTGAAGAGAACAGACTTACTTCTGGCAGTAGGAGAGGGGCGACGGAGAGATGAGCACCAGTTGCTTCATGGAGCAGGTCATCCAGGCAGAGGACTGCCTTAAATCTTCAGTTCTGAGCTTACTGCTGGTAAATACCGAATAAAACGGATGCTTGATTTGCTCAAAAATAGAAAGGGTGAATAGGTGGCTAGCTATTCTAGAGTAAGGAAATGAAGCTGGGTGGTTTTTATCTTTCTCAAATTTTTTCTTTTTTTTGGGGGGGGTTGATCTTTTATTTATTTATTTATTATAATTATACTTTAAGTTTTAGGGTACATGTGCACAATGTGCAGGTTAGTTACATATGTATACATGTGCCATGCTGGTGCGCTGCACCCACTAACTCATCATCTAGCATTAGGTATATCTCCCAATGCTATCCCTCCCCCCTCCCCCCATCCCACAACAGTCCCCAGAGTGTGATGTTCCCCTTCCTGTGTCCATGTGTTCTCATTGTTCAATTCCCACCTATGAGTGAGAATATGCAGTGTTTGGTTACCTATCTGTCATAGACATTTTTGTTAGACTATCCACTATTGTGCTGGAAAAGAAAAAGGAGTTTTGTGGTATGCAAATTTGGGATATATTAAATATTAAATAAATAGATGAGGATGGATGTTATCAAGTGATCACATTTTCTCCCAACACATAGTTCTCACTTTCGTTCATACCTCAAGCTCCTCAAAATTTTAACTTCTTGCTTTTGTTCTTATTTGTAAAGAAGTATCTCTTTTTTTGGATTAACTGGTTATCTGTAGAAAAGGACATAGACATTGGGGATTTGATGCTTCTCTTCACTAAAGAAAGAATATTATATACTTTTATAGAGCTTAAATAGAGAAAATATTATATACATATAGTAAGTACCAAAAGAAATGTAAACTTTCTTCATTTACTCTTCAAAGTGTACTCATATGAGGAACCTGTAAATAATAAGAGAACATGCAAGGCACATACAGGGCTTAGAAAAAACTTGTTGTTGTTGCTGTTGTTGTTGTTGTTGTTATTGTTGTTGTTGTTGTTGGAAAACCCACATCAGGTTAATCCCAACCAACACCTGAACCTGCTCAGCACATGACCACAGAACTCAGCATCTCCAACTCTGTATCCTGGTGCCCCTGATGCACATAGCATCCCTTTCTCATTGCCCACACACATTTTAACCTCTCAAAGCCTCTTAATTAGAAAACATTTTCCATTCTATTCTAGAAAGGTAATCTCTACTTGAGAAAATGTTATACCCAGACAAGAAATATTTCTTCTTTCCTTTTATTGATCTGATAAGTCCTCCCGAGGTAAGGCTGAAAAATCAGAGCTGCCTATCAAAAAGACACTTCTGTCAAATTAAGCAATTTAACATTTTGGAGTGTGACATGAAATTCCTATTTTTAATAGCATTGTCACAAAGTTGCATCACCAACTACAGACATGTATATGGTTCAGTAGTGAGTCACCAGTTACCACTGGTTAGAGATCTTTCCTGAGGGATTAGAGCTAGTAAGAAGGGACTAACAGATTCCTGTGGGTATTTAAAAAACACACACGCACACACACATACATATATATATAATATATATATACTTTATTTTTAAAAGCAATTTTAGCTTCATAGCAAAATTTAGCAGAAGGTACAGAGATTTCCCATACACCCTCTACCCCTGCCCCCTTCCCAAAGCCCCCACCATAATCAATATCCTCCACCAAAGTGGTACATTTGTTACAAATGATGCATTTATGCATTATTATTACCCAAAGTCTATAGTGTACATTAGGGTTCATTCTTGGTGTTGTATATTCTATTGGTTTGAACAAATTTGTAATGACAAGTATCCATTATTATGATATAAAGAATCATTTCCCTGCCTTGAGAATCCTCTGTGTTCTATCTATTCATCCCTCCCTACCCACTAATTCCTAGCAATCACTGATCTATTTACTGTCTTCATAGTTTTATCTTTTCCGGAATGTTATATAGGTGGAATCATACAGTGCATAGTCTTTTCACATTGGCTTCTTTCACTTAGTCATATGAATTTAAATTTCCTTCATATTTTTTCATAGCGCATTTCTTTTAGCCCTGAATAATATTCCATTGTCCATCCATCCACCTGCTGAAGGATATCTTGACTGCTTCCAAGTTTTGGCAATTGTGAATATAAAGCTGCTATAAACATTTGTGTACAGGTTTTTTGTGTGAACATGTTTTCAATTTATTTGCATAAATACTAAACAGCACAGTTGCTGATTCATATGGTATGAGTATGTTTAGTTTTGTAAGAAACCTTCAAACTGTCTTCCAAAGTGGCTGTATTATTTTGTATCCTCACCAGTAATGAATTGGAGTTTCAATTGCTCCACATCCTCACCCGCAGTAGGTGTTCTCAGCATTCTGGATTTGAGCTATTCTAATAGATATGTGATGCCATCTCGCTGTTATTTTAATTTTCATTTTCCTGATGACATATATTGTGGAGCTTCTTAAAGTATGCATACTCATAATCTGCATATCTTCTTTGGTAAGGTGTCTGCTGAAATCTTTGGCCCATTTTTTAATCTGGTTGTTTTTTCATATTGTAGAGGTTTAAGAATTCTTTGTATATTTAAAGAACAGTCCTGGCCAGCCACAGTGGCTTACTCCTGTAATCCCAGCACTTTGGGAAGCCCAGGCAGGCAGATCACCTGAGGTCAGGGGTTCAAGACCAGCCTGACCAACATGGTGAAACCCCATCTCTATTAAAAAATACAAAACTTAGCCTGGCATGGTGGTGGGTGCTTGTAATCCCAGCCACTCAGGAGGGTGAGGGAGAATTGCCTGAATCCAGGAGGCAGAGGTTGCAGTGAGCCAAGATCACACCACTGCACTCCAGCCTGAGTGACAGGGAGAGACTCCGTCTCAAAAAACAACAAAAACAACAACAACAAAACCAGTCCTTTATCAAATATGTCCTTTGCAAATATTTTCTCCCAGCCTGTGACTTATTCTTTTTATTCTTTTGATGATGTCTTTGAGCAGAAATTTTAATGTTAATAAAGTTTATCTTATCAATTCATTCATCAATCGTGCTTTTGGTGTTGTATCTATACTGTGGCTTTGATGGAATGTTCTTATGGTGTGATGGAGTTTATACAGAACTGAAGTGTGGCTTTCTTGAAGACCTGTGTCTCTGTTGATGCTTTGCTATCTTAGCTTTGCTAGAATCTCTTGGGACTATCAATTGATGTCCTTTTTGCCAACGGTCTATGTCAAGCAGTGTCTTATAGTTCTCAGGAGGTTTGGTAACCTATGAAAGCATTTCTATGAGGACATGTCCTTGGAATCACAATTAGACTTTCATCCACTTTAATCTATTTCCTCATTGACTTATTAATATAAAATAACTTTCAAATTCAATATTATAGAATGTATCATCTTTTTATTCTTCTGTTATATTATCACAACCATTAAATTTATATTAAATGTATATTATTTCAAGTGTTATAAATAATTCATAACAGTTAAAAAAGCCATTAATTGATATTCGTTTCACAGTGCCCCAGATTTCAAATGGCTTTGCTATTGTTAAGACACACTTAAAGGATCACCTTTATATCAATTATTATGGAAATTAACTGGAATATAATTTATATCATCTGAACCTTGACAAAAACGTGGTAGCTAAAATTAACCTCTACCTGGCTCCATAGGTCCTAGAAAAGTTCATTTCATAACAAGAAAAGGAAAGTGAGAGGCAAGTATAGACAGATAAATAAATGTCTAGCACATGAAGCTTCCTAGTTCCTTCACTGCTTCATCATCTGTGACCTCTCACCCACTCATCTTTGCTACCAATCCCACTGTCACATTCAAGACATTGCTGCCACCTTCATAACCACTAATTCAGCCTTCTGAATAAAACCTCCTTTCCTTTCAGCTTATTTGTGGGACTATACCCACTGAAACTTTTCTCCAACTTCATCAGGACCTTCAGGCAATTGATTCTTCCTTCAAGTTTGTCTTACTGCATTTATCTTCCACTCTTATCCAACCTAGATTCCATTGTCCAGAATTTCAACAGCCCTCTTACCAGTAATCTAAGGTCAAGTGCCTCTCTTTCTGTCACCTTGTCTGCTAAAAACAAAATCTTGTATGAAACCAATTCTCTGCTTCCTCTGTGCCTAGAGAAAAATCACTAAATAGTTCAGATTGGATCCTGTATTCATTCATGATCAAGGTTGGAGTGGGGTGCTTATCATCTACTTCTGATTTCCATGAAGAAAGCTATTTCCCTTAACATTCATTACTTATGCTGCCCTCCCTAAGGCAAGAGGATTTACTTCTTTGATTAGAAAGTTTAAAGAGAGAATCTGAGTATGCCTCCTGGCTCAGTCTTTCCCTCTCTCCTTTCTTGTTGTGATGTGTCCACCTGCAGAGAACACACTTTGTGCTCAGCTCCTCCACACTGCCAAAATTTCAGTGGATGCCTTGACATAAGTAGAGAGATGGGGAACATTTCAGAGCAGAGACTATAATCATGGCCTGAAGGTGCCAGTCCCCTGGATATTATTGAGAAAGGACTTTTAAGATTGTAATAGCAAGAATCTATACCAAAAGCAGTTGGAGAAACACCTGTACTCTTTTTTACTGATTGTCCTTTCAAGTCTCCCAACATTGCATATTGTCTGCATCCCAAATCTAGACCACAATCCCATCAAGAGAGGAAAAGATATATGTATATAAAAATTCTTCACATAAAGATTCTTAAGCTACTAGGAATCACTGAGACTTCTCAAGAAGATCTTGAAGATGAGGAAAATTAAGTTTCAAAAGTGATTCAGTGACACTTGTAGAACACAATGCACAGAAGCAGCAGAAATGGTTACACTTTATTTAACTAGTTGTTTGGCATTTTATTGTTTAAAAATACACTTATGCATATCATCTCCTTCAAGTCTTGCAATGCCCTGTGATGAAGAATGGATTACTGCCAGAATTATCAATGATGAAACTGAGGCTCAGCAGTTGTTACTTGCTCAGGGGAACCCAACTAAAAATTGAATTATACTTCAGATCAATGAGTTATGCCATTTACTTTATTCCTCCAAATCCCATCCTTCTTCCCAAGCCTAAGATGTGCTACTGAACCTGAAGAATAAACAATAGTTATGTAGGACCTGAGTAGTATAATAAGATTAAAATATTTTGAGAACTAATATAAAGAAGAATGAGGAAAAAATCAATACCAAATTTGATACTTTGGCCTTTTAAAGGATCCTTGAGGAGTGACTATGTTTGGCTTAAAGGAAGAACTGTCTTTTAAATGAGAGATTTTAAAACATATTAACATATTTAAGCAGATTCAGAAAATTCTTGCACGAAATAAAAACACCCCTCCTTCAGCCATCCTGCACAGTTATTATTATGAATAATTTATATTTTTCTAGGGGATTTTGCTATTTATTGCTCTTAATTATGTGCTTTTCAAGTGCCACTATAGACTCCCTGGGGAAACCCTTGAGAGAAGTAAGTTGTTATGCTAGGAAGCATCAGCCTGATGGCTCGCTGGTACTAAAGTCTGTGGTCTGCGGGTGACAGCAATTACCCTTCATTAGCTTAGCAGAGCCAATGGAGGAAAGTTCTTCTTAATGGGCACTTGAAATGGGTGTTAACTTTGTCTTTTCAAAAGAAAAACTTCTTTGGGGGAGGATGTACAAAGGGAAAATGGAATGCTGAAAAGAAGGGAGGGAGACTCTTTGCTGTTTTTATTCTTTGTATTAAATCAAATAATATCTTATTAAATAGCCTTAGAACAATATGAGCGCTGACAAGAGAAATAGATAGAAGATTCTGAAATCTGGATTCTGTTTCAAGGGTGCTATTAATTTACTAGGATTTTTGTGCCCTGGATTCTTCATTTGCAAAATGGTGTGGGAGGTGGCAATGAGGAGAAATTGGACCAAATTTAGGAAGTCTTAGTTCAATACCAAGGATCTGGGTCTGAACAAAAGACACTCTAACTACAGGAAAAGAAAATGCCTTAAAACAATTTACTCAGGCACACTGGTTAAATTCACAATCTCTGTAGTTGCCCTTTTAGCACCCAGGGAGAAGTGGAGAAGACCTGAAGATTTTTAGGAACATGGGAACCAAATGATGATGGACAGCTTAGCTCCGCAGTGTGATGATGAGTGGAGTGGCTCTGAGATTCAAAGAAGGCACCAGTCTGGGTCATGAATGATACACAGCTAGCACTCATTGTTACCAGCCATCTGTAGATTCCAGAGGCTTTGTCATTCGCTAGTGTCCTGTCTGTTGTTAAATATTTTTAATATTTAGTCTAGCCTGGGGTGATTTTAGAGACCCAGATATCTACTAGCCAGCTGTGTGAACTTAACTCTCTCCTCAGAACCTGAGATTTTTATGAGGAGGTTGTACTACAGGATCTATACATTTTTTTTACTAATGCTCACATTATCTGGTATTCTGAACTACTCTGCTTCAGACTTTCATCACAGAGTCAAAAGCTAGCTCCCAAAACATAATGAACTTTTTTTTACTATACTGAATACCCCTAAATCACTGTTCTAATGAACCTGAAGAGTTAAACTGATGATTTTTAAGAGAGTAGGGAATTTAGATACAAAGTCAGCTACATGATTCTCTGCACAAATCCAGGATAAGAATACATATAAGGTCAACCAGGTACTCCTAGCCCTTGAAATCAACAGATAAGATTATGCTAATATCATCATTATGTTGTTTTGTAAGGAAGACAACATGACAATATAGTCATGAAAGGAATAGGAAGTTGGCAGCAATAAAGCTCTAAAAATAACTTGAATCTTAAAGGAAGTAAGGGCAAAATGGGCACTGTTGCATTCACCAAACCAAGCTCTACCCAGGAGATTTGGGAAGGACTGAAGAATCAGCAAGTGCATATTTAGATAATTATTTTAGTAGCAGACTAGCATGTGTGTATTATTCTAGTAGCAAAGTAGTGTGTAGTAGTGGCACCAAAACATGGTGCATGTGTATGTATGGGGTTGAGGGGTGTATTTAGAACAAGTAGAAGATCTTGGCCTGGAAGATCCAGGTCACTGGCCTACACCAGCTACATAACTCATGCAAGCACATTGCCTGCCCTCCCTACAGGTTCTACTTGTTCAGCATGGACACTGATGTTTGCACTTCAGTTAATTCTCTCCACTAAGCGAGTGCTGCATCCCTCTCACATTCATGGTGGTGCTTCCAACTTCAGGTAGTACAAACTGAATTGCTGTTTATCACCCCTGCTGATACCCATGTAACACTTGGGTTTAAACCATGATAATACTGGCATTCTTAAGACTCTAGAGGTATGTCCTAGGGTTTTAGCCCTAAAGTGAATACAAAATAAGCAAGGCCAAGCTTATTTCAGGACCCTTGGGCACAGATGAACTCTTTGATAACATGGAGCCTTCTCTCCACAGAGATACTTCGGGTACACTCTGCTCTGCCTATTATGACTACATTTTCCCAGTCACCAGCTGGGTGGGACAGGAGCCATGGTGCCAGTAGGAAGCAGTGTCAAATTATGTCCAGGCTTGCCAATTAGCATGGACCCAAATGCCATGAGTCCACTTCTCTGCTTCTAGCATTTGGTGATTGGCACACTTCCAGATTGAGTATTCCTAACCAGGAGGTAGCCAAACTTCCTTAGTTTTTGGCATTTGAAGTTATAGGGAGGACTGATTTATAATATTACATATAATTTTTAGAAGATCCTGACATATTCTAATTTGTATATTTTAGGGCCATAAACATTATTTAATCCAGAAATATCAAGGAAAAATTTGGATAAATATTATGATAATAATAGCCTGGTGAACCTAGGGAGGGTTCTGATGTTAGAAGCCAGAGTGTCTATAATCTTGAGTTGGAGTAGTTCCAAGTCTGTTTCTTAGGTAAGGCGGTGAAAAATATGTCTTCAGCAAAGACAGCAAAAGCTGAGAGAAGGTTGTACATTCAGAGTAGGATTGATTAAGCACCTACCAAGCTCTCTACAAAGAACTCAGCTCATGAGGGGGGAATAAAAAACACTCATTTATTCACCTCATGTTTATTAAGTATCTACAGTGTGCCAGATACTATTCTGGGCATTAATTGTGCCAAAGTAGACTAAAATCTTGCCCTAGTTCATTTTACATTCCAATGAGACTCAAGCAACATGTAAGGAAAATTATTGAGAGGAAATGTAGTGTTAGAATGGGAACCGGCTTTGGAATCAGGCAGGCTTTCTTTAAATCCTGGCTTCATCACTTTCTAGATATCTGACTGGGATAGTTTACAAAACTTTCTCATGTTGTTTTGTAAGAAATGCAACATGATAATGTAGTAATGAAAGGAATAGGAAGTTGGCAGCAATAAAGCTCTAAAATTAATCTGAATCCTAAATGAGACAAGAGTAAATTAGACTCAACTCTACTCATAAAACTAAGCCCTACCCAGTTGACTTGGGAAGGACTGCTTTAATTTTCTCATTAGTTAATTTAAAATAAAAAATACTAGTCTTGCACAGTTGTTGTAAGAATTTGCCATAATGTGTACAATGTCCTTGCCTAGGTCTAGCACATAGATAAGGCTTCACTCAGGCAATTCTTATTATTGTTATTGGAAGTTAGAATTGTTCAAAGACAGAGAGGAGAAAGACTTAGTACTCCTCTTTTCCCCCCTTTTACATTGTCCCACTTATTGCTTCTTATTTGGCATACTTGGAGACTAACTGGCCTTGTCACCTTCAGTGTTGCTGCCCTGAGCCCATTTTCTACTCTACAGCCAGACAGAGCTTGCTAATGCTCAAATCTGATCATGTCACTGTACTTTGTAGACCACTTCAAAGGATCCTCTAAACAAGAGATAAAGTTTAAATTGTTTGACACAGTTAAAAGATCTTGCATACACTGCGGCATACCTACTCAGCAGCCTCCTCTCACCACATGTTCTCCTTCTACCTTTTACTTGGACCTAGCTACTTAACAAACTGAACCATTTAGGTTTTACTTTTTAGCCTAGGGGCACATCAAAACACTGAGATGGTAATGGCAACAAAGTCTGGGATCCTCTGTCCTACACTATAATTGTTTCTTCTTCGAGGGTCCCATTGGAACCTTTTTATGTTATGGAAGTATTTAGGAATCAGTGAAAAGGTTTTGTCCCCTAGAAAAATAATTATATATGCTAGAAAAAAAGTATATATGCTCCTGCATTTAAGAGATTCATGGGCCCTTGCACCCCATCTGTGGACCCACTAGAGTAAGAACATCTTGTTGAGGGTTTGACATAGCCTGAATGAATACGTAAGAGGTTTAACCTATCTAGTTTTACATCTGCCAGCATATCCAAGGGAAATTAGAACACTAGAAATAGCCCTTAGGAAGGGAGAAAATGTTCAGTTTTTTGCAAAAACAAAGTGGAAATCTGGCTCTCCATTTTGGGGATTTGGCGGTTTGATTGATGACATCTCTCTTTTGGGTTCTGAACAACCAACAGACACAAGGGACCATATAAGACCAAAATATCTGCTCCATTAATGGTTTGGATGTAGTGACAAACAACTTAAATTGGACTCTGATTGGGAAGGCACAAGGCTCTGGCTATTGCATGGGAAATGAGAGGTGCTGGAGAGCTGGAGCCTTGCTGATCCATGGGACAAGAAGCACAAGCTAAATTATAAGAGGCAGAGTGACAAGTGAGTGGTGATAGCTAATGCATTCCTGCCCAGAGATGAAATGCCAACCCAATGGTATTAACCTCTCACTGGTTTCCCTAGGTGAGCCTGTCACCCCTTCTATGGGGGCAGGAAGTCACACACCAGCTATGTTCGTAATATCTCCTTAAAAGGTTACAAGAGTTGGAAGCTCCTAATTTTAGGATACATGCTGGAACTCAGGGAAGGGAAGAGGATTACCCTTACATCCCCTTAATCTTATCATTATTGTTGTTTGTTTGTTTGTTTGTTCTGTCTGTTAATGGATACACAGTCCTAAATCTTACCCTGAATAACCCAAGGGATCTGTAGAATGCCTACATAGAAATCATAAAGAAAATGAATACACCTTGAGAAAAGGCTCAAACAAACCCCATATTCTTAGAGGTTCATCTTTTCTTCTCTGTCTCTCCATTTCTCTGTCTCTCTCTCCCTTTAGTTACCCTATAAATATCTCCACTTGCATATTAATTATGAGCTACACTGCCTAGTGTAGCCATGTCCCTTCCCCCTTAGGGGAGACAATTCAATCATCTGAGATCTCAAGGCTTAGTTCTTGATAAACTAAATAATTTGGAAAACTCTGCCTTTGGCCTGCTATTTAAGCTTACTGTTTTGCCCTGGGACTTAAACCTCAAGGTTTGCTCAGAAGGTAGAAGTCTACAAGATACTAAGATTCTAAAAGAAAGGTAAGGGGCATTTATTTAATATTTGCAAAACGTGATTTCCCATTGCAAATGGTCTACTTCCATTTTAAAAGTAAGGTGAGTACCCTTGGGTAGTAAACTGCAAGCTAAAAGGAAGAATATAAAAAGAGACAAGGAAGTTTGAGTACAGGCTGGGTAAGAAAGGAAAACCTATGTTATCACAGTTTGGACCCTAAGTTCTTGGCTCTCATGTAAATAGAAATTAACACCACGCCAAACCGAAATTTTTCTCAAGCAAAGCTTAATAGGCTTGCAGCTCAGGCAATGCAAGAGAGCAGCGCATGGGAATGGGATTCTGGTGCTAGCTCTCTGAAAAGTGTGGCTCTTACCATTTTAAGAAGTTGAAGCAGAAAAAGGAGCAACGTGTAGGCATGAAAAGGTGGGGAACTTTTAGCACATGCTTCTCTGTGGGTCACATGTCTCATTAGCATGTTAATTCTGTATCCCTGGGTGTGATTTTGGTATTATAATATGGAAAAATTTGGTGAAGGTCAACACTGGAGTCTATCTTGTCTTTAGCCTGCTGCATCTGGTCAGGTTCTTATCAGGAACACCAGAGTCCCACTTCAGCAACCTGGGCAGAAGTAACTCAAGGAGACAAACATATTCTTCCTATTATGGCTGGGAATTCAGCTTGGTCAGCTAAGTTAGGGAGGGGCAGCCTTCTGCTACATGAATTGGGTCAGCTTTTTCCAGTTTAGGATATAATTTTCTTAGATATGTCTTCAGCTAGTAAGTGAGTGAATGTATTCCTAACATGATAGTTTATAAGGAAACTGGGTAATCAAGATCAGCATCATCTCCAGGCAAAGGAATTCTTTTTTTTTTTTTTTTTTTTTTTTGAGACAGGGTCTTACTCTGTCACCCAGGCTGGAGTGCAGTGGCTCAATCATGGCTCACTGCAGCCTCGACTCCCTGAACTCAGGTGATCCTCCCACCTCAGCTCTGAGTAACTGGGACTACAGATACATGCAACCGCACCTAGCTAATTTTTGTATTTTTTGTAAGGATGGGATTTCACCATGTTACCCGGGCTAGCCTTGAAGTGGGGTCAAGCAATGTGCCCACCTCAGCCTCACAGAATGCTAGGATTACAGGAGTGAGCCACCACACCCAGCCAGAAAATCTTAAGTTTGAACATTAGATAGCTTTAAATTTCAAAAATGTTACCCGAAGTTGTGAGCTCTTGTGCTCTCTCTTTCTCTTTCCCTCTCCCCTCCCTCATTATTAATACCCCAGCTGCCCCCCCACAAACAACATATACCTATAGAAACTTGTTTTTGAGATCTTGATATGAAAAGACTATGGAAATGACTATGCATCTGTGCGTTGAATTTTTGTGAGATAAACAGCATAGGGGGGAAGCCCCAGGATCCCAATTTCCTTCAATAGCTAACAGCCACCACGGATGGGCACACAGAGCCTGCGAGGCTCTCCATCTGTACAAACAGCACGTGATTCTGCTATTCACACCACATTTTCCTTCAAAATGCCTTGTAATGTACAAAGATCAATAAAAAGTGAACCAGTACTTTTATTTAAATGTCATCTCATAAAAGCAAGCAACACAGACAAACTTTTCCCAGAGCAATTCTATTATAATGTGCTACTCACAGATGGCAAAGCCTTCTCTTCTTCCCAAGCTCTTGACCAAGAAGGCTCACATTTATTCTTTTAAAAGTTAGCTATTGTTCACTGAAAAAAAAGAAATGTATGGAAGCCATTTTTTAAGAGGAAAACAAATTTGGAGTACACCAAAAATCAAGTTGTTCTTAGGCTGCATTCCTTTTGAGTTTATCTCTTGGTCTTCGAATTTGATGGCCAGTGGCCTGTCAGTGGGACAAGCTGAGGTAGAGGCACATATACCCACTGTGAAGCCAGGTGTGGAAACTATAGGGGAAAAGAGATGTTCTAGAAATTCTACCCTTGATTCTCATTTTTCTGATCTCTTTTAAGAAAATAACTGGCCCTGAAAACTAATTTCCCTCATGTTATTTTGTATTTTTAGACCAGGCAGGGTGAAGAACAATGAAGCAAAACAACAAAGGCAGCAATCATGAAAATTAATATCTTCAACACTCTGCCTACCCTTATTTGCCTTTTGAAAAACATCTGCCTACAGTGTTTCTTTTCACTTATTATGGGCATGTCTGATCAATGTTTTGCATGTCATGCAAACAATTTGGTTAACTGAAAACTCACAAATTATAATATCCTCTTTTGATAATTGTTGTCAAAATGCATGTCAGCGGTGAAATCCTGAAGTTGTGCAAGTTCAAGAAAAGTTTTTAGATCTTCTCCTTTTCTCCCTCTTCCTTTCTTTCCTTCTCTCTCTTCCTCCCTTCCTTTCCTTCCATAGTAGAAATAAGCAAACCAGATCAGCCAAATAAGCTTTAAATCCCTGCTCTCCAAGACACTAGCCATTTAGTCTTGAGTCTTTAGTTTCCATATCTGAAAAGTGACTATGATATTGCCTTCTTTGCATGATTCCTCTGAGATTTGCAGATATTTGTGAAGTACATGGCAAAGTACATATTCAATAAATAGTAGTGACTCTCATAATTTATGTAACAAATATTTTTTACCTAATGTATATAAGAAACCACATTGAGGTGCTTATCATCATAGTATTAATAGTATGTGCTTTGACAAGGGTACAGAGGACTATCTAACAAATGATCTAATACTCGGGATTACAAATAGTAGACTTCATCATAGGCAAAACCAAGCCTATGACTTGTGATCTAACTACCTGATGCAATGTGGGGAGCAGTTCTAAGTACTGTTGACTGACAATCAATGCTAGTTGTTACTCATGGAAAGGGTACAGCCTCACCTGGGAACACTTTAATCCTGTGACAGTCCACACCCCAATCCAATTGTCATAACAGCAGGCTATTTGGCTTAGAGAATGGACAACACTGACATAATGAACTTCTGTTTGTGTATTTATTTAATATGCAAATAGTCACGGCTTTTGATACTGTTTCTAGGGGAGGAGAGATCCGAAAGACTTTCTTATCAAAAAGCTGTGCTACCATCACCATAACTGTAAACATGCTAAGAACCGCTGGATTATACACTTTAAATGGGTGAATTCTATAATATGTGAATTGTATCTTAATAAATCTGTTTTTTAAATTAAAAATTTTAAAATAGCTAAAAAGTTAAAAAGCTGTGCTAACAAATCAGTGGGATTGAGTTTAAAAAGCTAATATCCAACAGAATGCCTTCCATGTGCTGCTTTATATAGTTATTTTCCATCTTTCCAGTCTTTCCCTTCCCATTCCACAGTTAAATTTTAATATTTGATGAACATTAATTTTTTGAAGACTGGAACTTATTTATTTTGCAGCTTTTAGGCAATATAATTCATAAGCACCCTTTCTATGGGCTAAGCAAATTATACATCACATTTCCTAGGCAAAGAATATTTCAGGGGATAAGGGATGTGGTGTAACACTTAAGAGTTCTGGAGTCAGGCTGCAGTCACTCAAATGTCAGCCCTACCTTTTTCTGTGGTGTGTATTTGTATAAGCTGTTTAACTTCACTGAGCCTTGAGTCTTCACTGGTAAAGTCAGGTTTGTTGAGAGGATCAAATAAAATCGTGATTCACAACACTTAAAACAGCGACTACATTAGTAAGCACTTGAAAAAATTGTAGCTAGTATCATTAAGATCTTATAGGATTTTAATCTGAATTATAACAAGGTGCACTGTAATGACACCTCTAATACTTGTAATTTTTATTGGTCCTTCATGTACTATGACAGTTCAGACTTACAAATGTACACATTTCAGAACTGGACTTCAGTTGTTGCTTAAAATATTTTCTCTCTCCTCAGCCTCCTCACTTCCTTTATAGATTCATCTTTCATTGAGGAAGCCAGGGAAAAAATGGTATATTTCATTTCAGACAGCCTTTATGAATAAGACTACATGGATGGTCAAAGTTTTAGTTTCTGACAAGTTTTGTAGGAAAAAAAAACAAACCACAATTTTTGATCTTTGCTTCTTTATTTTCAGCAGACCAAGTAAGTCGCATTGGCACAGATATATGCTTCTGTGGTAGTTAATTGGAAGGAAAAATGTCCGTGCTCTTATGTCTGCATATGTACTCAATGCAAACTTTGAATTTATGTTTTGAAATTGGGACAATTTGAGAATAAAATAACCTTAACTGTATTTCTTTATTGTTTCAGTTCAAGTACTTATACTTTGTTTTTGAAAAAAAACAATCTTAATTTCCTACTCTGACATTCCCCTACTTACACCACAGATTGAGGCAGTTTGGAATATGTCAGGTTCCATCTCTGCTGTGAGATCACTCATATCTGACAACCTGTTTAAGAACCTTGAAGATGCTCTGAGGCCAATTGTAATTCCCCCCAACCACCCCAGAGAAATACATGGGGCCAGGGTGGACTGCATAAGCAGCACTGCCACTGCCAGAGGGTGCTGGTTGCCAAGGAGCCTGCTGCCCCACTGCCTGTCTGCCCTGCCGCTTCACCTTCAAGATTCTTAGGCACTTGCTCTTGTGTCCTCTATTGCTAGCTATTTCTTGCTCTTGCTTTCTTTCTCCATCACTCCTCTTCTGTCTCACTCTCTCTTCTCCTTTCTCTCACTTTCTTTCTCTATTCATCCTTTGCCTGCTTGTGCCATTGCCTGCACTGTTTGGTTCTTTCATTGATTTCTATGGCACCAATCTCCATGGAATCTAACCACTCAGACAAACACATTAGGTTAAATATAGGCCTGTGTAGGAAGAGAAGAGACACATTTCTCTTGCTTCCTTTCCTTTAGGAAAATCTATGCTTGATTAAGTGACATTATTCCAAGGTAAAGAGCAGACATCGAAGGGTGTTAAAAAGAGGAGAAAAATAGATTTGTATTTAGAAAATGTTATCTAGCTGCAATGTGGAAAACAAAGGGGAGGTCAGGATGGGAAGCATGGAAACAAGTTAACAGGCTGTTTCAGTTGTTCAAGTTAGTGAAAATGGTGACCTGAAAAGGGGTAGTAGCAGTGACAATGGAGAAAGTGAGTCTGGACATAGATTCAATCACACTTGGAGACTGATTAATAGATGTAAGTGATTGAGGTAAAGGAAGAGATGATGACCACTCTGAAGCTTCTTGCTGAGATGGCTGCCATTACCATTAGGGAACACAAAAGAACAATAGGTCTGAGGCAGGAGATATTGAATTCCATTTCATTTGGGGCAGGTTTGTAGCATGTATGGTACTTCTAAGGGGAAATGCCCAAGTAGTTGGATGTGTGAGTTGGAAGCCCAGTAGAGATGTCTGAGCTGCAAATATATGTTCTTGACTTACCAGCATAAACATGACAATTGAAGCCATGAGAAGAGATGAGACAGCCCAGGAAGAGTATGAAGAGATCAGAGCTCTGAAAAGACTGAGATGGAACGCTAGGGAATTAAGAAGAAAGTGATGAGAGGGTGGTGACATGGAAACATATGAGGGGGAAAAAGCATTTTCATGAGGATTCAGTGGTCTCCAGTGTCAACACAGTGACTGATAAATCAAATATGAATAAAGAAGAATGGAGGGAGGAGAGAAAGCAGCAAGTAGATGCAAAATGAGAAAGTCACTGAGAGTTGAGAGGAGGCAGCAGATAACTGGGAAATCCAAATCTTCTCCCAAAGTACCTGTGGTGATTCAGGACAACAGTCTTCCCACGGGGCCCACTCCACAGATCCACATACTCCAGAGGCCCGCCAGAGTGGTGGGGTCAATAGCCTCTGCTCCATCAGCAGCCAGTCCTCCCAGTCAAGCCCCCAGCACAGCAGAGGCCAGCCCTTCTGGTCAAGTCCCAAGCACAGTGCAGGGCCAGCCCTCCCAGTCAAGTCCCTGGCACAGCAGGGACAGAGCACACAGCAGTCCAGAGGTGGATCCTGGGCCTTGCTGGAGGAGGAACAGGAGAAATTCATGCTTGACAGGCCAACCAGGATAGCCTAACCCAAAGACAGGAGCCAGCCCAATAAAGTGATCAGGCACCCTTTGGTCCTGATGAGTCACAAGGCTTCAAACAGTGCAGTTAAATTAAGGCAAGAAAAGGTGCCTTATGACTTCACTGCCTCCCAGGTCATCCTCCACAGGCTGCACTGACCTGGCAAACAGCTGGATTAGAGCAGAGAACACCTAACTTACTTGTGCTGTGTTCCTCCTTGTTGTGCCCATTGGGACCTTGAACCTCATGTACTGTGCCCTCCTCCCTTTACGTCTTCCCCCTGTGATTGGCACATGCTCATCTACAAGGGCTGTTCTAAGTCAATGGATAGGGAAATGGTGGGAATCAGGGAAGGGTTGGAGGGACCTATCAAAGACTTATGGTAGAGAGTTAAACAGTGCCACTTGGCCACTTGGGGTAAAGCCAGTGCCACCAATAACAGTTTATCATGCTCATTAATTTGGGATTTCAAAACAGAGATATGAACTCCAGCCCACTCACCCCCAAGTGGGTGTCTTAATCACTTCAAAAGTTCCATTTGAAAACACCCTTTCTTTTTTTTTTTTTTTTTCTTATTTTCATTTGTTCATACAAATATTTGATTTGTAAGAAAAAGTGCATGGGTGGGATTTTAGCAGTTTAATGAATTTTTAATCGAGAAAGGGTAGTTTGGTAGTTGACTTAAAAGTGTTTTTGGGAAATTCACTAGAAACACTAACCAACAGTATTTGAGTGAGCTTAGCTTCGGTATTCCTACTGCCTCCCAGAAAAGGGGCAGGGCTCTGTAGCCCCAAGACAAATTAGCACACCAGGCCTAGACCTCCCTACCTCAGCTAAGTTCCAGAGCATCTTGGCCTTGCCTAGAGACAAAGTGAGTTCTATAGGGTAAGAAAGCCTGGGGAGGTAATTTGGGAGATAGAGAAAATGAGCAGACTTCCCCCTCCTATACTGTTTAGGGTGGTTCTCTACCAGCCAAGTTTACTAATTCTAGAAAAGAGCAGGAAGTCTCAGAGAGTGGGAAGTCACTCCTGGGCTTAGAAGAAAAAGATGTGAGACTTGTTCAGTATTTCACTGTCAGCACAAGGAAGACCAGAAGAGTCTTGCTCCAGGACTCTCAGCCATCTGCCTGGTATGGTCAGAGGGTGAATAGATCTTCCGACTCCAACAAGGCTTGAACTCTTAAGGATCTGTGGTGCTTCATCTCCATTGATGGCCCCAGCTCGGTAACTATAGCTGGCACATTTCCTCTGTGAAATCAGTACTTTGGGAGCAGACCATTCTGAATAAAATTGAGAAAATCAAAGCTTTGCACTCCAGATTGATAACAGAGTGGTTCTCCAGAGGCCTAGACTACCCTTCACTCTTTTGCCAGAGTGAAGGCCTGGAATCGAGGCTGTTTCTCCTCTGTCCCTGACTTCTGGAGATTTGCTTTGGCTCCTTGAGGTGGAAGAGGTTAAAAGGAAAGCTGCCCAGTGCAGCTCTGTGTGTACAACCTGGCTCCTCTCAGGCTTTCTGATTCCTTCCCTTGCACTGTGCCTTATCCCTTAGCCAGCCAGATGGCTTCCCCACTCCTAATCAGCAAATACATTCTAGAGTGGTTGGTGTGGTTTTGCAATTAGGGTAGCATTTAGGGTGCCCAAGGTGGGCAGGTTTCACAGCTCACTCCACCTTTGGTTCACCTGGCTCTCAGCCTTGCCCTTTGGGAACGGCAGGCCAGCCAAAACCAGCAAACCATGTTCCACAACATCTTCCCCTTAGGAGGAAAGGCCAGCTACCAGTTGAGTCAGTTACTAGTCCATTGGACAGCCTTATAACTGTGTGAAGCCAGGAACTGTTCATGAGCAGAGCTGGAACAGAGTTTCAGTCAGTAAGAAGGGGCATGACCCCCAGGATTGGGCAAGGAAAAAAGTTGGCTGCTATCTTTATGGTTCCACTGCACTGACCAAGTGTCCACATCTTAAATGTATAATGTCCATCCCTCATGTAAGAGTAGTTTCTGGCCCAAGACGAGACTGTCATTTCAATTGGAGAAGTGTGCTGAAGTAGACCAGGTGGAAAGGCCAGCAGTGCTGATGGCTCAGCAGTTGGGACCACCTGTTTTTGCCTTGCTCCCACCACTCTAGAGGGAGCCAAAGAGAAGGCTGGCTGTTGGGTGTCTGCGGATTGACAATGGGGCAGGGACTAGTACACCCATCTCCCTCTGGCCAAAGATGGGGTTTTGCCCACTATGTGCCTGTCAACACCCACCAGCAGTAATTCCCTGGACTTCCCAGATAGAGAAGTTGCAGGCAAAAATTTTAAAAGAAAAGATAAAACTATTGTTTTTGTAGGAGGTGGGAGGGGAGATGATGAAATAGTTTCAATTTTGTGTGTGTGTGTGTATGTGTTTGTATGTGTGTTTTCTTGAGGTGGTAGTCTGTAACTTTTTTTTCTTTCCTTTTATAATTTTCTTTCTTTTTCTTTCTTTTTTTTTTTTTTAGTAAGTTGCAGACGTCAGCTTAGAAAACTCCAAGGGGATGGGGGGCAGAAGCCTAAGGCTACCACCCCTTTATTTGCCTTCATGCTGCTGTCCCTTTTCCCCAGCTCCTCTCTAACCCCACGAGCCAGGCCTCAGACCTTCAGGCTAACTGATTCCCAGGAGCCACTGTTCTGATGTCAGCCTATAAGCAAAGGAGCTGGTGGTCCAGGTCTGGTGACCAATCCTTCTCAGCCCACTCAATCAGGGTGATCTCCACCTATATGTGGGAAATAAAACTACATCTGCTACCATAAGCCCCTTCCAGAATCCACCATACCCTGCTCTGGCCTATCTAAGGATACACTGCTCAGGGATGGGTTGGCAGGGCTACACACTCAGCTTTTCTGGTAAGCAGAGACTCAAGAAACCTCTGGGGTCCTGTTTTCTGGTCGTGTTATCCCAGAGGTGCACATCGACCCCTTGGATGTCTGAAAAGAGGGCATTGGAGGGAGGCCAGAAGTGCTGATGGTTCACTATACACCTTGCAGTCTTACTCTGCTGGTATAGTAAGCAGCTGCCCACCTCACCTCACCCTGCACTGTGGGCTCCTGAGTCAGCATATAAAGCTTTTGTAAATTATATTTTAAATACATGTTTTAAACTTGAAAAGGAAAAGAATAAATAAATCAGAAGACATTTTGCAGTGAGAAGGAATAGGTAGGAAAAAGAATGTGGGAACAACAAAGGAGGATAATTCTGTCAAGAAGTTTGTCCAGGCGCAGTGGGTGCAAATGTAGTCCCAGCTACTGGAGAGGTTGAAGGGAGAGAATGGCTGGAGCCCAGGAGTTCTGGGCTCTAGTATGCTATACCAATCAGGTGTTTGGCATCAATATGGTGACCTCCCCAAAGCGGAGAACCACCAGGTTGCCTTAGGAGGGGTGAACCTCCTTAGGCAGGTCAGAAACAGAGCAGGTCAAAACTCCTTTGCTGATTAGTAGTAAGATTGGGCCTGTGAATAGCCACTGCACTCCAGCCTGGGCAACATAGCAAGACCCCATCTCTAAAAAACAGAACAAGATGAAGATGAAGACAAAAATGAAGAAAAGGAGGAGGAAGAGGAGTGGAGGGATGACTAAGACTAAGGAATTCAATATTTGATAGAGGGATGGAGCATTTCCTCATCTGCTCTTGAGATGAGCACACTTGAGCATGTTTAAATGCCAGTGGAAAGGAGCCATTAGAGAGTGAAATATGGAAGATACAGGGAAAGGAGGTAGGTACCTGAAAGATCCATGTCCTCAAGAAAGTAGGAAGACAAAATTCAGGGCACTAGCACACTGTGCAGAATTAATGTTACATAGGGAAAGAGACTCATTATTTTCCTGAAGGGAAGGAAATGAGGAAAGTGGGTGTGGATGCAGATGAATTTGCAGATTTAGTCTAGGAGTTGAGAAAGGTACAGTCTAATGGATTCTATATTCTCTGAGAATGAAGTGAGACTGTCTGCTGTGGACAAGGGTAAAGAAGCAGAATTAGAGCTGTGAAAAGTAAAGAAGATCTGAAATAGTTCCTTCAGTGAATGGAGGAATGGTTGATTAGGGATTGATAGAAATTTTGCCTGTGGCACAAAGGGCGCTGATCAAGTCGGCGCTTGTGATTTTTGAGTGAAGCTCATCTAGGAAATTGTGTGATTTTTCTCCATCAGCCTACTATGGATTCAAAGAACTAGGAACGTGGATTCATTGAGGGTTGGGTTTTTTTCCTAGATGAGTCAATGGAAAGAAAACAGGCAAAGGAGTTGGTAAGACAATAGTTGATGTGACAGAGCATGAAATCCATAATGAAAAGAAAAGAGTGAAGAGAAGCCTGCTGAGTGAAAGGGAAGCAATGAAGAGAAGGTGAAAGAAGAATATCAGTGATATCAGACAGCAGCTGCCATGAGAGAGCTGGGTGGAAAGCTGAACAGAGAGGGAGCTATGGAAACAAACAATTCTATTGAGGAACTTAGCTGATTCCTTTGCTGAATTCTGCCTCTTTTCTTGCTCAATTGGGCTCATGCTATCTAGCTATAGTTAGAGAATTTTATATGATCATAAGTGGAAGTTTTTTTTCACAATTCCATGTTCAGATAATGGTAAATGCAAATATCAGCATGAGAAAATGAATGCAGTGGCTAAGGGCTCAGGTTCTGAGATTGGGTTATTGGGTTAAAATCTTGTCTCTCTTTTACCTATGAGTTGTATGGCTTTGAGTAAGTCATTTAACCTCTGTGAACCATGTTTTCCCATTTATAAAATTGGCATAAAATGGTATCTACTAAACATGGTTGAGTAAGTGAATACCCATATAGTATTTAGAATAGGTTGGGCACAGAAGTTCACACTTATAATCCTAGCATTTTGAGAGGTCAAGGTGGGAGGATTTATTGAGACCAGGGGATTGAGACCAGCCTGGCAACACAATGATATCCCATCTCTACCAAAAAAAAAAAAAGTAGTTTCTAGCACATAGTAAGTATTTAATAATTGTTAGCTTAATTATTGTTACCATTATTATTAATATTAGAACTCATGTCATGCTAGGGCCAAAAAGGCTTCTACTTATTTCATTTTACAAAAGCAGAACCTGATTGAGAAGTGCTGACATTCTCAAACTAGGCAGTAGATCTAGGTCTAAGTAAGTCCAGGTCTCTAGATTTCCATTCCTTCTCTGTCTTTTCTGTGTCATGATGTTTGGATCTCATCTACTTATAAGGAGCCAGCCCTGCCCATTGTAATGTGTAACACAGAAATAAAGCCCAGCAGAGACTTCCATGGGCTTCTCACATGCTTTCACCATAGACAGTCATGCACAAGAAGCAGCCCAAGGAGACCCAGAGAGCTATGGCAAGGTCAACTGCCTCTTCATGTGCCTTGTGCCATCTTGTTGTCATAACAAAGAAAATTGCACTTTCACAGGCTTCAGTGCATTTTCTGTTGTTCTATGAAATGCAGCCAGCAGCCAACCCCAATCAATTTACTGTCCTGTCCAGATGGTGGAAGAAAAGACATAATTGAAGTCATTGATGGTATTTTAACATCAGGACTCTGTAAGTACTGACACTTTTCAGCCTTTGATTGTTTACAAAGTCTTCCAGCCTAAATTGAATGTAGACTGACCTGTCCTGCTCTGAAGTAATGGAGCTAACACTAAGAAAAATTGATGATTGCTTTCTCCACTCCTATGCCTCCAAAGATTGTGTGCCTAAATTTTTCTGACTGATGGCCTCTGGGTCTGTTGAGACTTAGGCAATTCTAGTTGGGATGTATGTCACCTCTAACACTTTCCTAAGTTGATTATTGAAGAACTTAACCTGAAGCCTTGGAAATCATATTGGGTAAATTATGCTGATGAGATTTCCAATTTGATTTTGGGTTCAGGTGGCTCAATTTAGTTCAAATCCCTGTGTACTTCCCATCAGAATCTTGATTTGTATTTTTTCAGCTGTAGCACCAGCCTTTCTACACAATAGTCACGATTTTTGTTTTGTGGTTCTTTTCCCTTTCTAAGTGAAATTAGAAACAAAGGCAATGTGAATTATTTATAAGTGCAATATTTGCTATCATGCTATGCATTTAGGTTTACCGCAGTAGTTCTTAATCTTCACTGTGCATCAGAATCACCTGGTCAGCTTTTTAAAAACAGGGATCTCTGGGTGTTGTTTTTAAATATTTATTAGGTGTTTTAAATGTATAAGCAAGGTTGAGAATCAATGCTCTGGATCTATGCTTCCCTCCTATTAAAAGAGTGATGTGGCTTTCTTCCAGATATAGCACCAGAGGGCTGCAGACATAGGGAGCTTTAAGGTACATGTGAATTTCATTACTACCCAACTGATCATTCTTACTTCTCAAAGTGTGATCTGCAAACCAGCACCACTGACCCATGGGCTTGTTAGAAATGCAGACTTTCAGGACAATATTAGCAATAAGCCCAAGTAGATCCCCAATGGGCTGACAGATGGGAAAAAATGTCAAATAATTTATTCATGGTTTAGAAATATATTCATGGCTTTGCTTCATTTAACATTTCATCAATGATTTGGATGAAGACAGGACATAAGTAACAAATTTGAAGATGTCTTCTAACTGGGGAATATAGAAAACATCAGACGACAGATTCAGTATTCAAAAGAATGATGTTCTTATTCTAATATGAAATATTCAATAGATTTAAGTGAAAGGCCAGCATCTGAGTTAAGAACAACAACTGTCTGTATAATTGTAGGAGAGAGTTGACTGAATAATATCACTTATCGATAAAGTTTTTTTTTTTTTTAGAAGGAGTCTCATTCTGTCTCCCAGGCTGGAGTGCAGTGGCACGATTTCGGCTCACTGCAGGCTCTGCCTCCTGGGTTCATGCCATTCTTCTGCCTCAGCCTCCCGGGTAGCTGGGACTACAGGCACCCGCCACCATGCCTGGCTAATGTTTTCGTTTTTTTGTATTTTTAGTAGAGATGGGGTTTCACTGTGTCAGTCAGGATGGTCTCGATCTCCTGACCTCATGATCCACCTGCCTGGGCCTCCCACAGTGCTGGGATTACAAGCATGAGCCACCGCGCCTGGCCTATAAGGCTTTTTTTTAGTTGAAAAAGTCAGTGTAAATAATCAGTCATGTGAAAAGCCTGCCCCTCTCCCCAAACTAATGTGATTTTTGTTTGAATTAGAATCCAAAGCTCCAGAAAAGGGGTGGGGGAGGTAACTGTCACTCTATTCTGTGCTGAACAGACAGTAAAGATAAACTGAGTTATGTGCATGAGACTTATGACCATGGTGGTGGATATTTAAGCTGGAGAATGAGGCTCTGTTCCAGAAACAAGGTAGAAAAATGGATCCTGAGGTATGTTTCAAATATCTAAAACTCTCCTATAAAAGAGACATGTGGCCTTCTTCCAGATCTAGGGTCAGAGGGCTGAAGGCACAGGGAGCAGAAATCAGATTACATAAAGAATCAACATGTAAACAATCTGTGCCATCTGAAGAACAAATGAATATACTTGTGGGATGGTGAATTTTTTTATCCCTACAGGCATTCAAACAAAGGCTGAATGGTCACTTACCAGATCCACTGCTAAGGAGACCATGTACCATGGGAAAGTGTTGGACACAGTCACTGCTAAGATAACTTCCGCTTGCTCAGGTCTCTGAAGTCTTAAGATTTGTCCATAGCTTGGTTGTGGAGAACTGTGTTCCTGTGTCAACTTGGAGCTGAGATCCCACCATACCTGGATTCTCAGGGTTATAGTATCTCCTATTAATCCTGTTTTCTTCTCTATACCCCTATCAACTCTAAATGTTTATGGTTTCTTCACCTTCTGTCTCCCAAAGCCAAGCAGAGATATTAATAGAAGCCTAAGCTGTGGAGGTTTGAGAAGGCCTTTGAAGCTATCGAGCTGCTGCTCCCAATTTCCACCAATTGCTTAAATCTCATCATTAAACATTAAGAGCTCTTCTGGTGTTTTATACCAGTCACTCCTTTTAAAAACATAAAATACTTAAAAAGAAAATTTGAGTTAGGCCTTTTTTAGTCTTTAATTTTTCTGTTTATAAACATTTAAATAAAAATTTTTTAAAAGCTATAAAAATGAAAGCAAAAATCTCTGGAAATGCTACCACCCAGAAATAATCACTATCAACATTTTGGTGAGCATTCTTCCAGACCTCTCTCTGTGCATACCACCATATGCCTTTCTAGATCCATAGAAAGATAATTTTACATAGGCAGCTTTGTATTATGTATGTTCCTTTGCCATCTGCTTTTTATATGCAATATTATGTTGTTGAAATACTTCCATGTTAGTGGATGCTTTTTAATGCTTTGTATGGATTTGAATATAACAGTTGTAAAGCCATTTAAATAGAATATAGTAAAAATTTTAAGATGCTGCTCTAGTCTGAATGTTTGTGTCCCCTGACAATTTATATGTTGAATCCTAATCACTAATGTGATGAATTAGGAAGTGGGGACATAGGGATGTAATTCAGTCATGAAGAGGAGCTGTCATGAATTAGCTTACTGTCCTTATAAAAGAGGCCCCAGAGAGCTGCCCTGCCCCTTCTACTATGTGAGGATACAGCAGGAAGCTATTGTTCTATGATCCAAAAGTAGGCCTTATCAGGCACAAAATCTTCCAGATCTTAAACTTACAGCCTCCGGACTGGAAAAATCAATTTCTATTGTGTGTAAGATACCAAGTTTGTGGTATTTTGTTACAGCAGCCTAAACGGACTAAGATAGATCCATGCACTTGTTCTTTTAAAAATGGGCTACTAAAAGAATATGGTGTCCAAGGTGATGCAATTTCAACTCCCTTCCTGAATGACAGCAGTCCTCAAGAAGACATGCACATGATTTTGTGGTGAGGCTTCATAGGATGCTGGGAATAGCTGGAGTTGTGAGGCTTAAATGAAAATAATGTAAGTAAAAATGCTTTCAAACCCGTGCTCCATTTTATGTAGATATTGTTTTAACAAGTTTGATTATTTAATAATTTTCTTTTACAAAAGAGTATATATCAGAAAATAAAAGCCAGTCATAATCAAGACCATCCATGCCAAAAAGACCACCCAGTGTAACAAAATAAAACGACCCATTTTTCTTTTCTGATTTGAGTTTTGATGGTATATTATGAGCATTTCCTGTCACCATCATTCTAAAATTATAACTTTAAATAATCTTATTATATAAAGAAAGAAATTTCCATTCTAGAAAAATTGAAATAATTGCCAAGTGAACTAATTATTATTTTTTAGCATTTATATATATATATATATATATATAAAATTATCCTTCCATACTCATTGTATTTAATGTGAGCTTATTTATTTAAAATTATATTCAATATTTAGGAACATATTTTTCAAAACATCTCAGAATTTTAAAAATTATGTCAATATTGTAGTTTAGAACTTAAATACAAAAACTGCTTGTAAAAACTGGGAAAAAACTAAATTTGGGCCAAAATTTCTTAATGGCTACTTAGTATCTCCTCATGTGGATGTAGCATAATTTAATCAGCCCCTAATTCCTAGATACATAGCAGTGAAATCTGGTTAAAAGGCAAAAGATGAAAGCTAAGAAGAGGCAAAAACAATTTGAAGATTGAAATGGACTCAACTGTGGCTTGGAAATTGAGGAGGTAGACCATTAATCAAGAAATTAGGGAGCCTCTAGCAGTTCAGAATGGCCCTCAGTTGACTTCCTGCAAGGAAACGGGGGCCTCAGCCTACAATCTACAGCAGCAAGAGACTGAATTCTGCCAACAGCCCGAAGGAGCAGGAAACAGATTCTCTCTGGGAGTCCCAAAAAGAGAATTCAGCCCTCCTAACACGTTGATTTTAGCCCAGTGAGATCTGTGGCAGATTTCTGACCAACAGAACTATAAGATAATAAATATGTGATGTTTTAAGCTACTAGATTTGAGGCAATCTGTTAGAAATAGAAAACTAATACATTCTGGTTTCTGAATCATAGTCAATATACTTGATAGGTTTTCTGATTTTATGCTTCTTGTCTTTTATTTTTATTTGATACTCCTCTCTCCCCTTAACAGTTTCTTAGGAAGCAGCATCAGCATTTCCTTACAAGAGCGGGTTATACATTCAGATTTTCTGGGCTTCAATCGTATGTGATCTTGGACAAGTTATTTACATACCGTGTGCCTCAGTTTTCTCATGAGTCAAATGCAGATAGTACAGATTTTGTGAGTACTAAGTGAGTTAGTTCATATAAAGTACTTAGAACAGCAACTAGCACATAGTAAGCCATTATTTTCTTATTTATTATTTGCTCTTCTTTTCAATAGTAATTTGGAATATATACATTATTCTGTTTTAATTTTATTAGGACCAACTTCTAAGTTTTGCAAAAACATATGTAAACCAGATTTTATCTAATTTCAGAAATGAAAAAAGTATTTACTAACTCATTGCTTTTTCAAGATGAAAAATTTTGTGTTTTTATTTCTTTGTCTATCCCTGAGACACATAATGAGCTGATTTAGTCAGATTTATATTATTTTTTAACATGCTTATTTTTTGGTGTCCATCAGGTAATATATAGTTCTTGAACATCTAAAGATCCTATTTCATTCTGTCTAATAACTCTTGATAATATTGGATATTTTTCTCCTGTGGTTTGTAGTTCTAAACTGTGAGTTCATCCTCAGTGAGCTTTTATCTATGAAAATCTTATGCCCTGTGGGCCAGGAATACTTCTTTCCAGAGAGGCTTTGTATTTGATTATGCTAAATGTCCCCAAAACCAACTTTTAAGTTAATTTCTATTTGGGGAATTTCTACCATGTAGGTAGTGTGATTTCAAATCACAACTTATATGATACAGGCATGTGATTACGATAAATTCTAAGCATCCTACCCAGAGCTGTGGCCATGATAAAAATTCCTTTATCACTGTTCTTCATACTGGTGAAAAGAATTTTCATTTTTATTTTCACTGAAGGTCCTGGCCTTTAAAAGAGGGTCTCAGAGGGACAGTCACCTCCACACTTACTTAATGTTAAAATATTGAATGCTTTCACCTTGAAACTGATGAGACTGATAACAAGACAGGGATGTTCACTATCACTACTTCTACTCAACAGGAGGTACAAGCCAAGGAAATAATGAAAGAGAAAGAAACAATAGGCTTACAGATTAAAAAGGAAAAAGAAAATATTTTTATTCTGAGATAATGTGATTGTTTCACGGGGAATCCAATAGAATTTATAAACTGCTATAAATCATAAGTGAATTTAGAAATATAAGGTTGTGATATTATGATATATATACATATATAAATTGATTTTTGTCCACAGTTTCTGGCTTATAACTATGATAACACTTGTTATATCCTAAGTGACTAAAACAACAAGCATATCTTTTGTTAAAGCATTTGGCCTTTTGTCTTTGTTTCCTGAAGTGGCTTCAGAAAAGCTTCAGAGTAATAAAGGTGAAAGACAGTCTTTTGTTATAATTGTTATAATATTGGAATGCTTTAGGCCTCAGGAGCAGGCCTCAAAAATCAGAATCTCTCTCTCTGACCTTCTTCTTCCCTTTTGCACCTGCTACTTTTTTCCCTAAGGCAGGCCATAGAAGCTAAAAATATACTCTAATCTTCTTCCACATTTCTGTCTTAGAACTGGTTGTAAAGAAATTCTTTTGTCTGATTGTAGGTCATAAGAACTCCATTTCAGAAGCAGTCCTGTCCCACCTCCAGGAGGAAGGAAAGCCACACAGATAGGCCAAGAAAAATCTGGACAGGTCTTGCTCCCAGATTTCCACACTTACTCTGTCAGTATTAGATCATAATGTTACCCGTGGAAGAGACCCAAGTTACCCTGAGTTACTGGTGGTGAATATATATGGGTCCAGAGCAACTTCAGTCCTTGCCTCCTCAAAAGAAAGAATTCGACTGAGGGGCATAAAGCAGAAAAAGAGACTGAGGCAAGTTTCAGAGCAGGAGTGGAAGTTTATTAAAAAAGAGTTTAGGCCAGGCGCAGTGGCTCACACCTGTAATCCCAGCACTTTGGGAGGCCGAGGTGGCCAGATCACGAGGTCAGGAGCTTGTGACCAGCCTGGCCAACATGGTGAAACTCCATTTCTACTAAAAATACAAAAATTAGCTGGGCGTGGTGGTGGGTGCCTATAATCCCAGCTACTTGGGAGGCTGAGGCAGGAGAATTGCTTGAACTCGGGAAGCAGAGGTTGCAGTGAGTGGAGATCGTGCCACCACACTCCAGCCTGGGCAACAGAGCAAGACTCTGTCTCAAAAAATAAATAAATAAAATTTTTTTAAAAAGACTTTAAAACAGGAAAGAAAGGAAGGTGCACTTGGAAGAGACCCAAGTGGGCACATGAAGGTTAAAAAGAGGTCAAGTGCCCCATTTAACCAAGATCCTAGGACTTTTATAAGTTTGCCTCTTTTCCATAATTCTTCCTTTAGGGTAGGCTTTCCCCAGGTGCAGAGCCCTCTTTAACCTGGGAAGTGAGCACACGCAGTGTATTTAGGGAGTTATATGCATGACCATCTGAGGCTTTCTTCCTTTTTTCAGTGGAGTATACCTGGAAGATCGCATTTATTTCACCCTTTTGTCTCTTAACACTCATGTCCAGGAAGCTTTTCCTCCTTGGGGTCTGCATTCATTTAACACGTTTAATGATAACAGGTGTGGACCATCAGGAGCTTGATGGCTGCTGAATTATTTTTAGAGAGGCAATGTGATAATTGCCAAACCATCACCTAACATTCAAGTGGATAGGGAGAGAGCCCTCTCTTGCCATGCTTATGCCTAACTACCTGTAACAATAACCTTTTTGTCCAATAATATTTCTATACTATTGTCCCTGCTTCAATTATGCCCATGCAATGAAGTCTTCATCATAGGCTCATGAAGATGGGTAGCTGAACACATTGATGCTCCTAAAGGGTGGTGTACCTGATGAAGGCATGGAAACTCTGCACCCTTCTTCTACACCTCATCTTGTGCATCTCTTCATTCGTATCTTTTAATATCTTTTATAATAAACTGATAAATGTGTTTCCCTCAGTTCTGTGAGCTACTCTAGCAAATTAATCCCAAGGAGGGGATTAAACCCAAGGAGGGGAAGTGTGAGAACCCCAATTTACAGCCAGTTAGTCAGAAGCATGGGTAAACAATCTGAAGGCTGTGATTGGCATTGACAGTGGTAGCAGTATTGTGGGATGGAGCCCTTAACCTGTGGGATCTAACACTATTTCTAGGTAGATAATGTCAGAATTGAACTCGATTGGAGAACACCAAATGATGTCCACAGCAGAATTGATTGCTTGCTTGGTGGGGAGAAACCACCACACATTTGGTAACAGAAGTCTTCTGTGTTGATTGTTGTGGTATGAGAGCAGGGAAAAAAAACAGTTTGTTTTTTCCACACAAAGGTCAAAATTTAAAAAATCAATTGTATTTCTATATAATAGCAACAACAATTAGAAAATAAAATTTTAAAAGTAACACTTATGCTAGCATAAAAAACATCAAATACCTAGGAATAAATCTATAAAAATGCTTGTAAAACCCTTACATTATTAAAATAACAAAGAAGAAATCAAAGACCTAACTGAAGAGTTATAAATGGAGAGATATTATATATTCATGGATTGGAAGATGCAATATGGCTAAGTTGTCTATCCTCCCCACATTGATCTGCGGGCTCAATGTAAGCCTAATTAAACTCATTAGGTTTTTTTAGGTGAAAATTGGCAGGCATAGTTCTAAAATATATAGGAGAATACAAAGAACATAGATGGACAAGGCAGTTGTAAAGCAAAACAAAGCTGGAGATTTTCCTCTGCCAGATTCTGACTTACTGTAAAGTTGTAATGAAATGGGATACTTCCCTTGACCCCTTCATGGGATTCACAAAGGGGTTGACTTGTTTATTGAGCTTGCAGCTCTCGATCCCTTGTGAGATGGGGAACATGTAACTGAGTGGGTGCAGAGGCCAGGACGAGCGTTTCTGGGCAACCAGCAGGAGCAAAACTCTGTGCAGGCCCACGGCAGTGTCTAGGGGTTGCCTGTGACCCCTGGTGCCCCAGAGGGCATGTGTTACAGTGTGCTCTTTTAGCTTTGCCATCTGAGGATGGCCTAAGTGTTAAACAGCTCAGTGGAGGGTCAGTGTGACAGCCTCTTGCACATCCAGGTCCTTGTCCAGCATCCAGGAAGAATCAGGTCACACGAACAAATTGAAGGGTGGTAAATGTAGAGGATTTTATTGAGCAGCGGAAGTAGTTCTCAGTGGGATGAGGAGCTGGAAAGGGGATGGTGTGGGAAGGTGGTCTTCCCCTGGAGTTTGGCCATCCCTGGCTGAGCTCTTCTCCGAGGTCCCACCATCAAGCCATCCCTCTGAAGTCAAGCAGCTTCTCCCCAATGTCTAGCTGCTGCTTCTCTTCTCTCCTTCTCTACCGCTCTGCAAGTCCATTGGTGGGGCCTGGAGTTTTAATGGGTACAGGATGGAGAGTGGGGCAGGACAGAGTGGTTTTGGAAAAGGCAACATTTGGGCAAGAGGACAGGAATGCACGTTCTCACTTTGGGCTGCAGGTCCAGGCTTGAGGGCGTGGCCCTAACTGGAGATCACCCTTTTCTACCCAGTATTTCTCTGCCTCCTGCCCATATTAGTAATACCACAGTAATTAGGACACGTTGGTCTTGAAATAAAGATAAACAAATAGAACAATAGAAAACAGAGAGGCTAGAAATAGACACACACACACACACAAATATGGTCATTTGGTTTATGCAACAATACCACTTTAACTCAGTGAGGAGAAAAGATGGTCTTTTCAATGAATAGTACTAGTGCAATTGGAACTCATATGGGAAAAAAAATAGAACCTTTGACTCTTATATCAAACCATCCACAAAAGTAGAACATAGACCTAGTGAAAACTAAAAATAAATTAAGCTCTAGTAAAAGATAGAAAAATATTTTCATGACCATGGAGTAAAACATGATTCTTAAACAAGACACAAGACATATAAAGCATAAAAGTGAAAACAAAAACATTCTATTACACTTTATTAAAATAAAAAATTTCTTTTTTATTGCAAAATGTATAGCATTTACTCACATACAGACAAAAAGGCACAATTCTACTAAATAGTTCAACAAAAAAATACAGCTGTCCTCAACTAGTTTTATAAATACTTTCAAAAAGGGGGTAGAAATAAATACAGGATTGGGTCATGTAATATAAAATAGTCATGTCTACATATACTTTAATTTGATTTTAACTCTTCATGCACCTTTTTTTTTTAATTTTAGCTGAATGTACACTAAGCTAGGCACACAGTGAAAAATCCTCTGTACAAGGTTACAAATGTAATGACAAGTTTGTCCGTTTCAAAATAATTAAGATTTGTACACAACACATAAAACCCTTCATTTAGATCTTGTGTTTATAACCTAACAAATGACATTCCAGGCAACTTTACAAAAGTTTAACTAGCCTACATTTTGACATAATGCATTAATCATAATCAAAGATATTTCTTGGTCAGTATGCACAAGGAAACTTTTTATTCCTGCTTCGAAATGAAAATGGTATAGAGCACGGTTTCTCTGACAATATAATGATAGCTTTGTGAGTTAGTTTCATGTCATGCTGGGAACTCTGTATGAGGTGGCCATAAGCAGCAACCAGCCCAAACACCCACTTGCATTCTATTAATATGGAACCATTTGCATTTTTTTAAAAAGCTTCTTTAATTAAAGACCATTTCTGTGACCTCAGAAAAATTATTAAATATGTGAGTAAGAAATCCACAGATAAGAAGTGATTTATAGTACAAAGATCTTGTATACAGACTATTGAAGAAACTTTTAAAACTAATAAGAAAAAAAGGGCCAATTTTAAAAATTGGCAAATACTTGAACAGGCACTTCAGAAAAGACACAGCCAATAAGCATGTAAAATGGCTCAAAATGATTAGTCATCAGAGAAATGCAAAGTAGAACCACACTGATATACCACGTCACACCTACTGAGACAGCCACAGTTTTTAAAAACTGGTAATATGTAGTGTTGGCAAGGGTATGGAGAAACTGGAATTTTCTTACATTGCTGAAGAGAAAGTAATTTTGTTCAACCACTTGGGAAAACAATTCGGCAGCATTTTATAGAGTCAAATGACCTGATAACCCAACAAATCCACTCTTAATTATATAACCAAGAGAAATTTGTGGCTTTTCCACTGAAAGATATGTACAAACATATTCATAGTAGCTTTTATTTATAATAGTCAAATAATGGAAATGGCCCAAATGTCCACCAAGAGGAGAATGGATCAAAACATATTCATACAATGGGATGCTTCAAAGCAAAAGAAAGAAAAACAGGGAAAAATAGAACTATTAATATATACAACAGCATATGTGAATAAGAACATTATAATCAGAAAAAGAAATCAGACGCAAAAGAGTATATACTATATAATTCCATTTATACAAAGTTCAAAGCAGAACAGAAAACTCATCTATGGTGACAGAAATCAAAATAGTAGTTATCTGTGTGGAAGGCTAATGACTAGGAAGGAACATGAGGGTAACTCTGGAATGATGAAAATATTTTATATATTGATCTGGGTGGTGGTTACATAGTTTAAACATATCTAAAAATGCATCTAACTGTGCACTTAATATTTATGGATTTTATTGTACATAAATCAAACCTTATTTAAAAGATTTACAAAAATTCAAAAACAAGTATTATTTTAGGTAGAATTGACATCTTCATGATATCAAGCTGCTAGTGTATTAACTAAAACAGCTATAACCAAAACTCTAATTAAGCACACATTTTTCAAGAAAGTTGTCTCCACCAACTCCAGTAATTTCTTTTCCACACATTCATTCTTCACTCCCTTCTGGCTTTCATAAACACAAACACCTGTTCCCACATTGCATCTTTCTGAGGTCATTAGTCCTAAATGACTAAACACAGTGAATATTTTTATTTTTATTTTTCAAACAGAATACAGATTTACTTAGCAATAAAAGTTGTATTAAAAGTAGTTATGATCATGGTAATAAGGATAACAACAGTTATATAACAAAGTTTATAAATTTCATAGATTTATAATTTCACACTTAGAGCTAGCTAGTCAGAAATGTAACTTCATTTTTCCATAACTGAATTCAACTTAGCTCTGAATTTATCTTATTCATTTAAGAGTAGACAGCTCTTAATCTTTCATTTCAGCATGACTTAGTCACTTCAGGTAAGAAACAGTTAGAGGGCATCAGTTCAGAGGTTAAACTGCCTTGGGGCTGTTTTCCTCAGAAGGGTCTTGCTTTGCCTCCTACTCCACTTTATGGCAGTGTTAGGTTTCAGGAGGCAGCTGATGAAACATTCTGGTGTGATCCCCCATTTTTCATTGGCTGTGATGACAGGGGCTGGTCCTACTGGGTCTTCACGTGGCATATTCTGTCTTTGCATCAGCTTCACCTGGAGCCTTCACAGTCGGTACAACTTGTGTTCTTTCTCTTGGCACAGTCAGGGCTCCCAACCCTGATGTGGAACTTCCTTCATCCTTCACTGGCACTGTTCAGAAACAACTGTCATCCTTGCTTCTTTATCTAACTCAAGTATCTTCATGAGGAAGAGAGGCCTCTTGGATTGAAGAAATGTTCAGAAAAGGCCTAAGGGCAATTACCAATTCTCTGAATATAAGATTTAATCCACAATTCTGTCAATCTGAAAACTTTTAAATTCAGTTTATCATGGACTTTTCTTTTACATTTTTCTTTTTTAAAATTGATACATAGTAATTGTACATATTTGGGGAGGCATATGTCATATTTTGATACATGCATGTAATGTATAATAATTAAATTCTAAACATTTATTTTTTCTTTATGTTGTGAACATTCGAATTCTTCTCTTCTAGCTATTTTGAAATATATGATAAATTGTTGTCAATTATAGTTTCCCTATGTACTATCAAACACCAGACCTTATCCTTCTATCTAACTATATTATTGTACTCATTAATCAAACTCTCTTCATACCCCCTCCTGCTTACCCTTCTCTGCCTCTGGTAACCACCCCAGCTGAAGCTGATGGACAGAATATGTCACCTAAAGACCCAGTAGGACCAGCAACCAGTCATCAGAGCCAATAAGAACTTTCTACCTCCATGAGATTTACTTTTTGTTTAGCTCTCACATATGAGTAAGAACATGGGATATTTGTCTTTCCATGCCTGGCTTATTTCACTTAATATAATAACTTCCAGTTCCATCCACATTGCTGCAAACAACAGGATTTCTGTACTTTCTATGACTGAATAATATTCCATTGTGTTTATATATACATTGTATACATATATAATTGTGTTTGTATACACATTGTATATTCCATTATATATACATTGTATACATATATACATTGTATACATATATTCTGAGTTCTGGTAACTGCTCCCTTGCCTTGCCCCTTCATTCCCAAGGGCACTCACAGCCCTGCATTTGTGAGCAAAATAATGAGGCACATAGTTTGTCCACTCATATGTCAATAGTCCTTTCCGTGAACTCTCCTCAATTATCTTATTCAAGTGTGCTATCTGTTTCATCTCAGGGCTCTACCAACACAGATAACTTAGCACTTGTGCAAGCTTGGGTCAGTTGTCCATTCACATACGAGTCAGTATCCTCAGTGTGATGGCTGCTTGAAGCAGAGTCATTGCTGTGGGTGGGAAGGTTTCTCAGAGGAAAGCAGCCATGGATGGTCACTGAGTTTTTAGGCCTCTCCTGCTTAAAGCTATGAAGTCTCAAACTAGCTTCTGCTAATAGTTAAAGAAGCTGCGTATTACACCATGAGAGGCAGTTTATTGCAGAGGAAAAGAGAATTTGTGTTAGAACCTACAATACTTGATTTCTAGTCCTAGCTTTGCTACCAATCAGCTATTTGAGTTTAGACACATCCCTTTTCCTTTTTGGGTCTCAATTCCTTCTGTAAATTAGTATTTTTGCATCAGGTGTTTTCTAAGATCTCTTCTATTTCTGTGATTCTCCCTCCATGTATATTATTATTATCATTATATTAGATATTACACACATAGTTATATTACACATTCATTATGTAATATTATACATGTTTCCATTTGATTTTTGTTAGAATAATTGAAACATTGTATGCAAAAATTAGGCAATGAATTTCAGGGTTTCTTAAACATTTTTACTTATTATAAACTAACGGTTTTGTTATTTTTATTGTGTATATCAAAATGATTGAAAGAAAAAAGCAAGAGCTCAAAAACTCACAATAATCTAGACACTATTAGAAAAAAACAAACTACTCTAGGGAAATTCTAGAAATGCCATTAAAAGGTATTACTGCTTCTTTTGTAACCAAAACAAAATTTAAGTTACTGTTTTATATATAGCAGAATATAGAACATTTCTGGCTTCATAAATTGAATAAAAATTATACCCGATATTTACATCATATTGGTTTCTAAAGAATTAATATTGCTCCATATTTTTAAATAAATATTTTTTGCTTTTCTATTAGAAATAAAATTTAATCAATGTATTGTCTCATTTGGTGGGTAATTAGAACTTTTTAATATCAGAGAGTAGATGTGACAGCTGAAAAGTTAAAGGTTGTTAATTCTCATCTATTATCCTTTGATATTTCATGTGCCTGGAAATGTTTTGGTGCTCGGTTTTTCTCATCCTAAGAATATTTACAGAAAAACAGTATTTACTTGGAATATTTATAAGCTTATGTTTGTCCATATATCTATGGCAGAGTTTCTACTTCCATGTAGAAAGTCACAGGAGATGAGAGCTCTCACCCTTATATGGTTTGGCTGTGTCCCCACCCAAATCTCAACTTGAATTGTATCTCTCAGAATACCCATGTGTTGTGGGAGGGGCCCAGGGGAAGTAATTGAATCATGGGAGCCAGTCTTTCCAATGCTATTCTCATGATAGTGAATAAGTCTCAAGAGAGCTGATGGGTTTATCAGGGGCTTCTACTTTTGCTTCTTCCTCATTTTCTCTTGCTGTTACCATATAAGAAGTGCATTTCCCCTCCCACCATGATTCTGAGGCCTCCCCAGCCATGTGGAACTGTAAGTCCAATTAAACCTCTTTCTCTTCCCATTCTCAGGTATGTCTTTATCAGCAGAGTGAAAATGGACTAATACACTAAATTGGTACCAGTAGACTGGGGTGTTACTTAAAAGATACCCAAAAATGTGGGAGTGACTTTGGAACTGGGTAACAGGCAGAGGATGGAAGAGTTTGGAGGGCTCGGAAGAAGATAGGAAAATGTGAGAAAGTTTGGAACTTCCTAAAGACTTGTTGAATGGCTTTTCCCAAAGGCTGATAGCAATATGAAAAATAAGGTCCAGGCTGAAGTGGTCTTAGCTAGAGATGAGGAACTTGTTGGGAACTGGAGCACAGGTGACTCATTATATTTTAGCAAAGAGACTGGTGGCATTTTGCCCCTGCCCTAGAGATTTGTGGAACTTTGAACTTGAGAGAGATGACTTAGGGTATCTGGTGGAAGAAATTTCTAAGCAGCAAAGCATTCAAGATATGATTTGGGTGCTGTTGAAGGCATTCAGTTTTATAAGGAAAGCAGAGCACAAAAGTTTGAAAACCTTGCAGCTTGACTATGTGATGGAAAAGAAAAACCCATTTTCTAGGGAGAAATTCCAGCTGGCTGCAGAAACGTGCATAGATAACAAAGAGCCTAATGTTAATCCCCAAGACTGTGGAGAAAATGTCTCCAGGCTATGTCAGAGACCTTCACAGCAGCCCCTCCCACAACAGGCCTGGAGGCCCAGGAGGAAAAAGTGGTTTTGTGGGCTGGGCCCAGGGTCCCCATGCTGTGTGCAGCCTAGGGACTTGGTGCCCTTTGTTTTGGCCAATTTATCCCATTTGGAATAGCTATATTTACCCAATACTTGTACCCCCATTATAGCTAGGAAGTAACTCACTTGCTTTTGATTTTACTGGCTCATAGGCAGAAGGGACTTGCCTTGTCTCAGGTAAGACTTTGGACTATGGACTTTTGGATTAATATTGAAATGAGTTAAGACTTTGGGGGACTGTTGGGAAGGTACGATTGATTTTGAAATATGAGGACATGAGATTTAGAGGGGCCAGGGGCAGAATGATATGGTTTGGCTCTGTCCTCACCCAAATCTCAATTTGAATTGTATCTCCCAGAATTCTCATGTGTTTTGGGAGGGTCCTAGGGGGAGGTAATTGAATTATGGAAACTGGTCTTTCCTATGCTATTCTCATCATATTGAATAAGTCTCATGAGATCTGATATGTTTATCAGGAGTTTCCACTTTTGCTTCTTCCTCATTTTCTCTTGCCACCTCCATGTAAGACGTACTTTTCACTTTTTACCATGATTCTGAGACTTCCCCAGCCGTGTGGAACTATAAGTCCAGTGAAACCTCTTTTGCTTCCCAGTGCTGGCTATGCCTTTATCAGCAGCATGAAAATGGACTAATACACACCCTAACAATAAGAATAAGAATGTCAGCCAAATAACTATAATTTAAAAAACAAAACAAAACAAAACAAAAATCAATTCAGAGCTCTAAGGACTTAAAGAAGCCCAAATGAACTAATTCCTGAAAAGTGGTGAGTCCTTCATTGTGATATTGTGAAATGTATATTTGGTCTTCATCCAGTTTCCTGGAACACAGCTCCTAAAACCCTTGAGATCTCTAAAATGATGTGTCTTTCTGTAGCCTAGTGAGATGGCTAGTATAGCTGGGGGGATGGGGGAGGTCCCTGCATATCCTAGGATGGGAACAGCTTGCCAGAGGTTCCAATCCTGAGATTAGAGGGCTGGAACTTTCAGCTTTTCCTGTCCCACCTCATCAGGGTGGAGACGTTGAAGATTGAGTCAATCACCAGTGGCCATTGCTTTAATCAATTATGCCTATGTAATAAAACCTCTGTATAAACCTAAAGGGACAAAGTTTAAAGAGCTTCTGAGATGTTGAGCATATGGAGGTAAGGGTGGCACAGCCAAAGAGGGCATAAAACTTCTGCACCTCTTCTCATAGACTTACCCCTGTATATCTCTTTATCCAGCTATTTATTTGTATTCTTTAATATATCCTTTGTAACAATAAATCACCAACAATAAGTAAACTGTTTTCCTGGGTTCCATGAGCCACTCTAGCAAGTGATCAAACACACAGAGAGGATTGTGGGAATCTTTGATTTGTAGCCAAGTCAGACAGAAGTTGTGGGTAACCAGGAACTTACTACTTGCAATTGGCATCTGAGACAGGGAGAAGTCTTGTGGGACTGAGCCCTTCACCTGTGGAGTCTCTGCTATCTCCAGGAGAATTAAGTTGAATGGTAGGACATCCATCTGCTGTCAGAGAACTGGTTAATGTGGAAGTGACTCCCATACATCTGGTGTCAAAAATGAGGTATTAAGATTGCTGAGAGTATAGTAGTGACAAAAAATGTTGGTTGGTTCCTACATTACACCTTCCTAGGAGAGAAGAGATCCATGGCCTTTTTCCCCCCTAGCACAAGAGCAGAAGGTGGAGGAATCTCCCATATATAGGTAGAGAAGAACCTGTCAAACTTAGAAGAAACTAAATGACTACATATAGTCTTCCATGATGAATTAGAAGTTGTAGCCACAGAAGAATCTACAACCATTCATCAACTCTTTCCTATGGACCTTCATCAAGTACAAGATACTCAGGTTAGGGATGGGATAGGAGAGAGAAGAGATATCTAAATGAGACACATGAAGTCTTCACCTCATGTGCAGTAACAGTTACTGAAGGCTGTGGCAGGGCAGGAGAGTAGAAAAAATATCCCCAAGAGGCATTCAGATGCCCTTGCTAGTATGGATCTCATCATAGACTCCAGTATGATAAAATTTCTGCCATGTTCAACCTTTCAAGGCTACAGCTCTTGGTTTACAACATGCTCAGCCATAGTTACCAGAGTAAGTGCTCTGTTCCAAGAACACACGCTATAATAAAGATCTTGACAAATTTCCTAGCACTCTGTACTTAACACCTTGTAGTGTTTAACCAAACTCCTTTAGGAGAACTTCACCAAATGTGTGCTATTATTGTGCTGGCTAAGTTAGCAGGACAGAGTCTGAAGTAGCTAAAGAAAAACTTCTGTGAACTTGTATGTCATGCAGGTAGTTTGCTAAAAAAGGCCACAGGAGGAGACTTTATGTTCATTTCATTTTTTAAGTGAAAAAATCCAAAGTGATATTTTATGTGAAAAATCTCTATGTGAACTTGTTAAAAATTATATCAACGTGAATATCTGTTTTTTAAATGATTTTGATAATATGTGCACAAATGGACTTCCTATCTAAGGTTATCCCCCTCTTTTAAAAATATCAGATTAAATTTGCCACATTTCAATTAAAAAACAGAAGGGAGGAAGAAACAATTGCTGTGACACAATGGACTGTGGAAGTGAGAATCTCCACCTTCAGTCTGGTCCCTATTAGGCCAGTAAGACATCAAACTCAAGGAACTACATATTGCAGGACAAAACCCACCTATATGGCCAAGGTCAAAAAACTCAATGGTCACATACATTTTCATTCATTCAACTTGATGCCTATTATGTGCTAGACATATCTCTAGGCACTGAGGAGTTACCAGTGGAAAAACAGTCCCTGACCTCATGGAGCCACCATCATAGCTTAAGAGAGATACAATAAATGAACAAACAAGTAAATAATCTATAAGATGTGAATAAATATTATGGAGAAAAATAAGACAGGAAGAAGGGATAAGGAATCATGGAGGGCAGATTTAAAGAAATTATATTAAAAGAAAATGATTAACAGCTCAGAAATTAAGAAAGTCACTCAATAGAAAAACAGGCATAAATTAAATGGGCATTTCACAGAAGAAGAAACCTCGATGCCTAATAAACATAAAAATATATCACTAATCTTCAGGAAAATAAAAATCAAAACAATAGACAGCATTTCCTAAGGTGTTATCAGAACAAAGTATAGTCTAAGAATACCAAGTATTGGCAAGGCTGTGAAATAACAGGAACTGTCATCTACTGTTGGTAAGTAATAAAAAAATTGGCTCCACCTCTTTGGAATACAGCTTGGCATTATTTATTAAAATTGAATAGATGCCTTCCAAGGAAATCCACTCAATACTAATTTCTGTATAAAGATAAGCTAGACAATGCTTTGGACAACATACCTAAAGTGGCTTAAAACAACAAAGATTTCTGTTTCACTCCTGCTATAATGTCATTGTGGGTTGACTGGAGTCTCAGCTCCATGTCTTTGTCAGCCTTACTTGTGGACCCATGCTGATGAAGCAGCTGCTAGGCAGAACACTTCCAGTTACTGTAGAAGAGAGAAAAGAGCATTGCACATATTGCCTCACAAAGCTTCTGCCCAGAAAGGTCACACATCACTTAGCTCACATTTCATTAATCCAACATGGCCACATCTAAGTTAAATGGGCAGTGAAGTGCAATCCTAACAGGAAACTTGACAGGAAACAGCAGCAGAATATACAGGAATAACCTTAATGGCTCTTACAATATATTCCCTAGACAAAGTTTTATGCATGATTACCAGGAATCACATACAGATTCCAAAGCAGCACTGGATATTAAAGCACAAAGTATCCATTAACAGCAAAACAGATAAACAAATTACATTATACTCACAGCAAAATATGAACTAAGGATGAGAAAGCATGATCTACAGCCTTATACATTAGTAAGTTTGAATTTCAAAATGTTTGGTGAAAAAGCAAGTCACAGAAGCATACTGTGTGATTCATTTCTATAAAGTGCAAAATTATATAGAGAAAAATCAGACATATTGTGTTGGGATACATGCATATGTGGTAAAGCTATACAGGAAAGCAAGAGAATGACTAACCAAAATTACAAGAGTTTGGTTACCCCTGGGCTGGTAGGGTGTGATGGAGGCAGGGAGACAACAGTGAAGAGTACACTCATGGGGCTTCAAAGATACTGGTTATATTCTACATTTTTAAATTGGCTGGTGTACATGGGCACTTTATTTTATTTTATTTTTATTCTTTAAAAATATGTATGTATGTATGTATGTATATTTAAATATCATTTATAGAGTGGCTTAAACACTGTTTGATTAAAAAAATTATTTTTCACAGTTGTGGAGCTTGGGAAGTCCAAAATCAAGGGGCCAGCAGATTCAGTGTCTGGTGGGGCCCTCTTCCTGGTTTGCAGACAACTGCCTTCTTACTGTATTCTCACATGGTAGACAGAGATAAATCATCTCTCTCATGTCTCTTCTTATAAGGCACTAATTCCATTTATAAGGGCTCCACCCTCATGATCTTGTTGGGGCTTAGTAAATGATACTCCAAAATATGCAACTTTGGACTTCAAACTGATAGCACCAAGGGAAGAGCAAATCCAGGGAGGGCTTTCTCTGAAGCTCCCTCATCTGACTAAGGGAAGTTCTTCCAGAAGGAATGCAATGGTCTTGGCCCCTTCCTTATAATCTCATGAAATGAGAAAGATTAACTCATAGGAAAAATAAAAAAAGGTGAATACCACCTATTCTTCTGAGGACTGCTACCTGAGACATTTCTGCATAACAAGACAGGTTTTCTCATGTATTTTCCCCCCTCAATCTCACATAACCTGTCACCACCCCTCCTCAGAGACCCCAAGCTACCATTTCTTTCTGAGGCTCAAAACTCTATTTAAACTTTGATCATCCAATCCTTCTTTAAGCCATATTTTGTGAGGCCCCTGTGTGTATGTATGTAATAAATTTGTATGCCTTTTCTCCTTTTAATGTGTCTGTCAGGCCTCTGAGCCCAAGCTAAGCCATCATATCCCCTGTGACCTGCATATGTGTATCCAGATGGCCTGAAGTACGAGAAGAATCACAAAAGAAGTGAAAATGGCATGTCCCTGCCTTAACTGATGACATTACCTTGTGAAATTCCTTCTCCTGGCTCATCCTGGCTCAAAAGCTCCCCCACTGAGCACCTTGTGTCCCCCACCCCTGCCCACCAGAGAACAACCCCTTTGACTGTAATTTTCCACTACCCACCCAAATTCTATAAAACGGCCCACCCCTATCTCTCTTCACTGACTCTCTTTTCAGACTCAGTCCGCCTGCAACCAGGTGATTAAAAAGCTTTATTGCTCACAAAAAGCCTGTTTGGCGGTCTCTTCACATGGACGTGCATGACAGTATCTACTGTCAAGTTTGTTTTTTTTTTTTTTTTCAGAAACTCATGTTATTGAACCTTCAGAGGTAGAAGAAAAGTTTACTTTACCCCTACAACCTTATCACTTCCCCCAAGGCCTCACCTCCAAATGCAGTCAAATTGGGAATTAAGGCTTTAACATACGAATTTTAGGGAAACAAAAATATTCAATTCATATTGTGTGTGTGTGTTATGTACAATACGTTTCACAGTAAAAAGTTTACAATAAAAAGATGTCTTTTAGCTGACCTTTCCTGAAAAAATAAGTTGATTATATGCCTTTATTGACAACTCCTTGAATTCTCACCTAAGCACACATCTCCAGTGCCAATGCTAAGAAACTGACCTCCCTAGATGGTCACATTGAGGAGAGAGGGATTGGGTGCTACTATTAAGGCATATGACTTTTACTGGACTGTCTAAGTCAACAGAAAAAAATGTTGTAGTATCCTGAATAGATTCTTATCTGATCTCTTCTGTGTTTCCGTGTGGCCTAATGGATATATCATGTTGTAAACTGTCTGAGAAGGTAACAAGAGAACATTTGACATCTGCCCTCAAAAGTAGGAGATGAGAAAGAGAAGGACTCTCATATGACACATGGCATTCCCCACTCTTTTTAGCTGTTTGTAAAGTGTTGCATGCTGGTATGGTTTGTATTTGTGTCCCCACCCAAATCTCATGTTGAATTTGAGGAGGTTCCTGGTGGGAGGTGATTGGCTCATGAGAGGCCATCTTTCCCCTTGCTCTTGCTATTGTCATGATAGTGAGTGAGTTCTCATGAGATCTGATGGTTTAAAAGTATGTGGCACTTCCCCTTCACTCTCTCTCTCTCCTGCCATCATGTGAAGAAAGTACTTGCTTCCCCTTTGGCTTCTGCCATAATTGTAAGTTTCCTGAGGCCTCCCAGCCATACTTCCTGTTAAGTCTGTGGAACTGAGTCAATTTAGCCTCTTTATAAATCACCCAGTCACAGGTAGTTCTGTATAGCCATGCGAAAACAGACTAATACACATGTAATTAGCAGACATGAAAAAGAGAGTAGAGCAGATAGCCAAATGCTACAGAATTCCAATAGGTCTTTGTGGAGCTGGGATCTGAAGAGTTAGCTTGCCAAAAACAGGCCCTTGTGGAGTAAAAATAAAATTTTAAGTCCCCTGACTGACTGAACAAACTGCTCTTGACCAAAGAGAGTTTGGTCATGCCTCAGTACATTCCCTTCCTCTCTAACTGATACCAGATTTTTTTCCTAAGAGTTAAACAGAAACCAGCCCTGAAAAACAAAAACTGGGAGAGTTTCACAAAGCATTCCTTCCTGATAAATGACCACCAACCGTACACCAGCTCTGGCCAATTTACGGAGGCTGCGTACAAAGCATCTTTTGTCCTACGTTTCATCTTTTTGATATACAGAGCCCAATTTTACTTCATTTTAATGTTGTTTCCACCCCAATGTAAACATGGGATATATGTAGCATACATGTTTGCTTACCATGCATGCATGCAAACTCCCTTCATCAATATTCATATATCCTGTGTTAAATATGTATGTTTAGCCAACTCATGTAGCATAAAACTTCTGTCCCATTGCTCTTCTGGTAAAGCACCTGCTTTCAGTCTCAGCTGAATGTTTTGCTTCCCAGCTGCACGTTGCAGCCCTTCATAAGACATAACCCTTTCCTTTCCATATTTATAAATCTCATGATTTTGAGTTGACACCCTCAGTGAGCAACAGCAATCTTTTACTAAAGTCAACCAATATGCTGAATAACCTAGGTCAACATTAGACAAATACTGAGTGTTTGTAAAAAATAATAATAATAATCTGTGCAGTCCAGTGAGAAAATAAAGTTTGGGAAAACACAAACAAGTAGAATGGCTTGGTTTCTATTCTCTAGTCCTGTAACTGGGAAAAATGTAGAATGAAAAAATTATAAACACTGTGTCATTTCAGACATGGCACAGATTGATGGCAAATGTGTAACCTTCACCAATTGTGCTGTCTACAGAAGCAAAGTGGAATGGAGGATTGGGGGCCAGTCTAGGTAAATTCATCATTCTGAGTAAGAAAGCATCTTTTACAAAATCTAGAAATGTCATCTGTCTATTTCATCTATGGTAATTGATTACATAAACCATAAGATAGTGGGCCTAAGGAAAAATAAATTTTAAAGTTTCAACTTGGACACTGGCTAGCTTGTGCAACTGTCCCAGAATGCTTTCAATTGCATATGATTAAAAAATAATAAGAGGCCAGGAGCGGTGGCTCATGTCTGTAATCCCAGCACCTTGGAAGGCCAAGGCAGGTAGATCACCTGAGGTCAGAAGTTCGAGACTAGCCTGGCCAACATGGTAAAACCCCATCTCTACTAAAAATACAATAATTAGCTGGACATGATGGTGCAAGCCTGTAATTCCAGCTGCTCGGGAGGCTGAGGCAGGAGAATTGCTTGAACCTGGGAGACGGAGGTTGCAGTGAGCTGAGATCATACCACTGCACTCCAACCTGGGTGGCAGAGTGAAACTCTGTCTCGAAAAAAAGTATGAGAGGAGGAGGAGGAAGAAGAAGAAGAGGATAGAAGGAGAAGGAGAAGGAGGATGAGGAGGAGGAGGAGGAGAAGAAGAAGACAAAAAGAAGGAGAAGAAGAAAAGGAAGAAGAAGAAGTAGAAGAAGAAGAAGAGGAGGAGGAGGAGAAGGAGGAGGAGGAGAAGGAGGAGGAGGAGGAGGAGGAGGAGAAGGAAGAAGAAGAAGAAGAAGAAGAAGAAGAAGAACAAGAAGAAGAAGAAGAAGAAGAAGAAGAAGAAGAAGAAAAGAAGGAGGAGGAGGAGAAGGAGGAAGAGGAGGAGGAGGAAAAGGATGGGGGGAGAATGAGGAAGAAGAAGAGAAAAAGAAGGAGAAGAAGAAGAGGAAGGAGAAGAAGAAAAGGTAGAAGAAGAGGAGGAGGAGGAGGTTAATCCATTGCATCTCAAACATTAATGTGTATGTGGACCACCTAGGCACTTGTTAAAATGCAGATTCTGATTCAGTAGGACTGGGATGGGGCTTAAAATTCTGTATTTCCAACAAAACCCCAAGTGATATTGATGGTGTTGTTGCACAGACCACACACTGACTAGCAAGGGCTTAAATATTAAGTATGTTTATTAAGTCAATAGCAAGAAGTAAACAGGCAGGCAGTTTCAGGTTTGGCTAATTCAACAACTCTACGATACCGTGAGGACTCTTGCCATCCTCAGCATGGCAAGAACTCCTTTTGGTTGCAGGATGGCTTTAGTAGTTTTACAACTTTGCAGACTTTACTTTCCAGAGGCATTTTTTCCCTTGATTTTCACCTGACTTCCCTTCCCATCTGACAAGTTGAATTATATCACTTACCCATTCCTAAACTCATATCTGGCAAGAGGAATATAGTTTCGTCTTGACTGACAGACTAATCAATAGATTCCCTGCCTCTCACCTGGGGAGGGAACCGGCTTTCTCCAAAATATAACAGTTAAATATTTGAACAAAATCTGTTACTAAATAAGAACGACTATTAGATGGATAACCTGCAATGTCTGCTACAGGCCTTTAGCAATTTACATTAAATTAAATGCACAGCAAGGTTACATGCCTTACTGAGAGAGGACTCACTGTTCTGGGAGGAAAAAGATACACAAATTGTATCTATTGCTAGGCTAGGAACTTTTGTTTGTAATTGTGAGAGCTTTGGTTTCGCCTGGACATCTGAGAGAAGGAATTGGAACAATACAAGATATAGAATGGTATCTGATCCATCTGGTCATTTGCATTGGCTTGAGACCTTGTGGAATGTGAAGTTAAAAGCAGAAATTAGGCCAGGCATGGTGGCTCATGCCTTTAATTCCAGTGCTTTGGGTGGCCGAGGCAGGTGGATCTCGAGGTTGAGAGATCGAGACCATCCTGGCCACATGGTGAAACACCATCTCTACTAAAAATACAAAAATTAGCTGGGCATGGTGGTGCACACCTGTAGTCCCAGCTATGTGGGAGGCTGAGGCAGGAGAATCGCTTGAATCTAGGAGGCGGAGGCTGCAGTGAGCCGAGATCGGACCACTGCACTCTAGCCTGGGCGAGAGAGCGAGACTCCATCTCAAAAATAAAAATAAAAAAAGGAGAAATTGACGGGACTACACAGCAGAAATTTGTGACTCTAGGGCCCAGGTTACCAATGTGGCCCGGAGTTCAAGAAGAGGTCATTTTCCCTACCTCTGCATGGCATCTGATGTTCTGAGTTGAGTAGGTTTGGGAGCCTCTGGAGACAATAAATTTGTCATGGCTATTGATATTCTAGTGGTGGGCAGAAGCAGTTCCCAAATACCTTGAGGGAATTCATAAGAAGTGGGTATCAGAGTCCAAGGAAAAGAAAAATGCAGTTACTTCCTAAAGACTCATCTGGTTATAGGCACATATTAGATGTTGCTAGATATCCCTGGGCAGATTCTGCAAATAACTGGGCAACACTTTGGGAGCTAATTTTCAATAGATAAGCTGGTTGGGTTTCCTGCTATTAGAATCCACATATAGGAAGGAAATGTGAACTACTTTGTTGTCACAGGCTGTGACAGGCATCTAATACAATACTTTTCCTAAAACAAATACTCAACAAATGGTAATAGCACTAATAATAGTTCCCATTTCTTAAGTCCTTAATATGGGACAGGTGTTTTTCAAGCACTTCACATATTGATTCATTTAATAACCCAAAAAAGCCTATAAGGTAAATGTTACTACTTGCCTTAGTTAAAACTAAAAGACAAAAATGTTTATCAACTTGTTTGAGATCACAAAATGAGGAAAGATTGAGTAAGGATTCAAACTCATGCTGTCTCAGACCTTAGGTCCTGAAACAGCTAATATTATTTCCATCTTACTGAGTGTCAATCACTTTGCACATTTTATTTCATTTAATCTTTCTAATGGCCTTATCATTTTTCCTGATTTTACAGGTGAAGAAATCAAAGGGCAGAAATTTGTAATTTGAGAAGCCAGCATTCAAAACTAGGCTGCCTAATTCCTAACCACTATGTTCTACTCCTTTCCCTACAATAGTAGCCACTGGCATTTATATTATTTCCATGGTTATTTTTTTTAATACAGCAGTCTTTCCCCAACCCATGAACCAAAGAATTCTGGCCTCTCTAAAGCTGATGTAAAAGGAAAAAGTTTGAATGATATTTTATTGACCTACTTTATTCAGTTTACTAAGAAAATTTTCTGGCATGATCACTATTCCAATGCCTTGGGTGATTGAGAATTAACTTTATCCAAAGTAGATCCATACCAGGTATTGTGAAATCTGGTGGAGTGCTGAAATCTAGGCCCTTGACCTTTCATTCAGGCCTCCAGACTCTAAGCCCAAGGCAATTTCTCTACTCTTCATCTCTCCAGAAGAGTTGAGCAGAAGCATTGTTTCTATTCTATCAGCTTCATTTCCAGGTCCTTCCTTTTTGTTCTAACACTAACACTCTCAAACCTTTTGTTTTATGTTACAAGCCTGTTTTGCTTTCCTAGATAATATGGTTTGGCTGTCCCCACCCAAATCTTACCGTCAGTTGTAATAATCCCATGTGTTGAGAGCATGGCCAGGTGAAGATAGTTGAATCATGGGTGCAGATTTCCCCATACTGTTCTTGTGTTAGTAAGTAAGTCTCATGAGATCTGATGGTTTTATAAATGGGAGTTCCCCTGCACAAGTCCTCTCTTGCCTGCCACCATGTAAGTCTTCCCTTTGCTCTTCCTTTATGATTGTGAGGCCTCCCCAGCCATGTGGAACCGTGAGTCCATTAAATATCTTTCCTTTATAAATTACCCAGTATGGATAATTTATATCCATGAGAACAGACTAATACAGTAAATTGGTACTGGGTAGTGGGGTCCTGCTACCCCATTAATGTGGGTGAAAGTGACTTTGGAACCAGATAACATGCAGAGGTTGAAACAGTTTGGAGTGCTCAGAGGAAGATAGGAAAATGTGGAAAAGTTTGGAACTTCCTAGAGATTTGGAGAGCTCAGAAGGGAAAGTTTGGAACTTCCTAGAGACAAGTTAAATGGCTTTGACTGAAATGCTGATAGTGAAATGGACAATAAGTTCCAGGCTGAAGTGGTCTCAGATGGAGATGAGAAACTTGTTGGGAACTTAAAGGTCACTCTTGCTATAGAGAAATGCAAATCAAACCCACAGTGAGATAGCATCTCAGGCCAATTAGAATGGCGATCATTAAAAAGTCAGGAAACAACAGATGCTGGAGAGGATGTGGAGAAATAGGAACACTTTTACACTGTTGGTGGGACTGTAAATTAGTTCAACCATTGTGGAAGACAGTGTGGAAATTCCTCAAGGATCTAGAACAAGAAAAGCCATTTGACCCAGCAATCCCATTATTGGGTATGTGCCCAAAGGATTATAAATTATTCTACTATAAAGACATATGCACTTGAATGTTTACTGAAGCACTATTTACAATTGCAAAGACTTGGAACCAACCCAAATGCCCATCAATGATAGATTGGATAAAGAAAATGTGGCAGATATACACCATGGAATACTATGCAGCCATAATAAAGAATGAGATCATGTTCTTTGCAGGGAAATGGATGAAGCTGGAAATCATCATCCTCAACAAAGTAACACAGGAACAGAAAACCAAACACCACATGTTCTCACTCATAAGTGGGAGTTGAACAATGAGGACACATGGACACAGGGAGGGGAACATCACACACTGGGGTCTGTCACGGGGTGGAGAGAAAGGGGAGGCAGATTATTAGGACAAGTACCTAATGCATGTGGGGCTTAAAACCTAGACGACAGGTTGATAGGTGCAGCAAACCACCATGGCACATGTATACCTACATAACAAACCTGCATGTTCTGCACGTGTATCCCAGAACTTAAAGTAAAATTAAAAACAAAACAAAGAGACTGGTGGCATTTTGCCCCACTCTAAAGATCTGTGGAACTTTGAACTTCAGAGAGATGATTTAGGTTATCTGGTGGAAGAAATTTCTAAGCAGCAGTGTTTAAGAGGAAGAAGAGCATAAACGTTTGGAAAATGTGCAGCCTGACAATGCACAATAGGAAAGAAAAACCCATTATTCAGGGGAGAAATTCGAGCTTGCTTCAGAAATTTGTGTAAGTAAAAAGGAGCCCATTGCTAATTACTAAGACAATGGGGAAAATATCTCCAGGGCATGTCAGAGACCTTCCTGCTCTTCCCATCATAGGCCCAGAGGCCTAGGAGGAAAAAATAATTTAGTAGGCCAGGCCCAGGCCCTCCCTATTGTGTGCAGCCTAGGGACTTGGTGCCCTGTGTCCCAGCTGCTCCAGCTGTGGCTAAAAGGGGCCAAGATGCAGCTCAGACTTTGGCTTCAGAGGGTGCAGGTCCTAAACCTTGGCAGCTTCCATGTGGTGTTGAGCCTGCAGGGCACAGAAGTCAAGAATTGAAGTTTGGGAAACTCTGCCTAGATTTCAGAGGATGTATGGAAATGCCTGGATGTCCAGGCAGAGGTATGCTGCAGAGGTAGAACCCTCATGAAAAACCTCTGCTAAGGCAATGCAAAATGGAAATGTGAGATGGGAGCACTCACACAGAGACCCCACTAGAGCACTGCCTAGTGGAGTTGTTTGAAGAGGGCTACCTCCCAGAATGGTAGATCCACTGACAGCATCCACTATGCACCTGGAAAAGTCACAGACACTCAATACCAGTCCAGGAAAGCAGCTGGGATGAGGGCTGTATCCCAGCTCCACAGGGGCAGAGCTGCCCAAGACTGAGGGAGCCCACCTCTTGTATCAGCATGACCTGGATGTAAGACACAGAGTCAAAGGAGGTCATTTTGGAGCTTTAAGATAATGACTGCCTCATTGGATTTTGGACTGGCATGGGACCTGTAGCCTCTTCATTTTGGCCAACTTCTCCCATTTGGAAATGGTTGTATTTACCCAATGCCTGTACCCCATTGTTTCTAGGAAGTAACTAACTTGCTTTGATTTTACAGTCTCATAGGCTGAAGGGGCTTGTCTTGTCTCTGATGAGACTTTGGACTGTGGATTTTTGAGTTAATGCTAAAATGAACTAGGACTTTGGGAGACTGTTGTGAAGGCATGATTGGTTTTGAAATGTGAGGACATGAGATTTGAGAGGGGCCGGGGTGGAATGATATGGTTTTGGGTGTCCCCACACAAATCTCACCCTTAATTGTAATAATCCCCACACGTCAAGGGTGGGGCCAGGTGGAGATAACTGAATCATGGGGGTAGTTTCCCCCATATTGTTCTCATGGTAGTAAATAAGTCTCATGAGATCTAATAGTTTTATTAATGGGAGTTCTGCTGCCCAAGCCCTCTCTTGCTGCCACCATGTAAGAGATTCCTTTGCTCTTCCTTCATGATTGTGAGGCCTCCCCAACCATGTGGAACTGTGAGTCCATTAAACCTCTTTCCTTTATAAGTTACCCAGTCTCAGGCATGTCTTTATTAGCAACATGAGAAAAGACAAATATACTAGACTATGGGGATGTTAGTTTCATTCATTCAATGAAAACTAATTGAGTGCCTGCCATGTGCCAGGCACTCTTTTAGTCAGTGGATACACAAGAGAAGGCAAGAAAGGCCCCTTTCCTCATCTAGTTTACATTCTGGTCAACAGTTCACAAATTAATAAATCCTATATATTGGTATAGTGACAAACACTATGAATATAATCGCAGGGGAGTGAAAAATCACTTCCCTCCACCCTTCTAGATTCTTTGTCTGGGTTACAAATTAAATTGAAATAAGACAGACTGACAAGAGAAAAACAATATTTAATTATGTACGTATGCACTGGAGTCCCAGAAAATATGATACTGGAAGAAGGGTCACATAAGTGAAGCCTATATCAGCCTGAGCTACAGAAAGGAATAGGGGTTTGGGGATTCTGGGGGTGGTAGGAACACAAGTAATGGGAGGGTGAGGGGTGGAAATGTGTGATGGATAAAGATCGTCTTGTTAATTAGATAAAAAGTCTCTTGGGTGAGAAAAGTTAGCTCTAAGCAGTCCTCTTCCTGATACAGATACTTTTACTAATGTACATTTCCTCTACAGATATAAATTTAATTTACAAAAGGATGGCTTTTCAGAGCTACTCCTGTATTTGCAGTTTCTCAGAACAACCAACTTGAAATATGCCAAAGAAGTATATTTTGGGGTTTCTGGTCTCCTACAGTTGTATTTTGGAGTAGTGTGTCCTGGGTCCCAACAAAACTAAACAGAGTAAGAGAATAAAGAGCAATTGGCCATCCCTGAGGAGGTGATATTTGAGCAAAGAACTGAATGAAGAGATGCCCTTTGCATAGACACTCATTCACTTTTCCATGTCTTTCATCCTGCAAGACCACTCAGAGTCTATGGAGAAATAAATGATTCCCAAACAGATGACAATGTCAATAGTAGATTAATATCATCTCAAAAGCATGTAAATTGTGCATCTGTTCTTAATCCTTAAGACAATAACTTGAAATTATTGAGTATGTAAATATTTAGTAAATGAATGGTATTAACTTATTCCTCTGGCAACACCTGGCAGACCTAATCACCCAGCAACAAAACTGGCCTTACCTTAAGGAGTCACACCTCCCAAGGAAGCACAGCATGCAACATCGCAAACCAAATCACTATATTCTACACATGGAATCATAACGAGGATATATCAAGGGAAAAATATTGCCTTTGGGTTTTTTTTGAAATCCTTCTTCAACTCTTCTTTGCATGGGCTAATAGCTGCTGTAAAATTCTATTCCCTGTCTGAGCGCCCAGGTGTTGTCTTCTTTTATGCTTTTATTCCCAGAGTACCGTTGCCCATTTTAAGGACTTTTTTCTTCCTTTTTGTCCTAGGCAGAAAATTGTTTCTGATTTCCTTTCTCTCTTTGTCTTTTCTTAATTCAGACTAAGGGTAGGTTTCAGCTTCTCTCTTTCAAGAGCCATGTTTCCGGCAGAAGTTTACAGCACATGAGGTAACAGATAGCATTTCCTTCCATGTCCTATAATAAAGAATGGCTCCTAATAAAGATTCCTTTCAGTGACTCACGTGTAAAGATAAAAAATAAGATCAGAAAAGCAACCTTAAGGGGTTTCCTTCTCAGCTGGGCTTGGGTCCAAAGGGCCAAGATAATTAAGAAATCACTAGTAACCCTAGGTTTTCTGGGCTCATTATAATCATGATGACCTCCATATCTAGGTCACCCTACAATATAACCTTCCCTTTATTGGATCAAAATGTCACTTAGAAATTACCACCATTACATAGTGTGCAGAGTAAAGTCTTCCTCTCTACCCACTGAAAGACTGACAATACATAGATCAAAAGGAGAGAAAGACATATAATTTTTTTAAGATGGAGTCTCACTCAATTGCTGAGGCTAGAGTGAAATGGCATGATCTCAGCTCACTGCAACATTCACCTCCCAGATTCAAGTGATTCTCCTGTGTCAGCCTCCTGAGTAGCTGGGATTACAGGTGTGCACCACCACTCCAGCCTAATTTTTGTATGTTTAGTACAGACGGGGTTTCACCATATTGGCCAGGCTGGTCTCAAGCTCTTGACCTCATGATCCACCCTCCTCAGCCTCCCAAAGTGCTGGGATTACAGGTGTGAGCCACCATGCCCGGCCTTTTTAAAACTCTTATCCCAAACTTTTCTTCCCTTTTTTTTTTTTTTTTTTTTTTTTAGACAGCCTCTCTGTCACCCAGGCTGGAGTGCAGTGGTGTGCAATCTTGGCTCACTGCAACCTCCACCTCCCAGGTTCAAGCTATTCTCCTGCTTCAGCCTCCCGAGTAGCTGGGACTACATGAACGTGTCACCATGCCTAGCTAATTTTTGTATTTTTAGTAGATACAGGGTTTCACCATATTGGTCAAGCTGGTCTTGAACTCCTGACCTCGTGATCTGCCCACCTCAGCCTCCCAAAGTGCTGGGATTACAGGCATGAGCCACCGTGCCCAGCCAAGGCATACAAATTTTTTAATATGCATATGAACATGGGAGTCCCACAAATACATTACTCCAAAAAGAGCTAGATGGTTGAAGCCTAAATACCCTATACATAGGGAAGAGGAAATTGGGGGCTATTGGTAATTTTAGAGGGGTAGTAAAAAATTTTTAGGTAAAATGAATAAAACCAAAGAACAATGGCCTGGGACAAAGTTCTGAGCTTGGCAGGGAAGTTGCACAGAAGTGAGGAGTAAAACTTTACTTTGAATGAAGGTTGTCTTATTATGCAGTTAAAGACTCCTAGGTAATCTCTCAAAGTGGCTTTCAGAAGAATAGATGAGGAGCCTCTCTGAACCTATTCTGGTTCAGGGACTGCCTGATTCTTGAATTGTTCTTTGCTCAATTCAACTCCGTTAAATGTTATTCATCTAAGGTTTTTCTTAGTAGATGGCATCATAAATGGGATCTGAAATAAAGCTTCTAGTAACCCCTAGGAGCAACAAGTGACCAAGCAATGTACCATTGTGTCCACTGCTTTCTCATAGCAACTGGAGATCATCAGTAAGTTCTCTCTCAGATTCCAAAGCTTCACAGATTTGTGTGTTGAGCTATCTGAGTTTGAACACATTTGAGATCCAAACTGGGTTTGGAAGTCATAACAGAAGCTGGACTGGGTCCAGAATCAGACTGGATCCAATAATTAACTGGCTTGGATCCGTTAGGGGCCTCTTATGTCTGACTGGGTCACACAGAAACTGCTAGTCAACAGCAATATTGCAGAGCGTGTAAAATCCAGGTTTTGGAAATTCATAGGGATTTTTATGTTCTACTCCCTTTGTTTATTTGTCTTGCATACTTAGGTAGGGAAAAATCATTGCCTAATTTGATCAAGGGGATCTGAGAACCAAAGTCAAGATTCAAGGTAAAAATGAGTTCCTTAATTTCTGAAGAACTGAGTACCAGTTTGTAGATGCATACGTATTAGGCCCTAGAAGCAGCAAATACTTACAGAAATGATGAAATCTTATTAAAGGTAACTTAAAGTTATAGTGGAATGTTTCAAATGAACAACACTGCACTTTCAGAAGTTCATTTGAAAATAAGGGCTCTGAAATTAGTCTCATCCAAGGATGCCTATTGACGTGCAGAAGCTTCTAAAAGTATTTCAATGCTGTTACTGCTTTTCAAAAAAAGACTATGAAAGGTAAACAAAAAGCTTAAGTGACTAATTGATAAGAAAAATTAAATCTGCTAATCCTTTGGCCTAGTTACTATCCTGCCTTGAAGGGAAAAAGGAAGCTTTTGTAGATAAAGTGTTTATAAAAGGGAGGCCCTCAGGTAAGTATGCTTACTTCTTTCTTAGATCTATCCATGTTGAATCAGCCATAGAGAATGCTTTCTCTGCCCTATTGCTTAAAGAACTCTACCCTGAACTCAGTAATTTTAGTTAAGAAACAGCTATATTAAAAAGACCCCATAAACTAAAATACACCTTTCTGGAATTTACCTAGCTGTCTTGAAGTCCTTTAGTAAAATAAATTTATATCTTTAAAGGAAATCTCCATTTGTAAGAGCATCTCTGTTTCTGCATCTAACCCACTAGGAACTTCAACTATGGGGAAGACAATGATTTAAAGTTTACATAACAGACCTTGCCTTTGTTCAGATCTAAGTTCTGTGCCTTTGAGATATCAATATTCTACCTTGTTTCACAGGAGTCCCATCTTTGGAGACGTAAATTTAAAGCTGCCTCTCTGACAATTGTTTAGCGCAATAAAACATGTAATTGGAAGAATGATAGTCTGAATGGAGAAAAAAAAACTATTTAAAAGCCAGCAAATAAGAATCTTTTATGAAAACTATAAGATCTGCTTCTGTCTTTGTGTCTCTATGTCTATGTGTTATGTGCATATGATAACGTTTGGCAAATGAAGCTAGTTTTTAAATTGTTGGTAAAATAGGAACCACTTCAACATTTTCAGTTAAACATAATTCAGTACTTCTTGATTTGACTGTGAGCTTGCGTTTTTTGTTTTGAGCCTCTGAATTCAGGAATCTGGATGTTACATGTAGTTAGACAGGCATGAGTGGGGCAGGACAGAGCTCTCTCCCACCCACTAGGAATGTTGAGTGATGGTTCAGCAATTATCACATTCCCTCTCTAAAAGTGATAAATTGGCAGTGGTGCCAGGAAGAGGCCATTTCCTAATGGTTCACATTTATCGTGCTAAAGTGTTAATTGAACACAGATGCGAGGGAGAAGCAACTTCCCAGGCATGTGCATTAAGAGACAAAATGGCAGAGTATGACCTTCTGGGGACACACCATTAGAAAAGGGAAGAAAGGTTCAGATGGACATGCATACAGCCTCCTAAACAAACTGCATATGCTCATTTCCCAAGCATAAGAAGGGCATACACGTGCAGGCAGCCCATCCTAAGAGAAGAATCATGGGAGAGGGGTCAGCCTATAAAGTCCTAGGATCAAGATTAAACACTGCACCTGACCTTCACATGCCTGCTTGGGTTTCTTCCAAGCATACTTTCATTTCTTTCCTGTTCTAAAGCTTTTTAAAATAAACTTCCACTCCTGTTCTGAAACTTGCCTCAGTCTCTTTTTCTGCCTTATGCCCCTCAGTCATTCATTCTTTCTTGCTTGCTGCAGACTTATAAAGATTTACCACTAGTTCTCAGATACCTTCCACTGGTAACATGAATAGGTGGCCATGGTGAGAACAGCTACAAGGCAGACCCAAATCCCATATGGTCCCTTCTCTGCCCCAGCTTTGCCTCCTGGGTCTTCTGGGTTGGGTCTGATCTTCCAGGCTTCATCTTCACAGCTCTGCTGTCTGTCCTGAGTTTTGCATCTGTTATGTAAATTCAGGACTCAGAGAGGCCCTGCCCTTCATAGCCATCTTTGGTGCCACATGGCTACTTGAGACCCAGGATGACTGGGGAAGACTTTAGGGAGGGTACTTGCATCATAGTTTCAAAATTCTTTTACTTTAAATTAAATAAGAGATAACCATGAAATATCTCAGTCATTTGCAAGTAAGTTAAAATACTAAAACATTGATTAAGTTTATATGCTTATATAAGTTTATATATTTTGACATCTTATTTTTATATGATATAGAAAAGCTAAATATATTTTTATATATATTTATGTAATGCCCAACCTTGTTTTTTCCTTTTTCACCTAGCCTTGTTTCCACCTGAATAGACTCTCCCTTAGCTAAGAGAACCAGACAAACTCCATCTTGGCTCTTTCACTGGCAGCCCCTTCCTCAAGGACTTAACTTGTGCAAGCTGACTTCCAGCACATCCAAGAATGCAATTAACTGAAAAGATACTGTGGCAAGCTATATCCACAGTCCCCAAGAATTCGCCTGATTGATAATGCCCAAAGCCCCGTGTCTATCACCTTGTAATATTCTTAAAGCCCCTGCACCTGGAACTGTTTACTTTCCTGTAACCATTTATCCTTTTAACTTTTTGACTACTTAACTTCTGTAAAATTGTTTTAACTAGACCCCCCCCCTTCCTAAACCAAGGTATAAAAGTTGATCAAGCCCCTTCCTCGGGGCCGAGAGAACTTTGAGCGTTACCCATCTCTCAGTCGCTGGCTAATAAAGGACTCTTAATTTGTCTCAAAGTGTGGCATTTTCTCTAACTCATCTGGGTACAACATTTTGGAGGCCCCAGTGAGATATTAACACCACCAGGCGAGAGCTGGTCTTGCTCCGGGCTCCCCCAGAAGGACGGCTGGCTCGGAGGGGGGGTGCCACCTGAGGAAAGAATTTTCAGGTCCCTGAAGAGCGACTGTCTTCCAGAGGAGAGCAGATTGACTACAGTGTGAGTGCCCTAAAATTCAACATCTGAGTCCTCAGCTTCTGACCTCGGGGTCAGGTAGGTCAGATTTGACTTTGTTTCTGGTAAGAAGGAAGAGGCCCTGATGAGGGCGTCCCTCTTTTGACTCAGCCCGTTACTCTGGGATGCTAGTGGGTTGAGCCTTGGTTTTCTGGTAGGCGCCTTTGTGTCTTGGTTTGGGTGGGAAGGACCCTCCCTTGACTCAGCTCAAGACCCAGGACGCTGGGGAGCTGAACCTTGGTTTCTGGCAGACCGGTCTCAATCTCTCTCTCTCTCTCTCTTTTTCTATCTCTCATCTTTCTCTTGTTCAGGTTTCCTGGAGAATCTCTGGGAAAGAGGAAACAAAACAAAACAAAACAAAAAAACTGTTATAAACTCTGTGTGAATGGTGTGTGGATGTGGGAGGACAAAGGATTGCATTTGTCTTCCAGTTTGTAGCTCCATGGCAAAAACTACGGAGTTCGAGTGGGCCCCCACCTGCAGTTCCGTGGTGACCTCATAAGGCTTAAGGCAGCACCGGGCATAGCTCGATTCAAGCCGGGGGTTTATACCGGCCTGCCAATGCTAAGAGGAGCCCAAGTCCCCTCAGGGTGAGCAGCCAGGCGGGCATCTGACTGATCCCATCACGGGACCCCCTCCCCTTGTCTGTCTAAAATAAAAAAACAAAAAGGAAAAAACTGTCAAAACTGTTTACATGCCCTAGGGTCAAATTGTTTGTTTTATGTTTATTGTTCTGTTTAGTGTTTATTGTCTTGTTTAGTGGTTGTCAAGGTTTTGCATGTCAGGACATCGGTATTGCCCAAGACATCTGGGTAAAAACTTCTTCAAGGTCCTTAGTGCTGATTTTTTTTCACAAGAGGTTAAATTTCTCATCAGTCATTTAGGCTGGCCACCACAGTCTTGTCTTTTCTGCCAGAGGCAAGTCAGGTGTTGTTACGGGAATGAGTGTGAAGAACATTCGTCTGATTGGAATTTCTGGCACCATGGAGGTTGTGGGCATTTAGATTGCCATACCCCAGGTCCAAGTGATTGGACCTACTCTAGATTAAACTAGTGGTGGGTTCAAAACAGCCAACCTTCAGATTTCCTTGCTCACCTTTTTTGTCATTCTGTAACTTTTCCTGTGCCCTTAAATAGAACACTGTGTAGGGAAACCTATGCACGTCATGCTTTACTTCCTTTAGACTCCTAGTCTGTTCACCTGTGGCTACTCTCCCATCTTAAAAATGACCTGAGTGGTCCCTTTCCCCCTCATCCCTGCCCTCTACCCCACACATCTCGTTTTCTGGTGCAACAGCAAGTTCAGCGTCTCCAGGACTTGGCTCTGCTCTCACTCCTTCAACCCTTAAAAGAAAAAGCTGAATTTGAGCTGTATGCCTTTGAGTCATGGAGACATCAAAGGTATTTAGGGTACTGGTCTAGAGAAAGAAAGAGAGGGAGAACACCTAAATCCAACTGACCCAAGAGAACTCTGGCTGGCCCCTAGTCCCCCTCCCTCAATTTTAAAGCTACAGCAATGTGGCAAGGGATATTAGCTGTTGTGGTTTTTCTGTTCTTTCTGGTTATGTTAATTCTGTTTTTCTGATACTCCAGCCCCCCAGGGAGTGAGTTTCTCTGTCTGTGTTGGATCTGATATCTCTGCTCAAATTCTGCTAAATTGCTTTAAAAAAAATGGGAAACTCCTCATCCCAGCCTTGTAAATGTTGGAGCCCCCTCCAGTGTATGCTGAAAAATTTTTCTCTTGTTTTCTCAGAGGATTACCGAGTCCGCCTTAAGAAAGGCAAACTCCAGACACTCTGTGAAGTAGAATGGCCAAAGTTTGGAGTTGGGTGGCCCTCTGAAGGGTCATTGAATCCTACAATTGTTCAAGCCATGTGACGGGTTGTTACTGAAGCTCCCGGCCACCCTGATCAGTTTCCCTATATAGATCAATGGTTAAGTTTGGTCAGGAATCCTCCATGGCTCTGTTCATGTGCCATTCGCAACTCCACCTCCAAAGTCCTCCTGAGCCAGGCCACGTTTGCGTCTTGACCCTCAGCCAGTTCATCTCCCCCTGTATTGCCTCCCTCTGAAGAAGAGGAGAGTTTCCCTCACCCAGTCCCACCGCCTTACAACAAACCTGCCCCCCTAGGGTCATCCCATGTCTCCTTGACAACATCCCCTGTGGGCTCGCCACCCATTGCCTCTCGACTGCGGCCACGGTGGGAGGAAATAACCCCTCTACTACCAATGAGAGAGGCACAAGTCCCTCTGGGTGATGAGCGCTCAGCCCCCTTCTTGGTTTATGTCCCTTTTTCTACTTCTGACTTGTATAATTGGAAAACCCATAATCCTCCCTTCTCTGAAAAGCCCCAGGCTTTGACCTCACTGATGGAGTCCATACTCCGGACCCATCAGCCCACCTGGGATGACTGCCAACAACTCCTTTTAACTCTCTTTACCTCTGAGGAGACGGAGCATATCCAAAGAGAGGCCAGAAAGCACTTCCTTGAATCAGCCAATAGGCCGGAGGAGGAAGCTAGAGACCTCCTTGAGGAGGTTTTTCCCTCTACCCTGCCAAATTGTGACCCAAATTCCTCAAGTGGAAGGAGAGCTTTGGATGATTTCCACTGGTATCTTCTTGCAGGTATTAAAGGAGCTACTTGGAAACCCATAAACTTGTCTAAGACAACTGAAGTTGTCCAGGGGCCTGATAAGCCACCAGGAGCGTTTTTAGAACATCTCCAGGAGGCTTATTGGATTTATAACCCTTTTGACCCGGCAGCTCCTGAAAATAGCCATGCTATTAATTTGGTATTTGTGGCTCAGGCAGCCCCAGATATTAGAAAGAAAGCTCCAGAAACTGGAGGGATTTGCTAGGATAAATATCATTCAGCTTTTAGAAATAGCCCAGAAGGTTTTTGACAATCGAGAGTACGAAAAACAGAAACAAGCAACACAGGCAGCTGAAAAAGCTGCTGACAAAGCATACAAAAGACAAGCAAAAATCTTGTTGATGGCTTTCCAGGAGAGCAGAAAGAAAAGGCCCCCATTCCAGAAAAATGGCCAAGGAACCTCGGGTTCCCACTAGAAACGTAAAGAAGGTGAATAGGCCACTCTAGAAAAAGACCAATGTGCTTATTGCAAGCAGACTGGGCACTGGAAAAAGGAATGCCCACTACTGCCACAAGAAAAATCAGAAAAGGAAAAGTTCCTCACCTTGCCCGCAATGGAGGAGCCTGATGATTGACAGGGCCATGAGATACTGTCGCCTCTGGATATTGGGGTTTGCGGAGATTGCAAAGCCCTTGTATACTGCTACAAGAAGTAGCAGCCCACTAATTTGGACAGACACCGGAGAACAGGCTTTTCAAAACTTAAAAAAGGCTTTAACTGAAGCCCCTGCTTTAGCCCTCCCAAATATCTCAAAGCCGTTTCACCTGTTTGTCCATGAAAGCCAGGGAATTGCTAAGGGGGTGCTTACCCAGACTCTAGGACCTTGGAGATGCCCAGTAGCCTATTTATCTAGGAGGCTGGATCCTGTGGCCTCTGGATGGCCAAGTTGCCTGTGAGCCATGGCGGCTACAGCAAGCCTAGTCCAAGGGACTGATAAGTTAACTCTGGGCCAGAATTTATCCCTTACAGCTCCTCATGCTGTAGAGACTCTACTATGAAGTGCTTCTGCTAAATGGATGTCAAATGCTTGCATCTTACAATATCAGGGTTTACTGTTGGATCAGCCTCATTTGACTTTCACTCCCACAAGGTGTTTAAATCCTGCTACCCTGCTCCCAGATGCAGATTCCACTATACCTATCCATGACTGTCAAGAACTGTTAGAAAATACTGAAACTGGCCAGCCAGATGTTCAGGATGTGCCCCTGGAAAAGGCAGATGCCACTGTGTTTACAGACAGTAGCAGTTTCCTTGAGCAGGGAGTATGAAAGGCTGGTGCAGCTGTTACCACACAGACAGATGTGTTGTGGGCTCAGGCTTTACCAGCGAACACCTCAGCACAGAAAGCTGAATTGATCGCTCTCACCCAAGCTCTCCGATGGGGTAAGAATAAACGTATTAACATTTACACTGACAGCAGGTATGCTTTCGCTACTGTACATGTACATGGAGCCAACTACCAAGAACGGGGGTTACTCACTTCAGCAGGAAAAATGGTCAAGAACAAAGAGGAAATTCTAGCCCTGCTTGAAGCCATGTGGCTCCCTTAGCAGGTGGCTGTAATCCATTGTAAAGGACATCAAAAAGAAAACACAGCCATTGCCCGTGGTAACCAGAAAGCTGATTCAGCAGCTCAGGAAGCAGCGTGACTTTCAGTCACGCCTATCAACCTGCTGCCTGCAGTTTCTTTTCCACAGCCAGATCTGCCTGACAACCCCATGTACTCAACAGAAGAAGAAAAATTAGCTTCATATCTTGAAGCAAATAAAAATCAGAAAGGTTGGTGGATTCTTCCTGACTCTAGAATCTTCATACCCCGCACTCTTGGAGAAACTTTAGTCAGTCACCTACATTCTACCACCCATTTAGGTGGGACAAAATTAGCCCAGCTCCTCTGGAGCCACTTTAAGATCCCCCGTCTACAAGGCCTAACAGATCAAGCAATTTTCCAGTGCACAACCTGCGCCCAGGTAAATGCCAAGCAAGGTCCTAAACCCAGCCCAGGTCACTGTCTCCGAGGAAACTCACCAGGAGAGAAGTGGGAAATTGACTTTACAGAAGTAAAGCCACACCGGGCTGGTTACAAATACCTTTTAGTACTAGTAGACACCTTCTCCGGATGGAATGAGGCATTTGCTACCAAAAACGAAACTGCCAATACGGTAGTTAAGTTTTTACTCAATGAAATCATCCCTCGATATGGGCTGCCTGCTGCCATAGGGTCTGATAATGGATCTGCCTTCACCTCGTCCATAGCTCAGTCAGTCAGTAGGGCATTAAACATTCAGTGGAAGCTCCATTGTGCCTATCGACCCCAGAGCTCTGGGCGGGTAGAACTCATGAACTGCACCCTAAAAACACTCTTACAAAATTAATCTTAGAAACCAGTGAAAATTGGGTAAGTCTCCTTCCTTTAGCCCTACTTAGAGTAAGGTGCACCCCTTATTGGGCTGGGTTCTCACCTTTTGAAATCATGTATCGAGGGGCACCGCCTATCTTGCCTAAGCTAAGAGATGTCCATTGGGTAGAAATATCACAAGCAAATTTATTGCAGTACGTACAGTCTCTCCAACAAGTACAAGATATCATTCTGCCACTTGTTTGAGAAGCCCATCCCAGCCGAGTTCCTGACCAGATGGGGCCCTGCCATTCATTCCAGCCAGGTGACCTGGTGTTTGTTAAAAAGTTCCAGAGAGAAGCACTCACTCCTGCTTGGAAGGGACCTCACACCATCATCCTCATGATGCCAACAGCTCTGAAGGTGGACAGAATTCCTGCTTGGATTCATCACTCCCACATCAAAAAGGCCAACAGAGCCCAACTAGAAACATGGGCCCCCAAGCCTGGATCAGGCCCCTTAAAACTGTGCCTAAGTCAGGTGAAACTGTTAGATTAATTCTTTTTATTTACTTCTCTTGTTTGTTTTCGCCTATTATGTCCTCTGTGCCTTCCTACTCCTTCCTCCTCACCTCTTTCACAACAGGACGTGTATTCACCAACACTACTTGGAGGGCCGGTACTTGCAAGGAAGTCACCTTTGCAGTTAATTTATGTGCACTGTTCCCAGAGCCAGCTCACACCCATGAAGAACAATACAACTTACCAGTCATAGGAGCAGGAAGTGTCGACCTTGCAGCAGGATTTGAACACTCTGAGAGCCAAACTGGATGTGGAAACTCCAAAGGTGCAGAAAAAGGACTCCAAAAAGTTGAGTTTTACCTCTGTCCTGGAAATCACCCTGATGCTAGCTGTCAAGATACTTACCAGTTTTTCTGCCCTGATTGGACATGTGTAACTTTAGCTACCTACTCTGGGGGGATCAACTAGATCTTCAACTCTTTCCATAAGTCGTGCTTCTCATCCTAAATCATGTACTAAAAGGAATTGTAATCCTCTTACTATAACTATTCATGGCCCTAATTCAGCTCAGTGGTATTATGGCATGTCATGGGGATTGAGGCTTTATATCCCAGGATTCGATGTTGGAACTATGTTCACCATTCAAGAAAAAATTTTGGTCTCATGGAGCCCACCTAAGTCAATTGGGCCTTTAACTAATCTAGGTGACCCTATGTTCCAGAAACACCCTGACAAAGTTGATTTAACTGTTCCTCCACCATTCTTAGTTCCTAAGCCCCAGCTACAAGGACATCATCTTCAACCCAGCCTTATGATTATACTAGATGGAGTACACCATCTCCTTAACCTCACCTAGCCTAAACTAGCCCAAGATTGTTGTCTATGTTTAAAAGCAAAACCCCCTTATTATGTAGGATTAGGAGTAGAAGCCACCCTTAAACGTGGCCCTCTATCTTGTCATACATGACGCCGAGGTCTCACACTAGGAGATGTGTCTGGAAATGCTTCCTGTCTGATTAGTACTGGGTATAACTTGTCTGCTTCTCCTTTTCAGACTATGTGTAATCAGTCCCTGCTTAGTTCCATAAGTACCTCAGTCTCTTACCAATCGCCTAACAATACCTGGTTGGCCTGCACCTCAGGTCTCACTCACTGCATTTATGGAACTGAACCAGGACCTCTCTTGTGCATGTTAGTTCATGTTCTTCCCCCAGGTATACGTGTACAGTGGACCAGAAGGACAACTCCTCATCACTCCCCCAGAACTACATCCCAGGAAGCACCGAGCTGCCCCACTTCTTGTTCCCCTCTTGGCTGGTCTTAGCATAGCTGGATCAGCAGCCATCGGTACAGCTTCCCTGGTTCAAGAAGAGACTGGACTAATGTCCCTGTCTCAACAGGTGGATGCTGATTTAAGTAATCTCCAGTCTGCCATAGATATACTACACTCCTAGGTAGAATCTCTGGCTGAAGTAGTACTTCAGAACCACTGAGGCTTAGATCTACTATTGCTTTCTCAAGGTAGATTATGTGCAGCTCTAGCAGAAAGTTGTTGCTTCTATGCCAACCAATCTGGAGTCATAAAAGATACATTCCAAAAAGTTTGAGAAAATCTAGATAGGTGCCAACAGGAACAAGAAAATAACATCCCCTGGTATCAAAGCATGTTCAACTGGAACCCCTGGCTAACTACTTTAACCAGTGGGTTAGCTGGACCTCTCCTCATCATATTATTAAGTTTAATTTTTGGGCCTTGTATATTAAATTGGTTTCTTAATTTTGTAAAATAGCGCATAGCGTCTGTCAAACTTATGCATCTTAGGACTCAATATAACCCCTTTGTCATGCCTGAAGAATCAATGATTTGATTCCCCAAAAACACAAGTGGGGAATGTAATACCCTATCTTGTTTTTTCCTTTTTCACCTAGCCTTGCTTCCACCTGAATAGACTCTCCCTTAGCTAAGAGAACCAGACAAACTCCATCTTGGCTCTTTCACTGGCAGTCCCTTCCTCAAGGACTTAACTTGTGCAAGCTGACTTCCAGCACATCCAGGAATGCAATTAACTGATAAGATACTGTGGCAAGCTATATCCGCAGTCCCCAAGAATTTGTCTGATTGATAACGCCCAAAGCCCCGTGTCTATCACATTGTAATAGTCTTAAATCCCCTGCACCTGGAACTGTTTACTTTCCTGTAACCATTTATCTTTTTAACTTTTTGACTACTTAACTTCTGTAAAACTGTTTTAACTAGAACCCCCCGCCCCTTCCTAAACCAAGGTATAAAAGTTAATCAAGCCCCTTCCTTGGGGCTGAGAGAACTTTGAGCATTAGCCCGTCTCTCGGTCGCTAGCTAATAAAGGACTCTTAATTCGTCTCAAAGTGTGGCGTTTTCTCTAACTCGTCTGGGCACAACATTTATATCTGTTAATAAACAATAGTTTAAGCAAATAATTTCTAAATAATTACAATATGGTTTTCATCCACAAATACTGGTATAAGACAGTTCAAAATATCTTCATAGGGTTTTCACTATAAATTAGGGTTCCTAAGAGTTATCATTGTCATTAGATACAATCAAAATGACTAGAAATGAGAGAATTCTTTATACAGAGTATATAAACGCAAGCAAGATATGCTTTTGGTGAAGAAAGTTGTAAAGGCATGAAAATGCATGTTGCGGAAAAACTACTTTTGTCTAGTTTAAGAGTTATTTAAAGGTTGTTTCAAATTGAAGGAATAGAAATACACAGATAAAACTAACTGAATATAGAAAGTTGAGAAGAGAAAAAAAAACCCTAAACAACTATAAAGGATGTATGGAAATCCTGTGTGGTCAAAAGGTGATGTATTTATTTATAAAGTTTTATTAAAATTAGCTTTACTATTGATAATACACTAACACAAAAGTAAAATTTGGGGCCTAGCATGGTGGCTCACACCTGTAATCCCAACACTTTGGGAGGCCAAGGCAGGAGGATCACTTGAACCCAGGAGTTTGAGACCAGCCTGGACAACATACTGAGACCCTGTTAAATAAATAACTAAGGTAAAATTTTTAAAGATTAAAATTCGGTTTTCTCTTTTGAACAAAAATGTCATGTGGTAGTAATAAGAAATTCTAAAATATTTTGTTCACTTTTTGAGTAAACTGCAAAAAAAAGAGCAAAAGATAGGAGAGAAGAAGAAACAGATTCTGTCTCATGATATTTTTCTCAGGTCTTTTGATTGTTTTGAAAACTGAGTCTCCTTTCTATCAAAGAATAAAGGTTTTTGCTTTTTAAAATGTGTTAATAATCACTTTGGCTAAATTAATGACTGCCATTTTACAGTGACCTGTGATTTTATTTTGGTCAAGTATTTTAAATCTTTGACATATTTGACAGGCTTCAACAAATCAAATGTCAGCTTCAAAATTAAGTCTTGTTTTCCAGCCTTTAACTTGGGGATGCTACAGAGGGCCCCTGAAGCAAAAAAAGATATAAACAGGATTATTTGATATGTTAAATTACATGGGAAGCATTGTCAAACAAAAGATGATGTTTAAACTTTGAGTTATATTTTTATGAATATATTATATGTGCCAATATTGTGTGGGAGTCCTAAAATTCTGATATATCTGGGTATATGGTATCACTTATAATTATTGTTAATTGTGTTAAATTATTGTAGGCCACAGAAATAATCAATTTCTTTGTCAGTTGTCTCTATGCTCATTTGAAGTCAATTTCCATAGTTAATTGCTTAATTCTGATGCAGTTTGTGAAGGTGTTAGAACCAAGCAAAATCCTAGAGTATGGTGTCTTCAAGGAGGCTCATGAAAGTTTAGAAAGAACTGTAACAAGCATTTTTTTTCCTTTTTTTGAGACAGAGTCTCCCTTTGTCACCCAGGCTGGAGTGCCGTGGCATGATCTCTGTTCACTGCTACCTCTGCCTTCCAGGTTCAAGCAATTCTCGTGCCTCAGCTTCAGCTGGGATTACAGGTATGTGCCACCACACCTGGCTATTATTTTATTATTATTATTATTATTATTATTATTATTATTATTATTATTTAGTGGAAATGGCATGTTATGTTGGCCAGACTGCTCTCAAACTCTTGGCGTCAAGTGATCCACCCGCCTTGTCCTCCCAAATTGCTGGGATTATAGGCATGAGCCTCTACACCCAGCCTGACAAGCACTCTTGAATATAAGTTTCTGATAACTTTAAGATCATATCATTTCAACTGGGTAAGAATTCTCAGAACCCTAATGAAGAGACTGATTGCTTTATAAAACTACTAACCCAAACAGCACAAAAATTAATTGAATATTAAGAAAATTCTTTGCCGGATTTTTGTGCTAAATCAGCCAATACTGAAATTGTTTAGATATGCAATTGGAATTAACTCCATGGTTCAAGTCAAATTACTCATGACAACCCATGCAATAAACAGTTCTATGCACCTAAATTGGATAAACAAAATTGGTATTTAAGAGGCTTTAAGTCCAATGTTAATTGTGGACTCATGGAGAGCCTGGGTCTTTCATTATTAAAAGCTCTGCATTCCATGATTTATAACAGAAGAGATAAAATAATTCGAATTAAATATATATGTGGGGGTGGGTGGGTGTGGTGACTGTTATGACCAAAATTTTTTTTTTCAAACCCATAATCCTGGGAAGACAATAAAAACTTTAGGTACATTTCTGCTATCTGATTGACCATTTAAACATTTATAGAGAAATTGCATTCAATTGTCATTTTCAATGCTTGTTTTCTGATTGTATAACAGCTTTCCCATGCAAGAGGGCTGATGTTAAAACAATATCTAAAACGTTACTGGAAAATGTGTTTTTCCTCATAGAGCATTCCTGGAGATATCTCTAGTAAGAGCGGTACTTGCTTCACTAGACAAATTATAAAACAGTTAAAGTGCTACAGATAAAATAGCATTAGGCAAAGTTAACTGAATTGACTGGATTTCCCTGATCAAAGGTGTTATAGATAGATTACAATCAGATCCACTTAGACTGGAAAACATAAGTTGACCTTTTATAAAAGTCACTGGAAGTCCTATACACCTAAAAATAAAACCTCATTTACCTTCCATTTCTAAACTGTGATATAAGTAAATGCTACAAGGCTTTAATGCATTATGCTAAAGTGTAGTTTCACTAGGTAAAGAAAGATTTCCAGTGTCCATTGAGTGGGGACAATCAAGCCCTTCACTACCTAGAACATAGAGATTGGACAGTCTGAGAATGACACTACAGAAAAACTGCCCTTGCCACCCAGACTGCAGCTAAACTTTGGGACCTTGAACCTTGGGTTCATAACTCAGAAGGGCTTCTCCAAATTGCCCATTGGAGATGTTAAGGTAAAGCTAACCAAGGAAGTTTCTCCTGAGAAGCAGACAGCATCTTAGATGTGGACAGCTTTTTTTCCCCAAGATCATAGATCAAGACATTTCTGCAATATGAGACTCTTATCTCTCAATTATTTCCCTTGCTTATGCCTCTATGAACAACTGAGAAGGAGGTTTCTTTTGTGCACTCATGGGTATACGTTTATTTGTGAAGGATTTTGCAGCCATTCTCACTCATGGACAAGCTTATGCCTTGATAGATGAAAGATGAAGGGTAATGTGGGTAAGAAATTTTAATGCTACCTTTGCTGCTTTATAATCAGTCAGAAACAGAACACTGATCCACTCCTCTTAACCCACATCATAAGTTACAGAGAAAATTGCCAGGAGGCCTTCACTCTTCCAGATGAGTATCATTTATTAGGTCTCTTTCTTCATGATTTGGAGTAAATGAGGCAATAATTAGAAATGTATCTCTCATAATAGGCTCAATAGCAGATTCTAGTGTAAATGCTATGTTTATGCAACAGACTTCAAATTCTCTCTAAAGTTGTGCTAAATAATATAATAGAATTGTTTTAGATTACTTTCTGGCTAAACAAAAGTTTCTGTGCAGTTGCTGATACTTCTTATTGCACATGCAAGAATACAATGGGTATTACAGAGATTCAGTTGTAAGGAATTAATGAACAGGCTGCTTGTTTTAAATGAGCAGACTCTTTATCTGGCTCATTCTTTGATTTACTTGATTTTAGTTGGTTTCAGTTTGTGGGGACACTGGCAGGAGCATTCTCCAAACTTCTGGTATTATCCACCTGAGAATCATATGGGTAGTCTCCCTGGTGTGCTGTATCCTCTCAAAAGTTTTCAATGTTTGCATGCAGTCATCTCTAGAATTTTAGATGGTGTCTTGTCAACTTTAAATGACAAAAACTGAAAGAAATGTGTGACCATGAGAACACCATAATCTATGAATGATGTGCTGAAACAAGAAACCCAAAATGATGGTAACTGAGGGTAGCACTAAAGCCCTAAGTTATTGTCATATTCTCACCTAAGTGAGAACCTGGCTAAAAGTGGGGAATTTTGAAACAAAATTATGGGAGTTCATTGTTTTGCACTGAGCTCATGCACAAGGCTCCTATATATGAGAACAAACCAAAGCAGTGTCATTCATGCTAAATATAACATAATTGAACTGAAACTTTAAGGAAACAGATCCTAAAACAGACCAATGTTTTTCTTCTGTAAAAAGGAAATTCTTATATGGGAGAGGGGGAGATTCTCTCTACTCTAACCCTTTTAAAAAATAATAACCTTAAGTCCTTGTTTCCACTTCACAAAATCCATCATTCTGCTATTTCCCAGTGAGACTTAAGACCAAATAAGAACATTTATGGTGGTAATAGAGTGATATCAATGCCTAAAATTTTGGTCTATCTCTCACATTTGAAAGGATGAACAAAAGGGGAGAATTATTAAATAAGTTTAGTCTAAAGCTACCTCCTTACATATTTTAAGTTCAACCTAAAGGTTTCTGCAGAACTGTAACATAACTGGATGTGTAAACACACTGTAACCTACTCTTGTGCGAATCACCAAGTTTGGACCAATCAAGGGTGGCCAACTGTTCAAATCGAGTTCAAATAAGGAAAACACTGAGCTAAAACCAATCCAGCTGTTTCTCTACCTCTTGTCCATCTTCTGTGTGTCACTTTCCTTTTTCTCTCCATAAATCTTCCATCATATGGCTTTGCTGGAGCTTCTCTGAAACTATTGTAGTTCAGGGGCTGAGAAATTCATGAATTGCTGTTTGCTCAATGAAACTCTGTTAAAATTTTTAAAAAGAAAAAGAATAATAGATGAAAAGTCTATCTTGGCATGTTGATGGGCTTTTAGTCTCTTCTCTGGTGGTTAGTCTTTCCTGGTTATTTGATAAAATTCCTAAGGAGGGGATTTTAAGGAAATTGCACTTCTTTTAGAATGAAGTTTTCTTAGTCAGATAAGGAATTTGCAGAGAAAGTTCCTCCCTGTACTTGGTGAAGGGAAAAAACAAGAGAAGGTTAGAAAGTCTTTGGTTTTGAGGCAGCTTCTCAGGCCTTCCTATTTTAATTCAAAGTTCCCAGCATGGCAAAGCACCAAACTTTTGCAGTATTGTTTTCTGAGCCTTAACAATAGTCACAGTTCAGATGTCGGTGCTGTACTCATCTCAAGCTGTTCACACGTATACCAGCTGCAAATCTCCATTCACACTGCAGATATAGATATTTTCCCAATATCGTATTAAGTAAATCCTTTGATACCCTTGGCAAAATTTTATGGTAATTTTCAAACAAAATAGAAGTAGGACTCTCAGCAAATTAAAGAATACAGTCACTTTGCATTGTAAAGTAAAATCCATTTTAGTTCATTTTCCTTATTGATACTATCATGGAAGTAACGTTAAATAAAAAGAGTCAGAATTTATATATAGCACACCACTTAATGTAAAAAATTGAAAGTATTTCTGCGGCAGTCATTGAGTTACATCACATGGATCTCCCCTTAAGAAAGAATCTTCCATTCAGTTTCTGGGAGTACAACTAGCTGACAGCCTTCAGCTATTACAGATTTGAGGATGCCCTCAGCTTTCAAACCCAGGTTACAATCTTCTGGGGAAGCCTCTGGACAATGTCTGAGCATGATAGGAACACTAAGAACATAGTCATTTCTGCCCAGTGTGGGGGTCCACTAATGGGCAATGTTTTCTCTGAAGCTCCCCATCAGGATTTTACAGAATGTTATTGCCTGATATTCTCTCTTCTCTAATCCTGCTCCTGCTTTCTTTTCTTTCATTGGTGTCAGTGGTGAAAAAATGATCAGGATGAAGTTTATAAAAAGTCATGACTGGAGAATCACAATACCAAACCTTGAATTTGAGGACTAAGGCAATGTCATTTGCAGCTGAGAGTTACAAGCCTTTTGAAAATTACCTCTTGGTGTGCTACTGGGCCATGGTAGAGATGAAATACTCAACTAGGGGACATCAACTGGCCATGCACCAGGAACTGCGTATCATGAGTTGGATTCTATGGAAGCCTCTGTGTTTCAAAGTTAGGTGGGTTCAGGAGCAATCTATTGTGACATGGAAAAGGTATATCAAAAATCAAACTTGAGTAATATCCGATGACATAAGTAAGTACTTCAGCAAGTGGTTCAGATGGCTGTGTTACCCACAATTTTTGCACTAGCTCTCTATCATGGTTCACACATATATCTATATGTGGGAATTTCCCCATATATTCAGCTACAGAAAGAAAAAAACCTACTTTTGTTTATGAAGGCATAGGCTTTCTATGTGGGTGTAAACCAAAAATGAACAATCAGATGAATCACAATCACACTCAACTGTGGCCTTAGAAGATAGTGGTGAGGGAAAATCTTACAAACCACTGTTCATTCACTTTTCCTTTAGGGGCAGAAAAGTATGATACCTTTACTCACCTATCATAAGAGTCATGGCCCACACTCCTATAACAAGACAGGTTAACAAGAGAAAAGCATAACAAATGTATTTAATCTAGGTTTTACATGACACGGGAACATTTAGAAATGAAGACCTAAATATTCAGGGAAAACTGTCCATTTTTATGCTCAGGTTCAATGAAGAATAGACAGCCAGGTAGAAATGGAATTGGACAAAAGGGTATGATGATAATAGACTAATGGGGAAATCTGAACAGAAAGACCTGTTTGTTCCAATTCTTCTTGGCCTCTCTGTGTAGTAGTCCTTCCTCCCAGGTATGTGGCAGGACCCTTCTAGATTGAGAGTCTTATGACCTATTATCAGACAAGGCAGGTCAGAGAATTTCTTTATGACCAGGTCTAAGACAGAACAACAGGGAAAGTTTAGAGTAATATTTCTGAGTTTTATAGCTTGCTTTGGAGGAGGGGAGTTCTAGTTTCTATGACCTGCCTTGGGGAAGAGGAATTCTATTTTAATGACTTGCCTCAGGGCAGAAAGAAGGGCAAAAAAAACCAGAAGTGTTGCTGGAAATCAGGGACCCTGAATGGAGGGACTGGCTGATGCCACGGCAGAAGAAAATAGATCATGAAGATTTCATGGATATTTGTTAGTTTCCCAAATTAATACTTTTATAATTTCCTACACCTGTCTTTACTGCAATCTCTGAACATAAATTGTGAAGATTTCATGGACATTTATCACATCCCCAATCAATACTGTTATAATTTCCCATGCCTGTCTTTAATCTCTTAAACCCATCATCTTCATAAACTGAGGATGTATGTTGTCTCAGGACCCTGTGATGATTGCATTACCTGCACAAATTGTTTGTAAAGCATATGTGTTTGAATAATATGAAATCTGGGCACCTTGAAAAGAACAGGATAACAGTGATGTTCAGGAAACAAGGGAGATAACCATAAGGCCTGACTGCCTACAGGGCCAGGCAGAACAGAGTCATATTTCTCTTCTTGCAAAAGCAAATAGGAGAAATATCGCTGAATCCTTTTTCTCAGCAAGAAACAGCCCTGGGAAAGAATGCATTCCCAGGGGGAAGTCTCTAAAATGGCCTCTCTGGAAGTGTCTGTCTTATGCAGTTTTTGATAAGGGATGAAATATGCCCTGGTCTCCCACAGTGCCCCCAGGCTTGCTAGGATTCGGAAATTCCAGCCAGGCAAAATTCTAGTCAGACCGGTTGTCTGCTCTCAAACCCTGTTTCCTGTTAAGATGTTTATCAATGACAATGTGTGCCCAGCAGGACATGGACCTTCATCAGTAATTCTAGTTTTGCCCTGGCCTTGTGATCTCATTCTGCCTCTCTGCCCTTGTGATATTTTATTGCCTTTGAAGCAAGTGATCTCTGTGACCCACTCCCTATTCATACACCCCTCCCCTTTTGAAACCCTTAATAAAAACTTGCTGGTTTTGTGGTTCAAGGGGCGTCATGGAACCTGCTGATATGTGATGTCACCCCCGGAGTCCCAGCTGTAAAATTTCTCTCTTTTGTACTCTACTCTTTATTTCTCAGACTGACCGACACTTAGGGAAAATAGAAAAGAAACTACATTGAAATATTGGGGGCTGATTCCCCCGATACAGAAGGACAGAAGAAGATCAGAGAGAACTTACTCATGATGCTGCTTCTGAAGCTGCTTCTGAGGCCTTCCAATCTCTTTTAGTTCAAAGAACTAAGCATGCCAAATTAACATACTTTGGGATATAATTTTCTGGGCCCCAATGGTACACAAGGAGAAAGGTCCCAAGGTAAGGATATATATGAGCTTATGGGCAAAGTTGAATGAATTGTCTGGCTGGTTGGGGGCCTTGGAGGGAAAAGATTGGAAGACCAGAGACATGAAGGCATGGGGAAGAGGTGTGGCAAGTCTACAAAGTGGTTTTTGAGGTGGATGAACATTGAAAATGAATACGGAGTGTGAATATCTTTGTATCATATGTAAGCACACATCAGAAATCATCCATCTGCAAAGAATTACACAAGCTAGTAGAGGAAATTACTTGGCCAATAGATATTAGACAATTTTGTTGTTGGCTATCCCAGCACTGGCATGATGGGTCCATGAACAGAGGAGCCTCCATGGCAGAGAAGGATGTAATGCATGGTGGGATTCCCCCTTAGCAAGGCTGGTCAGCAATTACTGCTTCTGAGTTCCTGTACCTGTCTACAGCAGAGGTTAACACTGACTCCCTAAATCTCAAAGGACAGCTGGCCACTTTTTGGTAAGTTGGCTTCATTGAACGCCTTCTAGCTTCCTCCTTTTTTCCTTTCATGGGCATCAAATCTGCATCACACTTTGAAGGCTTCCCCTGACCAGTTCTCTTTCCTCCCCTTTTACCTTTCACAGGCATTACTCCCAGATGAAGTTTTAACTCTCTAATCATCATCTTAACACGTTTTACAGGTGATATAACTGCCACAATATCCAAAACAATAATATGTATGGTTCATAGATACATTTCCATGTAAATAATTTTTAAAAGACATTAAATACCCTAGAATGGGTGCCTACAGGGAGAGGAGCAGAGTGTGCTGAACGGGGCAAGAATAACAGGAAATAAGGCAAACATAAAAAATCAGAAGACAGATTGGATGGAGAATTGTGTGCAAAAAACTGAGACATATGATTGGTTGTGTCAGTCATGTTGCATGCATCTGAGGTATAAACGGAAAACATTTATAATTTCTATTATTTGTTTTTCTTTTGAGAACCTGAGTGTTTCAACTCTTACTGTAATTCTGATTGGACAGAGATGGACTCAGTAACAGGAGCTGACTTTACAGTGGGCTTTTTTTAAAGAAACTTCTCTCTTTTCACTGAAGGAAGAAAGAATTATTCATAGTCCAGTTACCATCACTCTCCCAAATGGGTTTCAGGACTCCTGAGTGCAGGATGTATTCCAAAATATTTCCCAATTTTTTTTCTTTCTGAATGAATGTTTGACAGTCCTAAATGTGGGCTAAGCACTGGTGTTTCTTTGGATACCCATGTCCAGCTCCCAACTACCACCTCACCTCATCTCCCTCCTTGAACAGCAACCTTCCCTTCCCTTTTCTGCCTACTTTTGGCTACTTCCAATTGTCCTAAGCTGGGTGATCTCTCTTCTTGCATCTGGAGACTCTCCCTTCTTTCTCACACATTTATTGGCCTACCATAATTTACAAAGAGTGAAATATTCTACAGAAATATTCAAGGATTATCACTTTCACTTTCAAAGGATGATTAAGATTTCCTTTTTTAATCACCAACAGATGAAGCACAATCTAATTTCAGGTCACAAGTTTCCTTCAGATCACTCCTTGGTTCATTAAGAGTAACTAAAAATTATAAAACTTAAGATAATTATAAAAACTTACCTGCCAACAAAAGGCTCTCCCTGAGGTATTTGTATTCCCTGTGGTCAAGCAGTTATGATGCCTCTCAGAAAGGGGAACACTGATTGGAAGCCAGTGGATTCAATTCTGGGTTGGTAACTCTTACCTCTGGGGTAGCTGTGGCTACAAAGGCTATTGTTTATGGTTTAGAACAATGATATTGACCTTTAAGTAGTTATGGCTTCCTTAGATAATTCTGTAGGAAGACCTTCGGATAATCTTATATTAACCTCATATTAACACACTTCTCTCCGAAACATAGAGGAAAAGCATTGTAACTATCAGGATTACAACATCTTACTTCCTCCACTCTACTGCTGGATCCATCCCGCAGACCCAGGCCGAGTGACAGATGAAAGGAGTACTCAGACACACGTATCCAATTAAAGAGCAGGCTACGGAACTGCCAGCACTAGGGGCTGAAGAGGGGTAGCAGTCCCGATAAGCTGGGGCCTCTTGTACTTACTGAGTACTGGCATAATGTCAAAGGCCTGGAGCCAACACAATCTGTGGGTAATTAGCATTGTCATACCCCCTTGCAGGGAACAGTCTTGCATGCAGATGATCAAAAGTTGTTCTCTGGGTGACATAAGTATATAAACTAATCTAGATAGATATCTTTTTTTAATTTTATTATTATTATACTTTAAGTTTTAGGGTACATGAGCACAATGTGCAGGTTTGTTACATATGTATACATGTGCCATGTTGGTGTGCTGCACCCATTAACTCATCATTTAGCATTAGTTATATCTCCTAATGCTATCCCTCTTCCCTCTCCCCACCCCACAACAGTCCCTGGTGTGTGATATTCCCCTTCCTGTGTCCATGTGTTCTCATTGTTCAATCCCCACCTATGAGTGAGAACATGTGGTGTTTCATTTTTTGTCCTTGTGATAGTTTGCTGAGAATGATGGTTTCCAGCTTCATCCATGTCCCTACAAAGGACATGAACTCATCATTTTTTATGGCTGCATAGTATTCCATGGTGTATATGTGCCACATTTTCTTAATCCAGTCTATCATTGTTGGACATTTGGGTTGGTTCCAAGTCTTTGCTATTGTGAATAGTGCCACAATAAACATACGTGTGCATGTGTCTTTATAGCAGCATGATTTATAGTCCTTTGGGTATATACCCAGTAATGGGATGGCTGGATCAAATGGTATTTCTAGTTCTAGATCCCTGAGGAATCACCACACTGACTTCCACAATGGTTGAACTAGTTTACAGTCCCACCAACAGTGTAAAAGTGTTCCCATTTCTCCACATCCTCTCCAGCACCTGTTGTTTCCTGACTTTTTAATGATTGCCATTCTAACTGGTGTGAGATGGTATCTCAATGTGGTTTTGATTTGCATTTATCTGATGACCAGTTACGATGAGCATTTTTTCATGTGTTTTTTGGAGGCATAAATGTCTTCTTTTGAGAAGTGTCTGTTCATGTCCTTCACCCACTTTTTGATGGGGTTTGTTTTTTTCTTGTAAATTTGTTTGAGTTCATTGTAGATTCTGGTTATTAACCCTTTGTCAGATGAGTAGATTGCAAAAATTTTCTCCCATTCTGTGGGTTGCCTATTGACTCTTATGGTGGTGTCTTTTGCTGTGCAGAAGCTCTTTAGTTTAATTTGATCCCATTTGTCAATTTTGGCTTTTGTTGCCATTGCTTTTGGTGTTTTAGACATGAAGTCCTTGCCCATGCCTATGTTCTGAATGGTATTGCCTAGCCTTTCTTCTAGGGTTTTTATGGCTTTAGGTCTAAGTTTAAGTCTTTAATCCATCTTGAATTAATTTTTGTATAAGGTGTAAGGAAGGGATCCAGTTTCAGCTTTCTACATGTGGCTAGCCAGTTTTCCCAGCACCATTTATTAAATAGGGAATCATTTCCCGATTGCTTGTTTTTGTCAGGTTTGTCAAAGATCAGATAGTTGTAGCTATGTGGCATTATTTCTGAGGGCTGTTCTGTTCCATTGGTCTATATCTCTGTTTTGGTATCCATACCATGCTGTTTTGGTTACTGTAGCCTTGTAATATAGTTTGAAGTCAGGTAGCATGATGCCTCCGGCTTTGTTCTTTTGGCTTAGGATTGACTTGGCGATGAGGGCTCTTTTTTGGTTCCATATGAACTTTAAAGTAGTTTTTTCCAATTCTGTGAAGAAAGTCATTGGTAACTTGATGGGGATGGCACTGAAACTATAAATTACCTTGGGCAGTATGGCCATTTTCACAATATTGATTCTTCCTACCCATGAGCATGGAATGTTCTTCCATTTGTTTGTATCCTCTTTTATTTCCTTGAGCAGTCGTTTGTAGTTCTCCTTGAAGAGGTCCTCCACATCCCTTGTAAGTTGGATTCCTAGGTATTTTATTTTCTTTGAAGCAATTGTGAATGGGATTTCACTCATGATTTAGCTCTGTTTGTCTGTTATTGATATATAAGAATGCTTGTGACTTTTGTACGTTGATTTTGTATCCTGAGACTTTGCTAAAGTTGCTTATCAGCTTAAGGAGATTTTGGGCTGAGACGATGGGGTTTTCTAGATATACAATCATGTCATCTGCAAACAGGGACAATTTGACTTCTTTTCCAAATGGAATGCCCTTTATTTCCTTCTCCTGCCTGATTGCCCTGGCCAGAACTTCCAACACTATGTTGAATAGGAGTTGTGAGAGAGGGCATCCTTGTCTTGTGCCAGTTTTCAAAGGGAATGCTTCCAGTTTTTGCCCATTCAGTATGATATTGGCTGTGGGTTTGTCATAGATAGCTCTTATTATTTTGAGATACGTCTCATCAATACCTAATTTATTGAGAGTTTTTAGCATGAAAGTTGTTGAATTTTGCCAAAGGCCTTTTCTGCATCTATTGAGATAATCATGTGGTTTTTGTCTTTGGTTCTGTTTATATGCTGGATTACGTTTATTGATTTTCATATGTTGAACAAGCCTTGCATCCCAGGGATGAAGCCCACTTGATCATGTTGGGTCAGATTTTTGATGTGCTGCTGGATTTGGTTTGCCAGTATTTTATTGAGGATTTTTGCATCAATGTTCATCAAGGATATTGGTCTGAAATTCTCTTCTTTTGTTGTGTCTCTACCAGGCTTTGGTATCAGGATGATGCTGACCTCATAAAATGAGGTAGGGAGGATTCCCTCTTTTTCTATTGATTGGAATAGTTTCAAAAGGAATGGTACCAGCTCCTCCTTGTACCTGTGATAGATTTCAGCTGTGAATCCATCTGGTCCTCGACCTTTTTTTGTTGGTAAGCTATTAATTATTGACTCAATTTCAGAGCCTGTTATTTGTCTATTCAGAGATTCAACTTCCTCCTGGTTTAGTCTTGTGAGGGTGTATGTGTTGAGGAATTTATCTATTTCTTCTAGATTTTCTAGTTTATTTGCCTAGAGGTGTTTATAGTATTCCTGGATGGTAGTTTGTATTTCTGTGGGATTGGTGGTGATATCCCCTTTGTCATTTTTTATTGTGTCTATTTGATTCTTCTCTCTTCTTTGTTAGTCTTGCTAGTGGTCTATCAATTTTGTTGATCTTGTCAAAAAACCAGCTCCTGTATTCATTGATTTTTTGAAGGGTTTTTTGTGTCTCTATTTCCTTCAGTTCTGCTCTGATTTTAGTTATTTCTTGCCTTCTGCTAGCTTTTGAATGTGTTTGCTCTTGCTTCTCTAGTTCTTTTAATTGTGATGTTAGGGTGTCAGTTTTAGACCCTTCCTGCTTTCTCTTGTGGGCATTTGGTGCTATAAGTTTCCCTCTACACACGGCTTTGAATGTGTCCCAGAGATTCTGGTATGTTGTGTCTTTGTTCTCATTGGTTTCAAAGAACATCTTTATTTCTGCCTTCATTTGGTTATGTACCCAGTAGTCATTCAGGAGCAGATTGTTCAGTTTCCATGTAGTTGAACAATTTTGAGTGAGTTTCTTAATCCTGAGTTCTAGTTTGATTGCACTGTGGTCTGAGAGATAGTTTGTAATAACTATTGTTCTTTTACATTTGCTGAGGAATGCTTTACTTCCAACTATGCAGTCAATTTTGGAATAGATGTGGTGTGGTGCTGAAAAGAATGTATATTCTGTTGATTTGGGGAGGAGAGTTCTGTAGATGTCTATTAGGTCTGCTTGGTGCAGAGCTGAGTTCATTTCCTGGATATCCTTGTTAACTTTCTGTCTCATTGATCTGCCTAATGTTGACAGTGGGGTGTTAAAGTTTCTCATTATTATTGTGTGGGAGTCTAAGTCTTTTTGTAGGTCACTAAGGACCTGCTTTATGAATCTTGGTGCTCCTGTATTGGGTGCATATATATTTGAGATAGTTAACTCTTCTTGTTGAATTGATCCCTTTACCATTATGTAATGGCCTTCTTTGTCTCTTTTGATCTTTGTTGGTTTAAAGTCTGTTTTATCTGAGACTAGGATTGCAACCCCTGCCTTTTTTTGTTTTCCATTTGCTTGGTAGATCTTCCTCCATTGCTTTATTTTGAGCCTATGTGTGTCTCTGCATGTGAGATGGGTTTCCTGAATACAGCACACTGATGGGTCTTGACTCTTTATCCAATTTGCCAGTCTGTGTTTTTCAATGGGAGCATTTAGCTCATTTACATTTAAAGTTAATATTGTTATGTGTGAATTTGATCCTGTCATGATGATGTTAGCTGGTTATTTTGCTCATTCATTGATGCAGTTTCTTCCTAGCCTTGATGGTCTTTACAATTTGGCATGATTTTGCAGTGGCTGGTTCCGGTTGTTCCTTTCCATGTTTAGCGCTTCCTTCAGGAGGTCTTTTAGGGCAGGCCTGGTGGTTACAAAATCTCTCAGCATTTGCTTGTCTGTAAAGGATTTTATTTCTTCTTCACTTATGAAGCTTAGTTTGGCTGGATATGAAATTCTGGGTTGAAAATTCTTTTCTTTAAGAACGTTGAATATTGGCCCCCACTCTCTTCTGGCTTGTAGAGTTTCTGCCGAGAGATCCGCTGTTAGTCTGATGGGCTTCCCTTTGTGGGTAACCTGACCTTTCTCTCTGGCTGCCCTTAACATTTTTCCTTTCATTTCAACTTTGGTGAATCTGACAATTATGTGTCTTGGAGTTGCTCTTCTCGAGGAATAACTTTGTTGCGTTCTCTGTATTTCCTGAATCTGAATGTTGGCCTACCTTGCTAGACTGGGGAAGTTCTCCTGGATAATATCCTGCAGAATGTTTTCCAACTTGGCTCCATTCTCCCCGTCACTTTCAGGTACACCAATCAGACATAGATTTGGTCTTTTCACATAGTCCCATATTTCTTGCAGGCTTTGTTCTTTTCTTTTTATTCTTTTTTTCTCTAAACTTCTCTTCTCACTTCATTTCATTCATTTCGTCTTCTATCACTAATACCCTTTATTCTAGTTGATTGCATCGGCTACTGAGGCTTGTGCATTCATCACGTAGTTCTCATGCCATGGTTTTTAGCTCCATCAGGTCCTTTAAGGACTTCTCTGCATTGGTTTTCCTAGTTAGCCATTCGTCTAATTATTTTTCAAGGTTTTTAACTTCTTTGCCATTGGTTCAAACTTCATCCTTTAGCTCATAGTAGTTTGATCTTCAGAAGCCTTCTTCTCTCAAGTCATCACAGTCATTCTCCATCCAGCTTTGTTCTGTTGCTGGTGAGGAGCTCTGTTCCTTTGTAGGAGGAGAGGCGCTCTGATTTTTAGAGTTTCTGGTTTTCCTGCTCTGTTTTTTCCCCATCTTTGTGATTTTATCTACTTTTGGTCTTTGATAATGGTGACATACAGATGGGTTTTTGGTGTGGATGTCCTTTCTGTTTATTAGTTTTCTTTCTAAGAGACAGGACCCTCAGCTGCAGGACTGTTGGAGTTTGCTAGAGGTCCACTCCAGACCCTGTTTGCCTGGGTATCAGCAGCAGTGGCTGCAGAACAGCAGATATTGGTGAACTGCAGATGCTGCTGCCTGATTGTTCCTCTGGAAGTTTTGTCTCAGAGGATTACCCAGTCGTGTGAGGTGTCAGTCCACCCCTACTGGGGGGTGCCTCCCAGTTAGTCTACTCAGGGTTCAGGGATCCACTTGAGGAGACAGTCTGCCTGTTCTCAGATCTCCAGCTGCATGCTGGGAGAACCACTACTCTCTTCCAAGCTGTCAGAAAGGGACATTTAAGTCTGCAGAGGTTACTGCTGCTTTTGTTTGTCTGTGCCCTGCCCCCAGAGGTGGAGCCTACAGAAGCAGGCAGGCCTCCTTGAGCTGTGGTGGGCTCCACCCAGTTCGAGCTTCCCGGCTGCTTTGTTTACCTACTCAAGCCTCAGCAATGGCAGGCGCCCCTCCCCCAGCCTTGCTGCCACCTTGCAGTTTGATCTCAAACTGCTGTGCTAGCAATGAGCGAGGCTCCGTGGACATAGGACCCTCCAAGCCATGTTCGGGATATAATCTCCTTGTGTGCTGTTTGTTAAGCCCATTGGAAGAGCACAGTATTAGAGTGGGAATGACCCAATTTTTCAGGTGCCGTCTGTCACCCCTTACTTTGACTAGGAAAGGGAATTCCCTGACCCCTTGCACTTCCTGGGTGGGGCCATGCCTCGCCCTGCTTTGGCTCATGCACTGTGCACTGCACCCACTGTCCTGCACCCACTGTCCAGCACTTCCCAGTGAGATGAACCCAGTACTTCAGTTGGAAATGCAGAAATCACCCATCTTCTGCGTCACTCACACTGGGAGCTGTAGACTGGAGCTGTTCCTATTCGGCCATCTTGGCTCCGCACCGATAGGTTTCTTTACACTCCCTTGTACCTTCTCCCACCACACGGATTGATCTCCTATATCTCCCACTTTTCTGTTTTTGCATCAGGTTTTGTTGATTGAAGAGTACAGATGGGTGCAGCAATAGGTTTGTCAGGCATAGTGGTTACATCTCGTTTTCCAGCTTTACATCCTTGAATTAGTAAATAACATGAGATAAACATGAGTATAATTAGTCATATTCTTTTCCAATCAAGAAGTGACATGTAGTGTTACTTGGCACCTCAGTCTAATGTATGCTGTTACTAAGAAACCCCACTGGGGGTATGTCAATCCCTTCTAGCCAAGTAGTTACATTATTAGTGGCTGAGAAGCGGGTGTCAACCCAAGTAACAGGGTGGAAGAAAGGCAGAGCTAGAAGATGGGCCTGATAGAGAGAAGCAGGTACAGGTAGCAGGCAAAGTGAGAATTTAAAAAGGTTAATAAAGCATAGCAAGGAACAAATTATCTGGAGCTAATGGTATCTGTGTCCAGAGCAGGATTCACTCAGTCCTCTGAGTTTTCTTTTTCAGCATAATGTTCAGGACCTGTGTTGTCTGAGGAAGCTGCATTGTCTGGGGCCATGGGTCCTGCAGGGTTATTTCCTTCATTTCTGGTACCAGGTTGGGTCCTAGCCACACCATGGTGTGGTTTGATGCATCATGCTGGAATCCAAAGAGGGCCTGAGGGGGTGTAAACACAAGCATATTCTCTTCCCCATGTTAGCAGATCATTTGAACCACACCTAACATTACTATTTACATCTTTCCATAAAATCGCAGGTTTTATGTTTTGAGGGGCTTTAGTAAAATGCCTTTGTATGACTGATTGAAATTTGTCACTAAATTTTAAAAATTAAGGGCAAATAAGTCTTGTGCCAATAGTATTTCAGGGTCCTTACTTGTATTTCCTCTTTTTTGTTTTTTGAGCATATTTTTAAGGGTGGAGTGGACACATTCTATTATGGCCTGTCCTTGAAATTTATAAGGGATACCTGTGGAATGTTGAATGTTCCGTGTATGATAAAATTGTTGAAATTGTGATCTGGCATAAGCTGGACCATTATTAGTTTTAATTTTTGTGGGCCACCCCATAAACACAAAGGTTAAGAGAACATGTTTAATGACATATAGGGCAGACTCTCCAGGAAGAATATGAGTGCTAATTAAGTGGGAATTGGTATAAACAGATACATGTATACATCTTACTTTTCCAAATTCAGGGATGTGTGTAACATCCATTTGCCATAACTGATTAGGTTCTTGTCCTTTAGGGTTAACACCTGTTGAAGGAGAGGATGTGCCTGTGAGCTGGCAATCTGGGCATTGTAAAATAATTTGTTTAGCTAGTCTTTGGGTAAGTTGTAATTGTTTAGGTAAATTTCTCCAATTTTGGTGGAAAAATTGATGTAATTGGGTGGCTTGGTTGAGCAGTGATGTCATAACCTGCAGGTCTGCTTGATCATTGCCATAAGCCAGTGGGCCAGGGAGTGAGCTGTGGGCTCAACTATGTGTGATAAAAATAGGATGTGTACATTGATCCAGCAATTACTGAAGTCAAAGAAAAAGGGAACACAGTGTGGGCTCAAGAGTGGACTTAATGAGGGCTGTCTCAAGGTTCTGCAATAAATAAATGAAGTAAGCAGAGTCACTAACAATATTGATGGGTTGAGTGGAAAAGGTTTCTAGGGCCATTATTAGGGCTCCAATCTCAGCTCTCTAAGTGCTAGTAAATCCAGATTGAGTGAGGGAGTCATGCAGTTCCTACCAGACAGCTGCTTTTCCATTTTTACCAGAGCCATCAGTGAAAAGCATTAAAGCGTTAGGTATGGGGGAGTGAACTACTTTTGTAGGCATAACTATAGGAATATGAGATAAGAACTGAAGTAGTTCGTCAGCAGGAAGGGCATATTCTATATGGCCTGCATAATCTGAGAGTGCTATCTGCAGGTCTAGAGATAAGGGCAAGACTGCTTTGAATTGTTTTCTATTCAAGGGAATTTTTATGACACCAGGGTCATAACCTAGCAACAGATTGCATCATCTGCAGCCTGTATAGATGACTTTAGTAACTAGCTGGATATAGGGAGATAGTGCTTTAGTCCTGGTATATAAGCAAAAAACCCATTCTAGAAAGCACAGCCCTGGGGCTATCTGTCCTATTAATCCTGTTGGGGAATGTTTAGTAGAAAAAACAAATAATTGGACTGAATGTCGTGGGTCTAAGCGATCTAGTTTCCTCTGAGAAATAGCTTGCTCTGTTTCCTCAATTTCCCTCTTTGCTGCATGGGTTAAATACCTGGGGGAGCCTAGGGTCATATTGCCCTTTAGGATAGAAAACAAGTTGTGTAACTTATCAGTAGTTATGCCTAAGTTGGGGCAAAGCCAGTTAGTATCACCTTGTAATTTTTGATAATCATTTAAGGTATGTAAGATGTTAGTATTTAATTTAACCTTCTGGGGTCTTACTGACCAGGGAGTTAGTAGGCATCCAAGATATTTCCAAGGAGAGGACATCTGTACTTTTTCAGGTGCTATGATTAAACTTCTTAACTGTGTATTCTTTTTGACAGAGTCATATAAATTTAAAAATATTGGCTCTGTTGGAGCTGCCAGTAATATATCATCCATAAAATTAATAATCTTACAATTAGGAAATTCTTTTTTACTGGGGAGCAAAGCCTCATTTACATGATACTAACCCATGGTAGGACTGTTCAGCATTCCTGAAGGAAGTACTTTCCAATGAAATCGGCAAGCTGGCCTTTCATTATTGATAGCTGGTATTGTAAACGCAAATTTTTCTGTTTTGTTTTGCAAGGGGAATAGTATAAAAACAGTCTTTTAAGTCAATAATGACTATAGGCCAATCTCGAGGAATCACCATGGGGGAAGGGAGCCCCTGCTGAAGGGACCCCCATAAGTTTCAAATTAGCACTGATAGCACGTAAGTCATGCAAAAGTCTCCATTTACCAGACTTCTTGGGAATGACAAAAATGGGTGAATTCCGAGGGCTGTTTGATGGTTGTATATGGCCAGCTTTTAATTGTTCCTCAACTAATTCATGGGCTTGTTGTAATGTCTCTCCCTTTAAAGGCTACTGCTCTATCCAAATAGGATTTTGAGAGAGCCACTTCGGGGGTAGGGGAGGAATAACAGTGGCTATTATTAGAAAGAGGTTTGCTGTTCACATAATCCATTAAATTCTGCCATCCAGAGGAGGTATTGACTGCTCTTTAAAGTTGTTTTAGTTATCACTGACCAGTCCCATAGGGTTATACAGAAGTTGTCTGCTATGGTCTCAATTAATCCTTTCATACATGGGCTAGTGGCTTCATTTTCTCTAATAGTTTTCCTTATCTCCTTATAGGTGTTGAAAATGATGGCTTTATATACCTGATTGCCTTGTTGATCTTGCATCACAGGTAGGCCAAGAGCTCCCCTTCTAATGATGCTTGGCTAAGACAGGGTTCCATAACTGTAGTATATTCCTTGTCTTCTTCCCAGTTTATTGGAGGAGGGGGTTCAGAAAAAACCTCTGTGTTCTCTTTTGTATCTTTACCTGGTAATGGTGGGGCTGAGGGAGGAGGAGGAGGTGGTAAGTTAGGTGATGATTCCTCCTCCCTTCCCTTTTTAGGCTCTTTTGTGTAGAACAGGGCCAAAGCAGGCCTGACTAAGGCCCATAATGTTAAAGATGTTACTGAGACCTGTTGTCCTTGCACATCATGTTGTTTAAGATTTTTCTCCCCACTTGTTCCCAGAGCTCTAGGTCTAGAATGCCTTTTTCCAGAACCATGGGTTATGGGGAACAACAGTTTGTATTAGGTCCCTTAATTGAGCCTGAGAAACTGAGGCTCCACTAGCTTTAAGAAGCTGTTTGAACACTTTTATATACTGTTTCTGTTGAGCTGATAACTGTTGTCCCATGATGAAACCCTAGCTTGAAAATTCCCTCGAACTTGGAAATCCCGAGTGGGCACCAGTGACTTATGGACTGCGCAGTCTCTTCTCCTTCATTTTTGAGGATTCTGTCATGATTTATTGCAGTGTTCCTCACACAGGGCACCAGCTGCCGGGTCCATCCCACAGACCCTGGCTGAGTGATGGATGAAAGGAGTACTCAGACACAAGCATCCAGTGAAAGAGTGGGCTAGGGGACTGCCAGCACTAGGGGCCAAAGAGAGTTAGCAGTCCCAATGAGCTGGGGCCACTTTTATTTATTCAGTACTGGTATAATGTCAAAGACCTGGAGCCAACACAATCTGTGGGTAATTAACATTGTCATCCCCCCCTTGCAGGTAGCAGTCTTATGCACGGATGACCAAAGGTTGGTCTCTGGATGACATCAGTAAATAAACTTATCTAGATAGATTTTTTACACTCCCTTGTTACTTAATCCTCGTCCTTAGCCTCAGGGTAACAGAATTATCTGCCTTCAGCTTTATTCTCTCCTGAAGTGTTTGCAAGACCTTCCCACCTTTCAAGAAGGCTTACGTCTTTTCTTACAGCTTCTCCACCACCCTGACCAATCCCCTACACTCTACATAATTTCTCACTACAGATAGTATGCACAGAATGTGTGAAGGCCACATAGCTAGATGTGTACCTGAGGAATGCACTAAAAACATTCATATTTGTCTTACTTTTTGTTTTCTTTTTCAAGTGCCAGTTACAAAACCATTTTCTGTCAATCATCTGAGCTCTAATCTCTGAGAACTTAACTCCTTGATAATAAAAAATTACTATATCCTAAGACACAATCTTATAACATTTCAATTTCTTTGCTAAAATCCTCAGGTGCCACAGTCACAGATATGGTTTGAATTAGTCTGAAGCTCTTCAGGAGATTGTAATCTGCAGCCAAGTTGCAAACTAAGGTGCTAACACCTTAATTTCCAACTAATTCCTTCCTTAACAGATATTTATGCACACCAGAAAAATGTGACTCGGGATTGTATCTAATGAGTCCTTACTCTGGAACATAGATTTGCTCGTAGGAGAAAAGGGGGACTAAAAGTAGAGTTGGAAAGTGCTAAAGATGTATTTCTACTCCAAAATTTTACCAAGGGCCCCTGACTGTATTTCTTGGCTTGATGACAGCTAGATGTGTCAAGTCAACATTAACAAATTACAGCTTTTCTGAGGAATTTGAGATTTTATGTTAATTACCCAAATAAGATCATATGTAATTAATTTTAAAATACAAAGAAATGATTTATTTGACTCTTAGAGTGGATACATGTTGATGGTACTTTGGGTTATCCTTCCATTGGAGAAGTGCTAGTCACCTACTCAATGATGTCCTGGTGGGATTCTCAATCCCTGTATCCTGTCTATCCAGTATAGGGGTGGGCACATGACCCAGGCTGGACATGTGTGACTATTTTTGTAGGATAAAGAAGTGGAATTACTGGGTTCTAAGATATTCATATTTTCCATTTGGGATATGCCTAATGACCTCCAAAATGGGTGCATTGACTTTTGCTTTCCTGAGAAGTGGATAAAACTATCTGTTCTCTTCAACAACATGAAACATTGAACTTAAAAACTTTTTATCTCTGTAAACATTTATCCTAAAAGCATGTGAAGTGGTATTTTGTGGTTGTTATATTTTGCCTATTTTGACTACTAATGAGATAAGCATATTTTGCATGTTTGTTGAACATTTTATATACTTTTCTGTGAAATATCTATTACCATACTTTGATTATCTAAATTATAGTTCAGGATTTAAATTAGTTTTTATGGTGGACAATTTGATTTTGTTTTTATCTATTAAAATTTTTATTCTTATTTTGTGGGCACATAATAGATACATATATTTATATAGGAAACGAGATGTTTTGATAGACATACAATGCATAATAATCACATCAGGCTAAATGGGGTATCCATTATGTCAAGTCTGTATCCTTTTTCTGTGTTACAATCCAATTTTACTCTTTTTGTTATTTTTAAATGTATAATAAATTATTGTTGACCATAGTCACCCTATTGTGCTCTCAAATACTAGGTGTTATTCATTCCATCCAACTATATTTTGTACTCATTGCATCCCCACTCCCACATCACAATACCCTTCTCAGCCTCTGGTAACCATCATTTTACTCTCTATCTCCATGAGATCCATTATTTTAATTGTCTTTGTTGCCACAAATAAGTGAAAACATTTAAAGTTTATCTTTCTGTGCCTGGCTTATAGTCCCATCCACGTTGCTGCAAATGACGAGATCTCATTCTTTTTCATGGCTGAAGAGTACTCTGTTGTCTATATGTACCACATTTTCTTTATTCATTCATCTGTTGATGGACACTTAGGTTGCTTTCAAATCTTGGCTACTGTGAATAGTGCTGCAATAAACATGAGGGTGCAGATATCTCTTCAATATACTGATTTACTTTATTTGGGGTATATACCCAGCAGTGGAATTGCTGAATCATATGGCAGTTCTACTTTTAGTTTTCCGAAAAATGTCCAAACTGTGCTTCTCCATAGTGCTTCTACTAATTTACATTCCCACCAGTTATGTATGAAAATTCCCTTTTCTCCACATCCTCACCAGCATTCATTATTGCATGTCTTTTGGATAAATGCCATTTTAACTAGGATGAGATGATATCTCATTGTACTTTTTATTTGCATTTATTTGATAATGAATGATGTTGAGCATCTTTTCATATACCTGTTTGTCATTTGTATGTCTTCTTTTGAGAAATGTCTATTCAGATCTTTTACCCACTCATTATCAGATTATTGGATTTTTGTCTTATAGACTTGATTGAACAGCTCATATATTCTGGTTATTAGTCCTTTGTCAGATGGATAGTTTGCAAATATTTTCTCCCATTCTGTGGGTTGTGTCTTCACTATGTTAACTGTTACCTTTGGGCAGAAGCTTTTTAACTTGATATGCTCTCACTTGTCTATTTATGCCTTGATTGCCCAAGCTTCAGGACTCTCTGATGTCCTAGAGAGTTTCTCCAAAGTTTTCTTTTAGTAGTTTTATAGTTTTGTGTCTTAGATTTAAGTCTTTAATCCATTTTAACTTGATTTTTGTATACACTGAGAGATAGCAGTCTAGTTTTATTCTTCTACATATTAATATCAAGTTTTCCTAGCACTATTTATTGAAGAAACTGTCCTTTTCCCAATGTGTGTTTGGCACCTTTGTTGGAAATGAGTTGACTATGGATGTATGGATTTGTGCCTGTGTTTTGGTTATTCTACCTCTGTAGTATAATTTGAAGTCAGATAATGTGATATCTTCACTCTTGTTGTTCTGGCTCTCTTGTAATTCCACATATATTTTAGGATTTTTTCCTATTTCTGTGAAGAATGTCCTTGGCATTTTGATAGGGATTGTACTGGACTTATAGATTGCATTGGGTAGTATAGACATTTTAACAATATTGATTCTTCCAATCCATGAACAGGGAATATCTTTCCTTTTTTGTGTTCTCTTCAATTTTTTACATCAATGTTTTTTAGTTTTCATTGTAGAGATCTTTCACTTCTTTGGTTAATTTTATCCATAGGTATTTTATTTTATTTTATTTGCACCTATTGTAAATGGGATTACTTTTTTATTTCTTTTTCAGATTGTTCACTGTTGGCAATAGAAATGCTACTAAATTTTGTATATTATTTTGTATCCTACAACTTTACTGCATTTGTTTATCCATTCAATAGTTTTTTGGTGGAGTCTTTAGATTTTTCCAAATATAAGATTATATCATCTGGAAGCGTGGATAATTTGACTTTTCCTTTTTGATTTGGCTTGGATATTTCTTTTTCTTGTCTGAGTGCTCCACCTAGAACTTCAAGTACTGTGTCAGATAACAGTAGTGAAAATGGGCATCCTTGTCTTGTTCCAGATCTCAAAAGAAAGGCTCTCACTTTTTCCCCATTTGGTATACTACCTTTGGGTCTGTCATATACGGCTTTTATCATATTGAGGTATATTTATTCTATACCCAGTTTTTTTAGGATTTTTATCATAAAGGGATGTTGAATTTTGTCAAACACTTTTATGGCATCAGTGGAAATGATCATATGGTTTTGTCCTTTATTCTGTTGATAGGATGTATCACATTGATTGATTTGCATATGTTGAACCATTTTTACATCTCTGGGATAAATCCCTCTTGGTCACGTTGAATTATCTTTTAATGTGTTGTTGAATTCAGTTTGCTAATATTTTCCTGAGGACTTTTGCATCAATGTTCATCAGAGGTATTGGCCTGTGGTTTTCTTTTGTTTGATGTATCTTTATCTGCTTGGTTTTAGTATCAGGGTAATAATGGCCTTGTATGATAGAATGAGTTTGGAAGTATTCCCTCCTCTATTTTTCAGCATAGTTTGAGTAGGTTTGATATTCGTTCTTCTTTAAGTGATAGGTAAATGTAACAGTGAAGCAAAATTGGGTGCTGGGCTTTTCTTTGCTGAGAGACATTTTGTTACAGTTTTGATCTGATTACCTGTTCAGGTCTGTTATTTGTTATTATTGGTCTGTTCAGATTTTGGATTTCTTTGTGGTTAACTCTTGGTAGATTGTATGTGTCTAGAGTTTTATTTGTTTCTTCTCAATTATCAAATTTATTGATATATAGGTTATCATAATAGCTTCTAATGATTCTTTGAATTTCTGTGACATTACTTGTAATGTCTCTTTTTTCATCTCTGGTTGTTTTGTTTCTTCTCTCCTTTTCTTAGCCTGGCTAAAGGTTTGTGGATTTGTTTATACTTTTTTTTAAAAAAACTTCGCATTGGCCGGGCGCGGTGGCTCACGCCTGTAATCCCAGCACTTTGGGAGGCCAAGGCGGGCGGATCACGAGGTCAGGAGATCGAGACCATCCCGGCTAAAACGGTGAAACCCAGTCTCTACTAAAAATACAAAAAATTAGCCGGGCGTAGTGGCGGGCGCCTGTAGTCCCAGCTACTTGGGAGGCTGAGGCAGGAGAATGGCGTGAACCCGGGAGGCGGAGCTTGCAGTGAGCCGAGATCCCGCCACTGCACTCCAGCCTGGGCGACAGAGCGAGACTCCATCTCAAAAAAAAAAAAAAAAAAAAAAAAAAAAAAAAAAAAAAAAAACTTCGCATTTTGTTGATCTTTGGTTTTCTTTATTCATTTCAATTTCATTTATTTCTTCTCTATATTAATTATTTTTTTCTTCTAACTTCGGGTTTGATTTGTTCTTGCTTTTCTAGTTTTTTAAGAGACATCATTAGGTTGTTTATTTGAAGTTTTTCTATTTGTTTGATGTAAGTACTTATTCCTATAACAATACCTTTTATTACTGCTTTTGCTGCATCTCATAGGTTTTGGAAAGTTGTGTTTCCATTTTCATTTGTTTGAAAAAAATTTAATTCCTTTTTAATTTCTTTATTGATCCATGGTCATTCAGAAGCATATTGTTTATTTCCATGTGTTTGTATAGTTTCCCAAATTCCTCTTTTTATTGATTTCTAGTTTTTATCCTTTGTGGTCAGAGAAGATACTTGATATAATTTTTATTTTTTTAAATGTTTTAAGACTTGTTTTGTGGCCTTGACATGACACATGTTATACCCTTATGAATAATCCATGTGCTGAGAAAAAGGATATGTATTCTCCAGCCATTGATTGAAATGTTCTGTAAATATCTGTTAGGTCCATTTAGCCTATAGTGCATATTAAGTTCATTGTTTCTTTATTGAATTTCTGTCTGGATGATATGTACAACACTGAAAGTAGAGTGTTGAAGTCTCCAGTTAATACTGAATTGGAGTCTCTCTCTCTCTCTCTCTTTTGGTATAATAATATTTGCTTTATATATTTGGGTGCTCTAGTGTTGGGTGCACAGATATTTATAATAGTCATATCTTCTTGCTGAATTGATTCCTTTATCATTATATAATGACCTTCTTTGTGTCTTTTTAATAGCTCTTGTCTTAAAATCTATTTTGTTTGATATAAGCATAGCTCCTCCTGCTTTTTTTTTTCTTTCTATTTGCATGGAATATCTTTTTCCATCCCTTTATTTTCAGTCTATATGTGTCTTGACAGGTAAAGGGTTTCTTGTCTTCAACAGATCATTGGGTCATGTTTTTTCTTCATTCAACCACTGTATGTCTTTTGATTCAAGGGTTTAGTTCATTTACACTCAACGTTATTATTGATGAGTCAGGACTTACTCCTGCAATTTTTAATTTGTTTCTTGGTTGTTTTACGTATTTTCTTCTTTCTTTCATGTCTTCCTTTTAGTGGAGGTAATTTTCTCAGGTAATATCTTTTAATTTCTTGCTTTTTTGTGTATCCGTGCTATACTTTTTGATTTGTGGTAACCATGATGCTTGCAAATAGTATCTTATAACCCATTATTTTAAACTGATGCCAACTTAACACCAATTGCATAAGCAACCAAACAAACATGCAAAGAGAAAATTAATAAAAACTTTACACTTTAACTTCATCCTCTGCTTTTTAACTTTTTGTTGTATCTACTTATATCTTAGTATACTCTCTATGTCTTGAAAAATTGCAGTTATTATTTTTGATAGGTTCACCTTTTAGGCTTTCTACTCAAGATATGAGAAGTTTACACACTACAATTACAGTGTTACATTATTCTCTGTTTTTCTCCATACATACTATTACCAGTGAGTTTTGTATATTCAGATAATTACTTATTGCTTATTAACGTTCTTTTCTTTCATATTGAAGAACTCTCTTTACCATCTCTTGTAGGACAAGTCTGGTGTTGGTTAAATCCCTCAGCTTTTGTTTTTCTGGGAAAGTCTTGGTTTCTCCTTCAACTTTGAAGTTTTTCTTTTTATGGAATATACTATTCTAAGATAAAAAAAAATTTTCCTTCAGCACTTTAAATATGTCATGCCATTCTCTGCTGGCCTGTAAAATTTCCATGAAGAAGTCTACTCTCAGTTGTATTGTATGTTATTTGTTTCTTTTTTTCTTGCTGCTTTTGGAATCCTTTTTTATCCTTGACCTTTGGGAGTTTGGTTATAAAATGTCTTGAGGTAGTCTTCTTTGAGTTAAATCTACTTTGTGTTATGTAACCTTCCTGTACTTGAATATTGACATCTTTCTCCAGGTTTAGGACATTCTCTGTTATTATCTCTTTTAGTAAACTTTATACTCCATTTTCTATCTCTCTACTTTCTCTCTAAGGCCAATAACAGATTTGTCTTTTTGAGGCTATTTTCTAGGTGTGCATCATTCTTTTCTTTTTTCATTATTTTGTCATCCTGACTCTATATTTTTAAACAGCCTGCTTGAAGCTAACTAATTCATTCTTCTGCTTGATTAATTCTGCTATTAAGAGACTCTGACGCATTCTTCAGTATTTTAATTGCACTTTTCAGACCCAGAATTCCTACTTGATTCTTTTTGATTATTTCTATCTCTTTGTTAAATTAATCTCATAGGATTCTGAATTCTTTATCTATGTTATCTTGGATTTTCTTGAGCTCCCTCAAACAGCTATTTTGAATTCTCTATCTGAAAGGTCATATATCTCTGTCTCTCTGGGATTAGTCACTAGTGCCTTATTTAATTCATTTGATATGGTCATATTTTCCTGGATGATATTGATGTTTGTGGATGTTCATCCTTGCCTGAGTATCTGAGGGTTAGATATTTATTTAATCTTCACAGACTTGCCTTTTTGTTCCTGTCCTTCTTGGAAAGGTTTTCCAATTATTCAAAGGATCTTTAGTGTGGTGATGTAAGTCTTTTGTCACTGCAGCCATATCTGCCTTAGGGGGCACACTAAGCCTAGAAACACTGTGACATTTGCAGTGGTACTGCAAATATAGAGGTACTATCTTAGTGGTCTTAGGCAAGTTCCAGAAGAATTCCCTGGATTACCACACAGATACTCTTGTTCTTTTCCTTTACTTTCTCCCAAACAAATACAGACTGTCTGTGCTGAACTGCCCAGAGCTGAGAAAAGGGTGACACAAACACCCCTGTAGTCACCACCACTGAGACTGCACTGGGTCAGACCCAAAGCCAGGATAGCACTGGGTTCCACCCAAGACCTGCAGTGACCACTGCCTGACTACTGCCTATGTTCACTCATGAAGACCCAAGGGGTCTACAGTCAACAAGTGGCAAATCCAGCCATGCTTTTATTCTTTCCTCCAGCTATTGGGTTCCTGCTGGCCCAGGCAGGTTCAGAAGTACCATCTGGAAGCTAGGGCCTAGAGTCAGGAAACTTAGGGATCTACCTGGTGCTCTATTCTATTGTGGCTGAGCTGGCACTCATTCTGGAAGACAAAGTCTTTCCCACCTACCCTCCCCTTTCCTCAAACAAAGGAGTCTTTCTAGATTTCCACCATCACCTCAGGCCTGTGGCAAGTGCTTCCTGGCTACCACCAATGTTCATGCAAGGCCCAATGACTCCTCAGTCAACTCACGGTGAATGCTGCCAGTCCTGAGTCTCTCCCCTCAGGACAATGGGCCCCCTCTGGCCCAGGGCAAGTCCAGAAATGTTGTCCATGGCCTGGAATTGGGAACCCCTGGAGCCTGCTTGGTGACCAACCTGTGACTAAGCTGGTACCCAAGCTGCAAGACAAAGTTCCTTTAATTTTTCCTCTCCTCTCCTCAAACAGATAGGGTATCTCTCCATAGCTACCATAGCTAGGAATATGCTGGGTTACTCCTAAGGGCAGCATGGTTCTGAGTCTCACCCAAGGTTGCAGGAAGTACTGCCTGGCTATCAGTGCTGATTATTCAGGGCCCAAGGGCTCTTAAGTTAGTAGGTGATGAATCCAGGGTTGGGCCCTTCCCTTTAAGACAGCAGGTTTCCTTCTTGCCCAGGATGTGTCTAGAAATGTCATCTGGAAGACAGGGCTTGAAATGGGGGCCTCAGGACTTGCCTGGTGCCCTATTCTACTGTGGCTGAGCTAGTATCCAATTTAGTATCCAATAAACTCCAGAGCACTTTAACCCACTGTGGCAATACTTACCAGAACCTTGGTTCTGACCAACAATTTCCTTCTGGCTAGGACAGGTCTAAATGCTCCCTTCATGGGCACTGGTTGAGTTCTGCCCTGTGTTGCTTTCCCTTGACAAGGCAGCACTGAGTCCCAATGCAAAGTCCCACAATTACTGTTCTCCCCCTCCCAAAGCACACAGATTATTTCTCCACTCCACAGCATAGGGCTGCTGCCTGGGGATTGGGGGGGTGCTACAGGTGATTCAAGGCTGTCTTTCCTACCACCTTCAGTGCCTCTTTCCGTAACATGATGTTGAAACCAGGTACTGTGATCACTCACCTGATTTCTGGTTCTTATGAAGGTGCTTTTTTTAGTGTGGATAATTGTTCAATTTGGTCTTCCTATGATGGGGACAGTCACTGGAGGGTTTATTCAGCTGTCTTGCTCTACCTCCCTCTGGCAATTTGGTTTTGAAGTCTTGCTTATTTCATCAGGTAACAATAAATTGCAAAAATGTATTCCAAGAAACTATACATATTATTAGACATTGTGTCAAGAACCTTTATCACAGCACTGCTTATAGTTGCTGTATTAGGGTGCTTCAGAGAAACAGAATTGGTAGTATATATAGAGATATAGAAGAAGGGATTTATTATAAAAATTAGCTTACACAATTTTGAACACCAAGAAGTACCATGATAGGCCATTTGCAAGCTGGAGAACCACAAATCTTGTAGTGCAGTTCAGTCTGAGTCCAAAGGCTGGGGAACCAGAAGTGCCAACATCCAAGGGCAGGAAAAGATAGGTGTTCCTGCAGAGGGGAGAGAGAGAGAGAGAGAAATATAATTCACTCCTCATCTGCCTTTTTGTTCTATTTTGTCCCTCAATGGTTTGAAGGATGCCTGACCACATTGGGGAAAATGGTCTTCTTTTCTTAGTCTCCCTATTCAAATGCTAATTACTTCTGGAAACACCCTTGTGGCAGGCCAGTTCTCACTAACACAAGCCTGAATAACAACTGTTTTACTACTGACTGGTTAAGTTAAATATTAAAAGCCAGTGCCCTTCTACAAAGGCTAGGATGTCACAAAAACCCACCAAGAGTTTTGCCTAGGCCTTTCCTGGGCCTTAAAGCATGATAAAATAATGAAGGAATTATTAACAGGACTTTTATTGTGGGTCTGAAGAAACTTCCCAGGCCTCCACAAACAAGTTTATTGGGGGTCCGAAGGAACTCCCCAAACCTCCGTGATTTGGCAGGAGGCAAGATAAGGGTAATCACCCCAGATCTAATCTGGACCCATTTAGATTAAGTAAATTTACTGAGGCTTCAGAGAAAAGTCTTCAGGTCTAAGACCTTTGTTATAGATTAAAAGAAGTTAATCACTTGTGTCTTTAGATGAATGCATACTTACACATAGACATGTAACTTAGAAGGTATATAAGCTCTGAAAAACTGTGTAATTTTGAGTTGGTCTGGTAATAATTCCCAGGCCTTCTCCCTATAAGCAGTTGTGGAAATACAAACTCTTTTACTCCCCAGTTCATCTGCATCTCATTATTGGGCCATGAGAAATAGAAGCCTGACCCTCAGCTTGGTCTGAGAACACCTTCACATACAATTCAGAAATAGTATTTTACCTGCTATCTGAGTATCCCTTAACCTAGTCAAGTTAACATATAAGATTAACCATCACAATTACAAAGAAAAAAATGGAAACAAAATTAATGTTCAATAAGATGGGATTGATTATGTAATTTATGATAAACATGAATAATTATGCATTATAAAATATGATAATATGATAGGAGATTATAGTTACACAATATATATAAGTGATTAAAAATAGAATGTATATCATGATCCCTTCTTTGTAAAAGTAAATTATGTATGTGCTTATGTTTATACATTTTTCAAAAGCATGGAAGAAAATTTAAAAATCTGAAGCAATGACTTTTTCAAAAGTGTTCTTACAGATGATTTTCTTTTTCTTCTTGTTAATGAACTATATTTTCTAAATTTTCTGTTCAAAAAACTATGTAACTCTGTATTAAGACAAAACAAAATTTACTCTAAACTGTTGATCAAGGGCTGGGTGTGGTGGCTCACGTCTGTAATCCCAACAATTTGGGAGGCAGAGGCATGTGGATCACTTGAGGTCAGGAGTTTGAGACCAGCCTGGCCAACATGGCAAAATCTCATTTCTACTAAAAATACAAAAATTAACCAGACATGGTGGCATGTTCCTGAAGTCCCAGATACTTGGGATGCTGAGATGCAAGAATCACTTGAACCCAGGAGGCAGAAGTTGCAGTAAGCCAAGCACTGCACTCCAGCCTGGATAACACAGTGAGATTCCATCTTAAAAAAAAAAAAAAATACCATGTTGATCAAGCTGAACCTTTTGCTTGAACAAACAAAATCTCTGTTTTAATTTTTCTTTTCAGTGTTTGTCATTTTAAATGCAATAATCATGGCTTTGTACTGCAATTTGCATTGAAATTTTGCCTAAAGTCCACTGGCATTATGATGCTGTAATCTATACATATGGTAATCTAAGAATTAGTAGAAATTATATACTTTAAGAAAATGAATAGTATTAAGTTCTTCTGCAGCTGCTTCAATTATATCCTAGGGAAGTAAACAATATTGGACTTAACCCTATCCATGAAGCATTTGAAAACACATTACAGTTGATTATGATTATTATTATCACAAATTGAATCAAGATGTGCAAACAACATACTTTTTTATTGATGATAATTTTCTCAAGCTCTTGATTCCTGCTGTAGAATCCTTAACTATGTCCTGAAATGGAATAATTTATAACCATGCTCTGAAAGGAGAACCTTCCATTGATATGTTCTTGGTAATCTCTTATCATAACTGGGTCATTTCTGGCTGCTTCTCAATGAATGAATAATGTCACCAATAGATTTATCTTGTTAACAGAATCTCATTACGTTATTAATGGCCATTTTTAATCAGGTAATAGATAATTATCTGTTTCTTTTTTACGTGTTGCTTCTCCTATGGGAAATTACTATATAAAATGTAATTAGCTCTATCCAAAGGTCCAATGAGTTGTTCTGTGAGTGCCAGATCAGTTATTTCTTGCCCTCTGGAAATAGAAATGAAATTCTGAGTCAATACATGTAAACCAATTTCTTTACATGTATTAGAACAACTTCTGGCACATGATATGTTTTCTTTTTTAAAAAATTTTGTTATTATACTTTAAGTTTTAGCGTACATGTGCACAACGTGCAGGTTTGTTACATATGTATACATGTGCCATGTTGGTGTGCTGTACCCATTAACTCGTCATTTAGCATTAGGTATATCTCCTAATGCTATCCCTCCCCCCTCCCCCCACTCCACAACCAAAGTCACAGATATGTTTGTCTCTTTTGCAGAGGGTGACAGGCAAACAAGAAATGATTAGCATGAAGCTCATTATTTTCTGTTGTCTGAACCATAGTCAAAAATTTAAGTTTCTAGACAGTGGAAATATAGACACAACATTTAGTTTGCATCACTTAATGAGGGGGATACATTCTGAGAAATATGTCATTAGGCAATTTCATCATTATGCAAATATCACAGAGTGTACTTACACAAATCTAAATGGTATAGCCTACTACACAACTAGGCTATATGGTATGGCCTATTGCTTCTAGTCCAAAAACCCATACAACATGTTACTGGACTGAATACTATAGGCAATTGTAACACAAAGGTAAATATTTGTGTTATCTAGTCATATCTAAATTTAGAAAAGGTAATTCACTGTGTTATGATGTTATGATGACTACCATGTCACTAGGTAACAGGAAGTTTTCAACTCCATTATAATCTTATGGGACGACTGTCATATATGTGGTCTGTCACTGACAGAAATGTTATGTGGTAAATAACATTTCATGAGTGCATATTCTTTTTAAAAATATTGTTTGGCAAGTTCCTTGTGTTCATCTCTTTGAATTTGATCCCATCACTTTGAAATGAATTTTTCATAGCACCTGAATACACATATAGCAGAAGCTGGACACATTGAGAGAAAAGCTGAACACATTTACTTCTACTATGTATTTGAGACACATTTACAAGTGTTTTATATTTTGGGGCTAGTTCACATACTACCACCTTTAATAATTCTTCCCCTATCTCCTTTTTTCTTATTAGAAATATTTAATCATATATACAGTATTGAGCATCTGTACCTGATTGCAAGTTAGATTAGTGGTTCTTAGAAAAACAAAAAGCTGGAAATCCCTGCTGTTAAGGCCATTATATACCTAATGCTCAGGTGCCTCTGGATGTACAACCAGATGAAGCCTGATGGAGTTTATCACAGCTTCTTCTAGAAAATGTGCAAATGGAGAGCTAGGAAATTATCCAAAGCACAGGACCCCATATTTTAAATGGAGAAGGAAAGATCCATCCTGGGCAAACAGCCACCAGTTGCCTCTTCTACATCAGCTAAAACAAAGATGGGACCAGTTCTAGCCTCTACCTTTTGGAATCCATGCCACTGACAGATCAGTAGGATCTAAGAAATTTAGAAAGTGGCTAAATGAGTCCAGTGGTCATGGCTGTTTCTCACTCTGGCACATTGGAAACTTAATAGGGACTGTGGTCTCCCCTTTAGGCCCCAGCCTAGTTTCCAAGCTTCCCCAGTCTGAGTAGGGAGCCCTCTAAGACTGGGCCTGGGAGTTGGTCTTCAAGGTGTGAAGATATCCCTGCTCACCTCTACCCACCAGGTCATCCTTGAAGGTTTTTAGATGTCTTTAATCTTTCTGGCTGCAAGGTTTGTTTCCTTTCCTCTCCATGCTTTGACAAAATGGCCAAAGGAGAATATTTAGAAGCCTCCTCAGCGAAGAAATGACATCTGTTTTTATTAATTCCTGATTCTTTGTCTTTCTTGGGAAATATGATTAGACATACTTCTAAGCTTGCAAGCCCCATTTTAGAGCTCCTGGTAGATGCTATATAGTAAGTGTTTTTCTACTGAGGACATGAAGTCAGAAGCACATTGCTCACTGATGCACGGTTTTAAGGTGGCACGTGACTTCCAGTTCCTTCTCCATAGCAGACTCTGGGGCAGGGATGCAAATGAGCTGAATCTCTGAAGGGCCTTAAGTGGTTGCCATCTCCACCTTTCAATCTGGTCATTCCTGCAGTGGCTGAGGCATGTCCTAACCGTTACTCAAAGTCCCCTTTAGTCCATTAGCAAAACATGCTTAAGTCTGTCTCCAGTTTCTGGCAGAAATTGGTCAGATAGTTGGTTTCCATACCTGAGCACTGCTACTCCCAAAACATCAGTTAGGGGCCAGGATCAAGTACCCAAGCAGAGACAAAATACAGAATGGATCTAGTCTCCGTTTTCACCAGTAACTCTCTGGTCCCATGCAGACAGGACTCCTAATTCATGAGCAATTGGGAGTCTATTAAAGGTAACATTAAAATGGAAATTCCCAAGTAGTAATTTGGCAAGGACTTTTTTTCTTAGACTTCTTCAATTTAATGTCATAAAACATGTTTCCAATATCTTGCTTTTGTCTCAGTGCTGCTTGTGTTAGGTCCTCATTATCCCTTTTATATGAACGTTCAGTGTTTTGACATTCACAGTGAAAAAGCATGTTGACTCGTATTTAGGACAATTATTTTTATGTCAAGTACAGGTAGAGTCTCACCTTAGCTTTGAAATTATTCAGAATAGCAATCTCCTTAACAATCATTGTTCCTTTCCTGTATCGTCCTGATTTTAAAGAGACACAGTCCAAAGACGACTCCTCACTCACTGCTCTCTCAAACATTTAAAGAGCACACAGAAATTCTTATTAAAATCCTCTCTGCTCTACTTATTAAAATCTCTGCTTATTAAAATCCTCTGTGCTCTATGGAACAGAATATTGTAGGTCAATAAATCTAATGATTCTAACTTTCAATAAGAGGTGTTTTGGTTATGTTATCAGTTATTTATTGCTGCATAACAAATTTAAACCAACATACTGGCTTAAAATAATAAAGTGTACCCCCAAGCTCCCAATATACTCTTAATGTATTATCCCAAGAGAGACTTCTTTCTCATCCACATGTGTCTTTCCAGCATGGTATTTGTTTACACACCACTCTGGACCATCCCCTCCTCATAATGCATCCCCTTCCAGGTTATATTTCTCCCTCCATGTGCAACATCCTGGGATTTTTTTTTTTTTCATAGAGCCTGACTGCTTTCCTTCCATGATTCTTCATTTTGTATTTTTGTCTTTTTATCCTCAGAGAGCAGGAGAGATAGGAAAACTATAAATCCTGAATGTTAGTAATGTATATTCTCTTATATACTTATTATTTATAACACCTTCATTATTATTATTTTTCCTCCCTTTTGGGTAACAAACTGATTTGGAAAAGCAAGGCCGCATAGTGTATAAATGTAAGGAGCTTGGATTTGAATCCATGTCTGCCTGGTTCATGCTACTCCCCAAAGCAGCAGGACAGTGGTGCTGCCTAATTTCCATTTCAGTTATCTTTTCAAATATTTTATCTTTTCTATAAAATAGAATTGAAAAATGCAAAATAATATTCACAGATTTGTTCATAAAGAACTTTATGATATAGTCAAATGTGTGCACTTAATAATCATCTGCATTTTTGATTAATTGAAAAGGGGGAATCATTTTTCTTCAAAAATTTTTTTTAGTGATAAACAGTAATACAAACAGAGCAAGACACAGTTCCTGGCCTATCCAAGTTCAAAATCTCTAGGGGATTTTCACTCTGAGAACTGCACACACCATCCTTTGAAAAACACTGACGTTCCATTTTCTAACCCTAGCACCTAGCAACCAGACATGGTAAGGATTCAGCAAATGCTTTTTGAATGAAATAAATCTGTATTAGACTTTTTTCCAATACCATAATTTCAGTATTATGATTGCACATTTGTGACTGTTTTAATTTTTTAAAGACTAGCTTGAATTCATTATTGTGTCCAATTTCACTTCAAAACTCAGGGCTTTCCTTGTCCTTGATTTTGGTGTTGTAACAGTCACAAATAAATTTTTTGCTTTACTCACAGGCAACATGAGGAGAGGGAGAAAGATCTTCCTTTAAAATAAGTTGGAAGAGGAAGGCAAAAAGCTAAAGAAAGCATTAAGATTTATATGGCTGAGAAAGTGGAATTTAATGAATTAAGAACTAAAAAAGAAGAAAATGGGAGGGTCCAGCATAGGTAAAATCAGTTTAAGCAGAAAGAAAAGGAGTGATGCAGAAAATTCTGGGTCAAGAAGGTTCTTGGGCAGAACTCTCCCAGAAGTGTCGTTCCCTTAAAACAATTTGGTTATTTGAAAAATTAAATGGTAGTGGTAGGTGATTAGCCCAGGAATAAGGAATGAAAAAATGTGACAATATGTGGTATATCCATTGGATTGAGTGTCTAGCCCAAGGTTTGAATCGTGACACAATTCCCCCAGCAAGCCTGCCATCCTAGACTTGAACACTTCAAAGGGTGGAGAATCATGGAGGATGCGCATTATGTTGCCAGGTAACTTTGTCAATAAATTTATCCTTTTCCTGAGCTAATGTTTCTCTTCCCATAAATTTCCACTCTTGGAGTGATATGGAAAATTTTGGCTTCACTTATAATCATTTATCACCTCTTTGAAAACAACTCCTTTACTCATGAGTTGGTTACTGTTAATTTGTGGATTGTCTCTATTCAACTAATGAATATGCTGTTGTTGGGTGCTATAACAAGCTTAACCCCCCAAATTAAAATAATAATACACTAACAATGATGACATTTTTTGGAGGGTTTCTAAAAGCTTAAGTGGCATTGAAGGGTAGCAATAGTTTGTGGTAGAAGACAGCTTATGTTTCTCAAATCACTTTAGTAAAATAATTATGTCAGGCTGGGCACGGTGGCTCAGGCCCATAATCCCAGCATTTTGGGAGGCCGAGGCAGGTGGATCACTTGAGGTCAGGAGTTTGAGACTAGCCTAGCCAACATGGTGAAACCTTGTCTCTCCTAATAGTACAAAACACATTTAGACAGGCGTGGTGGCAGACACCTGTAATCTCAGCTATTTGGGAGGCAGAGACACAAGAATCGCTTGAACCTGGGAGGCAGAGGTTGCAGTGAGCCAAGATCATGCCACTGCACTCAAGCCTGGGCAACAAAGTGAAACTGTGTCCCAAGAAGAAAAAAAAAAGAAAATAATTATGTCATAATGCACAATCCTGTTTTCAAACATGTTAAAATGTAATAGATTTTCTCATTTCATATTTAATGTTTCTTTTTAGGATTAAAGTAATTTAAGGTATCCATTCAAGCCTCCTTAAGAACACTTTTCCAAAATTATACTACCACTGTTATTTTGAATTACCCCAGCAAGAAATGTGCTAGCAAGAAAAGCCAGCTTTGATGGATATTTCCAAGGACTTCTTTGCAGGAGTTTACCTAGTCATTTTATTTTGTTATCTGGAAGGAAATAACTGAATTTAGTTTTAATTTTTTTAATTGTGAAATATGTCACCTATGAGGAATAGTTTATTGTGATAGCATTTTGGTGGGTCAGCTTGACTAGGATGAATTACAATCCCTAGAATTACATTTCTAGTCGCTTTCCTGTTGGGGTGGGCTACAAGGGATCATCTCCCAGGAGAGTTGGAGGACTGAAGTGAGGCACTGACAGTTTGAGGCATAAACACCCCTACTGTCTATTAGTCAACCAAACACTAATCTAGGCTCTGCTGTGAAAGGACTCTGTAGATGTGATCATAGTCCTGAGTCATTTGGTTTTAAATTAATCAAAAAAGAGATTATCTTGGGTAGGCATAACTTAATCAGTTGGGATTTTTTAAAAACAGGGCCTAGGCCTTCCCTGAACTCGGAGATTTCAAATGGCAGCTGGACTTGCAACTTTTCTCCCTCCAAAGCCCTCTCTCATCTTTCTTCCTGACTGAAACCTATGGACAAGAAGCTCTCTCTTGTTCCCTGGGATTCTGGTTTGCTCATGATTTTCCCTTTCTCCTTGCTTGCCCAACAGACTTTGATTAGCCCCTGCTATTGCATTAGCCAATTTCTTGGAATATGTATTTGTATATACACAGACATATATATATACACACACACACACACATATATATATATCCTACTGGTTTTGCTTCTCCTTTTGAACCCTAACTGATAAACATATGAAATATGTGTCTTAAATTTAACAAATATTGACAATAAAATTCTTATACTCATCACTAATCGAAACTGAGAAATAGAATATTATCAGTTTCTTAGAAGCCCACATGTGTTCCTCTCTCTTTGCACCTTTCTTCCTCCTTCTACTCCAGCAGTAACCACTATTCTTACTTTTGAGTTAATAATTTCCTTGTTTTGTTTTCCCTACTTTTATTTTAGATATAGGGGGTACATGTGCAGGTTCATTACATGGGAATATTTCATAATTCTGAGGTTTGGGGTATGGATCCTGTCACCTAGGTAGTGAGCATAGTACCAGATAGGTGGTTTTTCAACCCATGCCCCCTCGGTTATCTGCAGTGTCTATTGTTCTTATATTTATGTCCATGTATGCTCAATGTTTAGCTCCCACTTATAAGTGAGAATAGGTGGTATTTGATTTTCTGTTCCTGCATTAATTTGCGTAGGATTATGGCCTCCAGATGTATCATGTTGTTGTAAAGGACATAATTTTATTCAATTTTATGACTGCCTAGTATTTCCTGGTTTATATGTACCACATTTTCTTTATCCAGTTTACCATTGATGGGTACCTGGGTTGATTCCCTGTCTTCACTATTGTGAATAGTGCAATGATGAACATATAAGTGCATGTACCTTTTTGTTGAATGATTTATTTTCCTTTGGTTATATACCCAATAATGGGATTGTTACGTTGAATGGTAGCTCTGTTTTAAGTTCGTCGAGAAATCTTCAGACTGCTTTCCACGGTGGCTGGACTCATTTACATTCCCACCAACAGTGTATAAGTTTTCCCTTTTCTCTGCAACCTCATCAGCATCTATTGTTTATTGACTTTTTAATAATAGCCATTCTGACTAGTGTGAGATGGTATCCCATTGCAGTTTTTATTCACATTTCTGTTATGATTAGGGATACTGCACATTTCTTCATACGTTTACTGGCCACTTGTATGTATTCTTTTGAGAATTGCCTGTTCTTGTCTTTTGCCCACTTTTTAATGAGGTTTTTTGCTAGTTGATTTTTCTCTATAGATTCTAGAGATTAGGGCTTTGTTAGATGTATAATTTTTGAATATCTTCTCCCATTCTATAGGGTGTGTTTGCTCTGTAGATAGTTTATTTTGCTGTTCCAGAAGCTCTGTAGCTTAATTAGGTCCCACTTGCATAATTTTTTTAATTGTAGTTGCTTTTGGGGGCTTAGCCAAAAATTCTTTGACAAGAAGAATATTTTCTAGGTTGTCTTCTGGGATTTTTATAGTTTGAGGTCCTGAGTTTACATATTTGATCCATTTTGAATTAATATTTTTATATGTTGAAAGGTAGGGGTCCAGCTTCAATCTGCATCTGGCTAGCCAGTTATCCCAGCACCATTTACTTAATAGAGAGTACTCTGCCCATTGCTCGTTTTTGTTGACCTGGTAAAAGATCAGATGGTATAACATGTGTGGCTTTATTTCTGAGTTTTCTATTCTGTTCTTTTTGGTCTATGTGTCTGTTTTTGTACCAGTACCATGCTGTTTTGGTTACTGTAGCTTTATAATATAATTTGAAGCCAGGTGGCATGATGCCTCCAGCTTTGTTCTTTTTGCTTAGGATTACTTTGGTTATTTGGGCTCTTCTTTGTTTCCATATGAATTTTATAATAGTTTTTTCTAATTTTGTGAAGAATGATATTTGTAGTTTGATAGGAATAGCAATGAATCTGTAAATCACTTTCGGCAGTCCGGCCACTTTTACAATATTGATTCTTGTAATCCATGAGTATGGAATTTTTTTTGTTTATTTGTGTCATCTCTAATTTCTTTCAGCAGTGTTTTGTAGTTCTCCTTGTAGAGATCTTTTACATCGTTGGTTAGCTGTATTCCTTGCTGTATTACTAGATATTTCATTTCCTTTGTGGCTATTGTAAGTGGGATTGTGTTCTCAATTTCATTTTCAACCTGGACGTTGTTGGTTTATAGAAATGTTACTGACTTTTAAATAGTAATGTTGTATCCCAAAACTCTACTAAAGTCATTTTGCCAGTTCTAGGAGCCTTTTGGCAGAGTCTTTAGGATTTTCTTGGTATATAACCCTATGATCAGTGAAGAGAGATAGTTTGAGTTCCTTTTCCTATTTGAATGTCTTTTATTTATTTCTCTTGCCTGATTCCTCTGGCTAGGACTTCCAGTATTATATTGAATGGGAATGGTGAGAGTGGGCATCCTTGTCTTATTCAAGTTCTCAAGGGGAATGGTTTGAGCTTTTGCCCATTCAGTATAATGTTGGCTATGGGTTTGTCATAGATAGCTCTTATTATTTTGAAGAATGTTCCTTTAATGAATAGCCTGTTAAGGGTTTTGTTTTTGTTTTTGTTTTTGTTTGAGATGGAGTCTCATTCTGTCACCCAGGCTGGAGTGCAATGGCATGGTCTCAGCTCACTGCAACCTCCACCTCCCAGGTTCAAGTGATTCTCCAGCCTCAGTCTCCTGAGTAGATGGGACTACAGGCATGGACCACCATGCCCAGCTAATTTTTGTATTTTTAGTAGAGACAGGGTTTCCCTATGTTGGCCAGGCTGGTCTCGAACTCCTGACCTCGTGATCCACCCTCCTCAGCCTCCCAAAGTGCTGGGATTACAGGCATGAGCCACTGCACCTGGCCTAAGGGTTTTTATAATGAAGAGATGTTGGATATTATTGAAAGCTTTTTCTGCATCTATTGAGATGATCATATTGTTTTTGCTTTTAATTATATTTATGTGGCAAATCACATTTATTGATTTGTATATGTTGAACCAACCTTGCAACCCAGGAATAAAGCCTACTTGATTATGATGTATTAATTTTTTGATGTGCTGCTGGATTTGGTTTGCTAATATTTTGTTGAGGAATTTTGCATCTATGTTCATCAGGGACGTCAGCCTAAAGTTTTCTTTTTTCATTACCAGATTCAGGTATCAGGCTAATTCTGGCTTCATAGATTGAGTTAGAGAGGAGCTCCTCTTCCTTGATATTTTGGAATAGTTTCAGTATGATTGGTATCAGTTATTTGCACATCTGGTAGGATTTGGCTGTGAATGTACCTGGTCCTGGGTTTTATTTTGGTTGGTAGTATCTTTATTACTGATTCAATTTCAGAACTAGATATTGGTCTATTCAGGGGTTCATTCTCTTCCTGATTCATTCCTGGGAAATTGTGTGCTTCCAGGAATTTATCCATTTTCTCTAGATTTTCTAATGTGCATGCATAGAGCTGTTTATAATAGTTTCTGATGATCTTTGTATTTCTGTGGGGTCAACTGTAATATCTCCTTTATCATTTCTGATTGCACGTATTTGGATCCTCTCCTTTTTCTTGGTTAATATAGCTAGTAGTCTATCAATTTTATTTATTTTTTCAAGAAACCTAACTTCAGTGATCTTTTGTATGGATTTTTGTAGCTCAATTTCATTAAGCTCTTCTCTAATTTTAGTTAGTTTTTTTCTCCTAGCTTTGGGGTTGGTTTGTTCACATTTTTCTGCTTTCTTTAGGTGCAAAGTCAAATTGTGAATTTGAGATCTCTCTAAATTCTTGATGAAGGTGTTTAGAACTACAAACTTTCCTCTTAACACTGCTTTGGCTGTATCCCAAAGATTTTAATATGTTGTTTCCCTATTTTTGTTAATTTCAAAAATTTTTTAAATTTCTGCCTTAATTTTAATGCTGTCCCAGAAGTTGTTCCAGAGCAAGTTGTTTTATTGCCATGTATTTCTGTAGTTTTGAGAGATCTTCTTGATATTGATTTATATTTTTATCATGCTGTGGTCTGAGTCTGTGCTTGGTATAATTTTCATTTTTTAAAAAATTTTTGTGACTTGTTTTATGACCAAGCATGTGTTTGATCTTAGAATATGTTTCATGAGCAGATGAGAAGAAGGTATATTCTGTGGTTGTTTGGTAGGGTGTTCTGTAGATGTCTATCAGGTCCATTGGTCAAGTGTTGAGTTTAAGTCCACAGTTTGTTAATTTTCTGCCTTCGTGATCTAATACTGTCAGTGGGATGCTGATATCTCCTACTATTCTTGTGTGGTTGTCTAAGTCTTTTTGCAGGCCAAGAAGAACTTGTTTCATAAATTTGGGTGCTCTGGTGTTGGGTGTGTATATACTTAGGATAGTTAAGGCTTCTTGTTTTGTTGTACCCTTTATCAATACATAATGCTCTTCATTGTCCTTTTAATTTTTATTGGTTTAAAATCTGTTTCATCTGATATAGGCATAGGAACTCTTGCTGTTTGCTTTCTGTCTACATGATAGATTGTTTTCTATCCTTTTACTTTGAGCCAGTGGGTGTCGTTACATGTGAGATGGGTTTCTTGAAGACAATAGATAGTCAGGTCTTATCTTTTAATTCAGCCTGCCCCTCTCTGTCTTTTAAGTGGGGTGGTTAGCTCACTTACATTAAATGTTAGTATTGATATTTGTGACTTTGATCCTGTCATTGTGTTGTTAGCTGTTTGTAATGTAGACCTAATTGCACAATTGCTTTATAGTGCCTGTGGGCTATGTGCTTAAGTGAGTATTTGCAGTAGCAGGAGTTGTTCATTCATTCCACATTTACCATTCACTTAAGGATCTCTTATAAGGCTGGTCTAAGTGAAACATATTCCTTCAGCATTTGCTTGTCTGAGAAGAATTTTATTTCTCCATCACTTGAGAAATTTAATTTTGTAGGTTCTTGTTTGGAATTTCTTTTCTTTAAGGCTGCTGAAAATAGGCCTCCAATATCTTCTGGCTTGTAAGGTTTCTAGTGAGAGGTCTGTTGCTAACCTGATAAGGTTCCCTCTGTAAGTAACCTGCCCCTTCTCTCTAGCTGCCTTTAATATTTTTTCTTTTGCATTGACATTGGTGAATCTGATGATTATGTGCCTTGGCAATGGTTATCTTTTACAGTATTTAGCTGGGATTCTCTGTACTTATTGGTTTTGCATGTCAAACTCTGTAGCAAAATTAGCGGGAGTCTCATGAACTATATCCTGAAATATATTTTCTACATTGCTATTCTCTTTTCTTCTCTCTCAGAATGCCAGTGAGTCATAGATTTGTACTCCTTACATAATCTCATATTTCTTAGAGGTTTTGTTTCTTTTTCTTAATTCTTTTTTGTTTCTTTTTGTCTTACTGAGTTGATTTGAAGAACCAGTCTTTGAGCTCTAAAATTCTTTCCTCAGCTTGGTCTATTCTGCTGTTAATACTTTTGATTATATTTGAGATTCTTGTAAATTTTTCAGCTCAAAATTTCAGTTTGGGTCTTTCTTAAAATGGCTGTTTGATCTTTCAGCTCTTGAATGATTTTACTTCATTTCTTGGCTTCATTGAATTGAGTTTCAACTTTCTTATGGATCTTAATGAGCTTCCTTGTTATCCAGATCCTGAATTCCATGTCTGTCATTTCAGACATTTTAGACTGGTTAAGAACCATTGCTGGGGAGCTGGTAGGCTCATTGGAGGAAAGGGGACACTCTGGCTTTTGAATTGCCAGTTCTTGTGCTGATTCTTTATCATCTAGGAGGGTTGGTGTCCCTTTAACTGTGGTATAAATTAAGGACAGTCAGTTGGCTTTATTTCTGGAAGTTTCAGAGGTCCAAGGCTCTGTACAGGGTCTTTGTGATTGAATTCTTGTCCTTGGTTGTGCAGTGGGGAGAATCAGTGTTGTAGTTCGGGCTACAATCTCATAAATGGCACTTGAGAGCAATGGATGGTAGATAGGCTCTTACTCAGCAGTGCAGTTCCTTTGTGTATCCTCACATTTGCAGCTATGATCTCTGGGGCAAGGAGGAGAGGAGTGACCCCCTCACCAGTTTCTTTTCTGGGTCTTTGGGGAGCCACATTTGATCACTGGCCCACAATTTGTTGTTGTTGTTGTTGCTGTTGTTAGGTCTTATAGACCACAAGTTTCCCTTGGGCAGAGGTCTGGCGGGGCCAGTTCTGTGGAGGGAGGCACATGCAGATCCCACACCACTCTGCAAACCTGTATGACTCATCCCTGTCAGTTTTCTGAGAGTGTGGGCTCCTCCCCTGCTCAAGTGCTGGGCATAGATCCTAGCTTAGCACTCCTGAGCAACAAGCAACAGCCCTGCAGCATGAGGGCCTGCTTGTGGCTTTCTCCTCTGGACCCCTGGGGTTGGATTTAGGTTGCATTAGGGGGCCCAAAGCTTTCCCAGGCTATCAGCACTCAGTCAGATAAAACAAAGCACCCAGGCTGGGCAGTGGAGGTTTCACTGTGTACATGCTCCTGCAGGGTGGCCAGGCAGGAGCAGCTAGCAGGCAGGTGGGCCTGCAGGACAGATGTGCCCCAGTTCTGCTGGGAAGTTGGCCCTCCTTTCTCCCAATCTGGTGGTTACCTGGGGCCAGGGCCTCTCAGAGGGGCATGGGACACTCTGGAGGATAGGTGCTTATGGCCAGCATTCATCAAAGCTGTCTTGCACACAAAGGTCCCTGGCTATATGTCTGTTGTAGATATGACTCTGTCTAATCTCCAGGGAGATATCTCTGCCAGCTCAAATGTCCATGGCAAGTGTGGGGTCTCCTGCAGCTAGGGACCCAGAGGTTCAAGAAAAGATAGTCCCCCAGTCCCTTCACTCACCCCTTCCCAAGAAGCCAACCAGAGCCGGGAACCAGCCCTAGCATTCAGGCACCCCACACAGCCTTCTCAATCTTCTTCCATCTTCAGCCTCAGCACCTGCACCATTTTTTACACAGACATTTGGAAGGATCCAAGGAGAAGATAAGCTAAGCACAGTTACTGAATAATTGTCCAGAAAAATCAGTGGGCACAGTCATGAATGGACCCTAGAAACCATATGGCCCACCATAAGGCATAGGCATCTAGGTATTATCTGCTTCTAAGTTCACCGAGGACTATATCTCATTCTCTAGTATAGGTCAAAGAGAACTCATCTTGGGGAAGTATACTTAGCTAATCCAAGCAGTAGAACATGGGAGAGAAAACCAAAACGTCATCAACACACATCAAAACAAGCCAAGAAACTGGGCCAAGCTCCCTTTGGCACTCTATCCTCAGGGTAAAAAGATGGTAGACTGGTCGCTGGAATCCTGAGAATAACAGCCTTCCACATGTTTGTTTTCCAAGTCACACTATTCCTATCTGTTCTCATTCTCCACATCAGGTATTCATCTGTCATGGCATACTCCATATCTTTCTCCTTTTTATGTTTTAATATCTGATTTTGATAGAGCATGTGTTCTAGTAGCTTCTTGAGAAAAGGTACAATGACAGGAAACTACACTTTTTTTCAGATTTTGAATGCCTAAATATTTTCTCTTATACAACTATTTAATTGATAATTTGATTAGTGACGGAATTCTAGCTTGGAAGTACATTTTCTTTTTTTTCTTTTTTTTATTATTATTATACTTCAAGTTTTAGGATACATGTGCACAACGTGCAGGTTTGTTACATATGTATACATGTGCCATGTTGGTGTGCTGCACCCATTAACTCGTCATTTAGCATTAAGTATATCTCCTAATGCTATCCCTCCCCCTCCCTCTACTCCACAACAGGCCCCAGTGTGTGATGTTCCCCTTCTTGTGTCCATGTGTTCTCATTGTTCAATTCTCAGCTATGAGTGAGAACATGCGGTGTTTGGTTTTCTGTCCTTGTGATAGTTTGCTGAGAATGATGCTTTCCAGTTTCATCCATGTCCTTACAAAGGACATGAACTCATCCTTTTTTATGGCTGCATAGCATTCCATGGTGTATATGTGCCACATTTTCTTAATCCAGTCTATCATTGTTGGACATTTGGGTTGGTTCCAAGTCTTTGCTATTGTGAATAGTGCCACAATAAACATACGTGTGCATGTGTCTTTATAGCAGCATGATTTATAATCCTTTGGGTATAAACCCATTAATGGGATGGCTGGGTCAAATGGTATATCTAGTTCTAGATCCCTGAGGAATCACCACACTGACTTCCGCAATGGTTGAGCTAGTTTACAGTCCCACCAACAGTGTAAAAAGTGTTTCTATTTCACCGCATCCTCTCCAGCACCTGTTGTTTCCTGACTTTAATGATCACCATTCTAACTGGTGTAAGATGGTATCTCACTGTGGTTTTGATTTGCATTTCTCTGATGGCCAGTGATGGTGAACATTTTTTCATGTGTTTTTTGACTGGATAAATGTCTTCTTTTGAGAAGTGTCTGTTCATATCCTTTGCCCACTTTTTGATGGGGTTGTTTTTTTTTTTTTTTTTTTTTTTTGTAAATTTGTTTGAGTTCATTGTTGATTCTGGATATTAGCCCTTTGTCAGATGAGTAGGTTGCAAAAATTTTCTCCCATTCTGTAGGTTGCCTGTTCACTCTGATGGTGGTTTCTTTTGCTGTGCAGAAGCTCTTTAGTTTAATTAGATCCCATTTGTCAATTTTGGCTTTTGTTGCCATTGCTTTTGGTGTTTTAGACATGAAGTCCTTGCCCATGCCTATGTCCTGAATGGTATTGCCTGGGTTTTCTTCTAGGGTTTTTATGGTTTTAGGTCTAACATGTAAGTCTTTAATCCATCTTGAATTAAGTTTTGTATAAGGTGTAAGGAAGGGATCCAGTTTCAGCTTTCTACAGATGGCTAAGCAGTTTTTCCAGCATCATTTATTAAATAGGGAGTGCAAGTAGCTCCTGGATAACTTGAGGAAAACACCCTCTGCAGGACCAGTGGTCACGTCAGGAAGGAGTGGGGGTGGGACCTAAATCGCTCCGTAATCTCTACCCTGAATTCATCCCCAATCACTCCAAAATTTTAATTTAAAACTCATAGATTTCTAGTCTAATCAAAAATATTTGTTAGTGGGTTATACTAACACAGTAATAAAATAGTATGGCCCATTAAAAAGATTATTTGCAGGGAAAAGTCCTTTGAAGACATTTTATAATTATTTCTGAAAGTAACTAATTGTTTTTGATGTAACTGATGCAACTGATCCATATTTGAATAGTCAGGTATCAAAATCAGCTGCTACCACGGTCATTTTATCTTGCTATTTAATCATCAAGATTCTTGAAGTAATTTATCTCCCTGGCAACATTGTAGCATTGAGAGGAAAATAACTACAGGGCAATTATGTTTTTCATTAGCATATTCCACAAATTTTCTTTCTTCATAAAATAAAAATACAGTAGATAATACTTTTCTTGACAGTGCCTCAACAGTTAACTTTTCATGCAATTCTCACACTTTTACAAATAAATGTCTAAAATTGACCATTAACAGTTAATGAGGCTTAAAAGTACCTGCTACAAATTGGCTTGATTTTCTCCAAAGAACATTTAAAAATCAATGTATCTACATAATAGCTCTCTATATTGTTTGCCATACATCCTGCTGCCCATCTGGCCTTCTCACAAATGAAGGGCTGCCCACAGGACACCACAGCGGCTGCTCTGTATGGTTATATTACTCATTCCACCACCATAGTTTCACTTACTTTGTTTCCTCACATGATATACCCTATCTTCTTTTCCCCTTTATCAAAATCTTAGCCAACCTTTAAGACTCAAGTTTTACTTTCTTCCTGAAATCTTGGCTATTCCAGGTGTTATTAAATTATTACAACTATAAATTCCTATAACATATAATAACATGGTGACTGGTGTATATTCTGTTAACAAACATTGTTGTTTATTAAGGTCCAAGCATTATGGACTGGAAATATAATGATTTCAAGAAAATATATGAATGCTATCCCTCAGGAGCTTACTGTTGTTCCATATATATGTATATATTCTATATACATATATATGTTCCATATACATACATATATGTCTTCCTATCTAAATGTAAATGTTTTAAGAAATTATACTCACATTTAATCCTAATAGGGCCTCTAGATCCAACTCCAAGCTTCTAATATAGAGATGAGAACATATGTATATACCAGTAATAAAAAAATTAGATTTCCTAACTATCCATAGAGCCTAAAAGAAAAAATAGTGCTTTACCATAAATTCTTTCAAAATTATTTAATGTCACTTACATAGCTTCCAGCCATTAAAATCTGCATTTCCCATGTTGCTCTCATTGCATTACTCTATTCCTTCTATCTCTGGTGCACCATATAATAATTTTTTTATTTTGCTTACAAGAAAGTGGTGAAAAGTATAGATTCTGGCTCTAGGTGGCCTAGATTTGAATTCTAGAATCTTATATATAAGACCTTGACTTGCCTTAGTTCCATCATCTGTAAAATGGGGATAAGTATATGTAGTTTATAAGGTGATTATAAAGATTAAATAAATTTATAAATGTAAAATACTTTAAAAAGTACATAGTAAATGCCTAGGAATTTCTATTTGTGATAATTATTACTACTCATGGTACTATTAGGAGGTAGCAGTCAGGTGTTGCTATTCAACATCTACAGATAAAACACTTGAGCCAGAAAGAGAATATTTGATGTATTATGAATTATAGTGAAAACAATCTCTAAAGCCAGAATGTGAACTCCATGAATTCACTGGCTTTGGTGTGAGCATTGAGTGGCATACCCTCTTCCACTGAACAGCCTACTTTCAGGTTCAGTACAACACAGTATTTGATGTTGAGTGGTTACATGAAAAGGATAAATAAGGCATGATCTCTTTTCCCAAGTAGTTGATTATCTGAGCTGTGCTAAATAGTGTTATACTACTTTGTCTTCTAACTGTGCTACTATGATAGATGTTAGTGGAATTTCCTTTGACCAAAATCTAAGAAGGCACACCCTTAATTTTGTTGTGCTTGGCCTTTTCTATAGCAGTAATAATATGTGAGTCAGTAATTGAGATTACTATTAGAGATGGCATGTCCAAATAATGTATCAGTCAGAACTCTTAGTTGCAGATGATTGAATCCCCTACAGCTAATTTAAACAGAAAGGGGTTTATTAAAAGATATAGTTAGCTTATAGAATTTCCTTGATGTCCAGGAAAGTATATAGTTATATGGCCAGGAAAAAGAATAACAAGGAGAAATGCCCAACTACAATACAGAACTATTCTGGTAGCCCTATTGCTACCATCTCATACACTTCAAAGTCTATGACATAAAGGCTGGACATTGAAATCTTCTCTACTGCTACCTTAAAGGAACAGATCCTGCCACTAACATGCTTGCAAGAAGATCCAACAGCACTGTGGCAGCCACTTTCTCATGTTGGTCATTTCCTCCTTCTAAGTCTTAACAAAGCTGTATCTGCTTGGCAAAATCAAAGCCATACTAGAAACCTACCTTCAAGGAATCAGGCCTCCTCCTTCCTCTCTCCTCCTCCTTCTCTTTCTCCTCCTCCTCTTCTTCCTCTGTTTCTGTTATTTTTAGTTCAGGAGACAAGCTAGAAAGGTATTAAAGCAAGTGTTGAGTGAAACAATTCACAGTATCCGCTACGTCCACATCTTTGGTTACTCAACACTCTTCTTCCCATGTTTGAGTTTCTAAACAATTATATAGAAATTACAACATGCTCTCACTTAATATAAAGCAAACATTTCTCTTACAAATAAATATGCTCTCATCTTTTCCCCAAAAGGGAAGACCCAAAATCTCATTTGTGATATTCATTCTACTTCTAGGCTGATTGGAATTATTTATTGATTCCTGTAATATATGAACTAATATATTTTATCACTTTATCAAATGGAAGTGGGAGAGGAGAAGAAAAACAACTGGTAAATTATATCAACATGTGAATAACAGAGTAAAAAAAAACATTATTAACTACTAAAGTCCTCTTTTCTGCAACTGGTAATGATGTTCTACATGGTATTTACAACTTTTTCCCCACCCTTCATTCATTCATGTTTCCTTTGCCCTCAGCCAGAAACTCATCTGGTTCAGGTTCTCTGTCTGGTGGTGTGACCCAGCCTTCTTTATTGAAAAGTGTGCACCTTGATAGTTTCACCTGTATGGGGTTATTGTAGTCTCCATTAACTTTACCACTGGGCATAGCAGTACCAAGAGGCAACTCAAAAAATGTTTTGAGTTTATGTCCTATGATCTCTCCCTGATGCTCAAGCAACAAAATGATATCCCCTTGATAATCAAGATCATCATCTCTAACCAATTTTCATTTCTTGTTTTTATGATCATTTTTCCAGTGGTATTAAAAATCTCAAAGTGACTTAGTGTCAGTACCAACTTTCATTTCTATGTTTCCCCTGATGAAAGCATTTCTCCTTGAATACTAAAATATCTAATCAAGTAAAGACACAGTTGTAGGGAAGTGACGTGAAAACTTTGAGCAGGTCATTAGGTATAATAATAAGGGTTGTCATCTCACTTCTAAGGTTTCTGGATGCCTTATATTCAGTCTATAGAAAAAACAATAGCACCTTAAATCAACTGCTGGCTCAGAGCAAGGAATGCTTTCTCTAAGAGAGTATCCAGTGGTGTGCTGGCATATATTTAAGAACTAGCTCAGAAAAATAAAAGGCTTTGATTTCTATCATTAGCTTATTTTGGTGGTATAAATGTTCCTACCATGTTTGACATCATTAAACACAGAAGTGGGAAGAGGTATGCTGCGTAGCACACCACTATATTGTATTTTTACCATAAAGACACAATAAACATAGATAACCTCAAGATCACAGGTAATGGCAAAATTTAGTGAACTGATTAAAATGTAGTAAGTTCTATTGAGTATTGATTGTTTTTAATTTTAAGTTTGTGCAACTTAATTTTTAGTAATGACTGTGTTTAACAAATGGCTTACAAAATGGGGCTAACAATATCTATCTCACATGCACATTTTTTCTGACATCAGTAAGAGTGTACAAAGATCTCATTTATATATCGTTCACCTTAATAAATTCTGGCTATAATTCTATAGATACCTTAGCCAGAGTGCCTTATGACGTTTTTAGAATAGTTTTTTCAATTCCTACCTGATCAAAACAATATTAATTCCATCTAGCTCTCTCTCTCTATATATATGTATATATATAATATATGTATATATATAATTGATTGAATAAATTTAAAAATACATATTAATTTATTATAGCATATTTTTCTGTTTGGACAATGAATGTTGTCAAATATGTATTATGCCTATGCTATCAACAGGAGAGCAACAAAAAGTTTTTATAAACCTCATGGGGAAGGGAACCTGATGTGGGTTTATTATGGTCTCTCCAAAACCCACCCATATGGTCAACTATTGGCACTAAAATGATAAATGAATCTTAGTTCTTCTACTGAGTGGAGGCATGGGCAACAAGCCACATGCTCTCTGGTTACAATTGGATTCCTTATTTTTGGAATATTTTGAAATAGCCACCAAATTCCTAAGAGATAATTGATTTTAAAAATACAATTTCTGTGAGATTTTTTATCATTAAATTCCAAAAGATCAGTCTTTTCTGTCTTTTCACACTGTATTCTCAGTGCTTAACATAGTACATGAAACATAGCAGGCACTCAATAAATATTGCTTGAATAAATAAATTGATTATTTAAACTTTTGTGTTTTTCTCTTTAGGAAACCTAGCCTAATTAAAAAGTGTGTCTAAAATGCCATAATCCTGTGACCCTCTGTATGATCCTATGATTATATGTTTATAATCAGGACTCAGTTGATTTTATTTCAAACATCTGAGGCAAATATAACTCAGGAGGAAAAATTTAGCTTCTCATGTCAACAAATGATAGAGGATCTCTGCAGAAATATGTTAGTACCAAAAATTACCCATTAGGTAATTACATAGCTTAATTTCTAAATCAATGAAGGGCTCTCTGTACATGAAGATAAATTCAACTACACACATATTTTTAAAAGCTAATAGGAGGGCTATAGCGTGACTTAGATTTATATAGTATAGCAAAAGCAGGCTTCATCAGCTATCATGATGAAATGTGTGGTAATTTTGTCCACATAGATACTTTCTGAATATCAATGACAAGAACTTGAACCCTTACCCCCGATTTAAAACTAAAAAATATAAGAACAACCTTCCAATGGGTGGAGGTTGTTATTCAGGTTCAAAATGTTAAACAGTACTCCAAGGAGTGAAGTCAAGTGTAGGTTACCAGACTGAAGTCATTTTCACGATGTTGAGGCAGAAAAGTAAAATTTGGCACTGACTCCAAGCAGGGAGCAGGTCACCAGCACAGAGAAGATATAGGTAATCTAGGATTTTTGATTAATGTGATGGGGTATAAAGGAGAACTGGTCAAAGCTTTTTTAGAATAGCAGGAAACTGTCCATGGGACAAAATAAACAACTTTTCATATCCATTTGCTTACAGGCTTTCATGACCATGAGAAAAGGATTGAATTGAGACGAGGGCTTGTGAAACATTTATGAAAGCGTTTCTCTATCTGAATGAGTTTTTGCTAGAAAAATATAAAACTTTCTTGACATGACAGTGTTTGTGTGGAAATTGAAATGGTGAAGATCCTCGATCTAGATAACTAATTTATTTTTTGTAGCTTCTTATATTTCTATGTATATGTATCTGACTGTGTATATGTAGATCTACAACTATCTTTATTTCTGTATATCTTATATAAATATATTTTATATATTTGGCATATTGATTACTTCAGCTGTCCCGAAGTCATGACGTTAGGTAAATTTCTCCTGGTATTGGTAACAGTGTGGTAGGTGCCTCTAAAATGAGCCCCCATGATCTGTTCCTGTGGGTATTCATGACGTTGTGCAATCACCTCCCCTTGTGTGTTGCTTGGGCCTAGTGACTCTCATAACAAATAGAATATGGTAAATATGATTAGATATCACTTCTGAGGATAGATTACATTAAAATAAAACACTCTGGCTTCTGTCTTGCTCAATCTCTCTCATTATTTTTTGCCCTCTTTCAGAGCCCTTGCTCTGAGGGATACCAGCTGTCTGTTATGAGTAGCTCTATAAAAAGCACCATGTGGCAAAGAACTGACGTCTCAGGTTAACAGTTAATCAGGACTAAGGTCCTTAGTCCAAGAGCACTAGAGGAACAGAATCCTGCCAGTGAACATGCAAGTGAGCTGAGAGGTGAACCCACCCCAGTCAAGCTTTGAGCCTTCTGTTGCCCTAGCTGACACTTTGATCACAGCCTGTCAGATACCCTGAGCCAGAGGATCCAGAAAGCTGCACCCAGAATCCTGAACCACAAAACTGAGAAATAATAAATGTGTGTTGATAGTGTGTTTATTAAGTTTTGGAGTAATTGGTTTGCAGTAATTATTAATATAAATAGATATATTCTTACTAGCAAAGCTATTATTTAAACTGTTTTGTTGGCCACTTGTTAACTCACGTTAAATTTGCAGCAAGATACAACTACTGAGCTTTTTAATTCTAGTCTCCTCTACTTCAAAGAGTGTGAGAGATATCTACCGCAGCAGTGTCTGGATCTGAATTGCTTACACTCACTTCTCAGCCTAACCATACATTAGTTGTGTATTCTTGAAAAGTTATTAAACTTCTCTTGACTTTATTGTTGGCATGCATCTGTAAAATGGGGACGATAATAGTATCCACAGACTCCCTACTACCCACTGCCTCCCTCGCCACATATACACTCTGAAATTCCTTGATTTCATGGCTAGTCTCCAGGACAAAACTATGTGGGAAAGACCTGGAAGTGCTGTTCAATCTAATCCTGTTACTCTGTAGATTAACTACAGATCATTGATCTACCTAGAAATTTTGTGAATAAATCTCTAGGAAGTCTGATACTGCTGACTAAAATGTCTGGAAAAATTATTCTTTGACAATTATAATTTAAAGTGTCAGAATATAAGAATTAAAAGTTACTTCAATGTCTTATTATATGTTTTTCTAGATCAGATGAGTAAAATGAAATAGTGAAAGTTTAGATAATTTTCAGGCTTTTACTATTTTATGTCCCTTTTTTCAGTTACAACTCTTACCACAATATTGTGCAATATGCCTGTTTTATATTCCTTCTTCCATTGTTCTATGAAGTCTATAAGGGCAAGAAGATTTCTTTTTCATATCTACAATTTCAGAAATCAGCATAGAGCTTGGCATACAATAGAGGCTCAATGAAGGTTTGCTGAACAAGGAAACACATGCATGCAAAGTCAATGATAAATACAGAAAACTTTGAAATAATTCCTTGTGTATTGATTTACATAAATGATGCTTTTATTATATAATTGAAGTTAATAAAGTTACAAATGAATATTAGAATTAATCACTCAAGAAGCATTTATCTAAGAACACCCCTCCTGACTTTTGTAATTTTTCTCTGTTCAATAGAGAATAGGACCTCTTTGGTATATGTGTGTATGTGTGTGTATTCATATAGTTATATATGTGTATATCTATGCACATATATAATATACTGTTCATGTATACTGTATATATATGCACACATATACATACATATATGTGAGAAGGCTAAGTAAGCCTGTTTGTACAAACACATCAGTGAGGCTGCTATCTTCAAGAAAGGAAAATATTCACAAATTTAGATAGCAAAAAATTGGAGTAGGAGCCTGTTCACCCAAGTGAATGTCTGTTTGAATGTGAGTAGGAGATATTTTGACATGGAGGAGGCTTCTGGAGTCCTTGCCTAATGAAGACTTTACCACAATCAACCTTCTGTCCTCCCGACCTCCCTCACCAACATCTCCCCTACATCTGCATTTCAAGAAAACCATGATGACAAGCATTGCAGAGGTACACCATCCACCTCTCTCAGTCAACAATTTTCCTCAGGAAGATTGCATGACTTCACTTAACACATGTTGAATATTTGAAATCACAAACCACAGGTTTAAAAGTTAGAGCCCTCTGTATTGCTGTCAGATTCTCAGTATGTTTCCTCACTTACCCTCTCTCCCCCTCTTTTACACACACATAATTTTTTTTTGCATGATATTGATTGGAATCTATAACCCAGAAAGACTCATAGACAGTGCCTGGTAAACCAGAGCATATGACAGTGTGAGTCATCCAGCAGGCTGCAAAAGAAGGAAAGCTGGGTCACAAACTTGCTTTTCAGCACTATCTTGCTACAGAGGAATTGCTCTGCCTAATTTGATTAAAATGGCATGTGACATAATTGTCTTTTGAAAAGAAAACGTGCTTTTAGTCACTACATTAGGATGCAATTTTGTGATTAACATGAGCAATTTCAGAACAGATTTCTCTCATATGCAATGGTCTAATCAAATTAAGGTAAATGAATACAACATTCGTTAAAGTGATTTATTCAAATCCATTAAAATGAAACATGAAATTTAATCAAAGTCATAGGGATGCATGTATGCCATACATGTAAATCAGAAGTGGCTATCTCTGTATTTATGTAATCCAGTCACATCTGGATCCCCAAGCAAGACAGTTAGATATTACATAATATAATTAAGGGTAGAGAGCCTAAGGGAAGAATTAGGTAAAAGGACATCAAATGATGGAGGAAGAACTTGGGAGAGGAGTAAAGGAGACCCCATGGGAAGGCAACAGATGGAATGAATGTGTTTAAAAAGAAGAGGAAATCACAGGGAGAATAGGAGGAATGACTTCTGCTCAGTTGTTGAAATAGTCTATAATTTATATTTGCATGTTTGGTCTGCACAATTACCCCACTGGATAGAAATCTGTGTTCATCTACTCACTGACTCAACAAATATTTATTTAAAGCCTACTCTGTGTCAGGCTTTGTTCTTGATCCTGGAAATAAAACAGTGGACAACAGAGATATAGCCTCTTCCATTACATAACTTTAATTTTAGTTTGCAGAGACAATAGTAGCAACAAAGGCAAACAAACAAATAGGTAAATAAGACAGATTTTAGAGATGAGTCTCAGAGCTTATGTTAGTTTCTTATTGCTGCTGTAATAAATTATCACAAATTTAGTGGTTTAAAAGCAATACAAATTTATTGTCTTACAGTTGTAGAGGTCAGAAATCTAAAATGGGTTGGCAGGGCTGAGTGTCTCCTGGAGGCTCAAGGAGAAAATTCATTTCCTTTCCTTTTCCAGCTTCTAGGTGCTACATGCATTCCTTAGCTTGTGGCCCCACATTGCTCTGCTCTGTCCTCACATCTTCATCTTAAGTATGACTCTCCTGCCTAACAAGGGCCCTGGTGATTACACTGGGTCCATTTGGGTAATCCAGGATTATCTCAGGATCCTTAATTCAATCACTTCTGCAAAGCCTCATTTGTAATGTAAGGTAACATATTGATAGGTTCCAGGGATTAGGATGTGGGCATCTTTGGAGGGACTTATTCAGTCTAACACAGAGCCTAAGTGAATTATTCAACTTCCTGCATCTGGTCCAGACCTTCAGTCTTCTGAGTCCAAGTGCAGTAGTCTTTCTCCTTTCCCATGGCTGAATCCCATCACCTCTGTTCATCCTCTACCTCCTGCAGACACAGAGTCCATTTTTACATTCTTTGATGATTTCCACATTTTTAGCTGCTCTGCTTCACTCATGTAGTGTTTCTGAAGCCAGTGAGAACAAACCTAGTTTACTCCAAGGGAATAGTGACTGACAATGCATTAATATGTCCATATGTTTAACAGATATTTGCAGAGTGCTGCTTATGTGCTAAATGCAGAACTGCAGAGTAGGAAACAAAACATATCATTCTTGCCTTATTGGAACTTTCAGTCTTGCAGGAAATATAGATATTACATTATCTAAAAAGTAGAAAATTATGAATTCTATTAAATGGTAAGGAGGGCAACCTCAAGGCCCTGAGGTAGGAATGAGCTTGAAAAATTGGATAATAATTTTTTTGAAAAATCCTGCGACTGGAGCATAATGAGCGAGGGAGAGAAGGTGTCTCAGATGAGAAAAGCCTGATAGGCAGGATTAGTGTATGTCAAGTGGGGCACATGGGGAAGAGTTTAGATTTTATTTTAAAGTGCAATGGGAAGTTATTGAAGAATGTTAAGGTGATAGAAAAGTTATTTAATCATATTTGTGCTTTCAAAAGAAGAGTTTGGCTTTCATGAGAATAGAGGAAAAAGACTCAAGGTTGGAGCCAAGAGTTCAATAACAAAGCTGTTCTCATGAAGGGAAGAGATAACTGTGGCTTGGACTAGAACTGGACCATGGAGGAGACAAGAAGTAGAGAGATGTGAGATAAATTTTGGGGTAGGAGCAGCAAGATTTGCTGATAGATCAAATATGAGGGCACATACAAATTACATTTGACCCCCGGGTTGCAACTTTGAGAATCTGGATAGATTGTGGGGCTATTTATTGAGACACCAAAGACCAGAGGAGGAATGACTTTCAGGCATAAAATCAATAAAATCCTCTTTACACACTCTGTTAGGTCATTCTTGCATTGCTACAAAGAAATACCTGAGACTGGGTAATTTATAAAGAAAAGAGATTTGTCTGGGCTCAGTGGCTCATGCTTGTAGTCCCAGCACTTTAGGAGGTCAAGGCTGGTAGATTGCTTGAGCCCAAGAGCTTGAGGACCAGCCTGGGCAAATGGCCAAACCCCACCTCTACAAAAAATGGAAAAAAAAAAAAATGCCAGGCATGGTGACTCAAGCCTGTAGTCTCAGCTACTCAGGAGGCTGAGATGGGAGAATCACCTGAGCAAGGTAGGTCTAGGCTGCAGTGAGTTATGATGGCACCACTGCATTCCAGCCTGGGTGACAAAATAAGACCCTGTTAAAAAAAAAAAAAAGGAAAGAAGAACGAAAGAAAGAAAGAAAGAAAAGAAAAGAAATTTAATTGGCTAATAGTTCTACAGGCTTTATAGGAAGCATGGTGCTGGCATCTGCTCAGCTTCTGGGGAGGCCTCAGGAAATGTACAGTCATGATGGAAAATGAAGAGGGAGCAGGCACATCACATGTCAAAAGCAGAGAAAGCAGGGGGAGGGGGAGAGGAGGAGAGGTGCCACACACTTTTAAACAACCAGATTTTGCTAGAATTCACCCACTATTATGAGGCCAGCACCAAGAGAATGCCATTCATGAGAAATCCACAACCATGATCCAGTTGCCTCCTACCAGACCCCACTTTCCACACTGAGGATTACATTTCAATATGAGATTTGGGCAGGGACAAATATCTAAACTATATCAGAGACTTTACATTTGCGATTCTTGTGAAATTTCAAGTGAAGATATCAAGTAGACAGTTGGATAAATGAGTCTAGAAGTCAAAGGAGAAATCCAAGGTAAACATATAAATTTGGAACTTCCCTATAGAGACAGCACATAAAGCTATATGAATGGGTGGAATCAGTAATGGAGAGAGTGGAAACAGAAAATGGAAGGGCTTAGGAGTAAGCCCCAGGGAATCCACACATTCAGAGTGGGAGAAGAATCAGGGAGAAAGAAGGCTAAGAATCAGGACCAGAGATGCAGAGGAAACTCAGAGAAGCACCATGTCAATAAAGCCAAGAGGAGAGTGTCTCAAGAAGAGCAAGTGGTTAATGGTGTCCACTAAAGTGATCATTGTTTAGGCAACACACAGCAAAGTAACGTAAGTGACAGCAGTTTTAAGTTCCATAACAGACACGTGCAACCAAAGATTACATGTCAAAAAGAGGTATTTTTCTTGTTTCTGAGAAAGCAAAAAGGAGCCCCTCATTGCTGGAAACTGGTCTGACATTCACAGTCAGGCCAGGCTGTTTTCCTGTTGGACATAAACGCACAGTATCTCAATAAGGTTGCTTGGACACCTTGATAAAATAAGTCAAAACAAAATCATCATGCAGCTCATGAAATATCAAACATCCCTCTTTCTTAGCTGAGTAACTGCTACTTCTGAATACCGACTGCAGCATTATCCCCATTTTAATCTACCCTCCCTATAGATAAGATTCATTCAGACATTCAATCATAAAATTGCTTTGCCTTCTTGTAGCCCCAATCTAGAGAAAGCCCCTACTTCCCTATACCCTTCCCCAAGTTACACAGCCAAAGCCCAAATTCTGTAATAGCTTCTTTCTTACACATTCTTAGTAAGAAAACTTACAGTTTTCTCATAGTGAGCATTCTTCCTTGTAAGATATCTGCAGGGGTCTCAGTGGTCTTTAGCTGAAGAGCATTGACATTTCCTAGCCCTTTAAAAAACTGGCTGTCCATAATTGGTAAACATGAATAACTCAGTTAATAAAATGCTAAATTGACAGAACTCCCATTCTCCAATTATTCCAGATCAATTATATCTATTAGCTATACCAAGGTTACTTCCTATTGTTGATAAAATATTTGTATTATAACTTCCTTTGCTTCTACAGGGAAAAGTTGTACCTATGTTTTGCTTCCTCTGTTATCTTTTGTCTCACTAAGATATTTTTTTATTAAGACCTCGAATACCTCTATAGACCTTTATTTATTGTCCTGTTCCTTATATAGCATAGCTGATGATTCCCATAGAAATCATGGGAAGCTTAATGTTATTTCATCCCTAAGGTTCTAGAAGATAATTAATAGGGAGTTCTTCCTATTTATGAAGATTTTGTCAAACTTTATCTGAGTACTAAGAGTACCGTTCACATATCATAGTTGTCAGATCTTTCTAGTCTCCTTTGATATGTGACCGTTTCTCAGCTTTTCCTTTTTTGTTGTTCTTTGTTTTTTGGGGGCTTTGGGGGGAGTTTTTTGTAGACTTACTACTTTTGAAGAGTACTGGTAAGGTCAGATATTTTGTAGAGTGTTCTTCAGTGTGGGTTTGTCTGATGTTTTCTCATTATTAGACTGAGATTATAGCTTTCTGGGAAGAGCACCATAAAAATGAGATGCCCTTCTCATCATAGCCTATCAGGGAATACATGACTTTTCACTGGTGATGTTAACTTTGATCACTTTGTGAAGTTGATATCTGTCTGTTTTCTTCATTGCAAAGTTACTGACTTTCCCTTTTCCTATTACATTGTTTGGAAGTAGGTCACTAAGACCAGCTCACTCTCAAGGGGAGGGAAAATAAGCTCCACCTATGGAAGGGAGAGGTTATTTACAAATATTATTTAAAAGTCTTTTATTTTTGTAAAAAAAGATCTGTCCCATTCTCCCATTTATTTATTTGTTCAATCATTTGCTTATATCTGGAAGGAAATTCACAGATATTTACTTATTATTTTGGTTAAAAATCTGATACCGCATGTATGTCTTCTTTTGAGATATGTCTGTCCATGTCCTTTGACCATTTTTTAATGTGGTTTTTGTTTTTGCTTGATGATTTAGTTCCTTACAGATTCTGGACATTAGACCTTTGTCAGATACATAGTTTCCAATTTTTCTCCCATTCTGTGGGCTGTATGTTTATTCCATTGATAGTTTCTTTTGTTATGCAGGAGCTCTTTAGCTTAATTAGGTCCCACTTGACAATTTTTGTTTTTGTTGAAATTGCTTTTGACATCTTTGTCAATAAGCATATGAAGAAATTCTCAACATCACTAATCATCAGAGAAATGCAAATCAAAACTACAATGAGATACTGCTTCACACTAGTTGGAATGACTGTTATTAAAAAGTCAAAAAATAACAGATGTTGGTGATTTTGCAGAAAAAAGGGAATGTTTATACACTGCTTGTGGGTATGTAAGTTAGTTCAGCCACTGTGGAAAGCAGTTCAGCAATTTCTCAAAGAACTTAAAAAAGAACTACCATTTATCCAGCAATCCTATCTCTGGGTACCTAAAGGAACGTAAATCATTCTACTATAAAGAAACATGCATGCTTATGGTCATTGCAGCACTTTTTACAATAAGAAAGACATTGAATCAACCTAGATTCTCCTCAATGGTGCACCAGATAATTTAAAATGTGGTATATATACACCATGGAATACTATACAGCCATAAAAAGGAATGAAATTATGTCCTTCGCAGCCACATGGATACAGTTGGGGGCCATCATTCTAGGTGAATTAACGCAGGAACAGAAAAACCAAATATTACATGTTCTCACTTATAAGCGGGAGTTTAACAATGAATACATATGGTCACAAAGAAGGGAACAGCAGACACTGGGACCTACTTGAAGGTAGACAGTGGAAGGTGGACGAATATCAAAAAACTTCTTATTGGGAACTATAGTTACCGTCTGGGTGATGAAATCATTGGTACACCAAACCCCAATGACATGCAACTTATCCATGTAACAAACCTGCACGTCAACTCCCCCTACAAACATAAAATATAAGTTAGAAGGAAAAAAAAAAGAAAACAGGAAAAACAACAGATGTGGGAGAGACTGCAGAGAAAGGGGAATGCTTATACACTGTTGGCGGGGATGTAAATTAGTTTGGCCACTATGGAAAGCAGTTTGGAGATTTCTCAAAGAAGGTAAAACAGAACTACTATTTTACCCAGCAATCCCATGACTGGGTATCTACCCAAAGGAATATAAATAGTTCTACCAAAGAGACACCTTCATTTTCATGTTCATCACAGCAGTATTCACAATAACAAAAATATGGAAGTAACTTAGGTGCCCGCCAATGATGGATTGGATGAAGAAAGTGTGGCACATATGTACCATGGGAAACTATGAGCCCTAAAAAAGAACAAAATCATGTCCTTTGCAGCAACCTGAATGCAACTGGAGGTCATTATTCTAAGTGAATTAACACAGCAACAGTAAACCAAATACCGCATTTTCTCACTTATAAGCAAATCATTGAGTGCTCATGGACATAAAGATGGCAATAATAGACACTGCGATTACTAGAGAGGGGAGGGAGGGAGGGAGGGGTACAAAGGTTGAAAAACTATTGGGTACTATGCTCAGTACCTGGGTGACAAGATCCTTCATACCCCTAGCCTTGGTGTCATGCAATATACCCAGGTAACAAACCTGCACATGTACCTCCTGAATCTAAAATATAAGTTGAGAAACATCTAATACTACATTTTTTAATGTTATTGCTTAAATTGTTCTAACCTTGATCAAAGAACTGTCTTTCAGTTGACTTCCGTGTCCTATCCACATGCTCTCATTTTTCTTTCTTTCTTTTTTTTTTTTTTTTTTTTTTTTTTTGCACTTTCTTACTTTCTGGCATGACACAATGCTCCAGCTCATATTGTAATTTTTTTATTTACTCAGTCCCAGAATCAGACACTTCTCAAATGAGCATGATTTGTATCAGAGGGTGTTATTTAGAAACCAAGACCTGGATGCTGAGAGTGATCATTGCCACTGAGTGTCACTACTTTTAGACCCTCTTAACAGACAGGAAAATAAATACATGCATGTATACTTTGTGTACACACACATCTTGATACACACATCTATAATTATATACACACATCTATAATTATTCCTGTAGATATCTATCTGCATATATATTAAAATAAACAGAAGTTCCTACCAATGTCTCAAACTTTAATTCAGCACCACAGGGTACTTTCTAGGTGCCCCCCATGCTGATTAGTAACAACTTTCCTTGACAGTGAGAAAACTGCATCTTATTTTCTGCAATTTATCTACTTATTTACTGAACCCTATAAATAAATTCTAACAACACCTGTGAAATACTCACAAATACCCTGTGAAAAACAAGTTTACCAACAAGAGTATCATTTGGTTATTTGGTCTTTAGCTCTACAGTATGTAGTTAGAACCTTGTTTTCCAATGTTACTTAGGGCAAATCCTTTTTTCCCACATCTTTGATGAGGTTATATTGTGTATTTGTTAGACAGTCAGGTTTTTCTTTCATTGTCTATATTCTATTCTGGATTCCCAGACATTATGGTTATATTTTTAATACATATATTGAAGTTCACATTTTGTGATGTACAGTACTATGGGTTTTAACAAATGCATAGTTTTATGTCCATCACCCCAATACTATTCAGAGAAGTTTCATAACCCTAAAAATTCCCCAGCTCAACTTATTTGTAGTTCATTACTCTTCCTTCTCCCAAACCTGCTAACCACTGCTGTGTTTCATTCTTATACAGCAGTTTTAGCTTTTCCAGAACATCTTATAAATGAGATGATACAATGTGTAGCCTTTTGGTCTGGCTTTTCTCAATTAGCAAAATGCACTTAAAATTTATCTATGTTGTTGTGTGAATCAATAGCTCTTTCATTTTCACTGTTGAGTTGTAGTCCAAGTATGAAAGTACCACAGTTTTTTTATTTATTTACCTATTGGAGGATATCTTGGTTGTTTCCCATTTGGGTGATTATGAATAAAGTTTCTAAACATTCATGTAAATATTTTATAAATTTTATTTTTAGAGATGAAGTCTTGTCCAGGCTAAAATGCAGCAGCTATTCACAGGCACAATCATGGCGCACTACAGCATTGAACTCCTGGCCTCAAGCTACCCGCCTGTCTTAGCCTCCAGAGTAGCTGGGACTACAGGTGTGTGACACCACCCCTGGCCCACGCATATCGTTTTTGCTTGTTGTTTGCTCTGTTTGTTTTGTATATGCTAGTTTTCAATTCACTTGGGTAAATACCCACAAGTGGGATTACTGGGTCTTATGTTAAGTGTATACAGTGTATTTTTAACTCTGTAAGAAACTGCTAAACCATCTTTCAAGGTGCTTGTACTATTTTGCACTTCCAATAGCAATGAATAAGAATTATTCTTAAAACTTTATAGTTTTACTCTTTACATTTAAATCTCTGACTCATTTTTGTGTGAACTTTTGTATAAAGTGTTAGGTTTAAATTGTTTTGTTTCTTTTGTTTTGTTTTGTTTTGATATGAAGGACCTATTGTTCTGATACCATTTGTTGAAAATATTATCTTTTTCCACTAAGTTGCTTTCAAAACTTTTTAAAAGATCAAATATCCATATTTGCTTGGGTCTATAACTGGACTTTCTATTATATCCTATTGGTCTATGTGTGTCTACATTGACACAAATTCCATACTACCTTGACTATTGTAGCTTGATAATAAATCTTTTTTTGTTTGTTTGTTTGTTTTTGAGATGGAGTCTTGCACTGTTGCCCAGGCTGGAGTGCAATGGCATGATCTCGGCTCACTGCAAGCTCTGCCTCCCGGGTTCACACCATTCTCCTGTCTCAGCCTCCCAAGTAGCTGGGGCTACAGGCGCCCGCCACCACGCCCGGCTAATTTTTTGTACTTTTAGTAGAGATGGGGTTTCATCATATTAGTCAGGATGGTCTCGATCTCCTGACCTCGTGATCCACCCATCTCGGCCTCCCAAGGTGCTGGGATTATAGGCGTGAGCCACTGCGCCAAATCTTAAAATTCAATAGAATGATTTATCTAACTTTGATCTTCTGTTTCAAAATTGTTTTAGCTATTCTAGTTCCTTAGCCCTCCTGCACACATTTTAGAATCATCCAAATTATTCTAGAAAAATCCAAAAATTCTAGTTGGTATTTTGATTGTTATTATGTTAAATCTAGATATCACCTTGGAAAAAACTGATGTTTTTAATAGATTGAGTCTTCCAGTCATGAACATGATATATCTCTTCGCTTATTTAGTTCTTTAATTCTGTCATCAGAGTTCTACACTTTGTAGCTTACAAATTCTAGTCCTGTACTTGTTTTGTTAGATCTATACCTAAGTATTTCATTTTTGGAGGAATGGTTGCAAATTGTATTTGAGGTTTTTAAAATTTTGATTTCCATTTGTTTATTGCTTATATAGAGAAATACAACCTTTTGTGTATATTGTCTTTGTATCGTGCAGCTCTGATAAGCTCACTTATTACTTTTAGAAGATTTTTTTTTTTGGTAGATTCTTTGGAATTTTCTATATAAACCATCATGTTATCTCTCAATGGGATAAATTTTATTTCTTCCTATATAATCTTCATTCCTTTTCTTTCTTCTTCTTTTTTTGCTTTCTTCCTTATTGCACTAGCCAAGACTTCCAGTACCATGTTGAATAGGAATTTAAGAGTATACATCTTGCTTTGTGCCTAATCTCATGGGGAAACTTTCAGTCTCTCACCATTGAATGGGATGTTAACTGTAGTATGTTTTTTTAAGTCAGAATGAAGAATCTCCTTCTAGTACTATGATGAATTTCTTTTTAAAAATTATTCATCCTGGGCCAGGAGTGGTGGCTTGCACCTATAATCCCAACACTGTGGTAGGCCAAGGTGGGTGAATTGCTTGAGCCCAGGAGTTTGAGATCAGCCTAGGAAAATAGTAAAACCCTATCTCTACAAAAAATACAAAAATTAGCGGGGTGTGGTGGCACACAAGTATAGTCCCAGCCACTTGGGGGGCTGAGGTGGGGGGAATCACTTGAGCTTTGGAAAGCAAGGCTGTAGTGAGCTGTAATCACGCCACTGCACTTCAATCTAGGTGACAAAGCAATATCTTGTTGCCAAAAAAAAAAAGAGTTTAATGCAAGAGGGAGGAGGACCAGTTGAGGCTTGGTGTTTGAGATAAACCTAGGCAACATAGTGAGACCCCATCTCTATAAACATTTTAACCAATCAGCTAGGTATGGTGGCATGTACCTGTAGTCCTGGCAACCCTGGAGGCTGAGGCAGGAGAATCGCTTGAGCCCAGGACTTTGAAGTTATGGGGAGCTGTGATTGCGCCTTTGTACTCTAACCTGGGCAACAGAGAGAGTCCCTATCTCCAATTTGTTTTTTTGGTTTTTTTTTTTTTTGACATTTATATTAGATTTTGTCTCCTTACCTTGTCAAGACATCTGGAAAGTGTTTGGGTCCCTGCTTCCTGTGCAGCAGCCTGAAAACTTTCCAGGTGCTAAGCTGGGGCATCATAAAGCTCACTTCATTTGTTTCCTTTCTCCAAAGGATTACATATTTTGTTCTGTTTTCTAGTCTATTGAGACAGGAGGGTACATTCGATCCCTGATACCCCATCTTGGATGGAAATGGTGTAAGAGTTAAAGAAAGAGGAAAGAAACACAAGATACAGCCGACAGTTAAAGACAGGTTTTCTTTAGATAAAACCTGAGAGGTGCTTCTGGCCGATTTCGGTCAGGAACACTTTCTCTTACACACTAAGAGTATATATTGGTTTTAGGATGAGGGGGCTTATCACAAGCTTGGAATGTTTATATGTATGGAGAAGTTTATGGTGGGTTGGGAAACTCTCTGGAAGGAGAGGAGGTTATCTTGGGGCAGACATATTTCCGGCCCAGAGAGGGGTTATCTCGAGGCTACCATGTCTCTGGTCAGGGAGGAGTTTGGAATGTTTCTGGTTGGAGGAGTTATTTGTGGTTTATGGTTATTCTGACCTTAGCCATTAGGCTGATGCCCTTTGGATTTAGGTGGTTTTTATTAAGGTGAACTTTAGAATGAGTGGCTTGTCCAGGATGGCAATGCTCCTGCTCTGTCAGATGGTAGTCATTATCTTGTTTTAATTTTCAATTTGTTTCTAATAAGTTTGCATCTTTCCACTTTGTTAATATTTGTCATTTATCCTTTGTGAATTGTATATTATGAATAATATGCCCATTTATCTATAAAATATTTATCTTTTTGTATAAATTTTTATGACACGTTATGAAAAGAAAAGCTTCTTAAAAATAAGAAAGGGGCCAGGCATGGTGGCTCATGCCTGTAATCCCAGTACTTTGGAGGCTGAGGCAGGCAGATCACGAGGTCGGGAGTTTGAGACCAGGCTGACCAACATAGTGAAACCCCATCTCTACTAAAAATACAAAAACATTAGCCAGGCATGGTGGCATATGCCTGGAGTCCCAGCTACTAGGGAGGCTTAGGCAGGAGAATCACTTGAACCTAGGAGGCGGAGGTTGCAGTGAGCCGAGATCACACTACTGCACTCCAGCCTGGGAGACAGAGCAAAACTCCGTCGCAAGAAAAAAAAAATAAAAGTATTAAAGGAGTCAGTATTCTCTCTTAAAACTTTTCTATTCCCTTACCACACTTTACCTACCTTCTCAGATGTCACTTTTAATATTTATTTGGTTTTCTCTCTTCATATTGGGAATGTTGTGCTGTTGATAAACATTTGTGTCTGCCTCTGCTCACTTCCATGAAGGGACTGCCCCTTCCCCATTCATTGCCATTCTTATGAGTCTGTCAGACAAAGACCCTGACTCCCTCCTACAAAGGTGTGCATCTAGGCCACTTGAGCCAGTTAGAGACTTTTTCCCCTAGACATACACCTGTTATATTACTCAAGGAAACCCAATCAGAGTTCTTGCAGAATAGGTTTATGTATACCCTTTAAGAGTGAGGTTTTCTCTGTGTTTTGTTTTTTGTTTTGATATTAGGACAAATGAGAATAATGGATCCTAAAGCTTCTAGGTTTTATCTTTTTATCTCCATAAAGAAAGTATACATGAGATTGAAAACAACATTGAGGAAAGCAGAGAAAAGATAAAGAAAGAAACATAATTTTAAAGATACTATTTGAACCCTTGGCTATAGCAATGCCTAAAACCCATCTTCTCATCAGTGAGGAATAAACTCTGATTTTTTTATCTTGCCCAAATTTCTATCTAAAGAGTCTGGGGAGTCATGTCCTACAAATCATAAATTCTCATTAGATGGGTTTTATTTAACGCTATATATCATGACTTACTTTCCAACCTGACTGTGGCATAACATTGCAAGACAAGGAAGAAAATCAAAATATTTTACCCCAAAACATATTTTTTTTGCCATATCTTGAAATGGCCCTGCAAAGCTATCCTTTGTGGGGGAAAATTTCCATCTATAAAAAATTTCTACTATGTAGCTAGATCTTTTTCTTCCAGGCCCTCCCAATCCTAAAGAGATTAACACAAAGTCTAGGACCTTTTAAAGGTCTGAATAGGAAGCATTTGTCATCTTTTGTCCCTAAGGACAACAACTGTAAGACTTCAAAAGAAGCTTGGTCTCCATTTGCTTGGTAGATCTTCCTCCCATCCCTTTATTTTGAGCCTATGTGTGTCTCTGCAGGCGAGATGGGTTTCTTGAATACAGCAGACTGATGGGTCTCGACTCTTTATCCAATTTGCCAGTCTGTGTCTTTCAATTGGAGCATTTAGCCCATTTACATTTAAGGTTAATATTGTTGTGTGTGAATTTGATCCTGTCATTATGATGTTAGCTAGTTATTTTGCTCGTTAGTTGATGCAGTTTCTTCCTAGCATTGACAGTCTTTTCAATTTAGCATGTTTTTGCAGTGGCTGGTACTGGTTGTTCCTTTCCATGTTTAGTGCTTCCTTCAGGAGCTCTTTTAGGGCAGGCCTGGTGGTGACAAAATTTCTCAGCATTTGCTTGTCTGTAAAGGATTTTATTTTTCCTTCACTTATGAAGCTTAGTTTGGCTGGATATGAAATTTTGGGTTGAAAATTCTTTTCTTTAAGAATGTTGAATATTGGCCCCCACTCTCTTCTGGCTTGTAGAGTTTCTGCCGAGAGATCAGCTGTTAGTCTGATGAGCTTCCCTTTGTGGGTAGCCCAACCTTTCTTTCTGGCTGCCCTTAACATTTTTTTCCTTCATTTCAACTTTGGTGAATCTGACAGGGGAAGTTCTCCTGGATAATATCCTGCAGAGTGTTTTCCAACTTGGTTCCATTCTCCCCCTCACTTTCAGGTACACCAATCAGATGTAGATTTGGTCGTTTCACATAGTCCCATATTTCCTGGAGGCTTTGTTCATTTCTTTGTATTCTTTTTTCTCTAAACTTCCCTTCTCCCTTCATTTCATTCATTTGATCTTCAATCACTGATACCCTTTCTTCCAGTTGATCTAATCAGCTACTGAACCTTGTGCATTTGTCACATAGTTCTCATGCCGTTGTTTTCAGCTCCATCAGATCATTTAAGGACTTCTCTACGTTGGTTATTCTAGTTAGCCATTCATCTAATCTTTTTTCAAAGTTTTTAACTTCCTTGCAATGGGTTCAAACTTCCTCCTTTAACTTGGAGAAGTTTGATCATCTGAAGTCTTCTTCTCTCAACTCGTCAAAGTCATTCTCTATTCAGCTTTGTTCTGTTGCTGGTGAGGAGCTGCATTTCTTTGGAGGAGGAAAGATGCTCTGATTTTTAGAATTTTCAGTTTTTCTGCTCTGTTTTTTCCCCATCTTTGTAGTTTCATCTACCTTTGGTCTTTGATGATGGTGACATACAGATGGGGTTTTGGTATGGATGTCCTTTCTCTTTGTTAGTTTTCCTTCTAACAGTCAGGACCCTCAGCTGCAGGTCTGTTGGAGTTTGCTGGAGGTCCACTCCAGACCCTGTTTGCATGGATATCAGACCTAAAACCTTAAAAACCCTAGAAGAAAACCTAGGCAATACCATTCAGGACATAGGCATGGGCAAGGACTTCATGTCTAAAACAACAAAAGCAATGGCAACAAAAGCCAAAATTGACAAATGGGATCTAATTAAACTAAAGCGCTACTGCACAACAAAAGAAACTACCATCAGAGTGAACAGGAAACCTACAGAATGGGAGAAAATTTCTGCAACCTACTAATCTGACAAAGGGCTAATATCCAGAATCTACAATGAACTCAAACAAATTTACAAGAAAAAAAACAACCCCATCAACAAGTGGGCAAAGGATATGAACAGACACTTCTCAAAAGAAGACATTTATACAGCCAATAGACACATGAAAAAATGCTCATCATCACTGGCCATCAGAGAAATGCAAATCAAAACCACAATGAGATACCATCTCACACCTGTTAGAATGGCGATCATAGAAAAGTCAGGAAAAAACAGGTGCTGGAGAGGAGGTGGAGAAATAGGAACACTTTTACACTGTTGGTGGGACTGTAAACTAGTTCAACCATTGTGGAAGACAGTGTGGCAATTCCTCAAGTATCTAGAACTAGAAATACCATTTGACCCAGCAATCCCATTACTGGGTTTATACCCAAATGATTGTAAATCATGCTGCTGTAAAGACACATGTACACGTATGTTTATAGTGGCACTATTCACAATAGCAAAGACTTGGAACCAACCCAAATGTCCATCAGTGATATACTGGATTAAGAAAATGTGGCACATATACACCATGGAATGCTATGCAGCCATAAAAAATGATGAGTTCATTTCCTTTGTAGGGACATGGATGAAGCTGGAAACCATCACTCTCAGCAAACTATCACATGGACAAAAAACCAAACACCACACGTTCTCACTCATAGGTGGTAATTGAACAATGAGAACACTTGGACACAGGAAGGGGAACATCACACACCAGGGTCTGTTGTGGGGTTGGGGGAGGTGGGAGGCATAGCATTAGGAGATATACCTAATGCAAATGACGAGCTAATGGGTGCAGCACACCAACATGGCACATGTATACATATGTAACAAACCTGCACATTGTGCACATGTACCAAAAAACAAACAAACAAACAAACAAACCTTGGTCTCTACAATCTTTTATCTTAACTTGAACATTTCCTTTCTTTGATCCCAGGTCTTTAGATAAACTCAGTCAATTGTCAACCAGAAAACGTTTACATTTACCTATAGCCTGGAAGCTCTCCCCACCACCGTACCCCCACCGGATTTTGAGTTGTCCCACCTTTCTTCACCAAACCAATGTATTTCTTAATTGTATTTGATTGAGGTCTCATGCCTCCCTAAAATGTATCAAACCAGGCTGTGCCCTGACCACCTTGGGCACATGTTCTCAGGACCTCCTACTCCTAAGGGCTGTATCACAGGCCATGGTTACTCATATTTGGCTCAGAATAAACCTCTTCAAATATTTTACAGAGTTTGACTCTTTTCATCAACATCAGTTACATCCATAATACATTCCATTCTATATCTAGGCCACTTTGACTTGGGTTTCCAAGTTGCAACCATGAGTCCTGGAAAATACAAAACCAAAATGGTTAGGTTTCTGAAATTGATCATCTCTATTCTACCACAGCATCAGTGAAGCACACCTCTCTATCCATATCTTTAAGTGCTCAGATATTTGGAGAGTGTGTTTTGTAGAGTTTGATCTTGAGTTTAAGATCAAGTGAGAAAGGAAAACTATTACCTGTATTCTACACTGTAAGTCAACCAGTCATTATTATTGTCTGTGAAGTACATGCACATGGCTTGGGGTGGTTTGAGAACATATGGAAAGAGACATCATACACGTCTAAGTAGATAGGGCGTCATTTCTAACTTACAGAATAGAATAAAAAACACACTCAGATGGAATTTTTTTTTTTTTTTTTTTTTTTTTTAGATGGAATCTCACTCTGTCACCAGGCTGGAGTGCAGTGGCACCATCTCAGCTCACTGTAACCTCCGCATCCCGAGTTCAACCGATTCTTCTGCCTCAGCCTCCCAAGTAGCTGGAAATACAGCCATGTGCCACCATGCCCAGCTAATTTTTGTATTTTTAGTAGAAACGGAGTTTCACCATGTTGGCCAGGATGGTCTCAATCTCTTGACCTCGAGATCTGCCCGCTTAGGCCTCCCAATCAAATGGATTTTTATATATGGTCTGTTGCTTTATTTAGTGACTTAGTTGTCACATATGTTAAAATCTGGAATACCATGTACATTATTTTAAAGAAAGAAAACTATTTTATTGATTTTGCCAGTGCTCACCAGTTCTCACCCAACAACCCTTTCAGTTTGCCGATGCTACATCTCTAGTCAATAATTCTGATTTCTGTTTGTTGAGAATCATTATCATGGCTTCTTAAATTTATATATTTTAAGATGCTTTTTAAAAATCAGCACTTCCATGCATGTTATTCCCAATATCAAGGGAGAAGGGCATATGTGCCTGTATTACTCAATCTATATAAACAAAATTCTTGTAAACATTTAAAGCACATATACAACTGTCACACTGTTGGATTCAGTTAAAAAAAAAGTGCTAGTATGACTTAATTCTTCATATTATTTATTTTTCTAGTTCTCAAATAGCCTAAGTTTATAAATAATGGGTCTTTTCTTTGCCTGAAATAAAAATAAGCCACGTCCAGTCACGGGAAGAACTGTAAGAGAAAAATCAGACCCCTGCCATTCTTGCTTTCTGTCCAATACATGCTTTTATGGCTTTTGTAACAGGAAGTCTTCTAGCCTCCTATATCTCTACATTGTCAAGTTTTCCCTTAAAGAAAAGATTTTTCTGATGACCTCTTTCTCCAAAAGGTGTCATATCAGATTTAAGAAAATTTTGGATAGAAGTAGGATTTTTTTCTTTCTAACATTGAGTTGTGTAAGCTCCCCACCCCTCCAAAAAAGCATTCTACTCTGAGCTGGTTGCACAGATGGCAATCAACAGAGTGAAGAAAAACACACATCCACACGCACACACACACACACACACTTAAATGTACTTCCTTTACTATTTAAATCATTTGAATTAGGAATAAAGCAGACTTCTAAAATCTGAGTGTAAACCAGACTGGGGCACAAAAAATGATGAAAGATATGGGATTTTGAGGTGACAGAGAAAATGAAAGAAACATGGATATGTGAAAGAGTAAGCACCTGGTTTATCATAGAGATTGATGGTATCTAGTTTGGAATCCTAATCTGGGCTGGCTTCACAGGTGTGTGACCTCTGTAGTCACACAGAGCTTCATGCTCAGAGGGGTCCTGTGCTTTGTTGAATGCTCTACTGTCACCATTTTGAAATTCTTAATAACCGTTGTACAAGGGGCCCTGTATTTTCTCATTGTACTGAGCCCTCCAATCATGTAGCTAGTCCTGATCCCACTCAATTCTCCCTTGATTTCTTAGCTATCTTGTTTCTTGTTTCTCATTCCCCAATTCTCATTTTCTAGCACCAAAAAAAGAGTAAAATTGTCTTTAGTAAAATTCTATTTGCAAATTAGATACTGTAGTAATTTCTACTTCATTGTTTTCTGCTTATATGTTCATTTAAAATAAATGGAAATCTACCTTTACTCTGAGTACAAAAGGACATGCCCTTGAAAGGTGTTATTCAAACCTTTTGATTCTGCTTTTAAGAAATGAGCTCTGAGGATATTGTTGAGACCCATGTGCACAAGGCATTGAGCTCAGCACTATGTGATACAGAGAAGAACAAGAGTCTATCTGTTCTCAGAGGAGCTCACAAACTAGAGATGACGGTAGATCTGATACAAATAAGGGTGTGATTGAAATTTGGAGAGCTGAGAAAGGGGACTGGTGGGCAGATGGAGAAATAGTTATTGTAGGCTGAGTCTGGAAGGATCCAAAATCCACAGTGAGAACAGTGATATCACGGTTTCAGAGAGAGGTTTCCAAACTGTCTCAAAGATAAAGGAATAAGTATTCCTTTGCTACAAAATAAGTAACCTATTTCACAAGGCAAACTTTAAATACAGTAGATAATGCTTGAAAAATGTCTGTCCCAATGCCTTAGTATATGGTAGGTACTTGATAAAAAATATTTTTCTCATTAATTATCATCTTTATAAAAGTGACTGTTGCATCTTCATGAAATGAAAAAAGTACTGAGAGCCCCATAACTCTGACCAGGCCATCCCAGCATCTAGACCAGGCCATCCCAGCATCTAAATACAACATGGTATCTAGTTCATAAGCCTGGCCTATGACCAGGCCATCCCAGCATCTAGAGCAATGCTTAGCACTGATTAAATGCAACCAGTTCTGCGTTCAAATCCTTAGTTCTACCATTACCTTGGTGCATAATCTTGGACACCCGGTCATACCCCTCTAAAATTCTGGCATCTCATCTGACATATGAGATATATAGATTAAATTATTCCTTAAGCTTGTTCTAACTCTAAACTTTAATTCTAAGAAGGTAACTTTTTTTCTTTTATTGGTATTAAATAATTGTTATTTAAAAAGATCAATCAACCCAGCTCTTCAGAGGTAACTGTTATTATAAATTGCTAAGTCTATTAATTTTTTCTAAAATGTAAGTTGTAGAATTTCATATATGTCATGATCTCATTTCATAAAATTATGTATATAATTCTAAAACTGTAATTTCACATACACACACTTTTACATAATTATATATATTATTATAAAATGATATACAAACACACAGTTTTATGAAATGAGATCATGGTGTCTCTGTGTGTGTATATATATATGTATATCATATATATATGATACTGCAATTTACATTTATTTTCTTTATACATTTCCACATCTAATCCATTATTTTTAATGACTGCATAGCATTCAGTTATATGGTGCTTGCTCTCATGCACATATGCACTCTCTCTCTTTTTTTCTCTCTCTCTCTGTCTCTCAACCCCCATACAGATGGAAAATTAGGTTATTTCCAACTTATTGCTATTAGAATGCTGTAGTGAACATCTTCATACACACATTTTTGCATATATTGTTTTAGGTGGTGAAATTTCTAGATATTAAATTGGTTGGTAAAGTGCTTATAAACACTTAAAAAATTTACTAGATATTGTCACATTTTCCTCCATAAAGGTTGTATCCATTTGTATTCCCATCAACATGTAATCGACCAGAAGTGCCTGTTTCTCCACATCCTCAGGAACTTTCAGGAACTTAATGTATTGAAAGTACTTACTTTCCAATACATTAATTGAAAGTACTTACTTTCAATACATTCATATTTTGATTATCTTGTTGTTTAAATTGACAATTTTGGTTATTAGTAAAGTGGAATGGAAATTTTTGTATCTTTATTAGTTTTTTGTGTTTCTTCTTTAGCAAACTTTCAATTTACATATTTGATCATTATTTTCCATTGGGATATATCCTTTTTCTTATTAGTTAGTACAACCTTAAAACTATGTTATGTTTTATGTATATTACAAATATTTTCTCTTGGTTTGTCACTTGTCTTTCCATTTTGTTTACAGAATCTTTTGCCATCAAAATAATTTCAATATGTTCACAGCCACATATGTTAAACATTTTGTATCTGGTTCTGAATTTTGTATATTGCTTAGGAAGGCCTTCCCCAACCCAGGATTATAAAAATATTCTGTATGTTGTTATTTATTACTTAATCATTTTGTTTTGACAGTTATTCCACCTGGAATTTATTTGTCTGTATAATTTGAGCTTTAAATGTGACTTTATTTTTTTTCCAAATGAAGACCCAATCATATTCTAAATAACCGGATATTACACCTTGCTTTGTAACCTGAAAGTTACCAATGTCTCTGAGCTAGTCTGGGAAAATGCTCTTGAATGAATTTTCATACTTCATCTGTATTTCTAAAATGCAATAACATGCCATAAGGGATATTAACAAATTTTAGCAGTGGGCCTCTAACAACAAGAAAGAATTGTTCATAGTATGTTTCTGGTAGCAAATGGCCTGGCACAGTATCCATTACCCAGCTCAGGGTGGAGGTTGAGCAGATGAGAGAGACTCAGAGAGGTTTGCCTCTCCATATCTGAGATCTGAAACATCAACTAGCACAGGTTCCGCCTTCCCATTTTCTCCTGTCACCTCAAGCCCCTAAAAAGACCTGAATTTTTCTTGAGGGATTACCTACCTTTCTTTTTAATATCATTCTACAGTTTCTTCATCTTCCTTTGGTCCTCACTCTTTGTTTTTCAGGTTGTTAGACAGAGTTTGCTTTTTCCTAAACTTGTTTTCAGATTGTGTTCCGCCATACACTTGCCTCTGTGTTTTCCTTTTGGTTTGCATGTCTACATAGCTAAACATATATGTCATGACTCAGTTACTCCACAGAATAAGTGGGTACAACACACATGGGTAATTCACTACCCTGACATCTCCATATGTCAACAGTAGAAAACATATTTCTCTGGGGGTTCAGGACATGCATCTGGTTGGCATCATAGGACAGCGCTCTGTCTGCTTAAATATTAGCTATGCCAAAATTGTAATGGAACTTGAATGGAACTTGTAATGGAACTTAGTTTTTGTGTTTATTTTCTTGAGTCTTCATTGATATAACACACTAAGTAATATTTTTCCTATTCCCCTTAGTCATCTAACTCTGCATTTTTGTAAGCTTGATGGTCTTCTAAGTGAATTATTTATTATACATAGAGTCTATGGTAACATGATCTGAGGTAGAAGAACTGAGACGGAGACTCTAAAGGATTCCAGCTTTCTAGAGGAAAAGGTCAGTTTTTTCTTTTTCTCAATTTACAGACATAATCTAACAAATGGCTGAAAAGCATGTATGAGACTAACTGAATGCTTCCTAAAGACCCAGGGAGATAATTATTTTACATCAAGTGACTTGCACTAACTGTCATTCACCAGGTACATTTCAGGAAGTTCTGTTTTTTGGTTTCAAGTAATTTTCTGTGATTGTCACAAGGAATCTACTTGTCAACATTATGAACTGGGAGTGGGATAGATAAAAAAAAAAAAAAAAGCAAATGGAAAACAGCTGTCTTCGGCCTGTGTCATCATTACACAAGATTTAAATACTGCAGCCAGGCCCTCTGGTGTCCTCACACTGTCTCTGTGCTGTCCCTAGCAAGCACTATCCCCATTTCCGACTTCAACCTTTGTCCCTTTGTCCATCAGAAATATATCTCAATTGTACTGTTCTTCAGGGCCTTCCTGTCCTCCCTGATGTTTTTTCCAGTGTGATCTTCCATATGCTTTATTGTCTTTACATTTGGAACTTATTTCTCTCCATCTGTCTAATTAAATAGCTAACAGTTATTGAGTACTAGCTATGTGGCCAGCACTATCCTAATCTAATTTTAGCTTGTTTGATTTCCACAGTCACCCTAGAAAGTAGAAAATATTACTACCTAATTTTGTACATATAAAAAAATTGAGAAATAGAGAGGTTAGGATTCTAGCCTAGCATTCTAGTGCCAGTCTGGTGACAAAGTCAATGTTTTTTTAAGAACAATGCCATACTGTTTCTCTAAGAATTACCTCCTAAAAATATTCACTTCTACTTTCCACCTTACCTTTGCAAGTCAAGATCTATAGGTTGATGATACATTGGAAGCATAGTATTTGAAATGCTGATAAGTACCACCAGGTGAGGAATGCTGTAATACGCCATGAGAATGCCAGTCATCATCAACTACAAAAAAATTTCCCTAGGAAATACTATAGAATCTCAGACACTGTATCAATTATGTTGTTTTTTTAAATAAAGATGGGATTCTGCAATAAGTAAAGAAATAATATTTTTAAATAAAATATCTATTATATTTTTATCACAGATTTAAATAAAAACCAAGTTCACTGTAGTAAGTCACCATCCCTTACACAGTGTTTGGTATGCACTAAGCATCCAATAAATATTTGTTAAATGAATGCCAAAAAAATCGAGAAAGCAAATTTTTTAAAAAACGCAATCTTCTACCCACAATTTAAATACTTTTTTCTCATTAGATTAAAAAGCAGGGACATTTTCTTCTTCTATATCTTTGATTATGTCATTCCATCTACTGTCTCTTAGGAATCCTATTTCTAAGACTTTTTGTTCTAGATCATGGAAGATTTTCTTCAACCTGTCGTCCATATTACTAGATCACGATTTACCAGATCAGCAATGAAATGTGTGAATTTAATAAATTTAATTTAATAATTTATTCAATCCAATAATTATTTTAAAATAGTGGTGTGCTTTTATGAATATAACAGTCTTTTGAATTTTGCAGGGAATAGGCTTTTTTAAAAGTTCACTTCTCGTACCTGACTTTTACCTTGTTTGTTCACCTCAGGGCTCATTTTTCATGCTACTGATTTCTCTTAAAGGTCTGGAGATCCTTGGTGATTAAATCATGTTGAATAAAGAACTATGTTCCTTAGTATGAATGGCTAGAAAGAGTTTTCTAAGACACTGGTAAATCCATCTTCTTAATGAATCCTTCTTTTGACTAAGTAGGCTTGCTAAAGGCTTTGTGTGATTGGATAGAGCACTTTCATGGGCAGGTTTTCCTCAAGGCAAAATAATGGGTGACAGAAAGGCAGTATGGGGATCCTCACCACTGCCACAGTAGGAAGAATCTCGCTCCAGAAGTGGAGTACTTAGTTATTATTTTAGTCGTGGGTGGAGTTGCTTATTTCTTTTCATCCCCCCTCCCTTTTTCCCCTTTTATCTTTCTCCCTCTTTTTCGAAGTCTGGAATTAATCAGACACTGCTATGCTTTTTTTTTCCTCTTGCCCACAAAACTTCTGATGTCATATGCTATAATTTTCTCTACTCTGATTTCTCCATCAATCCAATGACAGCTGAAATGTATCAAAATGTCTAGTCCATTGATGGCAACTTCTTCTGTTTTAGTGTTATTATGGATTTATTCTTCCATCATTTTGATGGAGTTTTGGGACAGAGAATGGCAGGTGGGCAAGCATGATCAACTCTTGTCCTCAAAGTGATATTTTAAACAGGAAGTCTAGGGTTCATTTAGAAGTGTCTATCATTTTGTGTTAAAGTAAATGGATTAAGTTCAAATATATCTTTTGTTCCCGCCAAGATGAGGACTTTCTCAAAATTCCACTTTCCCTCCAGAGCCCAAAAATAAAGATTATCTTGACAAATGAAATCAATACCTTATGCATTTTCAACAACTATTTTAAGAATTGACATTTGAATATTGGAAGACAAATTAAAAGTAATAAATATGATAAAAGTTTTCACATTACAATACTCTTACTCTTCTAATAGGCTATATTTGGAATCTCTAGGTTTAAAATATAGTGGTACCTTCCAAAGAAAAGTCATATTTTCTGCACAAACTGAAATGCAAAGAAAAACCCCTTCTCTGTGTGTCAATACAATCAGCACTGTTTATTAGGATATTAATAACTTCCGTATTAGGTCACCACACCTGAAATTTCTTGTATCTTGTTTCCCTGTACAAGAGGGAATGCTCACTCTTACAAAGTTTCTGTTACTTCATTAATTCCAATAATTAGCTTTGTATATCATTTCTCCATTGAGAAAATGAATTAACCCTAGTCTTGTGAGTGAAGGACCCAATCTGCCTCAGAGTTTTGCATTTTTTTGTGTGTATGATTGCTTTTTCCCTTCCAAGTGTTTTAAATGCAAAATACCATGAAAGTCACAACTTCAATAAACCTGCGAAACAAGGAGAACAATGTAATAAATGTCAGCTATAGGCTCTGAAAGAAAGGATAAGTTTAGGCTAGATGGGAATGAGAATTACACAGAAGACTGCATCCTTGATGGAAGCTTGTATAGTTGATCACATCCAATAAAGCAGTGATAGTTATTTCCCACCACTGATGAAAGATCTTTGTGTAAGAGGGTAACAACCAGTAAAGGAAGAGGGAGCTACTTGTTCCCTATCCATACTGAGCATTCACAGGAGCATCAGCAAGTGTGTGTGTGTGTGTGTGTGTGTGTGTGTGTGTGTGTGTGTGTGTGACAGAGAGAGAGAGAGAGAGAGAGAGAGAGAGAGAGTGAGAAGTAGTTCAGCAGTCTCGTCTTCCTGCCAAGGAAATTGGGCCAAGGGAAACCTATTACTGAGACCTTAGTGAGTGACCAGGCAGAAGCTACTAAGCCAGGCCTTTGGTGAGCTAGGCTGCAAATTAGAATATATCCCTAGTTCCAATCCTTTTTATGAATTACCCTTATGAAAGGAATAATCTCTGCAGATGAAAGCAATCAAGATTTAGCAATTACTTCCTTACTAAAATGTTTCTTTTCCCCGATAACCACTGAAAACAATGAAAAAGCTCCAGAGACAGAGTTGTTACAGTAGAGAGAACAAATGCAAGTGAGCAAAGAAGACCTCTCTCCTATTCTATGGTGTTCATCCCAATGTACTGGGGTTTCAGAGTTAAACCATCATTTATAGAAAGAAGAAAACAGGATTTCCACTAAATCTAATCCAATGAGACTCATGACTCCAGGTGCCTTAAAATTTTTAGATTACAAAGGATGTATTTGTTAATAGCTTGAAACTTGAACTAGTAAATCCATCACTATCTTCATGTGAAATAAAAACAATGACAAAAACTAGGTCCATTTATAGAGGTCAAATACTTGTTAACAACTATGCTATGTTTGCAAACATTACTTCTTTTAATCTTTATTACCAATCCTATGAGAAAGCATTGCATCTACTTTTTTTTTTTTTTTGAGACTGAGTCTCGCTCTGTCACCCAGGTTGGAGAGTGCACTGGTATGATCTTGGCTTACTGCAACCTCTGCCTCCTGGGTTCAAGCGATTTTCCTGGCTCAGCCTCCTGAGTAGCTGGGATTACAGGCACCTGCCACCATGCATGGCCAATTTTTGTATTTTTAGTAGAGACAGGGTTTTGCCAGGTTGGCCAGGCTGGTCTCGAACTCCCAGCCTCAGGTGATCTGCCCACCTCGGCCTTCCAAAGTGCTGGGATTATAGATGTGAGCTACTGCGCCCAACCTGCATCTACTTTTTAAAATGAAGACACTGAAACTAAAGGAGATTACATTGCCAAGGTAACCCAAGTCCACCTGACTCCATATTCATGAATATCTATAATCCTCTCATGAGTGAACACCACCCAGAAAGGTTATTTATTCAAATATGCTATAGACTCAGAATTTTGGAACTTGAGGGGACCTTAGAGATGGCCCCATCCAACCTCTTCATTTTATAGACAAGGAAACGAAAGCTCAGGGTAGTGAGTGATTGACCAAGATGGTGGCAAGAGCTGAAGTGCACTCAGGAATACACAGCCCAGGAGAGTACCTTTTCCAGGATAAATGGTGCCAGCACTATTTATTGAATGAGGTGTATCAGCAAACACTTAACTAAGTGAGATGACCCTGAGTAAATTTATCAGGAACTTGAAGACATTTTTTATACATATATCTATATGTATACACACACACACACATAAAACATATCATATATATGTTATTAATAGTTTTGGAGTACAAGCGATTTTTGGTTTCATGGATTAATTGTATAGTGTGAAGTCTGAAATTTTATTGCACCCATCACCTAAATAGTGTACATTGTATCCAATATGTAGTTTTTTTATCCCTCACTTCCCTCCCATCCTGACCCCCTCTGAATCTCCAATGTCCATTATACCATTCTGTATGCCTTGGTGTACCCACAGCTTAGCTCCCAATTATAGGTGAGAACATACACTATTTGATTTTCCATTCCTTATTTACGTCACTTAGAATAATGCCCTCCAGCTCCAACAAAGTTGCTGCAAAAGACATTATTGCAGTCTTTTCATGGCTTAGTAGTACTCCATGGTGAATATATATACCACATTTTATTTATCCACTCATTTGTTGATGGGCATTTAGCTTGGTTTCATATTTTTGCAAACATAAATTGTGCTTCCATGAACATTTGTGTGCAGGTGTCTTTTTAATATAATTACTCATTTTCCTTTGGGTAGATACCCAGTAGTGGGATTGCTGGATAGAATGGTAGATCTACTTTTGGTTCTCTGAGATAACCCGAAGTCCATACTGTTTTCCATACAGGTTGTACTAATTTACATTCCCACCAGTAGTGTGTAAGTGTTCCCTTTTCACCACATTCATACCAACATCTATTGTTTTTTGATTTTTTAATAATGATTATTCTGACTGGGGTAAGATAGTAACTTATTGTGGTTTAATTTGCATTTCACTGGAGATTAGTAATTTTGAGCATTTTTTTCATAAGTTTGTTGGCCATTTGTATATCTTCTTTTGAGAATTGTCTATTCATATCATTTTCCCACTTTTTGATGGATTATTTTTCTTGCTAATTTGTTTGATTGTCTTATAGATTCTGGATATCAGTCTTTTGCCAAATGCATAATTTGCAAATATTTTCTCCCAATTTGTAGGTTGTTTGTTTACTGTGATGATTATTTCTTTTGTTGTACTGAAGATTTTTTTTAATTAGGTCCCATTTATTTATTTTTGTTTTTGTTGCATTTGCGTTTGGGGTCTTAGTCATAAATTCTTTGCCTGGACCAATGTCCAGAAGAATTTTTCCTATGTTTTATTCTAGAATTTTTATGGTTTCAGGTCTTATTTAAGTCTTTAATCCATCTGGAGTTAATTTTTGTATATGGCGAGAAATAGGGATCCAGTTTCATTCTTTTATGTATGGCTATCCAGTTTTGCCAGCACTATTTATTGAATGAGGTGTCATTTCCCCAGCTTATGTTTTTGTACAATTTGTCAAAAATCAGTTCGTTGTGAGTATCTGGCTTCATTTCTAGATTCTCCATTCTGTTCCACTGATCTATCTGTCTATTTTTATACCAGTACTATGCTGCCTCTAGCTTTATGGTTTTTTGGTAGATGTTGTTTGTTTTGTTTTTGTTTTTGTTTTTGCTTTTTGCTTAGGACAGCTGTGGCTATTTAGGCTCTTTTTTGGTTTCATATGAATTTTAGGATTGTGTTTTCTAATTCTGTAAAAAATGACTTTGGGATCATTGTCAGAATTGCATTTAATCTGTAGATTGCTTTGGGCAGTATGGTCATGTTAGTAATATTGATTCTTCCATTCATGAACATGGGATATATTTCCATTTTTGTGTGTTATCTGTGATTTCTTTCAGCATTGTTTTGTAGATCTTCTTGTAGCGGTCTTTCACCTCCTTGGTTAAGTATATTCTTAGGTATTTTATTTTATTTTGCAGCTATAGTAAAAAAGATTGATTTCTTGATTTGATTCTCAACTTGGTAGTTGCTGGTGTATAGCAGTGCTACTGATTTATATACATAGATACTGTAACCTGAGGCTTTACTGAATTCATTTATCAAATCTAGGAGTCTTCTGGAGGAGCTTTTAGGTTTTTCTAGGTATACAATCATATCATTGGCAAACAGAAATAGTTTGACTTCCTCTTCTACAATTTGAATTCCTTTTATTTCTTTGTCTTCCCCGATTGCTCTGGCTAGGACTTCCAGTGCTGTGATGAATAGAAATGGTGAAAATGGGCATCCTTGTCTTGGTCCAGTTCTTGGGGGAATGCTTCCAACTTTTCCTCATTCAGTATGATGTTGGCTGTAGGTTTGTCATATATGGCTTTTATTATTTTGAGGTATGTTTCTTCTATACCTAGTTTGTTGAGGGTTGTTATCATAAAGGCATGCTAGATTTTGTTGAATTCCTTTTCTGCATCTATTGAGATGATTATGTGGTTTTTCTTTCTAATTCTGTTTATTAAGGGAATCATGTTTATTGATTTGCATATGTTGAACCATCCCTGAATCTCTAGGATGAAACCCACTTGGTCATGGTTAATTATCTTTTTGATGTGCTATTATATTAGGTTTTGCTAATATTTTGTTGAGAATTTTTGCATCTATGTTAGTCAAGGATATTGATCTGTAGTGGAGTTTTTTTTGGTTTTTGGTTTTTTTTTGTTGTTGTTGTTACATGCTTTCCTGGCTTTGATATCAGAGCAATACAAGTTTTATAGAATGAGTTAGGGAGGATCCTCTCTTTCTCAATCTTTTGGCATAGTTTCAGTAGGAGCAGTGGCAATTCTTCTTTGAATGTCTGGTAGAATGTGGCTGTGAATTCATCTGGCACTGAGCTTTTTTTTGTTGGCATATTTTTATTACTAATTTAACGTCACTGCTTGTTATTGGCTTATTCAGGATTTCTATTTCTTCCTGATTTAACCTAGGAGGTTGTATGTTTCCAGGAATTTATCTATTACCTCTAGATTTTCTAGGTTGTGTGCATAAAGGTATCCATAATACTCTCAAATGGTCTTTTGTATTTCTATGGTGTTGGTTGTAATGCCTCCATTTTCATTTCTAAGTGAGCTTATTTGCATCTTTTCTTATCTTTTCTTGGTTAATCTAACTAATGGTCTACCACTTTTGTTTATCTTTTCAAAGAACCTACTTTTTATTTCATTGATCTTCTGTAATTTCTCGTTTCAATTTCATTTAGTTTTGCTCTGATCTTTGTTATTTATTTTCTTCTGCTAGCTTCAAGTTTGGTTTGTTCTTGTTTCTCTAGTTCCTTGAGGAGTGATATTAGGTTGTCAATTTGTGACCTTTCAGACTTTTTCATGTAGGTATTTAACACTATAAAATTCCCTCTTAGCACTGCTTTTGCCATATCCCAGAGGTCTTGATAACTTGTGTCACTATTATCATTTCTTTTAAAGAATTTTTAAATTTCCATCTTGATTTCATTGTTAACCCCATAATCATTCAGGAGCAGGTTGGAGAAATGGTAGATTCTAGGACTGAGACAGAAAATATGCAAGATAATTCTGGAACATCTTGCAGTCCCAAAAGAAAAACGTGCTTTAAATAAATGAAAATAAATAAATAGACCTACTAGCATCACCAACAAAAAGATTCCGTAATGGTGGGGAATATTTCAAAGCAACACGGAAGCCAACTGAAAGATCTTCTAATATAAATAAATAACATGGCATTAGATTGTTACGCAAACATAAAATTAATATCCATGAGTCCGTACTGATATAAGTAAATGATTGATTAAATAAATAAAAGGGGAGAATTGCAGTGCAGAAAATTTTTGAATAATTTGTGCAGATACTCTGCCCTCAAGGAAGTGGAACATAACTCCTCACTCTTTTAAATGTGCTCTGTACCTCATGACTTTCCTTCTAAAGAGTCTAATATGTGTGGGGGCAGAGGAGAATAGTTTCACAGTGGAGAAACCTGACAAACACTACCTCAGCCACCTGACCAAAGTTCACCTCCACAGTAAGAAGTCATATGGGTAAAATGTATCCTTAATTTGATGTGATAAGAATGGCACTAAACCTCTATGATGTTCCTCTCAAAACTCGTAACACCTGTCTAGTCATAAGAAAAATATCAGACAAATCCCAATTAAGGGAATTCTATAAAATAGAATCATTCTATAAAATATCTGACCAGTATTCCTCAAAAATGTCAGGGTTATCAAATGCAAGGGAAATCTGTGACACTGTCACAGCCAAGAGGAGCCTAAGAAGACATGATGATGAAGCATAATATGGTATCCTGGATGGGATCCTGGAACAGAGAAAGAATATTAGATAAAACTAAGAAAATCTGAATAAATACGGACTTTAGTTCACAATAATACATTCATTATGGTTCACTAATAGTGGCTCATTAGTCGTGACCAATGTACCATACTAGTAAAGATATTAATAAGAGGTGAAACTGGATATGGGGTATAGGGGAACTCTCTGCTGTCAGGCAATTTTTATATAAATTTAAGTCTATTCTAAAATTTACAAAGAACCAAATTATTTTTTAGTTCTTTATATAATCCAACTAGTAGTAAATAGCTGTATCTCTCCCATTCCTAACCTAAAAACCAACAGGTTTTATTAAAATTATTTTATACATTCCCTTTGATGTATTTTTTAAATGTTTTTTTAATGTTTATAATTTTTTAAATGTTTAATCATAATATTCTCTTACATACTAATATAGGAATTCTCTACTTAATGTTGGTAAACATATTTTAATTTCTTACTTCAAAAGTCATCCACAAAAAGGCAGTAAAAACGGGGAAAAAGATCTATCTTCATTCAAATGAATGTAGTCTTAACATTTTACAAGTGGAGCTCAATTTGAAAGCAGACCTGCTTGTCTCTTTGCTGCTCAATTATCAGGCCAAATTCTTCCCTGCCCCCTTGGATAAGAATGAAAATGAACCCATGGCTCTTCTAGTCATTCTCAGAGAATTACAAGTGTCTGATAACTTTAGGAAAGTGTAAAAACAAACTAATAATTTCTCCACCTCAATGTATTGAAAGCTCATCTTCATCCAAAGTTAAATTTTCTCCCTCTAGCAAACTCAAGCCAGCTGCAGGCAGGCATCTATAGTGGTAAAGGGTAAGCACCACTCCTTTCTATCTCTGCCTTGGCTTTTTCCCTCTTTCCTCTTCTTTCCATGTCTTCTGCCTGTAACGATCAGAGTAAAGATGACAGAAAATAAATGTCTAGGAAAGATATTACTGGATCAGTATTGTCTGGTGCAGCTACTCTCTGGTCCTGGCAAGCATCTAAAACCAACTCTTAATCCCAAACGGAACTTTCAGGAATCCAATTTTTAGTTACATTTCTGAAGGTCTTTTATCTATTACCTCCTTGATCAAACAAATGTATCTTGACTCCAGTTGTTAATGTCTCTCCTAGGCGCTGTCTACCCTGTGGTATCCTTCCAGTTCTTGCCACTAAGATCTCCTCACCTCATAGACAGCTGTCTTGAACTAGGTCTAAGAAAAGCTATCCTTGCCATCTCTCATTTATGGCCTGCATCTGGCCCATGGAGACACTCAGACATCACAGCTCCAATAAACTCTGGCAGCTTATGCTGTGCCATTGCAATTCTCTCATTCATTTGCCCTGCTCTCAGTGCACCCTGCCAGAATCCCTCACCCTTCAGATGTCATAAGATATGAGTCAAACACCAGTCCCCTGGTTGCTCAAAGTGCAGAGAATGTGAGAGGGCCTGCTGACTGCCCTTTCCCTAGGCTTGCAGAGGGATAGGTCCTCCCTTCTCATACTTATTGGGAGGAGTGGGGGCAAAACTCAGAATCACAGCACACTAACAATTCCCTCCACAAATTCTCTCCTATCCATTATGCATTTTTTAATTGCTCTTTCTAAGTTTTTTAAAGGCTGATGTGGGTGGTTAGCTAAAAGTTGAAAAGTATTGGCTTTTGACAACCACCTTGTTTGTGAGTCCTCCTAGTGATTATGTACATCATGTAGTAGTGTTCTAACATTTGTCTTAGGGTCTGGATGAGAACAGAAACTCAAATAGTTCCTTTTTGTGCACACTTTTATATAAAGTAGACAAACATAGCCACAAAGTACCAAGCAAACCTGCCAAACCCTATGGAATCTGGAACATAATAAAAAAGTTAAGAACTAACTTTCAGAGAGGGAATAGAATTTCCTAATTCTAAGTGGCACAATCCTAAAGAAGCCTAACCAATTGTCCTTTCATCAGAACAAGTACTAAAGGTGTGAGTTATCCAAGAAGAAAGGTGAATGTCTATGGAGAGATCCAGATTCACGCAAAAGAAAAGAGCAGAGGAAGAGAAACTGAAAAAGGAATTAGACTATCAAACCATTTTAACTGTCCACAACCCAGCCTCCACATGAAGTCTTTTGTATTTTAATGAGCAACATAGAAGAAGCAAACCAAACATTAAAAGTGATTATAATAATTATGTCTAACACTTACAGCATTTTTATTATGTGCCTGATATTTTTCTAATTGAATTTACATGTATTAACTCTATTAATCCTCACATCAATCCAATGATGTGGGCATTGTTATCTCACACCTCCCTCCATTTGACAGCTGAGAAACTGAGTCACACAGATAGTCAGTTGCACAAGGTTATGCGACAAGCAATTGTTGGAGCTAAGATTTTAAATCAGGCAAGCAGTCCTGAAAACCATTCTTAATTAAGGTTTTGTGGTAGGCAGCCAAGATGGCCGAATACGAACAGCTCCAGTCTACAGCTCCCAGCGTGAGCGACGCAGAAGACAGGAGATTTCTGCATTTCCATCTAAGGTACTGGGTTTACCTCACTGGGAAGTGCCAGACAGTGGGCGCAGGACAGTGGGTGCAGTGCACCGTCCATGAGCCAAAGTAGGGCAAGGCATTGCCTCACTCAGGAAGTGCAAGGGATCAGGGAGTTCCCTTTTCTAGTCAAAGAAAGGGGTGACAGACAGCACCTGGAAAATCGGGTAACTCCCAACCTAATACTGTGCTTTTCCAATGGGCTTAAAAAATGGTGCACCAGGAGATTATATCCCTCACCTGGCTCAGAGGGTCCTACACCCATGGAGTCTCACTGATTGCTAGCACAGCAGTCTGAGATCAAACTGCAAGGTGGCAGTGAGGCTGGGGGAGGGGCACCCGCCATTGCCCAGGCTTGCTTAGGTAAACAAAGCAGCCCAGAAGCTTGAACTGGGTGGAGCCCACCACAGCTCAAGGAGGCCTGCCTGCCTCTGTAGGCTCCACCTCTGGGGGCAGGGCACAGACAAACAAAAAGACAGCAGTAACCTCTGCAGACTTAAATGTCCCTGTCTGACAGCTTAGAAGAGAACAGTGGTTCTCCCAGCATGCAGCTGGAGATCTGAGAATGGGGAGACTGCCGCCTCAAGTGGGTCCCTGACCCCTGACCCCCAAGCAGCCTAACTGGGAGGCACCCCCCAGTAGGGGCAGACTGACACCTCACATGGCCGGGTACTCCTCTGAGACAAAACTTCCAGAGGAACGATCAGACAGCAGCATTCGCAGTTCACAAAAATCCGCTGTTCTGCAGCCATCACTGTGGATACCCAGGCAAACAGGGTCTAGAGTGGACCTCCAGCAAACTCCAACAGACCTGCAGCTGAGGGTCCTGTCTGTTAGAAGGAAAACTAACAAACAGAAAGGACAACCACACCAAAAACCCATCTATACATCACCATCATCAAAGACCAAAAGTAGATAAAACCACAAAGATGGGGAAAAAACAGAGCAGAAAAACTGGAAACTCTAAAAAGCAGAGCGCATCTCCTCCAAAGGAACACAGTTCCTCACCAGCAATGGAATAAAGCTGGATGGAGAATGACTTTGACGAGTTGAGAGAAGAAGGCTTCAGATGATCAAACTACTCTGAGCTACAGGAGGAAATTCAAAGCAAAGGCAAAGAAGTTAAAAACTTTGAAAAAAATTTAGATGAATGTGTAACTAGAATAACCAGTACAGAAAAGTGCTTAAAGGAGATGATGGAGCTCAAAGACAAGGCTTGAGAACGACATGAAGAATGCAGAAGCCTCAGGAGCTGATGTCATCAACTGGAAGAAAAGGTATCAGTGATGGAAGATGAAATGAATGAAATGAAGCGAGAATGGAAGTTTAGAGAAAAAAGAATAAAAAGAAATGAACAAAGCCTCCAAGAAATATGGGACTATGTGAAAAGACCAAATCTACGTCTGATTGGTGTAACTGAAAGTGACAGGGAGAATGGAACCAAGTTGGAAAACACTCTGCAAGATATTATCCAGGAGAACTGCCCCAATCTAGCAAGCCAGGCCAACATTCAGATTCAGGAAATACAGAGAACGCCACAAAGATACTCTTCAAGAAGAGCAACTCCAAGACACGTAATTGTCAGATTCACCAAAGTTGAAATGAAGGAAAAAATGTTAAGGGCAGCCATAGAGAAAGGTCAGCTTAACCACAAAGGGAAGCCCATCAGACTAACAGCAGATCTCTCGGCAGAAACTCTACAAGCCAGAAGAGAGTGGGGGCCAATATTCAACATTCTTAAAGAAAAGAATTTTCAACCCAGAATTTCATATCCAGCCAAACTAAGCTTCATAAGTGAAGGAGAAATAAAATACTTTACAGACAAGAAAATGCTGAGAGATTTTGTCACCACCAGGCCTGCCCTAAGAGAGTTCCTGAAGGAAGGACTAAACATGGACAGGAACAACCAGTACCAGCCACTGCAAAATCATGCCAAAAAGTAAAGACCATCAAGGCTAGGAAGAAACTGCATCAACTAATGAGCAAAATAACCAGCTAACATCATAACGACAGGATCAAATTCACACATAAAAATATTAACTTTAAATGTAAAAGGACTAAATGTTCCAATTAAAAGACATAGATTGGCAAATTGGATAAAGAGTCAAGACCCATCAGTGTGCTGTATTCAGGAAACCCATCTCACGTGCAGAGACACACATAGGCTCAAAAGGATGGAGGAAGATCTGCCAAGCAAATGGAAAACAAAAAAAGGCAGGGGTTGCAATCCTAGTCTCTGATAAAACAGACTTTAAGCAAACAAAGATCAAAAGAGACAAAGAAGGCCATTACATAATGGTAAAGGGATCAATTCAACAAGAAGAGCTAACTATCCTAAATATCTATGCACCCAATACAGGAGCACCCAGATTCAAAAAGCAAGTCCTGAGTGACCTACAAAGAGTTGTAGACTCCCACACAATAATAATGGGAGACTTTAACACCCCACTGTCAACATTAGACAGATCAACAAGGCAGAAAGTTAACAAGGATACCCAAGAATTGAACTCAGGTCTGCACCAAATGGACCAAATAGACATCTACAGACCTCTCCACCCCAAATCAACAGAATATACATTCTTTTCAGCACCATACCACACTTATTCCAAAATTGACCACGTACTTGGAAGTAAAGCTCTCCTCAGCAAATGTAAAAGAACAGAAATTACAACAAACTGTCTCTCAGACCACAGTGCAATCAAACTAGAACTCAGGATTATGAAACTCACTCAAAACCGCTCAACTACATGGAAACGGAACAACCTGCTCCTGAATGACTACTGGGCACATAACGAAATGAAGGCAGAAATAAAGATGTTCTTTGAAACCAACAAGAACAAAGACACAACATACCAGAATCTCTGGGACACATTCAAAGCAGTCTGTAGGGGGAAATTTATAGCATTAAATACCCACAAGATAAAGCAGGAAAGATCCAAAATTGACACCCTAACGTCACAATTAAAAGAACTAGAAAAGCAAGAGCAAACACATTCAAAAGCTAGCAGAAGGCAAGAAATAACTAAAATCAGAGCAGAACTGAAGGAAATAGAAACACAAAAAACCCTTCAAAAAATTAATGAATCTAGGAGCTGGTTTTTTGAAAGGATCAACAAAATTGATAGACCGCTAGCAAGACAAACAGAGAAGAAAGGAGAGAAGAAACAAATAGACACAATAAAAAATGATAAAGGGGATATCACCACCGATCCCACAGAAATACAAACTACCATCAGAGAATACTACAAACACCTCTATGCAAATAAACTAGAAAATCTAGAAGAAATGGATAAATTCCTCGACACATACACCCTCCCAAGACTAAACCAGGAACAAGTTGAATCTCTGAATAGACCAATAACAGGATCTGAAATTGTGGCAATCATCAATAGCTTACCAACCATAAAGAGTCCAGGACCAGATGGATTCACAGCCGAATTTTACCAGAGGTACAAGGAGGAACTGGTACCATTCCTTCTGAAACTATTCCAATCAATACAAAAAGAGGGAATCCTCCCTAATTCATTTTATGAGGCCAGCATCACCCTCATACCAAAGCCAGGCAGAGACACAATCAAAAAAGAGAATTTTAGACCAATATCCTTGATAAACATTGATGCAAAAATCCTCAATAAAATACTGGCAAACCAAATCCAGCAGCACATCAAAAAGCTTATCCACCATGATCAAGTGGGCTTCATCCCTGGGATGCAAGGCTGGTTCAATATACACAAATCAATAAATGTAATCCAGCATATAAACAGAACCAAAGACAAAAACCACATGATTATCTCAATAGATGCAGGAAAGGCCTTTGACAAAATTCAACAACACTTCATACTAAAAACTCTCAATAAATTAGGTATTGATGGGACGTATCTCAAAATAATAAGAGCTACGTATGACAAACCCACAGCCAATATCATACTGAATGGGCAAAAACTGGAAGCATTCCCTTTGAAAACTGGCACAAGACAGGGATGCCCTCTCTCATCACTCCTATTCAACACAGTGTTGGAAGTTCTGGCCAGGGCAATTAGGCAGGAAAAGGAAATAAAGGGTATTCAATTAGGAAAAGAGGAAGTCAAATTGTCCCTGTTTGCAGATGACATGATTGTATATCTAGAAAACCCCATCATCTCAGCCCAAAATCTCCTTAAGCTGATAAGCAACTTCAGCAAAGTCTCAGGATACAAAATCAATGTACAAAAATCACAAGCATTCTTATACACCAATAACAGACAAACAGAGAGCCAAATCATGAGTGAACTCCCATTCACAATTGTTTAGAAGATAATAAAATACCTAGGAATCCAACTTACAAGGAACGGAAAGGACCTCTTCAAGGAGAACTACAAACCACTGCTCAATGAAATAAAAGAGGATACAAACAAATGGAAGAACATTCCATGCTCATGAGTAGGAAGAATCAATATCGTGTAAATGGCCATTCTGCCCAAGGAAATTTATAAATTCAATGCCATCCCTATCAAGCTACCAATGACTTTCTTCACAGAATTGGAAAAAACTACTTTCAAGTTCATGTGGAACCAAAAAAGAGCCCACATCGCCAAGTCAATCCTAAGCCAAAGAACAAAGCTGGAGGCATCACGCTACCTGACTTCAAACTATACTACAAGGCTACAGTAACCAAAACAGCATGGTACTGGTACCAAAAGAGAGATATACACCAATGGAACAGAACAGAGCCCTCAGAAATAACGCCACATATCTACAACTATCTGATCTTTGACAAACCTGAGAAAAACAAGCAATGGGGAAAGGATTCCCTATTTAATAAATGGTGCTGGGAAAACTGGCTAGCCATATGTAGAAAGCTGAAACTGGATCCCTTCCTTTCACCTTATACAAAAATTAATTCAAGATGGATTAAAGACTTAAACATTAGACCAAAAACCATAAAAACCCTAGAAGAAAACCTAGGCATTACCACTCAGGACATAGGCATGGGCAAAGACTTCATGTTTAAAACACAAAAAGCAATGGCAACAAAAGCCAATATTGACAAATGGGATCTCATTAAACTAAAGAGCTTCTGCACAGCAAAAGAAACTACCATCAGAGTGAACAGGCAACCTACAAAATGGGAGAAAATTTTCGCAACCTACTCATCTGACAAAGGGCTAATATCCAGAATCTACAATGAACTCCAACAAATTTACAAGAAAAAAACAAACAACCCCATCAAAAAGTGGGCAAAGGACATGAACAGACACTTCTCAAAAGAAGACATTTATGCAGCCAAAAGACACATGAAAAAATGCTCACCATCACTGGCCATCAGAGAAATACAAATCAAAACCACAATGAGATACCATCTCACACCAGTTAGAATGGCAATCATTAAAAAGTCAGGAAACAACAGGTGCTGGAGAGGATGTGGAGAAATAGGAACACTTTTACACTGTTGGTGGGACTGTAAACTAGTTCAAACTTTGTGGAAGTCAGTGTGGCGATTCCTCAGGGATCTAGAACTAGAAATACCATTTGACCCAGCCATCCCATTACTGGGTATATACCCAAAGGACTATAAATCATGCTGATGTAAAGACACATGCACACGTATGTTTATTGCAGCACTATTCACAATAGCAAAGACTTGGAACCAACCCAAATGTCCAACAATGATAGACTGGATTAAGAAAATGTGGCACATATACACCATGGAATACTATGCAACCATAAAAAATGATGAGTTCATGTCCTTTGTAGGGACATGGATGAAATTGGAAATCATCATTCTCAGTAAACTATCACAAGGACAAAAAACCAAACACTGCATATTCTCACTCATAGGTGGGAATTGAACAATGAGAACACAGGGACACAGGAAGGGGAACATCACACTCTGGGCACTGTTGTGGGGTGAGGGGGGAGGGATAGCATTAGGAGATATACCTAATGCTAAATGACGAGTTAATGGGTGCAGCACACCAGCATGGCCCATGTATACATATGTAACTAATCTGCACATTGTGCACATGTACCCTAAAACTTAAAGTATAATAATAATAAAAGAAAAGAAAAAAGAAAAAAAGACTTTGTAATGTTATGCTTCTTTGAAATTGGAATAACTTGATTTCATTTGCATTTTAATTTTTGTAGTCTGTATCATTAAAAAGTTAAGTAAACAAAATCTCCCAGTTTCAGGGAGTAGTTGTGGATGTTATGTCATAACTATGTACTCCTCAGAATTCAAAGATGTGTAAATATAGCCTCTATTCTCACAGAACTTAAGTGTTCAATTAGGGAGCAGAAATGGATATTTCAAAAGGACAGATGAGGCCAGGCACAGTGGCTCTTCCCAGTATTCCCAGCACTTTGAGGTTTTTTTGGTTTTTTTGTTTGTTTGTTTGTTTGTTTAATTATTATTATCTCAATAGGTTTTTGAAGAAGAGATGGTGTTTGGTTACATGAATATGTTCTTTAGTAGTGATTTCTGAGATTTTGGTGCAACCATCACCCAAACCGTATACAATGTACCCTATTTGTAGTCTTTTATTCCTCACCCCGATCCCACCCTTTCTCCCAAGTCCCCAAAGTCCATTGTATCATTCTTAAGAACTTGTATCCTCATAGCTTAGCTCTCGCGTATGAGTGAGACATACAATGTTTGCTTTTCCATTCCTGAGTTACTTCACTTAGAATAATGGTCTCTAATGCCATCCAGGTTGCTGCAAATGCCATTATTTCATTCCTTTTTGTGACTGAGTAGTATTCCATGGTATATATACTACAATTTTTTTCATTATACTTTAAGTTCTATGATACATGTGCACAACGTGCAGGTTTGTTACATATGTATACATGTGCCATGTTGGTGTGCTGCACCCATTAACTCGTCATTTACATTTGGTATATCTCCTAATGCTATCCCTGCCCCCTTCCCCTTCCCTACTACAGGCCCCGGTGTGTGATGTTCCCCACCCTGTGTCCAAGTGTTCTCATTGTTCAATTCCCACCTATGAGAGAGAACATGTGGTGTTTGGTTTTCTGTCCTTGTGATAGTTTGCTCAAAATGATGGTTTCCAGCTTCATCCATGTCCCTACAGAGGACATGAACTCATCATTTTCTATGGCTGCATAGTATTCCATGGTGTATATGTGCCACATTTTCTTAATCCATTCTATCATTGATGGACATTTGAGTTGGTTCCAAATCTTTGCTATTGTGAATAGTGCCAGAATAAACATATGTGTGCGTGTGTCTTTATAACAGCATGATTTATAATCCTTTGGGTATATACCCAGAAATGGGATGGCTGGGTCAAATGGTATTTCTAGTTCTAGATCCTTGAGGAATTGCCACACTGTCTTCCACAATGGTTGAACTAGTTTACATTCCCACCAACAGTGTAAAAGTGTTCCTATTTCTCCACATCCTCTCCAGCACCTGTTGTTTCCTGACTTTTTAATGATTGCCATTCTAACTGGTGTGAGATGGTATCTCATTGTGGTTTTGATTTGCATTTCTCTGATGGCCAGTGATGATGAGCATTTTTTCATGTGTCTATTGGCTGCATACATGTCTTCTTTTGAGAAGTGTCTGTTCATATCCTTTGCCCACTTTTTAATGGGGTTGTTTGATTTTTTCTTGTAAATTTGTTGGAGTTCATTGTAGATTCTGGATATTAGCCCTTTGTCAGATGAGTAGGTTGCGAAAATTTTCTCCCATTTTGTAGGTTGCCTGTTCACTCTGATGGTGGTTTCTTTTGCTGTGCAGAAGCTCTTTAGTTTAATTAGATCCCATTTGTCAATTTTGTCTTTTGTTGCCATTGCTTTTGGAGTTTTAGACATGAAGTCCTTGCCCATGCCTATGTCCTGAATGGTAATGCCTAGGTTTTCTTCTAGGGTTTTTATGGTTTTAGGTCTAACGTTTAAGTCTTTAATCCATCTTGAATTGATTTTTGTATAAGGTGTAAGGAAGGGATCCAGTTTCAGCTTTCTACATATGGCTAGCCAGTTTTCCCAGCACCATTTATTAAATAGGGAATCATTTCCCCATTTCTTGTTTTTGTCAGGTTTGTCAAAGATCAGATGGTTGTAGATGTGTGGTATTATTTCTGAGGACTCTGTTCTGTTCCATTGGTGTATATCTCTGTTTTGGTACCAGTACCATGCTGTTTTGGTTGCTGTAGCCGTGTAGTATAGTTTGAAGTCAGGTAGTGTGATGCCTCTAGCTTTGTTCTTTTGGCTTAGGATTGACTTGGCAATGTGAGCTCTTTTTTGGTTCCACATTAACTTTAAAGTAGTTTTTTCCAGTTTTGTGAAGAAAGTCATTTGTAGCTTGATGGAGAGGAATGGCATTGAATCTATAAATTACCTTGGGCAGTATGGCGATTTTCGTGATATTGATTCTTCCTATCCATGAGCATGGAATGTTCTTCCATTTGTTTGTATCCTCTTTTGTTTCATTGAGCAGTGGTTTGTAGTTCTCCTTGAAGAGGTCCTACACATCCCTTGTAAGTTGGATTCCTAGGTATTTTATTATCTTTGAAGCAATTGTGAATGAGAATTCACTCAGGATTTGGCTCTCTGTTTGTTTGTTATTGGTATACCACAATTTCTTTATCCACTCTGATTAATGAGCATTAGGGTTAGTTCCATATTTTTGCAATTGCTCATTGCGGTGTTATAAAAATGAGTGTGCAAGTGTCTTTTTCATATAATGAATTCTTTTCCTCTGGGTAGATACCCAGTAGTGGGATTGCCAGTTCAAACAGTAGATCTACTTTCAGTTCTTTAAGGAATCTCCACGCTGTTTTCCACAGTGGTTGTATTAGTTTACATTCCCACCAGCAGTGCAAAAGTGTTCCCTTTCACTACATCCACACCAACATCTATTTTTTGTAATTTTTTTGATTATGGCCATTCTTGCTAGAGTAAGGTGGCTTCGCATTGTGGTGTCGATTTGCATTTTTGTGATCATTAGTGATGTTAAGCATTTTTTTCCTGTTTTTTGACCATTTGTATATCTTCTTTTGTGAATTGTCTATTCATTTCCTGAGCATACTTTTTGATGGGATTATTTGTTTTTGTGCTGGCTGATTAGTTTGAGTTCCTTGTAGATTCTAGATATTAGTCATTTGTCACATATATAGATTGTGAAGATTTTCTCCCACTCTATCAGTTGTCTGTTTACTCTCCTGATTATTTCTTTTGCTGTGCAGAAGCTTTTTAGGTTAGTTAAGTCCCATCTATTTATCTTTGTTTTTGTTGCATTTGCTTCTGGGTTCTTGGTCACAAAGTCTTTGCCTAAGCCCATGTCTAGAAGGATTTTTCCAATGTTATCTTCTATAATTTTTCAGGTCTTAGATTTAAGTCCTTGATCCATCTTGAGTTGATTTTTGTATAAAGTGAGAGATGAGGATCCAGTTATAGTCTTCTACATGTGGCTTGCCAATTACCCCAGCACCATTTGTTGAATAGGGTGTCCTTTCCCCACTTTATGTTTTTGTTGAATGTCACTTGGCTGTAAGTATTTGGGTTTATTTCTGGGTTCTGTATTCTGTTTCATTGGTCTATGTGCCTACTTTTATGCCAGTACCATGCTGTTGGGTGACTGTAGCCTTATAGCATAGTTTGAAGTCAGGTAATGTGATGCCTCCAGATTTGTTATTTTTGCTTAGTCTTGCTTTGGCTACGCAGGCTCTTTTTTGGTTCCATATGAATTTTTAGGAATTTTTATCTGGTCCTGTGAAGAATGATAGTGGTATTTTGGTGGGAATTGCATTGAATCTGTAAAGTGCTTTTGACAGTATGGTCATTTTCACAATATTGATTCTACCCATCCATGAGCATGAGATGTGTTTCTATTTGTTTGTGTCATCTATGATTTCTTTCAGCAGTATTTTATAGTTTTCCTTGTAGAGGTTTTTCACATCCTTGGTTAGGTATATTCCTAAATATGTAATTTATTTTATGTTTATTTTATTTTATTTGCAGCTATTGTAAAAGTGGTTTACTTCTTGATTTGGTTCTCATCTTGGTCACTGTGGTTTTATAGAAGAGATACTGATTTGTGTACATTAATTTTGTATCCTGAAATTTTGTTGAATTCATTTATCAGTTTTAGGAGCTTTTTGGATGAATCTTTAGGGTTTTCTAGGTATACAATCAAATCATCAGCAAAGAGCAACAGTTTGACTTCTTCTTTACTGATTTAGATGCCCTTTATTTATTTCTCTTGTCTGATTGCTCTGGCTAGGATTTCTAGTACTGTGTTCAATAAAAGTGGAAAAGTGGGCATCCTTGTCTTGTTCCAGTTCTCAGGGGGAATGCTTTCAACTTTTCTCCATTAAGTATTATGTTTGCTGTGGGTTTGTCATAAATGAGTTATATTACCTTAAGGTATGTCCCTTCAGTGCTGATTTTGCCGAGGGTTTTAATCATAAGTGGATGTTGGATTTTGTTAAATGCTCTTCTGCATCTATTGAGATAATCATGTGATTTTTTAAAAATTCTGTTTATGTGGTGTATCACACTTATTAACTTGAGTACTTTAAACTGTCCCTGCATCCCTGGTATGAAACCCACTTGATCATGGTGGATTATCTTTTTGATATGCTGCTGGATTCAATTTGCTAGTATTTTGTTGAGGATTTTTGAGTCTATGTTTATCAGGGATATTGGTCTATAGTTTTTTGTTGTTATGTCTTTTCTTGGTTTTGGTATTATGGTGATGTTGGCTTAATAGAATGATTTAGGGAGGAGTCCCTTTTTCTCTATCTTTTGGAATAGTGTCAATAGGATTGGTACAAATTTTTCTTTGAATGTCTGATAAAATTAAACTGTGGCTCCATCTGGTTCTGGACTTTTTTTTTTTTGGCAATTTTAAAATTACAACTTCAATCTTGCTGTTTGTTATTAGTCTGTTCAGAGCTTCTATTTCTTCCTGGTTTAATCCAGGGGAGTTGCATATTTTCAGGAATTTATCCATTTCCTCTAGATTTTCTAGTTTATGCATGTGAAGGTGTTCATAGTATCCTTGAATGATCTTTTGTATTTCTGTGATATCAGTTGTAATATCTCCCTTTTTGTTTTTAATTGAGCTTATTTGGATCTTTTCTCTTCTTATCTTGGTTAACCTCACTAATGGTCTATCAATTTTATTTATCTTTTCAAAGAACCAACTTTATGTTTCATTCATGTCTTGTCTTATTTATTTATATATTTATTTATTATTGCTTTCAATTTCATTTAGTTGTGCTCTGATCTTTCTTATTTCTTTTCTTCTATTGGACGTGGGTTTGATTCATTCATGTTTTGCAGTTCCTTGAGATTTGACCTTAGATTGCCAATTTTGCTCTTTCATACTTTTTGATGTAGGCATTTAAGGCTATTAACTTTCCTCTTAGCACAGTCTTTGCTGTATTCCAGGGGTTTTGATAGGTTGTGTCACTATTATCATTCAATTCAAAGAGTTATTTAATTGCCATCTTAATTTCATTGTTCACCCAACAATCATTCAGTAGCAGGTTATTTAATTTCCATGTATTTTCAGACTTTTTGATATACACATTTAAGGCTATGAACACTTTCCTCTTAACACAGTCTTTGCTGTATCCCAGAGGTTTTCATAGGTTGTGTCACTATTATCATTCAGTTCAAAGAATTATTTAATTTCCATCTTAATTTCATTGTTCACCCAGCAATCATTCAGGAGCAGGTTATTTAATTTTCACGTATTTTCATGGTTCCTTTTGGAGTTGATTTCCAATTTTATTCCACCGTAGTCTGAGAGAGTACTTGAAATAATTTTCATTTTCTTAAATTTGAGATGTTTTGTGGCCTGTCATATGGTCTATCTTGGAGACTGTTCCATGTGCTGATGAATAGAATGTATCTTCTGCAGGTATTAGGCAGAATATTCTGTAAATATCCATTAAATCCATTTGTTCTAGAGTATAGTTTAAATCAATTGTGTCTTTGTTGACTTTCTGTCTTGATGACCTGTCTAGTGCTGTCAGTGGAGTATTGAATTCCACCCCCCACTAGTATTGTGTTCTTGTCCATCTTATTTCTTAGGTCTATGTTATAAACAAAGTTTTGGTGCCACAAAAGAAGTAGCACTCGAATATAACATTTTCTTTTCAATCCTCAGCAAGGCAATGTAATTCTATAGAAGGGTGCTTGCTTACAGATGGAGCAATGGTGAGTGCACACCTGGAAAAAGGAGGGGAAAGTGTTCTTATCCCTGATGCACATGGCCTCTGCTGCTGTGTCATTCCCCTATTGGCTAGGGTTAGACAGCACAGGCTAAACTAATTCCGCTTGGCTAATTTAAAGAGAATGACAGGGTGAGTGGTTTGGCAGGAAAAGTGGTTATGGCAGAGCAGGAAATCAGAATGAGTCAGGGTGGAGAATGAGCAGGTAATAGGAATGAGTCAGAGTGGAGCCGATAATCGGAATGAGTCAGGGTGGAGCAGGTAATCAGAAAAGGTTTCTTTACAAGGAAGTTAAGTTTAAAAGTAGAAGGTAAAGCATTGAACATGCTGACATATTGATTCTTTGAAGAGAAATCTAGAACTCATATCTAACATCTAGTAGTGATTATTTTATACATTTAGGAGCTCCAGTGTTAGGTGCATATTTTTTTAGGATTGTGACATTCTCCTGTTTGACAAGTTCTTTTATAATTATATAATGTCCCTCTTTGTCTTTTTTAACTACTGTTGTTTTAAAGTTTATTTTGTCTGATATAAGAACAGATACTTCTGCTTGCTTTTTGTGTCTATTAGCAAGGAATATCTTTCTCCACCCCTTTAGCTTAGGTTTATGTGAGTCCTTATGTGTTAGGTGAGTCTTTTGAAAACAGCAGATACTTCATTGGTGAATTCTTATCCATTCTGCCATTCTGTATGTTTTAACTGGAGCATTTAGGCCATTTATATTCAACGTTAGTATTCAGATGTGAGGTACTATTCTATTCATCTTGCTATTTGTTGCCTGAATACTTTGGTTTTTTCATTGTATTTTTGTTTTGTATGTACTGTATAATTTATGCTTTAAGGAGGTTCTATTTTGGTTTATTTCTAGGATTTGTTTCAAGATTTAGAGCTCCTTTTATCAGTTCTTGTAGTGCTGGCTTGGTAGTGGCAAATTCTCTCAGCATTTGTTCATCTGAAAAAGACTGCATCTGCTGGGCACAGTGGCTCACACCTGTAGTTCCAGCAATTTGGGAGGCCAAGGTGGGTGGATCACTAGGTCAGGGGCTTTAGACCAGCCTGACCAACATGGTGAAACCCTGTCTCCACTAAAAATACAAAAATTAGCTGGATGTGGTGGCATGTGCCTGTAGTCCCAGCTACTCAGGAGGCTGAGGCAGGAGAATTGCTTGAACCCAGTAGGTGGAGGTTGCAGTGAGCTGAGATCATGCCACTGCACTCCAGCCTGGTGAGAGAGTGAGACTCCATCTCGAAAAAAAAAAAAAAAGAAAAAGGCTGCATCCTTCCTTCATTTATGAAGCTTAGTTTTGCTGGATACAAAATTCTTGGCTGATAATTGTTTTGTTTAAGGATGTTAAAGATAGGAACCCACTTCCTTCTAGTTTGTAGCATTTTTGCTGAGAGATCTGCTGCTAATTTGATAGGTTTTCCTTTATTGGTTACCTGATTCTCTTAAGATTCTTTCCTTCCTCTTGACCTTAGATAACCTAATGACTATGTGCTTAGGTGAGAATCTTTTCATGACAAATTTCCCAGGTGTTCTTTGAGCTTTTTGTATTTAGATGTCTGGATCTGTAGCAAGGGTTGGAGAGTTTTCCTCGATTATTCCCTCAAATAAGTTTTCTAAACTTTTAGATTTCTCTTCTTCCTCAGGAATGCTAATTATTCTTAGGTTTGATCATTTAACATAGTCCCAGACTTCTTGGAGGCTTTGTTCATTTTTTGAAATTCTTTTTTCTTTGTCTTTGTTGGATTAGGTTAATTCAAAAACCTTGTCTTTGAGCTCTGAAGTTTTTTCTTCTGCTTGTTTGATTCTATTGCTAAGACTTTCTAATGTATTTTGCATTTCTCTAAATATGTCTTTTATTTCCAGAAGTTGTGATTATTTTTATTTATGTTATCTATTTCACCAAAGATTTTTCTCTTCTTTCTGTGGTGCCTCCTTGATTAGCTTAATAATTAACCTTCTGAATTCTTTTACTTGAAATTCAGGGATTTCCTCTTGGTTTGGATAGTGTTTGGGAGCTAGTGTAATCTTTTGTGGGTGTTAAAGAACCTTGTTTTGTCATATTACCACAATTATTTTTCTGGTTTCCTCTCATTTGGGTAGACAATGTCAGAGGAAAGACCTGGGGCTCAAGGTTGCTGTTCAGTTTTTTTGTTTGTTTGTTTGTTTATTTGTTTTTGCCCCATGGGCACTCCCTTGATGCAGTGCTCTTCTCTTTCCCCTAGAGATGGGGTTTCCTGAGATCCAAACTGCAGTGATTGTTATTTCTTTTCTGGATCTAGCCACCCAGGGGAGCTACCAAGCTCTGAGCTGGTACTGGGGGGTATCTGCACAGAGTCCTATGATATGATCCGTCTTCAGGTCTGTCAACCATGGATAACAGCACCTGCTCCAGTGGAGGTGGCAGGGAGTGAAATGGACTCTGTGAGTTTCCTTAGTTGTAGTTTTGTTTATTGCACTAGTTTTGTGTTGGTTGGCCTCCTGCTGGGGAGTGGCGCTTTCAGGAAAGCATCAGCTGCAATAGTACAGAAAGGATCTGGTAGGGGTGGAGCCCTAGAGCTCCCAAAATGTTATGTTCTTTGTCTTTGGCTACCACGGCAGGTAGAGAAAGACCATCAGGTAGGGGCAGGGCTAGGTGTGTCTGAGCTCAGACTCTTCTTGGGTGGGGCTTGCTGTGGCTGCTGTGGGGGATCAAGGTGTGGTTCCCAGGTCAATGGACTTATGTTCCCCAGAGAATTATGGCTGCCTCTGCTGTGTCAAGCATGTTGCCAAGGAAGTGGGGGAAAACAGGCAGTTACAGGCCTTACCCAGCTCTCAGGCAGCCCAGAAGGCCAGTCTCATTCCAACTGTGGCCTCCCAAAAGAATCAAGTTTATTTCTAGGCAGCAGATGAGCAGGGCTGAGAACTTGCCCCAGGCTACCAGCCTCCCAGCTGAGAAACCAAGCAGGGCTTTCAGGTTTTGTGCCTCCCCACCTGCTGTGGCTTCTGTGTTGTGTCTACCCTCCCAATTCACCCCTTCCCCAAGCTCTCTCCAGGAAACTTTGCATTTGGTTGAAATTGTTACAAAGTTCAGCTAGGAGTTTCATTCTCCCTATGGTCTTTTCCCAGTTCCTCTGGTAGCCTTCCCCAAGCACCTGTGTGAGACAGTCAGAAGTGGCTTCCCTGGGGACTGAGAGAGCCCACAGGGCTCTTCCCACTGCTTCTCCTACCTCTGTATTTCACTTGGCTCTCTAAATTTGTCTAGGCTCTAGGTAAGGTTAAATCCTTCTCCCATGCTCTGGACCTTCATGTTACTCAGGGAGGGTGTGTGTTTGGGGACAGACAATCCCCCTTTCACACTTTCATACTTGGGGCACTCACAGTTTTTTTTGGCTGTCTTCCAGGGCCTTCAGGAGCAATCCACTTCCTTTAAAGGGTGTATGTATTCTCTGGGCTTCCCTGGTATGTTTCTGCATAGTTCTTAGAGCAAAAGTTCACTATGTGAGTATCCACATGCTGCTCTGTATATCCAAGTGGGAGCTTCAATTTAGTCCTGCCTCCTATCTGCCATTTTCCTCAAGTATCTAATCTCAGCACTTTGGAAGGCCAAGGTGGGTGGATCATTTGAGCTCAGGAATTCAAGACTAACCTGCGCAACATGGCAAAACCCCATCTCTATTAAAAAAAAAATACAAAAATTAGCTGGGTGTGGTGCTGTGCACCTGTAGTCCCAGCTACTTGGGAGTCTGAGGTAAGAGGATGGTTTGAGCTCAGGAGGTGGAGGTTCCAGTGAACTGAGATCACACCACTGCACTCTAGCCTGGGCAACAGAGCAATACTGTCTCGAAAAAATTAAATAAATAAATAAAGACAGATGTACCTCATCCTCATTATAGCACAAGATTTTATAAGTACCATAAGAAGAATCAACAGAGTGTTATAACAAGGTGAGATGAATACCTCTTGTTAGCTCAGTACTTATACATAGTAGGTACTTAATTGATATCCATTTCCTGAATAAATGAGTGAATGAAAGTTCAATGAACCACAGTCAGTTGGAGATATTTAAGAAAGATATTAAGGAACTTAGTAAAAAAGGCTATTGATTGATAAGCACCTTACTATGTGGCAACTATATATATATAGTAATAATATATATTATAAAGGAATATGTTTATATATACCTTTAATCTTCACAATGCTACAAGCAAGCCATATAATCTTCATTTTTAAGAGAATATTGAAATGCAGATTGCTCAATTACTCTTCCAACTTTACATGAGTTTTAAGGGAGCAGAAAAATTCACTCTGCATCTATGCGATGCCAAATTTGTTTTTCTATTGTGCTTCCCTGTGGGTAGGTGTGAGATCATCTTAGGGAAAGGAAAGCAAGAGAAAAGCAAAAGAGCCAGTGAAGGGCTCAGCAGACTTGGGGGACAGTTGAGGTTGAGCATGCATTGAGAACAGGAAGAGGGAGATGAGGTCAACAGGGAGGGGGAGCCTGAAAGGAGGTACACCACAGCAGCCATGCTGAGGGCGTGTCATGTAGACTATGGGGAGCCACTGATAGGGTACGGACAGAAAGCAATGGGCAGCCAGAGGATGTCAGCAGAATAAGGTGAGGAGCAGATTGGAGAGAGGAGAAATAGGAGGCACAGAGGCTACTCCAACAGTCTAGTTCTCATAATGAACACCAGTAATTTAAAAAGAGCATCTCAGTAATACGTAAGTTGTGCAACGACTAAAGACAAATAATTATAAAGATGTAGCATTTAACGGAGACATCTCCAGTGCTAAATCAGAAGGTGCAGAATAATAAACACTTGCTGAGTTTCTAAGACAGGTCTGTATGATTGTGCAAACATATCTTTAAGAATTATATGCCAGGCACAGTGGCTCACACCTGTAATCCCAGCACTTTGGGAGGCTGAGGCGGGTGGAGCACGAAGTCAGGAGTTTGAGACCAGCCTGGCCAACATAGTGAAACCCCATCTCTACTAAAAATACAAAAATTAGCTGGGCGTGATGACACAAATCTATAATCCCAGCTACTTGGGAGGCTGAGGCAGGAGAATAGCTTGAACCCGGGAGGTGGAGGTTGCAGTGAGCTGAGATCACGCCACTGCACCCCAGCCTGGGACAGAGCGAGGTTCCATCTCAGAAAAAAAAAAAAAAAAGAATTATAGCCCTACTTTGCTATTAACAAATGGGAGGGAGAGAACACAATAATTACAACTTTCCATAATTATCTAGAAACAGTAACATGGCAGCAGCAATTTTCTCCTCATTCTTTTTTGTATATGGGTCAGCACGTAAGGTCCAACTGTTTAATAATGTGAAGGAAAAGATTGCAATTCTGACGGCAGCGGCCAAGAGATAGCCCTCTCACCCTTGAATATATACAGCACAGTTGGTCAACAAGGCTGTGTGTATTTTCTACCCAGCCAGAGAGTCTTGGGTCCTCAAGGACAGAGCCTGAACCCTGCATTTCCTTGTGTCCTCCGTAGCGCCAACACACAGCAAGGGTGTAAAAAATACTCTTTAAAGGAGAAAATAAACCACACAGACAAAAAGAACTTAGCAATGAAAAGGACAGTATGACATTTTAGAGCCTGAGTAACATTTACATAAAAGGAGTCTAACTACCTTCTTGCCAGAAAAGTGCCCAAAGACTGTCACTTACATATGAGCAAGATAGTCAGAGTAAGAACATTTAATTGCTTTGACACGTGAGAGAAATGCAAACCACTTGAAACGCCTTTCTCAGAGGTGCACCTGGAGGATAGGATGGGTTAGGGAAGAGAATGGAGAAGAGAGCAGAAAAGAGTAAGACTTATTTTCTTTATTTGCAGGTGCCCACATTGATTGAGGCAGAGAGAAACAGGCATTCTCAACCTCATTCCAGATGTACACACCTTTTTTTTTTTTTTTTTTTTTTTGTTTTTGAGTTGGAGTCTCGCTCTGTCACCAGGCTGGAGTTCAGTGGCGTGATCTCAGCTCACTGTAACCTCCGCCTCCCAGGTTCAAGCAATTCCCCTGCCTCAGCCTCCCAAGTAGCTGGGACTACAGGCATGTGCCACCATGCCTGGTTAATTTTTTAATCTTTAATTTTTATTTATTTTTTTTTAGTAGAGACGGGGCTTCACCATGTTGGCCAGGATGGTCTCGATCTCCTGACCTCATAATCTGCCCACCTCAGCCTCCCAAATAGGCACACACCTTTTAACCAGTTGTCTCTCATCAGAGCAAAGAAACATCCTTTACACAGGTGGGAATATATGATCCAGATTTTTATAAAGAGAGACTCTTCACATAGATCTGGAGTTTTTCCAATGCCATATAAACTGTTATAGTCCTTCTAAATATGCCTACATATCATCTGTCTTTCAGTTGGACATTATCTTTCATAAATTATGTTGCCAATAGGTAAACTTTCATATAAATTTACAGAAACATTTTCTGAAAGTAACTGATATCTTTGAATATTCATTCAATTTAGCAAATATTCTTGGAGTCCCTACTTTCTGCTAAGGCCTGTGCCAGGGGTTGAGAAACAAAAACATTTAAGACTCAGTCCCTACCTTCAAGTAACTCACAGCCCAATGCAGGGGACTAGCACACATTAAATAATTGTTCAGTAGTGTGGCAAACTCATACATTGTGATTTTCACAGATCAGGAGAAAAGCCTAATCTGATCTGGGTGAATTGAATGAGGGGAAGACAGGGACGTTTCCTACAGCTTGCGATACCTGAATAGATTTCTACAATGGCAAAATCCTAACAAAAAGAGGTAAATGAAAGGAAAGGATGAGAGTGGAATTGTATTACTAATAGAAAGAAGATTGTAAGAAAAGAATCACATGGAGGTAAGAAACAGTATGGCATTTATGCCAAAATACAAATGTTTCAGGGTTTCTGGGACCATGACTCTTCAGCAGGAGGCAGAAGGAGCAGGGGTGAGAGTCAAGTTGAACCACACACAGAAGGTCCTGTGAGCCATGCTCAGGAGCTTGGCATTTATCCTATTAGGGATGGATGAGGAGTTAATGAAGACTTTCAAACAGGTTAATGATATGATCAGATTTGTGTTTTAAATAAGCATCTCTGGGAGTTATCAGTGTGGGAAGTTTGAAGGGACAAGAATGAAAGCAGTGAGATTAGCCTGTAGGTAGCAGTTGAGGCTAAACCTAATAAGTAAAGGGATAGGCAAGAAGATATTAGAGAAAACTTGAAGAAGAGAAAGCAATATAAATTGGTGATTAAACTTGATATTGGAGTAAGGAAGAGGGAAAAGCCAAGACTTCAAGGGGGGTGCTAAAACCAAGACTGAAAGAGGTAAAGGTAGGAAGGGAGCCGTAGAGTTCAACATCTGACATGTGTTTGGGGTACTTTTGGGACATCTGAGTGGAAATACCTAGCAGACATTTGGATAAATGAATGTGAAGCTTGAGGTAGCTTCTGGGCTGGAGGTATAATTTGGAAGTCAGTTAACTGCTTTTGTTTGTGACTCACTTAAAATATCCCACTGGCAGATGTTATGCAAATTCCATATCCTTAGTTGAAAAATGGCACAAGACTGTGGCTCAGGATGGCATTAATTGGTCTTTTAGGGCTTTGTGAGACTGTGACACTTTAAAATAACTTTTGAAAGAAACATCCATCGACAAAGTTAATAATGTACTCATGTACTCATGGGGAGAAGAGAGCTAAGGAAGTCATTACTGTGGAACTGTCTCTGACTTAATGTCTGATGGGGCCAATAATGCCTTTACTGACTACTTTCATGGATGTTTATAGACTCAAGTGAGATAATACAATTTGAAAAAATAAAAAGGCTTTTGCTGTTTACAGACTTAAAAAATACCGAGAAATTTTATGTTATGCTTTGGCTTGGGCATCTTGCTAAATATTATATTAAAGAAACTGAAATGAGGAAAAGAATCAAATCTGTAGTAGCTTTATTTTTATGTATACAGAGACCCATCATTCATTAGATGGTGACTGTGTCCTTGGAGAATCTTCATTAAGTAATCAGTTAAACTGAATCCAGAGCTCCAAATAGATCCTGGTTTTCATAACATCAGAGTGTTGAACTAATTTAATTATAAGAGCAAAATGCCAGGAGCCAAAAGGATTCAAAGGAGAGGAAAAAGAATAATTAGATAAGCTGCCAGACATAAAATATGAACAACCATTATCACCAAGAATATGAAGAACATAATCCTACAAACAACAACAAAAAAAACACCTCCCTGTGTCATTGGAAATCTGATAACATTGCTGTTTATTGTTAAAGCCACATGAAATGAAGTTAGTATCCCTTGGCTCTACTCAATCTCATCATGACTTAATTTGCCACTCTACAACATGTTCTCTATCAACTTCCATGGAGTTGAGTTTGTATTTGTTTACTTAGTTGGTAGACTTGTATAATACATCCAGTCATTAGTGTGCCCTCTACGTTTTCATGCATTTCTTTTGTGTTGGTTTCCATTTTAAATTACCCTTAGAGTGTCTTGCAAAAAGAATGTTGCAGAAGGTTCTCTTTTTTTGGAGTGAGGATGTCAGAGACATGATGCGGTCAAATAATAATGAGAAATACTGTTATGATGGTTAATGTTATGTGTCAGTTTGACTGGGTTAACAAATACCCAGATAGCTGGTAAAACATTTCTAAGTGTCTCTGTGAGGGTGTTTCCAGAAGAGACTAGCATTCAAATTAGTAGATTGGGTGAAAAAGAACCACCCTCACCAGCATGAGCAGGCACCGTCCAACCCATTGAAGACCCAGCTATAACAGCAGGTGAAGGAAGGGCAAATTCACTCTTTGTTCTTGAGCTGGAACATCCATCTTCTACTGCTCTCAGACATCAGGGATCCTGCTTCGTGAGCCTTTTGACTCTAGGACTTACACCATAGGGCCTTCCCAACCAGTCCCAGTTCTTAGGCCTTTAGCCTTGAGCTGAGAATGACGCCATTGGCTTTTCCAGTTCTCTGGCCTTCAGAAAGACTGAATTACAGCACCAACTTTCCTGGTTCTCCAGCTGGCAAACTGCAGCATATTATGGGACTTCTCAGCCTCCATAACCCTAAGTCAATTCCCATAATCTCCTCATGTATAGCTATATATATCCTATTGGTTCTGTTTCTTTGGAGAACCCTGACTAATACAACTATGTTCTGCAACTTTTTCTGAGATTCAAAATGAACATTAGCATACTGAAGGCTCTAGAGAAATAAAAACTGCTTAACCTTTTACATCCAGCCTTAAGCTAATTTGATCACAGATTCTTTCTCCTGGAACAATGATTAAGAACCTGAGAAACCAGTGTCCAGTGGATCTACTCTGAGAAATAGCACCAGAGGTTGGAGGGAGGATGGAAGCCTCACAATATATATTAATAAATAGGAACTTGATAAACAGTTTAATATGATTCCATCTGTTCTAGCTTTTATATCCAGATAACAGAGTAATAATAGTCAGGAAACTTGAGTTTCAGCCCTGAATGTGTGGTTTTGAGCAAATTATTTTACTTCTCTTTTCCTCCTCAGTCTAAGAGAAGGGTAATGTTATGACTATAATGAGTCAGTACGTATTCAAGTCCTTTGGAAAATAACATATGATATTTATCAGGTGTTTACTCTGTGCCACCATTGTGCTAAACACTTTGAAACATCACCTTTTAAATTCTTATGACAACCCATGAAGCAGGTACCACTCTTCAAGTAAATTCACAAAATTTCAAGCTGAGGTTTAGAAAAGTTAAGTAACAAACCCAAAGTCAAACAGCTAAAAAAGGCACCAGGAGTTTAAACCCAGTCTGTTTTGCTCCAGAACACAAGCTCCTAGCCACTAATGATATTCAGCCTTAGCAACTCAGGTAAAAAGGCAACAGAATTATTTAGATATCACACATATTTTGGTGTGAATTCCCTCCATGAGATAACTTATCCCAAAAGCTGTTTTACCTCACCAAGGGAGAAGAATATAAGGTTTTGTCTTCCCAGCCTCACTCATGTCTGTTTTTCCCTGTGCCATGAGTGGACAGTGCCAAGTGGGAGGGGTGTGGGAGGGAGGCAATGGAGTTAGCAGTGCCGAGTGGGAGGGGTGGTGGAGGGTGCCAATGGAGTTAGCAGTGGCAAGTATGCTGCAGGCCTAAGTTGCTGCCACATCCCAAATTTACATTAGTAGCATATCAATACTTCTTCTAAAATTTGTGAGAAAAATACATTGTTTAAAAGGCCTAATAAAATAAAAGCATTTTATTACTGAGCGGAAAGTGTTTTTCATTATTCCAGGAACCTTAAAAGATTATTCAATCCATCTCATCTCTTAATGTCACAACAAAGCCATAGTTGTGAGAGCAGATGCCAAATGGAGGTTAGTTATAGCGGTAAGAGTGGAGTTACAAAGGATGAGAGTCATTATTTTTTCATTCATTCAAATAGTTTCTACCAAATGCCTACTATTTTAGATCTTAGGGATACTGCAGAAGAACTAAGTGATAGAGTTTATATTTCTTGATAGATTGGATTATTGTTTCTAACAATAGGATTATTTCACCTAATGAGAACCCTAGTTACCGTCATTTGACTTCTGTTAAAGAATTATACAGTCTTTGACTTAACAATGATTTGAATTTATGATGGTGTGAAAGTGATGCACATTCAGTAGAAACATACTTCAACTAGCCCTACAGCCATTCTGTTTTTCACTTTCAGTACAGTACTCACTAAATTACATGTGAGATTTAACAGTTTATTATAAAATAGGCTTTGAGTTAGATGACTTTGCCCAAATATAGGCTAATGTAAAAATGTTCTGATCATGTTTAAGGTTAAGCTAGGTTTAGCTATGATGTTTGGTAGATTAGGTGTATTAAATGCACTTTTGACTAAAAATATTTTCAACTTGCAATGGATTTATCAAGACATAAACCCATTGTAAGTCAAGGAGCATCTGTATATTCTATTTGACTCTTTGACTTTGCACTTGAGCACATGACATGCTTTGGCCAGTGGAACTTGAGAAGATGTGACTGTCACAACTGATCATAATTCTTAAATGAGATTTCCTTGTTTGGCTCTGTCACCCTTGTATTCCTCCCCTTTCCCGTATGAACAGTTTCTTCTAGAGAAGCAATGTTTTTTCTTCTTCAGTCCTGAAATGGAAGCAAGCCTAGCTGAGCCTAGCTGTACACAGTAGAACCAAGAAAAGCTGCAGCCTACCCACAGCCTTCACATGAAATAAGGAAAGACATGTTTGTTGCCACAAGCTACTGGAATATTGGCGTTGTTTTTTGTGGCAGCAAAACTGTTTTACACACACACTATTTCGGGATACAATGACATATAAATAAAAAATATGTCGGGTATTAAAAGTTCCATTCCAAAAATTTAAGCAGGAGAAAGTGAAAAGAATGACAGTTAGGGAATCAAATATGCTGTTTTATTAAGGTAGTAGGAGAGGGTTTCTCTGCCAGAGTTGCATTTGATCACAGACCTGAAGAAAGAGAGGCTAAGAAATGTGCAGATAATTGTCAGAAAAGCATTCTAGGCAGAGGGAACATCAAGGCAAAAGCTCTATGAGGTGAGGAATACAGGGGATGAGTATAAATTGAATACTTCTTGGATGCCAACGGGTATCCAATTGTGGATCATAGTATTGGCAGATGTGAAGTTGTGTGGGAATTCAGAATTGGGAGACATTATAGGATTGTAGGATTTTATTTCTGGACAGATCTTGGAGGTCATCATCTAATATATCATTGTGTAGAAAAAGAAACAAATCCACAGAAGTAAAGAGATTTTCTCAAAATGACAAGATCAGGCAGAGTTTGGATGAGAACCCACATTTCCTGGTTTAAAGTCTAAGAGCATGAGCGTGTAATGAAAACACATAGCTTGGCAATTGACTTGTGAAGAGATACAACATTCAGGAATTGGGAGGAAAGAAGTGGTGCTCCTTATATTATTATCTGAATTGATGAATACCAAATGTAAATTCTCCAAGGCAAAGCTGGATTGGACACCAACTGTTGTCACCACTGACCCAATCAGAGCTATTTCTGAAGTATCTGCACTTTTTAAATGATTGAACAGTTCCCAAATATTTGGTTAGCTAGATCCCTACCTCTGCCATCAAAATATATTTCTGGAGAATCAATATATCAACTTAAATAACAAAAGCACTAGAAAAATGTTGTTGATATAAAAGAAATCTTGCAAGGGAAAAGCCTTTTAAATATTATATAAAACCATAAATTACAAAAGAAGGACTGATAAACTTGATGTAGAAATTTTAAACTTCTGAATCAAAAGAAGTTATAGTAAAAGTAGTAAAAACTATGGAGAGGAACATTTGCAACTCATTTGACAGAAAAAAAAGCTGATTTCCTTAACTAAAAAAAACTTTAAATTAGGATTAAAAAATTAACAAATCAATAATAAAAGGGACAGGGATATGAACAGGTAATTCACAGGAAAAGAAATACAGGGCCCAAAAGCAGATGAAAGATGTTCATCCTCTCACATAATTGAACAACAAGAATATCAAAACATAGAAATAGCAGTTTTTAATATTTCAATGGTAAAAATTTAAAGCATGAAGAAAGTCATTGCTGGTGAGAGTGTAGCTGCCCAGACACCTTCACATATTTTTTGTGGGAGGATCAAGTTGCAGAATCATTTTAAAGCAATCTTTGGCAACATCCATAAAAACATAAAATACACACTCTTGTGACTCAGCAACTGCACACATAAAAATATAAATTTGAATATTTGTTCTTTCAGCAAATATTTATTGAGTACCTACTATGTGCTAGGAGCTAGATTCTGTGCTAGGAGCTGGGCACAATTGAGCAGAGAAGCAGGCTACATGCAAGGAAATTGTCAGGGCTTGTCTAATAATGGAATAGAACATAATTTGAGGTAGGAATTAGGAAAGCTGAACTACAGTTTTGGTTTGTGGCCAAATTAATGTTGTAATCTTGTAACTCTGTTTTTCTTTCATTTAAAACAAGAGGGTTTTAGTAGAATTTTATGACAAAAATCCCATCTCTCTGAGTTTTAAGGCAGAACCCATATTTAGTGAGAAAGGAAATGGATGTTCCAGGTCTTGCTCCAACCCCAGACTTTTCAGAATCAAGGGGGGGCACTGCTTAAAAATGGAGCACTCTGGGCTGAGCAGGGTGGCTCATGCCTGTAATCCCAGCACTTTGGGAGGCCCAAGTGGACAGGTCACTTGAGTCCAGATGTTCAGGACCAGCCTGGCCAACATGGTGAAATTCCGTCTCTACTAAAACTACAAAAATTAGTGGTGGTGTGCACCTGTGGTCCCAGCTACTTGGGCGGCTGAGGCAGGAGAATTGCTTGAACCCCAGAGGTGGAGGTTGCAGTGTGCTGTGATCACACCCCTGCACTCCAGCCTGAGCAATAGAGCAAGACTCTGTCTCAAAAAACAAAACAAAAACACTTTCTCAATCTTCTTAGAACATAACCCCAACTTGATGGCAAGTAATTTAAGACATTTATAGTAAAACAAACATAGATAAGTTATGAATAAGACAAAAATGACATCCATTTTTAAAATAATACTCAGAGAGAGAGAGAAAGGAGGAGGGGCAGAGAGAGAGAGAGAAAAACAGAAAATTTCTCTTGCTCTTGAGGCCTGTTTCATCCACCTTTGCAATTTCCAAAAATGAGTTAGGCCTCTCCTCTGGGGTGAGGGTATTTTGGTGGAATGTCCCAGACAGCTGTTCTAATCACATTTTTGCTAGCTACTGGTCCTAGAGTTTTATGTCAGCTTTTTAAAGCCTTGTTTTTAAAGTTGATTCCAGCTAATTTTGCCCCTGAATTTTAGTTTCTTAAAAAGAGACTTACAACATCTGTTCACAACGTAACCTTTTTTACAAACAGTTCCCAGCCATGGAACAAAGTATATCTTGCCATTTGGCCAGCAGATGGTCACAGTGTTTAGGAATCAACGTTTTTCCACATCGGCTTGTTTCCTTCATCATTACAGTCCTGATATTCTTCTTGTCAGGCAAATAGCCCAGAGTATAGACCCTCATCACAGGCCAGGATCCTGCAAGTTCTGCAAGGGCTCCATATGAGTGGTGGTTGTTCTTGTTTTTGTGTAGATTTTATTTATTTTTCTCTCCTTTTTTAATATGTATTTTCACCTTTCCTCTAAGGTGAAAATATGTATTATTTTACCTTTCTTCTTTCACTAAGCCACATCTCCAGTGATTCCTCCCTCCTAAGCAAAACTCACTCTCTCACTAAAAGTCGTCCTAACTTTTACCATAATTAGTTCTTTGGTTTTCTTTACAGGATAATAACTGTATTAAGAAGACACAGGCATGGAAGAATTACAAAGAGAGAGGATTTTTAGTTGCTAACTTTTCTCACCAAATTAAAAAAAAACTCACTAGATAGTTTAAAGAAAAGACCCCAAATTACTAAAGTTTCTAAGTTTATAGTCTCTTCCTGGTAGAAAGCAGCTATTTTCTTATAGGAACATATATCAGTATTTTAAGTCAGGGGTATCATTCTATCAAGGAGTTAGTCATTTACAGAAAATGGCTCACTAGACAGAGTGATCTTGTTGGATTTTTGTTTGATTTTATTTTTGCAGGGGAGGGCAGAGTGGGAATTTCAGGATGCAAAGCATTTTCTTCTCCTTGAGTTGGGACATGATGTGCACATTATTTTACTAATAATAAAAGTAAGGTTCGTGTCTTCATGTCAGTTTTTCTCTCACAGTCCCTCCTTTTGGTCATATTCCACCCTTAGAATACGGATTTAAACAAATATTTTGTTTTTTCTGTTGTCTTGTTTTGTTTGGATTCAATATTATTAATTTGATGTTTTATCTGGCCAATTCCATTTACATAGTTGTAACAAGAGGTATTAATATACAAGGAACTTCTTATTGTATGTTTTACAAAACTAGAGCCATATGGTACCAAAGCTGGAGAGTTAACCCCTGTGTGGGAGTTTGGTAAAGCCCCTAGGGTCATCCTTTTTATTACTTTCATGTGGCAGACAAATTTGCATGGTTCTCATCAACTCAATTTGCTTACTTCAAATCTGGGAGCCCCTGATTTCCAATTCTCTTCTATACAGATTCTGTGTGCACCTCCTAAAACTGTAGTGGTATCATTAACTTTGTAAATATCCCTGTGTCAGGAAATGACACTGTTGTCACCTGTAAAACTAAGACTGTAAGCAAAGTAGCAGGTTGCCAGCTGGGTTCTTTGAAGGAAATTGTGTGTACCATTACCACATAAAATGTTTATTATTTGTTCTTTAATAGTTGAGTTTTTAACCTAATCAAATGGAATTTGTCTTTAAACATGACATTTCTGGCAAGGTCATGTTGCAATTTTGAATTTACCTAAATTTTTGTACCTCTGCAAATAACTGCGTGGTTGTGAAAAGTAAAGGAATTCAGTAAAGGCACTTTAAAAATATTTAACCATTATTCTGAATAATGTTACAAGGGGAATTATCATATATTATTCTTTATATAATAATTTTACCTGATGATTTATTGGCTTGAGAATACCTATTATACATCTTTTTTTTCCCTAAATTTTGAGGAGTCAGTGGGAAGAAGATAGCATTTTAAAAGCATATTATTCCAGTTTGTACAAGTCTAGCCTGTTAAAGTAAGGTTAGTGATAAATGAAAAAGAAAAAAAGAAGGGGGAGATTTTCTTATACAGTATGTCTAATTAAAAAAGATGGAATGTTAACTACAATTACATGAGGTTAATGCAGTTGTAGGTAACTAATCTTGTTTTGCTGGCCTGGAACTGAGCAGCTCATGTTCACAAAGTCTTCTACTTCTAGAATAGAAGTGTTCTGGAAATTCTGTCTGAGAGGCTTTTACTCGTGGTAACAATGCCAGGTTATTCTGGGATGCCTGCACCTTTGAATCCATACCCTTTTGGATCAATAGCCAGAAGTACCCGAAAGTCTTTTACTGAGCTTCTCTTGATGTTTCTTTCAGAAAACTCAGTTTCTGCCATGAGACTTGTAACTGGGGACTTGAGGCAAGTGTGAATGAAAGGAAAAGATGCCCTGTTATCAATAAGGCAGAATAGCTTATTGTTAAGTTACTGCAATAACCATCAATATCAGAATGCAGGACAGTGAAATCCTCTACTGAGATATACATAGTTATTTCTAGGGATTCAGTCACTAACTATCCTGAAAATAAAATGTATTGTAGAGAGTGAGGTCACTGTAAGTTTCTGGGGTTTTCTAATTTATCCCCCAAGAATGTGCTATGAGTGCAGGTTCTGATTGTCACCAACTGACAAGGGTATTTTAAACCTAGAGAAAAAAAGTCATTTAAAAAAATAATAATTTTTCGTGCTACTATTATTTTCACTTGTGTCCGTGTGAAGAGACCACCAAACAGCCTTTGTGTGAGCAACAAGGCTATTTATTTCACCGGGGTGCAGGCGGGCTGAGTCTGAAAAGAGACAGTGAAGGGAGATAGGGGTGGGGCCATTTTATAAGATTTGGGTAGGTAAAGGAAAATTACAGTCAAAGGGGGGTTGTTCTCTGGTGGGCAGGAGTGGGGGTCACAGGTGCTCAGTAGGGGACCTTTTGAGCCAGGAGAAGGAATTTCACAAGACAATGTCATCAGTTAAGGTAGGAACAGGCCATTTTCACTTCTTTTGTGGTGGAATGTCATCAGTTAAGGCAGGAACCCGCCATCTGGATGTGTGCGCGCAGGTCACAGGGGATATGATGGCTTAGCTTGGGCTCAGAGGCCTGACATTCCTGTCTTCTTATATTAATAAGAAAAATAAAATAGTGGTAAAGTGTTGGGATGGTGAAAATTTTGGGGGGTGGTATGGAGAAATAATGGGCGATGTTTCTTGGGGCTGCTTTGAGGGGGATTAGGGGTGGCGTGGGAACCTACAGTGGGAGAGATTAAGCTGAAGGAAGATTTTGTGGTAAGGGGTGATATTGTGGGGTTGTTAGAAGAAACATTTGTCTTGTAGAATTATTGGTGATGGCCTGGATACAGTTTTGCATGAATTGAAAAACTAAATGGAATAAAAGAAGGAGAAAAACAGGTCTTAAAGGACTAAGAATTGGGAGGACCTAGGACATCTAATTAGAGAATGCCTAAGGAGGTTCAGCATAGGCTTGCCAGCAAAGATTATTTATTTACTTTAAGAGTTAAGCGTGGCGGTTCGGGGATAGCACCAGGAGACATCAGCTGTGATGGCTTGGAGAAACAGTGTAAACCAGCAGTGTAAACAAGAGCAGGGCGTGTATGAGTAGTTGAGAACAGTGAATAGGAGGATGACTAGACAGAAGATAATAGGGATGACAAGTTTTTTGGAGCACAGTCTAAGTTGGTCTGGTGTCTGGAATGAGACTGGGGCCTAATAAAAAGGAGTGTCTATAGAGGAGCTTAAATGGGCTGTACCTTGTAGCATTCTGAGGACAGGCCTGAATTCTCAGAAGGGCAGGTGGTAAAAGTATTGTCCAGTCATTTTTAAGTTGGTGGCTGAGCTTGGTGTGGTGTGTTTTTCAAAGACTATTAGTTCACTGAATACTAAGAGCCTGAGAAACTGCTTGGGTGATTTGACTAATAAAGGCCAGTCTGTTATAGGACTGTATAAATGTGGGAAGGCCAAACTGAGGAATTATGTCTGACAGAAGGGAAGAAATGACTGTGATGGCCTTCTTAGACCCTGTGGGAAAGGCCTCTACCTATCCAGTGAAAGTGTCTACCTAGACCAAGAGGTATTTTAGTTTCCTGACTCAGGGCATGTTGAGTAAAGTCAATTTGCCAGTCCTGGGCAGGGGCAAATCCCCAAGCTTAATGCGTAGTGAAGGGAGGGGGCCTGAATAATCCCTGAGAAGTAGTAGAATAGCAGATGGAACACTGAGAAGTTATTTCCTTGAGGATAGATTTCCACAACAGAAAGGAAATGAGAGGTTCCAAGAGGCAGGCTAGTGGCTTGTACTATAGCATAGCCTGCCTTTGCTGGTGTGTGGTGATTAGGCCTGGTGGAACTGCCATCAATAAACCAAGTGTGATCGGGGTGAGGAACAGGAAAGAAGGAAATATGGGGAAATGGGGAGAATGTCAGGTGGATCAGAGAGATACAGTCATGAGGGTCAGGTGTGGTATCAGGAATAATGTGGGAGGCCGGATTGAAGTCCAGGCCAGGAATAATGGTAATTGTGGGAGACTCAACAAAGAGTGAGTACAGCTGAAGGAGCTGGAGAGCAGAAATTATATGTGTCAGGTGTGATGAAGAAAATAGATTTTGGAAGTTATGAGAACTGTAGAGAGTGAGTTGAGCATAGTTTGTGATTTTAAGGGCCTCTAAAAGTATTAGGGCAGTGGTGGCCACCGCACACAGACTTGAGAGCTAGGCAAAACAGTAAGGTCAAGTTGTTTGGATAAAAAGGCTACAGGGCACAGTCCTGGTTCTTGTGTAAGAATTCCAATTGCACAGCCCTGCACTTTGGCTGTGGGTAATGAAAAGGGTTGGGATGAGTCAGGGAGAGCTAGGATGGGGGCAGTCTCTAAAGCTGTCTTCAAGGAATGGAAAGAGGATGGGGAAAGGATTTAGGATCTATGGGGTCAGCCGGGTTCCTTTTGTGAGTTTATATAATGGTTTTGTTAGGATGGCAAAACCAGGTATCTAAAGTCAAAAGTATCCAACCATGCCTAGGAAGGAAAGGAGTTGTTGTTTTGTAGAAGGCGCTGGGGTTTGAGAGATCAGTTGGACATGATCGGCAGGGAGAGCACGTGTGTTTTTTATGAGAATTATGCTGAGATAGGTAACAGATGAGGAAGAAATTTGGGCTTGACTAAAGTAATGGGCGCTGTCTGCGAAGCTTTGCAGCAGTACAGCCCAGGTAATTTGATGAGCCTGATGGGTGTCAGGGTCAGTCCAAGTGAAAGCAAAGAGAGGCTGGGATGAAGGGTGCAAAGGAATGGTAAAGAAAGCATGTTTGAGATCCAGAATAGAATAATGGGTTGTGGAGTGAGGTATTGAGGATAGGAGAGTATATGGGTTTGGCACCATGGGCTGGATAGGCAAAACAATTTGGTTGATAAGGCGCAGATCCTGAACTAACCTGTAAGCCTTGTCTGGTTTTAGGACAGGTAAAATGGGGGAATTGTAAGGGGAGTTTATAGGCTTTAAAATGCCATGCTGTAGCAGGTGAGTGATAACAGACTTTAATCCTTTTAAAGCATGCTGTGGGATGGGATATTGGCATTGAGCAGGGTAAGGGTGATTAGGTTTTAATGGGATGGTAAGGGGTGCATGATCAGTCGCTAAGGAGGGAGTAGAGGTGTCCTATACTTGTGGGTTAAGGTGGGGAGATACAAGGGGAGGATGTGAAGGAGGCTTTGAGCTGGGGGAAAAGGCGGCAATGAGGTGTGGCTATAGCCCAGGAATAGTCAGGGAAGCAGATAATTTAGTTAAAGTGTCTCAGCCTAATAAGGCAAATGGGTAGGTGGGGATAACTAAAAAGGAGTGCTTAAAAGAGTATTGTCTAAGTTGGTACCAGAGTTGGGCAGTTTTAAGAGGTTTAGAAGCCTGGCTGTCAGTACCCACAACAGTTATGGAGGCAAGGGAAACAGGTCCTTGAAAAGCAGGTAATGTGGAGTGGGTAGCCTCTGTATTGACTAAGAAGGGGATGGACTTACCCTCCACTGCGAGAGTTACCCAGAGCACCTGTGATGGTCCTGTAGGCTTCTGAGGCGATACGGCAGTGTCAGTCTTCAGCTGCTAAGCCGAGAAGATCTGGGAAGGAGTCAGTCAGAGAGCCTTGGGCCAGAGTTCCAGGTACTCTGGGAGTGGCTGCTGGGTGAGTTGGACAGTCCGATTTCCAGTGGGGTCCCGCACAGATGGGACATGGCTTAGGAGGAATCCCAGGCTGCAGGCATTCCTTGGCCTGGTGGCCAGATTTCTGGCACTTGTAGCAAGATCCTGGTGTTCTGGAGGAATGCCTGGCCACTGTGGTTCAGGCTTTTGGAAGTTCTTGTGTGCTGGAGATGTGGCTGGGGTTTGTCTCACAGTGGAGGTAAGGAACTGCAACTTTTTTCTATTATTGTACACCTTGAAGGTGAGGTTAATTAAGTCCTGTTGTGGGGTTTGAGGGCTGGAATTTAATTTTTGGAGTTTTATTTAATGTCGGGAGCAGATTGGGTAATAAAATGTATATTGAGGATAAGATGGCCTTTTGGCCTTTTGAGGTTTTGGGGTCTAGCACTGTAAAGCATCTCAGGGTTGCTGCCAAACAAGCCATGAACCGGGCTGGGTTTTTATACTTGACGAAAAAGAGCCTAAACGCTATCTGATTTGGGATAAAGAAAAAGGAGCATTAACCTTGACTATGCCTTAACTCCAGCCACCTTTCTAAGAGGAAATTGCTGGGCAGGTGGGGGAGGGCTAGTCACAGAAGGAAACTGTAAGCCAGACCGGGTGTGAGGAGGGGAGGTGATAAAAGGATTATAGGGTGGAGGAGCAGAGGCTGAGGAAGAATTGGGACCTAGCTTGGCCTGGTGAGGAGGGGAGAGGTCAGATGGGTCTGTAGAAAAGGAAGATTAGAAAGACTCAGCGACGCTTTGGGGGTGGGACTGAGGGGACAGGCGGGAGGGAAAAAAGGAAGATTTGGGATGAGTTGCATTGGGAACAGACTAGGGAGGGACCGATGTGTAAAAGAATGCCTGGACGTCAGGCACCTCCAACCATTTGCCCATTTTACGACAAGAATTATTCAGATCTTGTAGGAAAAATTGAAAGTGCCATTTTCTGGCTATTTGGAACTACTGTTGAGTTTGTACTGGGGTCAAGCGGCATTGCAGAAGAAAATAAGGCATTTAGGTTTTAGGTCAGGTGTGAGTTGAAGAGGTTTTAGATTTTTAAGAACACAGGCTAAGGGAGAAGAAGGGGGAATGGAGGGCAGAAGCTTGCCCATAGTGAACAAGGCAAGCCCACAGAAAAGAGAGAGTAGAGACATGGAGAGAAGGGGTGGGGGGTTCTTGCCACCCAGAAAAGCAGAGAAGGGGTAGAGACACGGAGAGTAGGGGCTGGGGGATTCTTGCCCCCCAGAAAAGTGGTACTTGCCACTAAGGGTGAAGTAGAAGGGGTTGGGGGTTCTTGCCCCCCAGAAAAGCAGTACTTGCCGCTAAGGGTGAAGGACCAAGGCAGGCGTCCCTGTGTGGTCAGACACCTCTGAAACGTAGGTTAATAATCAGGCAGGCATCCCCACATGATTAAACACCAAGGGAAGACTGTCTTCATGAGTCCATGACTGGCACCGGAGTTTTGGGTCCACGGATAAAAGCGTCTCCTTCGTCTCTACCAGAAAAAGAAAGGAACTGAAATTAAGAAAAGGGAGAGATTGAAGTGTGGTGCCAAGACTGAAAGGAGAAAGAGGTTGAGGGATAGTGAGAGAGGTTGGAGAAGAGAGTAAAAAGAGGCCGCTTACCGGATTTAAAATTGGTGAGATGTTCCTTGGGCTGGTTGGTCTGAGGGCCAGAGGTCGTAGGTGGATCTTTCTCATGGAACAAAGAGCAGGAGGACAGGGGATCGATCTCCCAAGGGAGGTCCCCCAATCTGAGTCACGGCACCAAATTTCACTAACATCCATGTGAAGAGACCATCAAACAGGCTTTGTGTGAGCAACAAGGCTGCTTATTTCACCTGGGTGCAGGTGGGCTGAGTCTGAAAAGAGAGTCAGCAATGGGAGATGGGGGTGGGGCCATTTTATAAGATTTGGATAGGTAAAGGAAAATTACAGTCAAAGGGAGGTTGTTCTCTGGTGGGCAGGAGTGGGGGTCACAGGTGCTCAGTAGGGGAGCTTTTGAGCCAGGATGAGCCAGGAGAAGGAATTTCACAAGATAATGTCATCAGTTAAGGCAGGAACAGGCCATTTTCACTTTTGTGGTGGAATGTCATCAGTTAAGGCAGGAACCGGCCATCTGGATGTGTACATGCAGGTCACAGGGGATATGATGGCTTAGCTTAGGCTCAGAGGCCTGACAATTATATTTTCACAGCCTTTGTAAATATCCGTGGTTGTCTTTTATTCATCTGAAAACAATTTTGGTGGTAAGATGAATTTTTACAGGGGCAGATGAATATATGACCAGAATGATTTATACTACTTAAGAACATCCTGTACACTCAAAAATTATTTTCTTACTTTAACATAATAAAAACTAAATTCCACTTTTACTTTCTATATTCCCCACATATGATTTTCTGTTAAAAAAAAATTCATACATTTTTATCTATCAAGACTGAGTCAAATTTGTCAACATTTTAAAACCTTTATTTCTTTCAAACACATGCTTTAGAATTAGTATAAATGAAGGAAAATAAAGTATTACTTCCCCATAGACCTTCTAAACTTACTGTGCACTCTTGTTATTGTCTTCTTTCTCATGCTGGCACAAGCAGACAATTTTATTTCAGGATAAAAGTATCCTTTACTTCTTGGTACCATTTAAGTGTATGTCTCTAAACAAGATAGCTTGATTTAACTAATTTTGGAACTTACACAAATGCAGTTACGTGTATATATTCTCTTGTCTCTGCATCCTTTTACTAACATTATGTTTGTAAGATTCATGCATGTTTTTATACACGGCTGAAGTTCATTCAATTTTATTATAATCATTGTGTGATTATACCCAAATTTTCTCCATTCTATTATTGATGGACATTTAGGAAATTTTTAGTTTTTGGCATTTAGGAGCAATGTTCCTATAAACATTCTTGAAAAATGTATCCTAGTGCATATATGCCCATGTTTCTCCAGTTGATGTAGAAGTGGAATTGCTGAGCCATAGATATGTGCATCTTCTACTTTACTAGGTCAGGCCAAACTGTTTTGCAAAGTGCTTTGCGATATTAAGCCCTGCTAGCAGTGTATGACAAGCATTGTAAGACTTCAATTTGGATTTTAAAAGGCAATTGTACTGGTTATAACTACTGTGATTAGTCCAGTTCTAGAGAGCAGCAGGGATGTGTGACACTTACCCCTAAGATTGCTCAGACTTTGCTGGAAAACTCACACTCTTCCTTCCCTCTGCCTTAACTCCTCTGTAACCTTGACTCCTATCTCCCACCTCCTTCTGAGACTTGCTCTCCTAATCCTACCTCCTCCTTCTCTTCACCCCTTTCCTTACCTCTTTCCTCCAAATGACTATTTCTACAATCTTCTCTTTGTTGAGCCTTCTTTTTCATTTCCTTTGCCCGACTTTATCCTTTTTAGCAGCTACTATTTGTTGTACTAATTATAGCCTTTGTTTTCTTCTAATTTCAAGAGGCAGGTAAGTAGAACCCATTTCCTGTCTCAAAAATATCTCTGTCTTATACATTGTATCAATCATGTTCACTGTCATTCTAAGGAGAACAGCCTCTCCCAGTCCATTAGGCTACTGTTTGTTTTGAATTATGTGATGTATGAGTCCTCCTCTAGTTCTAGATAATTAAACCAAGTGTGGTAATTGGCCCAGCCTGTCAATTCATGAATGGGCCAACAACCAGAACATGGCTCTGTAAAAACAAGATGAACCAGGCTGGGTGTGGTGGCTCACGCCTGTAATCCCAGCACTCTGGGAGGCCAAGGTGGGTGGATTACCTGAGGTCAGGATATTGTGACCAACCTGGCCACCATGGTGAAACCCCATCTCTACTAAAAAATACAAAAAATTGGCCGGGTGCGGTGGCTCATGCCTGTAATCCCAGCACTTTGGGAGGCCGAGGTGGGTGGATCACGAGGTCAGGAGGTCGAGACCATCCTGGCTAACGCGGTGAAACCCCGTCTCTACTAAAAATACAAAAAAAAAAAAATTAGCCGGGCGTGGTAGTGGGCACCTGTAGTCCCAGCTACTAAGCAGGCTGAGGCAGGAGAATGGCCTGAACCCAGGAGGCGGAGCTTGCAGTGAGCCAAGACAGCGCCACTGCAGTCCAGCCTGGGCGAAAGAGCGAGACGCCGTCTCAAAAAAAAAAAAAAAATACAAAAAATTAGCTGGGCATGGTGGCAGGTGCCTGTAATTCCAGCTACTCAGGAGGCTGAGGCAGGAGAATCACTTGAACCTGGCAGGCAGAGGTTGCAGTGAGCCGAGATCGCACCACTGCACTCCAGCCTGGGTGACAGAGCCAGACTCCAAGTCAAAAATGATAATAATAATAAAAATATATAAAAAAAGATGAACCAGTCCATGCAAACATCAACTCAAAATGAATAAAGACTTAAAACATTAGACCAGAAACTGTAAAACTACTAGAAGAAAACATGAGGGGAAAGCTCTGTGAATTAGTCTGGGCAATAATTTTTCTGGGTATGACCCCAAAAGCATAGGCAATAAAAGCAAAAACAGGCAAATGGAATTACATCAAAAGGATTTTGCATGGCAAAGGAAACAATCAGTGAGTAAGCAGACAACTTGTGGAATGGGAGAAAATATTTGCAAACCTACATCTGGTAAGTGGTTAATATTCAAAATATATAAGGAACTCAAACAATTAAATAGCAAGAAAACAAATGACTCGATTTAAAAATGGGCAAAGGACCTGAATAGGCATTTCTCAAAAGAGGACATACAAATGGCCAACAGATATACGAAAAAATGCTCAGCATCACCAATCATCAGGGAAATGAAAATAAAAACCACAGTGAGAAAACACCTCACACCTATTAGAATAGCTATTATAAAAGAAGATGAAAGATAAGTGCTGGTAAGGACGTGGAGAAAGGGGAACGTTTATATGCTGTTGGTGCTGTTGGAGGAAATGTAAATTAGTACAGCCATTATGGAAAATGGTATAGAGGTTTCTCAAAAAATTAAAAATAGAAATACTGAGTATATATCCAAAGGAAATGAAATCATATGTCAAAAAGACATCTGTACCCCCATGTTTATCACAGCAGTATTCACAATAGCCAAGATATGTAATAAACCTAAGTGCTCATCAATGAAAAGATGGATAGAGAAAATATGGTATATATACTCACAATGGAATATTATTCAGACTTTAAAGGAAATTCTCTCATTTGCTACAACATGGATGAATCTGGAGGATATTATGTTAAGTGAAATAAGACAGGCACAGAAAGACAAATACTGTATGATCTTACTTATATATGAATGTAAAAAAAAGTCAAACTCATAGAAGCAGAGAGAAGGATGGTGGTTACAAGGGCCTGGAGGGGCTAGGTGAATGGGCAGATATTGGTCTAAGGATACAAATTTCAGTGAGATAGCAGGAATAACTTAAAGAGATGTATTTTACAACATGGTGATTATAGTTAATAATAATGTATTGTCTTTGTGAAAATTGTGAAGGATGTTTTTGCACCATCAAAAATGATAAGGATGTGAGGTAATTCATGTGTTAATTACCTTGATTTAGCTACTCCACAATGTATATATATTTTAAAACATGTTGTACACAATAAATATACAAAATTTTAACTAGTCAATTAAAAAATAATTAGTTAATTTTTTAAAAGGTGAATTATGCTATGCCTGTGATTATATTCCTGGATGCCTGTGAGAAACCTCTCTTGATTTCTGCCCTGTCTATAGTTATCTGTTAAACATTTTAATTACTTGAGGCAAGGAAGAATTTCCTCTCTATGTTGCAAGCAGAGAACAGGTCTAGAAAAACTCTAAATTAGTTATACTTCTTCACATGAGGGACCTTTAATCAATGTTTTCCCTCTGGAGGTCCCTGGCCTTCAATGGAGGCTGATCTTGAACTACACCCACACACAGGTCCCCCGGCTCTTAAAATTTACATTTGTCTTTTATCACAGAAAGGTTGTTATGTTCAGTTTGCTAAAGATGATACTGGCTGTTAGGTTTTTACATTTTTATCCACAATGTTTATCAAGAGAAACTATTTTTACAGAAAACACTACTAAGAAGGATGTAGCACCGCATGTTCCCAAATGGGAGTATTTGTGTCTTCACACATGCTGGTGAAGGGCATCACTGAAGCCAAAGAGTAAAAATAAAAAAGCAGATATAAGACATGGTAAAAATACAATCTTACAATATGTGATCTTGAGGGGATAATAAGGATGGCTTATTTTAGACTAACATTAAACTAGACACTAAATAATGGCTTTAGATGTAAAACTCCATCCTTTCCCTGCTTTTATTGCAAAATAGATGTTCTCTATGATGGTTTACTAGGATCTTTTCCAAGTATCTTCATCCCAGCTTTGCGTTTTCACTAGTAACGCTGATGTTTCAAATTTATTAACCACTTAATTTAAGTAATTCTCATGGGCGAAAGCTCTTCAGGAAGAGATGAGATCAGCCAACAAAACAGTGTTATAGAATTACAGAAGTTACAAATGAGAAATGACCAAATGAGGAGACAGTATTGGAGAGTGAAACCGACTTACTTGGAGTTGCATGTCACATAGCTTCAGAGGAGCCAGGACCCAAACTTAGATATGCCTCCCCTTTCTCTAGTACCCTGCCCATTTGTTTATAACTTTTTCCAAAAAAATTATCAACTTTGCCAAATCTTTGTCCTGTCATTTTGAAGCACAGGGTATATAAGCTTTGTGGTGTGTTATCCTGACATCAGTGTCCTCTTGTGATTCAGTGCAAATATAACTCTAGGTCTTACCAGGGGCATGTGAGCTGATGAGAGAATAGGAAAGATTCAAATCTAAGGTAGTGTTCAGACTTGGAGTGCAAGAGGCAGAGAAGCATGAATGGGAGAAAAAATGCCATCAGGGAAGATGAGGGTGTTGCAAACAAAATTTGGCCTACTTGCTAATTTTTCTTAGGCCTTCCATTGGCTAAAATGAAATCAGTCTGATTTTCACTATATGCTGATAGAAAAAGAAATAAAAAATAGATGGCATTATTTTGGAGGCACGTGAATTTTATAAGATGCGGATGATGAAATCAGGAGAGCCAAAATAACTTCTAAGTTTTGTTTTGCAGAAGATATAAAAGGAAATGGAAAAACACTGTTAATATAGAAGACCAAAAAGAGGATAAAGGAAAGCAGTTTGCTTTTATTGCAAGGAGAAGTTTTTCTCTAATTTTTAAAATGTTTATTTATATGAAAATAATAGAAATTGTGGCAATTTGGGAAGATGAGCAGGACGCTTACCTTGAATAAGAAAGGAAAGCTTCAATTCTCACATAGCTACACAAAGTAATCTTTTCAAAATGCAAATCTGACCGCATCTCTGTCATTCTCCATTGTTGTTAAAAGACCAAAATTCTTAACACACATACAAGGCTTTGCCTCACCTTGTCCCTGTGTACTTCTCTCCCCTCCTAATCATAGTCTATCAATTTCCTCCATCCACTGAAGTTTGCCCCCAACCTGCTGGTCATCCTGGCCATCTTTCAAGCACTAGCCATCTTGGCCGTCTTTCAATCTGTCAGTCACCATGTTCTTTCTTGCCCAAGGTCTTTTTAAGTGCTCTTTCCTCTGCCTTAATACTCCTCCTTCTACCTGAACTCCCACCTGCACCTACTCAGTTCTTACTCATCCACCATATCTCAGCCAATATGTCAATTTCTCAAAGGCTTTTCTGATCCTCTTGGCCCAATTTAAATTGAGTCACATTCTTACAGGCCACGTATGTTTCTTTTATGCTAATTATGTATGTTTCTGTTATACCATTAATTGTATGGTCATATGTAGTGTGTGATTGTTTAAAGAGGTCTATTTCTCCCATCAAACTATGAGTTCTGGAAGGCAGTCCTCACTCTTTTGCTCACCAATGTTGTCCTGAGTGGCCATCACAATGTCTGCTGCATATTTGTTGTGCTAATAAATACTTTTTCAATTAGTGTTAAATGTTATGGACTGTAGCAGGACAAGCCGCATACAAAACCCCTCAGACATGGAGATAGTGAAGGGAATGGCTTTAATCAGCTGGAAGCATCAGCAGACTAGCCTCTTAAAATCCAAGCTTGTCGGGTGCACAATTTCTGTGCCTTTTAAGGGCTCACAACACTAAGGGTTTCACATGAAAGGGTCGTAATTGATTGAGCAAGCCAGGGGGTACGTGACAGGGGCTGCATGCACCGGTGGTCAGAGTGAAACAGGACAGACCGGGAAGTTTCACAATGTCTTTCCATACAACGTCTGGAATCTATAGATAACATCAGTTGCTAGGTCAGGGGTCAAATTTTAACAGACTTAGGTCAGGCAGGCCCAGGCCTGGTTTCAGGTCTGGTTCCTTTGTTTTGGGTCTGTTCGTAGGCACCAGGCTACCTGCCTTTAGTTTTGCTTCTCTTTCTTTTTCTGAGTGTAGAACAATATAAAACAATATGAGAGGGTCTGTCTCTCTTCTCTCAGACCACTTAAAAATAATCTAATAAAGGGACATGGAAGAATCTGGAAGCCATCAGTCGCAGCAAACAGGAACAGAAAACCAAGCACTGCATGTTCTCACTCATAAGTGGGAGTTGAACAATGAGAACACATGGACACAGGGAGGGGAACATCACACACTGGGGCCTGTGGGGGGTGGAGTGGGGGGCTAGGGGAGGGATAGTATTAGGAGAAATACCGAATGTAGATGATGGGTTGATGGGTGCAGCAAACCACCATGGCACATGTATACCTGTGTAACAAACCTGCACATTCTGCACATGTATCCCAGAACTTAACATAAAAAAAACAAAACAGAACAAAACAAAATGGAACCAAAAAGATATAAGCTTTGAAATCTGTATTAGGAATGGGACATAAAGTGAGTCTTCAGTCTTTTAACCTGGTGTCATATAAATTATTCTAGAGGTACAACCAATCAGGTGAGGTTTGAGGGATTTGTACTTGAAAAATCATAGGAGATACCTCTCTTGTGGAATTTAGTGTGAAGATTAAATGAATTAGTAAATTAAGTATAATGATAAGTATTTAAGTTTAATAAGTAAATGAATTACTAAATATAGTACATATGAAATATATAAAATAGTACCTGGGCCCATAGTAAAAATTAAATATATTATTGTTCTCATTATTGTTTTTAAAATCCGAAGAAAATTTAATTGCCTATTTTGGTGCCTAGAGTCTCATGTAATGGGGCTGGGGGATGGGGTAGGAAGACATTAAGACTTTTAAATAAACCATAAGAAAAGCCACCTCAAAGCCTAAATAGCTCAGGGCTAGGAGTCAGTCTTGTCTGAAGCCCATCACCAATGACCTATCACAAAGGCCTTTAACCCATCTGAATCCTAGTCGCTTCAGGCTTGGCTTACCATTTTTGCTATGTGAGCTTCCTAAGTCACTTGTCTTTTCTGAGACTGACTTTCTTTGCTTAAAACAGCATTTGTTATTTTGTATCCTGCACAATTTTTGTCATTTCCTTGTGCCACTTATACCATTTAAAAATATTTTTTCTTTAATTGGCTCACTTTTTATTTAAATAAATCTATGTAAAAAGGAAACTTTACATATTGCCATAAATGGAAAATTAATAACATAGTAGTTCCCCAAAATAGGGTGACAATAAAGTTTATAATAATACTTAAAAACAATGTAATAAACTCTGTCTGGATATTATTGCCTGACAAAAGTTCTGAGGCTTAAAGTCTGTTATGTTTTTATGAAAATGGAGATGTGTTCTAAAGGTTTTATAGAAATATCAGCACCAAACTGAAATTTTCTCCTTACACAAAGTCCTGAAAGAGAATTGTAAATAAGATATCTCCTTTGTCACATAGTTCCTCATTGAATGTCATGTAAGGTCGCCACCTAAAGTCATCCCAAGATCATCTGCAAGACACACCTCACATTTGAATAACATGGATCTAAAAATTGGAGATCATGATAAAAATACACAGCCCTGTGGGGTTTTTGAGAATAAAATTAGATGTAGTATTTGAAACTGCTGGCCGGGCGCGGTGGCTCACGCCTGTAATCCCAGCACTTTGGGAGGCCGAGGCGGGCGGATCACGAGGTTAGGAGATCGAGACCATCCTGGCTAACACGGTGAAACCCCATCTCTACTAAAAATACAAAAAATGAGCAGGGCGCAGTGGCGTGTCCCTGTAGTCCCAGCTACTCCGGAGGCTGAGGCAGGAGAATGGTGTGAAACCGGGAGGCGGAGCTTACAGTGAGCCGAGATCGCGCCACTGCACTCCAGCCTCGGCGACAGAGCGAGGATTCGGTCTCAAAAAAAAAAAAAAAAAAAAAAAAACTGCTCTGTAAATTTTAAAAATCTATGTAGTCGTGCATATTTTAAAAATGAGATAGCATTTACGTGCTAATTTTGTTTTTTATGTTACAAGGGACAGAAACAAACTTGGAAAAGCTTAAGAGAGATAGGGTTTTTTTTTAATGGAACAGTAATTACATTTTAGCACTATTTGTTCTGATACCTCCCTCTTTATTGTGTGCGTGTGTTTGCAGTTCTATTGCTATCATATTCTCATCTTCAGTCTCCTTTAAGCAGCCAAGAGTTAAGTAGTAGTTTGATTAAGCATCACCTAATACGGAGTGCTCCTACCGGACAATTTTGGCTCAGTTCTTGCTCCCTGGGTTATTCCAACACAGTGAGGGTGACTGGGTTAATTTTCAGGCAAGTACATGGTTCTTTTCTTCAAAGGGGCATTAAAAAGCCGAGTTACTATAAGACATAGTGAGGTTTTGTGTCCTGCCCAGCACAGTAAGCCAAAGGGCTTTGGAAGTTAAAAGTACATATCCTTGTTATATAAACTGCTAGAAATCTGAATGCAAAATCGTGGTAGGAGGCCAAGCAGCAGTGGAAACACTGATGAAAACCAGCAAATGAGTTGCTGAGGATCTGCACTTATACCGTAAAGGTGGATGGTCAGCTGTTGTTACTTCCTCCAACCTTGCCCTCCCTCTGGGCAAGCCCATCTCCCACTCCCAATTCACACACAAATACACACAAACACACACACACACACACACACCTGTAGTATTGAAGAGACTACGTTTCTATTCCAAAGCAAACTCCAAAGTACTAGTCCCCAAAGATACATTTAAGTAGTTATTCAGTGGTTAATCTCCCCCTAAGATTTTCTTTAGTCTCTGACATAGACAGCTGAGATATCTAAAATAGGAGGTATCCTTGTCTGATCTCAGACAAGAGATAGGAGCTAAGGATCACATAAATGCTAAACGTCATACTCAGCCACATTTGTTCAAGATAGGGTGCACCCTGAGGACCTTTCCAGTAATACTTTTATTCTTAATGTACAGCAGGGCAGCTAGAAGTAAAGGGGAAAAAATTTCTTTGATGGAGAGAAATGTTAAGAAGTCTGAGAACAGGATAAAACAAAATATCTCTGGAGATGGGATAAATGAAGGGCACACAAAGCCTATAATTTTTAAAAAAAGAAAAAAAAGAAAGAAAGAAAAAGAAAAGACTGCTGTGACCTTCCAGAGACAAATGAGAAGTCAGGGAAGTAGAGTAAGATATCAACTCAGGTGAAATGAGTCTGCAAAAGAAAGGGCAAAAAAGCCTCCACCTCTATTCAGATTGTTTCACACAGAATCAGGTGAAAGGATTTCTTACAAGTGTGGTGCTCAAGTTTTAACGTGTACCGGAATCATCTGGAGGTCTTTTAAATACACAGATTGCAAGGTCCCTACACCGAGAGTTTCTGCTTCAGTTGGTCTTGGTTGGGGGGGGTGGGGGCAAAAAATGTGCATTTTTAACAAGTTCCCAGATGTTGCTGGCACTGCAAGTTCAAGGGCCACACTTTGAGAACCATATTGCAGGAAAAGACTAGCATGGGGAGCAGGATGATTTAATTATATGTATTATATATACATATGAATAAGCACTGCCTCAAAACTCCTGAATGGGTCATCTATGGGACTCTGTATCAAATCTCTCTGTGTTCTTATGGGGCTCACAGACACTATTTTACTGTCACTCAATGACATCTAACAAACCTATTTCTCTCACTGTGAGACACGAATGAGATTACACATGTGAAAAATTCTTCATGAACACTTTGGAGTTAGCTAAACAAGATAAACTAAGGCCCAGAGAGAATAAATGATCCATCCAAAGTTAAATGGTGGGTAAACAAAAAACCAAGATCTAGTGCCAGATCATTGTCGATTAAAGCTTGTATTCATTTCATTAAGCTACTTTATTAGGAGAAAGCATAATTAATCTTAGCTTTAACTAAAAAAGAACTAGCATATACATGACCATAATGTGATGTAAACCTCTTTGCATCATGTATAATTATATCCAGCTAACTCCTCCAATCACTTATTATAAAGTATTAATAAAAACAAGATGATTTCAGTAATAAGCCAACCACATTGCATTAAACAAATGCAAAGTCCTTTCATTCACATACTTGCTTCATTCTCTTCTTCACCTTCTTCTAATTGTTTCCTAACTAGAAAAAAAAATATTTCACTAGATAATAACACAATTTCATAATTTTTAGTTCTTTGTCCACTGAGGGTCACTTTCTTTTTAGAGAAGGCAATTACAAGTTTGCTTTATAAGGAGCACTGTTTTACAATCAATTTTCAGGCTTAGTTTGTTGGTTTGCAGTTCACAGGATGCTGTCACATAGATCACGATTTCAGGTTGACTGTGCCACAGGCTGAAAGCATCTGCCAGGAGTTGCCTCTTACTTTTCTACACCCAAACGTCTGATGCTATTATATAGGGTTCAATAAAGTCTTGGAGCAAGAAGGGACCTTGGAGATCAGAAAAATTCAGAATCTCTCAATTTACAGGTAAGAAAACTGAAGCCCAAGATCGTTTAAGAGACTTAATTAAGGCAGAGCCAGGGATAGAGCATGGATCTCCTAAATTCCAGCCCAGTGCTTTACCAAAGCGGTTTGTCCTGATCATTCAATTAAAACAAACAAACAAACAAAGAAAATTCTTTATTGAATACCTGTAAAATTTACAGGATGTCAGATTTTAAAGAGCTTTATAATCTAAAATATTTTATCTATTTAAAACTTTGCTTTTTCTATTTTAAATTGCATTTAAATGTATTTTATGATGATTTTGTAAAATTTATAGATATATATGGGCTTCTTTAAAAGATGTTAATACAGGAATATACCTAACAAAAATTATTTCTGTATCTCTCCCATTTAAGTCAACCTACCATAGCAGAGATAACCACTCAACTGTTACATTTCCAACCAGAAGCTTTGTGATACGTTAACATATATGTGTATTTATGTGTGTGTTATCTTTAAAAGGGATTCATAGTTCTGTGATTTATGCATTTTACTTAACATTATCTCATAGACTATATTAAATATCAACAATACGGCTACAATATTTGATATAGTGACATGTAAGTATCCTTTTAGGGATACGCCATTTTTTAAAAAAACAATTTTCCTTCTGTGACCTTTTATATTGTATTATATTCTTTCTTTAAAAAACAATGTTGGAGGAAGTTCTAATACAGGTATTGTGGCATAAGCCCCTTATAGCTCATCTTTCCTACTGATAACAACTATGAACAATAAACAAAATGCAGAAAAAAAAAAAAACTACCTGAGGACTCTGAACTGTAAACAAAAGCTAGCAAATTGTGAAGGGGAGATAAACCTTGAAGAAGTGACCTACAGGGAGGTGACTTCCTCCTTGACTTTCTCCTTTCTTGAGTGGATTTGACTAGGCCTTATCAGGGAGTGAAGCAGCCTGCAGGATGCAGCTAAAAATATAATAGAAATCCTGCTGTCTCATCAGCAGACAGAGTTACCTTCGAAAGGAGCTCAGGAAGGTCTGACAGTGAAGTAGAAATCACAGAAGAAAGAAAGCTGAAGAATCCCTATTTAAGTGTGAGAACCCATACAAACCTCAGCCTAATCCTTAATCCATATGTGTAGGACCAACTCAAACCAGCAAAGTAAAGACTTGGGAAATTGAATTGAGAATTGAAATACTTGCATAAATCTTAACCTAACCCCTCAACCATGCCTGGATGAAACAGATCCAAACCAGTTAGCAAAGGCTTTAAAAACTGAAGTGAGAGTTGAAAGACTGCCCACAGAAAGCAAGACAGAATTTACACTCTGAACCTAATCATGTGTATTGCGTCCTAATGAAAAGCATTAACTTTCAGCAGGTGATTGCAACGATACACAGTTTCTACACAATTTAACATTCAAGATGCTGAGAAGGCAATTCAAAATCACACACGTGAATAACCAAGAAAATATTCTTTTTTTTTTTTTTTTTTTGAGACAGAGTCTTGTTCTGTCACCCAGGCTAGAGTACAGTGGAGCTGTCTCGGCTCACTGCAAGCTCCGCCTCCCGGGTTCCAGCAATTCTCCTGCCTCAGCCTCCTGAGTAGCTGGGACTACAGGCGCCCGCCAACATGCCCAGCTCATTTTTTGTATTTTTAGTAGAGATGGGGTTTCACTGTGTTAGCCAGGATGGTCTCGATCTCCTGACCTCGTAATCCGCCCGCCTCGACCTCCCAAAGTGCTGGGATTACGGGCTTGAGCCACCGCGCCCAGCCGAAAATATTCTTAAGGGAAAATATAATTAACACATAACAACTCTTAAATGACCCAGATACTGGAATTAACAGACAAAACTTAAAAGCACCTATATAATTAAGCTCTGTGATGTAAAAGGAAGAAAATAATTGAAATGAATTAAAAAATGAGAAATTTCAGGTAAGCAATAGAAACTATTAAAAAAATGAAATTTTAGAAGTAAAATACATACTATTTGAAACAAAAAATTCACTGGTTGAGCACCCCAAAAGTGTCAGTGAAGTTGAAAATAGTTCAATAGACTTTATTCCATTTAAGGAATACAGAGGAAAAAATATTAAAATAAAAAGAACAAGGTTTCCGACACTTGTCAAAAAATTCCAAGGGTTAGACATACATGTAGTTGGTGTCTCAGAAAAAGAGGAAAAAAAAATTAGAGTCAAATATATATATAGTGCAAAAACTTCCCAAATTTGATTAAATATGTAAATTTACAAATTCAAGAATTTCAATGAATACCAAACAGGTTACATTCAAAGAAAATCTTTCCTAGACACATAATCACAATCCAAAGCTAAGAAAGTCTTGAAAGCAGCTAGATAAAAAAGCAACATTGCACTCAGGAGAACAAGATCCATGTGGTAATGGATTTCTCATCAGAAACTATGAACACCAAAAAGCAATACCTTAAAATGCTTAAGGAAAGCGCTGTGACCAAGAATTTGACATCCATTAAATATTTTTCAGGAATGAAGGTAAAATGAAAACTTTTCAGATAAAGCCAACTTAATAGTTATTTGTTGCCCAGCGATGTACAAGAAATTGGAAAGAAAGTACTTTAAGCTGAAGGGAAATGATACCAGAGGGAAAACTGGATCTTCAAGAATGAAGGAAGATCATCACATATGCTAACTATATGAATAAATATAAAAAGAACTTTAAGGTCTTTAAAATATGTATGACTGTTTAAAGCAAACATTGTAGATGACTCTGATGTGGTTTTTAATATCCATAGATGTAATGTGTATAACATTAAAACTAAAAACAAAAAAGCAGTAAAGGGCCTGTGTGATGGAAAGATTTCAAAGTTTTCAATGAAGTAGTATAATATCAACTCTATTCCTTCCAGAAAAATTATTTATATATATATATATATATATATATATATATATAGAGAGAGAGAGAGAGAGAGAGAGAGAGAGACAGTAATATCTAGAGCAACCCCTGAAAAAGTAACAATACAACAAGTAAACCAATTGAAAAATGGAAATGGAATATTAACATTTTAAAATAATCCCCAAAAAGGCAGGAAAGTGGGAGCAAAAAAACAAAAATCAGGGGAAACAAATAAAAAGCAAATAATGAATATGCAGATATGAATGCAGCTGTCAATAATTATATTAAAGGTCAGTGTTCTAAATACCTCAGGAAAGAACAGATATTGAAAGAATAGGTTTTTAAAAATCAAAGCTAACTATAAACCTAAAAGAGATATACTTTGAATATAAATACAGACTGTTGAAAGTATATGGATAAAAAAGATACTATATGCAAATAGCATAAAAAGAATAGAGTGGCTCTATTAATACCTGATAAAATAGATACTCAGATAAAATACTGAGAAAGTATTACTAATAATAGGAGCATATCCTAATGATAATGTCATCCATCAGGAAGACATAAAACTTCCAAATTTGTGTGAACCCAATGAAAGAATCTCAAAATACAGGAATAAAAAAAATTGAATATTGAAAAGTAGGCAATTTCAAAATTATAGTACAATACTTCAATACCTCTTTTTGCAATTTCCAAAACAACCAGATCAAATAAAAAATTTAGAAGAGACATAAATCTGAACAACACTGTCTACCACTCTGATCTACTTAACGTTTATAGAATACAACATCCAACGACTGCATAGTGAACATTTTTTTCAAGTGCATTTTACTATCATGAAGCTAGACTGTATTCTGGGCCAGAAAATAAGTATCAATACATTTTTAAAAATTTAACTATTTTGTGGTAAAAGAACATACTCTGTATTATTTCAATCAAAATAAAAATATTATCAAGTTAGAAATAGTAGAGAACATCAAACTGATACATTAATAACAAAGCAATATCTAGGAAAATCCAAAATATCTGGAAAGAAAAAACACAGTTCTAAATAATTCAAGGATCAATGACAAAAATCACAAAAAATTGGAAAATATTTAGAAATTAATAGTAACATAAACAACATACCAAATTTTGAAATCCAGCTAAAGCACTTATTAGATAAAAATTTGCAGCTTTAAATGCTTATATTAGAAAGGGAAAAAATAAAATGAACTCAAAGTTCTACCTTCAGAAGCTAAACATAAGAAAAATAAAGTAAACCAAAAGTAATTCAAAGAAATAAAATAAGAAAGAGAATAAATCAATTAAAGAAAAAGCAGACAATTGAGAAAATTAGCAAGATAAAATATAGTTCTTTGAAAACATTTTTTTTAATTGAAAACCTCTAGCTACATTGGTTAAGAGAATAGAGAAAACACTAATCACCAACATCTGTTGGGAAATGAAAACTGTTAGGAATGAACTGTTAGGAATGAAAAACTGTTAGAAATGAAAAGGGATGATCATCCCAGATCCTATACACATTACATAGATATAGGAGGATATTAAGAATAACTTTATTCCAACAAATTCAATAATTTAGGTAAAATGGAATTTTTTTTAAAAAATGCAAGTAATTAAAATTGACAAAAGAAAAAAAGAGAAAATCTGAGTTGCCCTGGAAAGCCGGGCACAGTGGCTTATGCCTGTAATCCCAGCACTTTGGGAGGCAGAGGTGGGTGGGTCATGAGGTCAGGAGTTCAAGACCAGCCTGGCCAAGATGGTGAAACACTGTCTCTACTAAAAATACAAAAATTATCTGGGCATGATATGCGCACATGTAGTCCCAGCTACTCGGGAGGCTGAAGCAGAAAATTGCTTGAACCTGGGAGGTGGAGGTTGCAGTGAGCCAAGATCACGCCACTGCACTCCAGCCTGGGCAACAGAGTAAGACTCTGTCTCAAAAAAGCAAAAAACAAACAAACAAAAACCTGTGGAGAACTTCAGGGACAGATGTTTTCAATAGTGTATTATATCAAACATTCAAGAAAAAAAATTACAACTATTTTACAGAAACATTCTTAGAAAACAGAGAATAGTGAACAACTCATTTTAAGAGAACAGCTTGACTCTATGCTAAAACCTGTCAAACATATTACAGAAAAAGCCATTTACTATGTTTTATTTATTTATTTATTTATTTATTTATTTATTTGTTTATTTATTTTTGTAGAGACGGTCTTGCTATGTTGCTCAGGCTGGAGTGCAGTGGTATGATCATAGCTCACTAAAGCTTCAAACTCCGGTACTCATGCAATCCTCCTGCCTCAGCCTCCTGAGTAGTTGGGAATACAGGCACATACCACTACACCTGGCTATTTTTTGTCTTTTGTTTTTTTCACTTTTTGTAGAGATGAGGTCTCACAGTGTTGCCCAGGCTGGTCTCAAACTCCTGGTCTCAAGTGATCTTCCTGCCCCAGCAGGTATGAGCCACTGTGCCCAGCATAACTAACTTTTAAAAACATTATTAAATCAAATCCAAAAACACACTAAAAAGGAAAGTACAATATGAGTAAGTAGAATTTATCCTAAAAATGTAAAACTTTATCATTTAAAAATCAATTTGTATACTTCACCATATTAATGGAATAAAGGAGAAAAATTATATACTCTTCTTAATAGTTGCAGAAAAATATTTATTAAGTTTCAATACTTACATTCATGACTTTTAAAACAGTTAGGAATCTAGGAGTAATAGAGAACAACTTCAATTTGAAGGACATCTATACAAACCTCCAGTTGCCATTATACTGAATAGATATAAACAGATTTCCCTCAGAAAAAATCAATCCCTGCTAAAAATTAGAAATTAGAAAAGTTTTTACAGCAGCACACACAAATTTAAACATCCCCTCCCACCACCACCACACACATACACACTGATAAGATAATGCTCCATGAAGGAAAATCAGCAGACACACAAATAGGTTTAGAGTCTGAAAATCTTAGAATATTTGAACAATAATCTGAAAGAAAATATAGAATTGTGGTTTAAAAAAAGATCAAATGCTGTGAAGAAAGGCAATTTTGAACAAGAAACACTTAGAGTTAAAAATAATCTATCAGAAGATAGAGTAACAGGTTAGACAAAGCTGAAGAGAAAATTAGTGAACTGAAAGATAAATCTGAAAAAATAATCCAAAGAACAGTACAGAGATAAAAAGATTAAAAATATACAATGGAAACTTAAGAAATATGAAGGATAGAATAAGAATATTCAACAGATAACTAACAGTTCAAGAAAAAGAAGGAATGCATAAGTGACAGTATTTGTAGATATAATTTTGATATTTCTCAGAATGGAAATCACAAATCCTTTCTACTTATTTATGACTATACACTGCCTTTTACTCCTATATAATGTATTTGTGCTTTATTTCTTTTTTCTTGGTAATTATTATCCTGAGGTTAGTCTTTTTAATAACCTGTTCAAATAATCACCTTTTGGGTTAATTAGAGAGTAACAATATTTTTAATAAAATAATAGATAATATTTTAGGATTCATGGACCACATAGTCTCTGTTGTATATTTCCCTTTGTTTCCTTAGTTGATACATACATGTATATTGGACACAGAGTGATGCTTTGATACATGTATACAATGTGTAATGATCAAGGGAATTAGCATATACATTACTGAAAACATAATTTATTTGTGCTGGAAAAACTAAAATCCTCACTTCTAATATTTTGCAAATATGCCATAAATTATTGCTATATATATTCATCTGACTATAGAACACTAAGACTTGTTTCTTCTATCTAGCTGTAATTTTGACTCCATTAACCAATCTCTCCCCATCCCTCCCTCCCCCTACCCTTCTTAACCTTTAATACAATTCTACTCTCTACTTTAATGAATTCAACATTTTTTAGCTCTCACATTTGAATTGAGAACATGCAGTATTTATCTTTTCGTGCCTGACTTATTTTACTTAACATAATGTTCTCCAGGCTCATCCATGTTGCTGCAGTGACAAAATTCCATTCTTTTTTCTATGGCTGAATAGTATTCCAATGTGTATACTTACTAAATTTTCATTATTTATCTGTTGATGAAATTTTATGTTGTTTCCATATCTTGACTTTGTGAAAAGTGCTGCAATAAACATGGGGACGCAGATATCTTTTCAACATACTAATATCATTTCCTTTGGATATATGCTTCAGTATATAAGAGTTCCCTTTTCTCCACATCCTCTCCAGCATTTGTTATTTTTCGTCTTTTTAATAATAGCCATTCTGACAGGTGTGAGATGATATCTCACTGTGGTTTTCAATTGATTTTCCTGATGATCAGTGATGGTGAACTATTTTTAAATATTAATATTTGATGGCCACTTATATGTCTTCTTTTGAAATGTGTGTTCAGATACTTTAACCACTTTTTAATCAGATTATTTAGGTATTTTCATTTTTCTGCTGTTGAGTTGAATTACTTATATATTCTGGATATTAGTACCTTGCCAGGTGAACAGTTTACAAGTATTATCTCTCATTCCACATGTTGGCTCTTCACTCTGTTGATTATTTCCTTTGCCATGTAGAAGTGTTTGGTTTGATATAGTCTCGTTTGTCTATTTTTGGTTTTGTTGCCTGTGCTTTTGAAGTCTTACTCATAAAAGATTTGCCAAGAACAATGTCCTGAAGAATGCCCCCAATGTTTTCTTCTAATAGTTTTATAGTTTGGGGCCTCACATGTAAGTCTTTAATCCATGTTGAGTTGTTTTATATGAGGTGAGACACAGAAGCCTAGTTTTATTCTTCCGCATATGGATATGCAATTTTCCCAGCACCATTTATTGAAGACACTGTTCTTTCCTTCATGTATGTCATCGACTCATTTTGTCAAATATTAGTAAATACATGGATTTATTTCTAGGTTCTCTATTCTATTCCTTTGGTCTGTGTCTGTCTTTATGTCAATACCAAGTGTTCTTGTTGTTCTTACTATGGCTTTGAAGTCAGGTAGTGTGATGTCTTCAGATTTGCTCTTTATGCTCAGTATTGCTTTGGATATTGGGGTCTTTGTGGTTCCATATCCAGTTTAGGACTATTCTGTTTTTATTTCTGTGAAGAATGTCATTTGTATTTTAATAGGGATTGCATTGAATCTGTAAACTGCTTTGGATATTATGGTCATTTTCATAATATTAATTCTTCCATTATATAAGCATGGGGTGTCTTTCCATTGTGTGTGTGTATCCTCTACTATTTATTTTATTACTGTTGTGTAGTTCTCACTGAACATATCCTTCATCTTCTTGGTTAAATTTATTTCTAGGCGTTTTCTTCTTTATTGTAGTTATTGTAAATACAATTTCTCTCTTGATTTTTTCAGCTTTCTTATTGATGTGTAGAAATCTTACTGATTTTGTAATCTGCAACTTTACTGAATTTATTTGTAAGTTCTGGGAATATTTTTGTGGAATTTTTTTACATATATAATATGTCACCTGCAAAGGGGAACAATTGGACTTCCTCCTCAAATTTGGGGGTCCTTTCTTTCTAATTGCTTTGCTGGGAGTTCCAGTACTATGTTGAATACCAATGGTGAAAGTGGGCATCCTTATATTGTTTCAGTTCTTAGTGGAAAAGCTTTCAGCTTTTCCCTGTTCTATATGATATTAGCTGTGAGTTTGGCATGTATAGTCTTTATTGTGTTGAGGTATGTTCCTTCTATACCCAATTTGTAGGGAGGTTTTATCATAAAGGAATGTTACATTTTATCGTATGCTTTTCCCGCACCTATTGATATGACCCTTTGGTTTTTGTTCTTCATTCTGTTAATGTGTTGTCCTTGCATCCCTGGAATAAATCACACTTGATTGTGGGGTATTATCTTTTTGATGTGCTGCTAGTATTTTGTTGAATATTTTTATGTCTGTGTTCATCAGGGATGCTTTTTGTTGTTGCTGTGTCCTTGTCTGGTTCTGATAGCATAATGTTGACCTCATAGAGTGAGTTTGGAAATGCTCCCTCTGTAGTGGAAAGGTGGATCGCTGGGAGTCTCCAGCTTACTTCTTCTCTGCGTCGAGGAGTCCCTCTTGGCTCCTAACTGATCCTGGCTGCCTGCTTCACTTTCCTCTCTATGCTGCCATCTTGAGTTTCTGTGTCTCATAGGGTCTTTGTCACTTCCTTGCTGAATTCCTTTGTTCACTTTTAGATGCTTTATTTAATATGTAGTTATCTATTTGTTGTTTTGGTCCTTTATGGAAGAGGCAAGTGCTGGATGCCTCTAGTCAGCCATCTTGCTCTGTTTTGTTTTTCATTTAACATTTACAAAAGTAAAAATCATTCTTCCCTCCTGGGCTATACAGATACAGAACACAGGTTCAATTTGGTCCATGGGTCATGGTTTTCTAACCTCTGGTTTTGTTGATGGTCTCTGTTTTTCTTTGTTTTCTATTTAACTAATTTTTGTTCTCTTTATTATTTCTATTTTCTAATATATACTCATTTGTTCATTTCCTTTTTCATTTTTGTTTGAAATCTGATTTTACCCTCATTATTGAATGGTAATTTCACTAGATAATTATATGTTGAAAATTGTTTTACCTCAGTCCTTTAAAGAAATTATTCCATTTTCCTCTGACCTCTGCTGTTACCAGCCTTCTGTTTCTCTGAGTATTTCTTCTTGTTAAGTAATTTGTATATGGATAGACTATTCATACTGGAAGAATTATAAGTATTCTTAAAATTTTTAATCCATATCATATGGGTAGTTATGTTCCTTTTCCCATTTCTAATATTTATTATTCGTGTTTTATGTATTTTTTTTCCTTAACTAACTAAGCCTTCCAGAATTTTATTTCTACTTCATTGATTTAAAAAAAAAAAAAGCTTTTGCTTTCATGATTTGTCTCCTGTTTTGCCACAATTTAATTTCTATTTTTTTAAATAAATATTTTCCCTTTTTAAAAAATCTTAACTTTTGTTAGGCTTTTTCCAGTTTCTGGAACTGAATTATTAGCATTTTTTTAATTTTCTACTAAAAAATTTAGAGTCCCTCATCATCCACAAAGTCTTCAGTGTGTTTACTCTCTCATTTGTTCCTAAAGTTTTTCTGGTTATAATTTATAATCTTTTTCTTATTCAGTAAAGTTTTTATTTTAAAATAGCTTTAGATTTAAAGAAAAGTTGCAAAGACAGCAGTTTCCATAACCCACACCATTTTCTGCTATTACTAGTATCTCAGTTTAGTGTGGTGTATTTGTCACAACTAATAAATATTGTTACGCTATAATTACCTAAAGTTTGTACTTTACTCAGCTTTCCTTAGTTTTTACTTTATGTCCCTTTTCTGTTCCAGAATTACATTCAGGAAACCACATTATCTTTAGTCCTCATATCTCCTTAGGTTCCTCTAGACTGATAATTTCTCAAAGTTTCCTTGGTTTTGATGATGTTGACATTATTGAGGAGTTTTGCAGAGTGTCCGTCAGTTAGGATTTGTCTAATTTCTTATACTTAGACCAAGTTATGGATTTTGGGGATGGAGGCAACATAACATTGAGGATATTTCAGAGGAACAGAGGAGCCAACTGAAACAGCTCCCAATGCTCAAAGCTAGAACAATTTGGGCAACAAAATGCATAACATAACATTAAATTGTAACCCAAAATATAAAATAAATATCCACAAGTCCACAGTAATACAAAGAAATGATTGACTGAATTAGTAAGCAAATGGGAAGAAGGGAGAATAGACAAATCTTCCATATGGAAGAATTCAAATAATTCATGCAGATACTCTCTCTTCAAGGAGGTGAAGCATAATTCCTTACTCCCTAACTGTAGGCTGCACATAGTGACTTCCTTCTAAAGAGTAAAGTATGAAAAGGGAAAATGAAAAAGTAACTGATATATTTGTTGCTACCTGTCTCAGTCCTTTTGGCCTACTATGACAAAATTTCTTAGACTGGGTAATTTATAAACAAAATTCATTGCTTATGGTTCTGGAGGCTGGGAAGTCCAAGGCCAAGCTGTCAGCAGGTTCAATGTCTTATGAGGGCTTGCTCTCTGTTTCAAAGATAACGCCTTCTCACTGTGTCCTTTGAAGGATGAAAGGACTCCCTCAAACCTCTTTTGTAAGGGCACTGATCCCGTTTATGAGGGCAGATCCCTCAAGAAATAATCACCTCTCAAATGCACAACCTCTTAATACCTTGGGGATTAGATTTTACTGTATAAATATTGGAGGGGCATAAACATTCAGACCATAGCTCTGCCCATTCAGGTTCTACTGGTCTTAGGTGCTCTGGGTCACACAAATATGTGTCCTGCAATTTGTAGTTTTTCTTTCTCTTCAATTTTCCCTAAATTTGTAGTTTTTGAATTGTGTGTGTTTGTTTTTGTTTGTGTTTCTCTGTATGGTTTGCTAAAGAGGAAGAAGGATGATTCAGAGCTAAGATGCTGCCATGATCCTACTGGAAGATGCTCCTGAAAATTATGATTGAGATGACAATTAATCATCTTCCCTTTAGGTCAGTTTGTGCTCTGTGTCAGGAGGAATAGTTAAGACACTCCCTTCTCCCACATATCTCTTCCCCTCATCAGTTTCAATAGAATCTTTTAGTAATAATAATTGTTTAACTACTTATTATTTAATAATAAATATAATAATACAATAAAATAAGTATTATAATTTCACCTTATAACTTGTCATTTTAGGGAAATTTATAATTTCTTAGTTCAACATGTAAAGAGTTGAATCCACCATTATTAATAAGTGATTTTAAAGTGTAGGCTCCAATGTAAAAGCAGGTTGGCCTTTTATTGTATTAATAGTTATGGAATCATTTTTTTAATTGTATTTAATCAGGACATCCCTATTTTTCTTAACAAGTCTTTAAACAGCAGGAGCTAGTACAATATTCCAGAAAGTATATTGAAGGTGATTTTATATCATGTGTAACAATAAAAATCTAAGTTATATGACCTTAAGGAATACATGAACTACTTTATGACCAATTTTATTTTATTATCACTTCAGCTGTTACATTCTAAGCAGATATAGAAAAGGAAATGCCTGAATTGCACAAGGCTGCAAAATAACATCAGGAATTAGGTAGACTGTAGTGGAACATATAATTTTAAGGCCCAGGAAAAGAAGAAAGTGTTTTACAATGCTATGGGCTGGTTGCTTCTTTGTATAGTCACTATGAAGGGATTCACAAGAATATTTTGCCTGCCACACTGAGAAGAAAATTGATCAGAGGGTATTTAACCATCAAGTAGTAAAGAGGAATGGTTGTATTTGTTTTTAGTGATTAAAATTGAACTTTCCTCTGCTCAATGTATTCTGTAATTTAAATTTTCAAAAAGCTTCAAAATAAACCTGGAAAAAATTAGTCATCACATAGCTTGTGATTAAATTTAATTCCTATCAGAAGACTGGCAGGTACTTCAAAATAACTGTAGTGATAGAATAATGACTGACTTTTTCCCACGAGACAAAACTAATTTATACTCCACTGAAACCTAAAGTATTCACATAGTATGATGTCAGTCTTATGCCTTCAAGTTTTCTCCAGAGTGTGACTTCAATTTTAGATAGCTGTTCTTTGATAATGCACTTTTTACAACGTTCTTTGCTTGGAGACAAGTGATACTTCCCTGCCGTTGGATTCTTACACTTTACATAGGGAAAATTCACATTTCTGAGTGGAATTAGCTGCCCCTGCCTGGTCTGTTTCTCTCTCCTGAGCCATCATGACTACCTTGGATTCTAGGAAGAAACACCTAGATTAATGCCACCTGGATTTTCTTTAAAATGAGTCAGACTCTGCCTTCATTGTCTGTGTACAAAGACCACTGGCATGTATCTGCAGCTTTTTGTTTCTTTGCAGGAAATACAGGGAAAATGAGGAATAGACGAAGAAAGCTTAGAAGGGGTATTGTTTATCCCATCCCATTCTTCCACCAATACAAGCAACAAATACCCTTAAAAACTTCAGAAGGACTGCATGCCTATCACAAAACAAGAAAGGAGGGAGAACATTTGAAAATAAAGGGTCTGTTTAATAAATGAAAATACAAAAAAAAAAAAGAGTAGAGAAGAGGACAACTACTAGAAAATAAAACTAACAGAGAATTTTAGTTAGGATGCAGCTACACGGGATAGATGAAAATGAAAACAGTGTTCCGGAAGTCAAGGTAGGTCTATTTAAAATGTATTTACCAACTTCCCCTTGTTGCCATATTCTCACACATAAATTTGTCCTCTTGGATCTCTGTCTTCTATGAGAACCATCCTTAAGATCCATATGGGAAGTGCCAGGTTTTCTGTAATGAAGGAGTGGGTCACACAGTTTAATTCAGATCATTAAAACCCAAGAATATTGCCCAGAAATAATTAGCCTCCTAGCCTCACCTATTCCTTACATTCATTTGCATCAGTTTCCCAATCTGGCTTGTTCTTTGATTCAGCTCTTTGTCTCTCTTGTTGATCAGTCTCCCTTCCTCTAGCAGCTGCTCTTCCAGCTATGGTTTTGGTTTGTTGGGCACTGATTCCCAGCCAGAGAGCTACTTGCCTTCTTGATTTCAATATTTTGCTCTCTAAGCACAGCTTATTGAAAAGCCATCCTGTCTTCAACTTGGCCTGTGAATTTTATCTGGACAACCCTTATCACCAATCCCTAGTGGAAGTCTTTTTATCAACACTTCATTCAGCTTAGCAATCACTTACCTGCCTAACCAGCCTATGCTTCTAGCTAAGGTTTCAAGAACTGAGTTGTTTTTTTGTTTTGTTTTTGTTTTTTGTTTTTTTTTTTTTGGTGAGGGGAGAGGTGTTGTTTTTGTTTTTGCTTTTTAGTGGATTCCCAAGTCCTTTGCCTTGCACTGTCTCCTTTCTGTCCCCTGCTCTGGCCTCCTTGCAATGCTTCTGTTGTTCAGCCTTAATCCCCCTTTGCCTATCAGCTAATCAGAGATGCTAAAGACCTGGAGCTAAGAAAATTTTCACTTTTTCATCCAGAGAAGATGGGATAGGATGACTAGATGGAAACTATGTGGCTAGAATCCCAAATTACAGGCCTGACCATCTTTTCCCATGGAAACATTATTAGAGGTGTTTTCATAAAATTACAAGTCACATATATTCTAGTAGCTTTTCATAAGTTATCATGGAGCACCCAAGCGATGAGTACAGTATTTCTACTGGAAAATATGTTCCATGTTCCCAGAAACTGACTTACAGATGAACATTTGGTAAATACTCTAGTCATAATTTGGGGACTTCAGAAAATACGTAAACATAGTTTTGTAACCTATTAACTCTTGAATTAATCCACATTTATCATTAAAAAGTTCAATTAACTTTTTCATTTGAAAGAAAAATCTAGTTGTTTCTGTTTCACCAAAATGAAGAACATAGTTATTTATACAGTACCTGTTTAATAACATCCCTATCATTTATTCATTGCAAATTGCTCAGGTTGTATATCACCCTCCAAGGAGTTCTCATTGCTTAAGTAGATGCATGTTCTTCATTTCTGGCTTAATTTTTCTGTCTGCTTCATTTTTCTCTGTTCTATACCTAGTTTTATCAAATCATCATAAGGATCTACACAAATATTTAAGGTCAAACAGAGGCCAAGTTTTAAAGTAGCCCTAAGCCAATTTTGTTTTTCAAAGTTGTTTGTTTTCTTAAAAGGGGATGAAAGGACTACAGAATCATTTATATATAAGAATAACTTGTAGTTTTGGAAATCATCACAAACTCATTTATTTTTATTGGGTCAAGTGTGTAATTAATTGAAAGAAAAACTATATTTATAATGTAAATATACTCTGGGAAAATCAGCACCATGGACATCTCTTGTTTTTGCCTGCCCAGCATTCCTCCTTTTTTTGTTTGACAACAGCATCCTGCTTTCGTTTGTGGATGGAGCCATCCCTCCATCTGGCCCTGAGTGCTCACTTTCATAGTGTCTCATCTGTACCCTCTGACAAAGAAGAGGTCACCTGACCCAGATGGTCCCATCAGAGTATTCACACCCCTCCTCACAGTGAGCCAAATTGGATAAAAGAGTGTTTTTCACAATATTTTCCCCTTGGTGCTAGGAAAGACAGAGCCTTCTTTCAATAAGATTTTAAACTATAAAAATAATAAAAGCCACAAATATTTTCCACTTTCTTTCAAAGCCACATTGAGGAAGATAACTGCAGTAGAAAAGATGAGGCCAAAATCTAAATAGAAGCAGAGCTGAGGAAAAAGAAAGGCAGAGGGGTAAAGAACACAGATGACATTGAACATTTGAATCTAGCTGGGCTTGAAGCCAGGCCTGCCAAAGACTTTCTAGTGATTTGGACTAATAAATTCCCACCTTAAGCTAATGAGACTTCCGTCTTAATCCTGTAACCCATTTGTGTCCTAATAGACCAGGGTATAAAGAAGAAAAGTGGGATGTCCATTTATTTCAGTGTCTTTTCTCCATTTGAATGTATACTCAACTGAGGAAATTAATCTTCCCCAATTAGCACTTCACAAGATCCCTAGATCCTTCTTCTTCCTCAAAAAGGAGAAAAGTGCATGGCTAGAGGGCCTTAAGACACAACAGTGGACAGAGTGGGCACCTCTGTCACTTCCTCTTTCTGTGACTGTGGACAAGTTACTTATTTTTCTAGACCTCAGTTTCCTTGTGTTTACATAGGCATCATATTACCCAGTTCATACCCTGTAAGAATTAAACGGCATATTGAATGTAAAGTACAAGATATAAAATACATTAAATAAATAAAATATATTCAATAAATCTTAGCTGTTATTATAACAGATAGATACAAGGCAATGTGTTACATGATATCATCAAGGTGTGAGCAAAGCACTGGAACCACACAGAGCCCATTCTGTGTTCTTCCTCTCTTTGCATTGCTCCTCTAAGGCTTGTAAAGCCACTTTCCTCATCATAAATATATGGAGTTTCATGTGCACACTAATCGACCTAATCCAGAAATCTTGCCTTGAGGCATGCAAAAGCCTGTGATGGGAAAGCTTTAGCCCAGTGAACAGGTTGAATGCTTACTGACAAAGACATTAACTGAGTGATATTAAGGAGTTAGAAGCATCCCTGAGAAGCGGTTGTGTCTCAGTTAAAATCTTTGAAAGTTGATAGATCTGAATTCCATCTCTGCCCTATGTTAACCATAGGATTTTGGACAGCTTACATAAGGTCATCCAGCCTTACTTTCTGTATTTATGAATATGCATAATGATAATTATCTTAAAATCATTATGAGGCTAAATAAGATAATGCATACAAAATAGTTAGCATAAGCCCTGTCCAAGCCAGCCTGTTCATGGTGCTTGTAGGGATAATGGTGTCCTGAGGTCACTGATTGGGTCACAGAAGGTAGAACACTATTAGCAAGGCAGTATTAAGTTAGTAAGCTGGATTGTAAACGGAAATTCAGGAAATGGTAGATCCCGAGGTACAGCCCATTGTCTGAGGGCTGCAGATAAGATTGAGGATATTCGGTCCTAGGTATCTGGGGAATTCTTTGACTACAGGGTAGCAGGACAAATTGTGAAAGACTTTGAAAAGAAAAGACTATATCAGTTGTTACCAGGTCTACCTCCACTAGTGGGTTATTCATGCTTTTCATTGTCTTTGAGCTATTATACAACTCTGTAAGTTGTAGAAAACTGGTGATAATGCAAACGATTCTTGTCCAGGAAAAATGTGTGCTGGTGGAATGCAATTGATTCTATCCCTTTGGATAGAGTCATTTGGCATGATTGTAAATTCATCTAAAAATTGCTTGCTTGTTCTCTATGTATGTATGGTTCTTGGAATTCTCCTTTGAACTGATTATAACATCGTATTTGTTCCCTTATTGATTAATAGGTTAACTAAAATGTTTGACAGATGTTCACTCTGTATTCATATGAGAGTAATGACTTTATCTTTTTTTTATAAGAGATTTATCCTTACAATGGGGTTCTCTCAATAGCACAGGAAACATCAATTTTTTTTTTCTGATTTTGCATCTAAGCTCACTCCTACTGAGTAATCTCTTTAAATTTAAAGGGACGTTGCTAGTCTCTGATCTTGCTGCCTCATTGTAAGTATCTTCTGCCAGGAGCATCTGGAAGCTTCAGAAGGGAACTGAGTACTCAGGGATTCAAATCTTAGTCCCCTGCTGCTACCTCATCTCTATTAACACTCCCTAAGGGAAGGCCCTGCTAATAGAGACCCAGATTCATTTCCGCATTAATTCTTGAAGATGGTCACCTTGGTTAAAGCTATAGCTAAACTATTTTGATTAAATCATTTTACAATTTAACAACCATATTTCATTCTGAAAAGCACTGTCATGGGCCTCCAGTAATTTTGAATAGCAAGCCACATCCTTATTCAAAATTATTTTTGATTGATAGACAATTAATAAATAAATCTTAGATGTGAATAGATGAGCTGTCATGCTGTCATAGGTTTTCAAAAGACTGATGTGGAATCTGAAACAGTTTCTATTAGTGAAAGATAACAGGTGAGGATTTCACAAAAAAAAATTTTTTTTTAATTTTATTTAAAAACTTGTTCAGGGGTAAAAATGCAGGTTTGTTACTTAGGTAAACTTCTGTCATGGGGGTTTGTTGTACAGATTATGTCATCACCCAGGTATTAAGCCTAGAACCCATTATTTTTCCTGATCCTCTCCTTCTCCCACCCTCCACCCTCTGAAAGGCCCCAGGGTGTGTTGTTCCCCTATATGAGTCCATATGTTCTCATCATTTAGCTCCCACTTATAAATGAAAACATGCAGTGTTTGGTTTCCTGTTTCTGTGTTAGTTTGCTAAAGATAATGGCCTCTGGCTCCATCGATATCGCTGTAAACAATATGATCTTGTTCTTTTTTATGACTGCATCATAGTATTCTATGCTGTATATATACCACACTTTCTTTATCCAGTCTATCATTGATGGGCAGTTAGGTTGTTTCCCTGTCTTTGCTATTGTGAATAGAGCTACAATGAACATACACGTGCATGTGTCTTTATAATAGAATGATTTATATTCTTATGGGTATACACCCAGTAATGGGATTGCTGGGTCATATGGTATTTCCAGTTCTAGATACTTGAGAAGTCGCCACACTATCTTCCACAATGGCTGAACTAATTTACACTCCCAGCAGTGTAGAAGTGTTCCTTTTTCTAAACAGCCCTGCCAGCATCTGTGGTTTTTTGACTTTTTAGTAATAGCCATTCCGACTTGTGTGAGGTCATATCTCATTGTGGTTTTGATTTGCATTTCTCTTACGATCGGTGATGTTGAGATTTTTTTCATATGATTGTTGGCCATATGAATGTCTTCTTTTGAGAAGTCTATTTAAGTCCTTTGCCCACTTTTTTATAGGGTTGTTTTATTCTTATAAATTTAAGTTCCTTATAGATACTGAATATTAGACCTTTGTTGGATGCATACTTTGCAAAAATTTTCTCCCATTCTGTAGGTTGTCTGTTTACTCTGTTGATAGTTTCTACTATTGTGCAGAAGCTTTTCAGTTTAATTTGATCCCATTTGTCATCATTTAGCTCTTTGCTGGGAATCTGCTCCTCCATTCCCTAGTCATCTCAGATTTACCAGTACCTGGAGATATCACCAGTGAAGGCTAAGAAACAGCAAAGATAGCTGCCTGCCACTTCCTCTGGGACCTCCATCCCAAGGAGACACAGACCTGTTGCCAGCCTGAACTCACCTGTAGGAGGTGGCTGGTGACCCTGCATGGGAGGTCTTCTCCAGTCAGTAGGAATGAGATCAGGAACTCGCTTAAAAAAGTAGCTTGGCCACATTTATGTAGAGCAGCTGTGCTATGCTGAGGGTCCACTTTAGCCCCTGGTAACCTCGGACACTGAAGCCCAAAGGCTAGAATGGCTAAGTCACCCAAACAGCAAAGATGGAGGCCTTCCTGTCCACCTGGGAGCTCTATCCAGGGAGGCCTGAAACCTCTGTCAGCTGGAGACTGGTTATTGTAGTCAGAGACCCTGGTAGGAATGCTTCACCCAATGATGAGGAACAGGGTCAGGGACCCACTTTAAAAAGCAGTCTGGCCACATTTTCATGGGGCTGCTGTGCTGTTCTAGAGTACCACTTCCACCCTCTGTTGGCTTGCACTCTTCACAGCCCAAAGGCGGGAATTGTTAAGATGCCCAAACAGCAAAGATGGTGGTCTGCCCCTCCCTCCGGGATTTCTGTCCCAGCGAGTTTCCAAATTTCTGTAGGCCAGAGAAAACCAGTGGGAGTGGCTGTAGGCCCTGGTTGGAAGGTTCTACCCAGTGAAGAGGAACGGGTTCAGGAACCTGCTTAAAGAAAAGTGTGCCATGCTTTCATAGAGCAGCTGTGCTGTGCGGGGGTACTGCTTCCACCCCCAGTTAGCTTGAGCTCTCCAGAGCTTGGAGGCTGGAACAGCTAAGTCGCCCAAACAGCCAAGATAGTGGCTCACCCCTCCCTCTGGGAGCTCTGTCTCCAGGACTTTTCAAATCTCTGTTGGCCAGAGAACACCATGAGGGGTGGCTGGAGGCCTCAGATGGGAGGCCACACCCATTGAGGAGAAATGGAATCAGAGACCTGGTTAAAGAAGTAGCCTGGCTATGCTTTAATAGAGTACCTGTGCTGTGCTGGGGTATTGCTTCTGCCTCCAAAGGCTTGGGCTCTCCAAAGCCTTCAAGCAGGAACAGCTAGGTTACACAAACAGCTAAGTTACCCAAACAGTCAAGCTGGCAGCCCACTCCTCCCTCTGGGAGCTCTGACCCCTGGACTTTATAAATCTCTGTTGGCCAGAGAATGCCTCCAGCAAGGGTGGCTGGAGGCCTTGGTTGAAAGGTCTGTCCCAGTGAGGAGGAACACATTGAGAACCTGCTTAAAGAAGCAGCCTGGCCACGTTTTGGTGGAGCAGCTGTATTGTGCTAGGAGATCCCTGCCACCCCTGGTTAAACACTCCAAAGCCTGCAAGCTGGAACAGGTAAGTTGCCCAAACAGCAAAGACGGTGGCCCACCCCTCCTGCTCAGGAGCTCCATCCCAGGGAGGCACAACACTACTACAAGTGACTGGCTGGAATGCCAAGCCAGTGGGTCTTATCCTGTGAGGCATCATGGAAATGGGGCCTGCAGACCATTGCTGCTTAGTTCCCTGGATTTAGCCTCCTTCCTAGGGGTAAATATGGGGGTCTAAATTCCCGCTTTGCTGGAGTTGCAGTTACTTTTGCCTGGACGCCCAGAAAGTCAGAGTATCTACAGCTCCCAGGTCTCTATGTGTGCCTGAGAGGCTGCTCTGCTAACACCCCACGTAGCTCTGTGTGTCAGACTGAAGACTCTAGTGGAATGGGTTCACAAGGGGATCTTCTGACCTGAAGGTTGCAAAGATCTGTGGGAGAAGCGTGGTTTCCCAGGGTTACACATTCACTCACTGCTTGCCCAAGTTGGGGAGGTTCCCTTGGCTCTGTGTCACTCCCAGCTGGGCCATCGCCCTGCCTTGCTTTTCTTGGTTCTCCATGGGTTGAGTTCTTTCCTTGATTAGTCCCAATGCAAATACCTGGATGTTTCTGTTGAAGGTGCTGAATTTCTTGCCCTTCTGTCCCTCTCCCTGAGAGCCACACATCTAAGCTGCTTCTAGTTGGCCATCTTGGCCACTCCCCACAAAATACTTTTTAAAAGCAAAGAGAAACAAAAATAAAAAGTAATGTGTTATTGAGTTTATACTCCAATGTATACATTTCACAAGTAGTGTCCTATTAATAGTAAAAATACTGGTGAATCACCTTCTAAATCCATGAACAGTATTTTAAGAATCCTTAAACTTAATACACATTTGGAGTCAGCTATTGTCTGACTTAAGGAGGACTGCTTGCTCTACCACAAGAAATAGGCAACGGGATGCTGCCTCACACAGGAAAAGAAAGATTGACTCTGCCTGATATGGTTTGGCTCTGTACGCACACAAATCTCATGTCAATTTGTAATCCCCATGTGTCAGGGGAGGGGCCTGGTGGGAGGTGATTGGATCATGGGGGTAGTCTTCCTCCTTGCTGTTCTCATGATAGTGAATGAGTTCTCATGAGATCTGGTTGTTTAAAAGTGTGTGGCACTTCCCCCTTTGCTCTCTCTCTCTCCTGCTCTGCCATGTGAATATGTGCTTATTTCCCCTTCGCCCTTCTGCCATGATTGTAAGTTTCCTGAGGCTTCACAGCCATGCTTCCTGTGCAGCCTGAGGGACTGTGAATCAATTAAACCTCTTTTCTTCATAAATTACCCAGTCTCAGATAGTTCTTTATGGCAGTGTGAGAATGGACTAATACACTGCCTCTAAGTCTTTGGCCTGCTTTTTTTCCTTGACAGGAAAACAAAAACAAACAAAAATTACTGAACAAGGCATTTAATGAGCACTGTACATTCTTACCCAATCTGATAGCAGGATTTTGTGTTTAGACCCCATCATATAGTCAAGCTAAGGTGAAGATATTCTAAGTTTGAGGAAGTCAACCAAATGGTTATGTCCTGATGGTCACGTGAGAGCCAGAGTTGAACTGAGGAGAGACCGTGGAATGTTTGAAACATCAGCAGCTAAGGAGACCATAAAGTAAAATTAGAGTCTTTTGCAATTTTTTCTAGTTTTGACTCATTGTCTTTGGGACATGAGGTCTACCTTTTGTGTTTTATAGTTCACTTACATTTTCCTGGTAGCCCCAGGGCTGATTTCAGGCAATTCTAGTGATTAGCAATTTCTTTCTTTCACCTTTGACCTATCTTTCTCCTTCCTGTTAAATAATAGAAAATACAATCTACCTACTACTAGGTGATGCTAAGTCTCCCTGCACATAAGTCTAATTTATTTCATTGGAAATAATTTCTTTTATCTGACAAGTGTTCTGGACTATGAAATAAGTGCATATTATTATACTTGCTAAACTTCATGCTAATTTTTCTGCATCGGGACTTTTCCATAAATGGTCAAGTCCTGATAAAGTGGGGGTATTTTGGCTTATCTCTGCAAAATTTGCTTTACAATTTACTGGCAAGTGGCACCTCTCCTCATTATCTTAATTTTAATACTGAAGACTCTGTTTGTCCTCTATTTGTCTTATGCAGTTTTCAGTCCAGCTGAAATGCCCTCTGAAATTCAAACACTTCGCTATGGATTTTTATTAGAGTCATTTTGCAGGTTGAGGCTTTGAATTAGTTATGTCCAATGCTCTTTTTTCTTAGCACTGAGTCAGTTAATAAAACTGGTCAAGATTTTGACCTTTGCTATTGATCTTCATTCTCTGATTGAAACCATTTCCCATATTAGATATATCCATATTCAATTTTATGATAGAAACAAACTGCCAAATTGAATAGACTGTAAAAAAAAGATGAAACCAAAATAGTGGCTCATTGTGGGACTCTGTAGACAATAACCAGAACTAAACTTAATGAAGCAGATTAATTATCAAGAGAAAGAATAGACTACATTGTGGAAGATCATTCATTGTCCTCCTGGACATGCCATCACTGAGACAGAGATGAAGAGTCAGAGCACTTGAGAAAGGTGGGGATCTGGGGCAGGGATCTTCCTGTGAATGATGAGTGAAGAATGATGGGTCAGACACATAAATGGTGAGTGAAGGAGGAAAGGTTTAATGAGTTTTTATTTCACCATTATTCTAGTCATTACAACTCCTCTCTAGACCTACCAAGAGGTCTGCTATGAATTGACAATGAGGGTGGAAGGAGTTTCCTAAAAGTGATGGGCTGGGGAGAAGACAGGCATACAGGAAAGGGAAAGCCCATGTGGCAGAACTCAAGGAAAGAGGTTTCAATCTGGGCTGAGAAGGTCTCTCCTACATAAGAAATGTATGTCAGTGGAGAGATCTAAAAATAATCTTAATTTTTATGACACACTATTTTGAATTATCCATTAGTGCCTTTCCAATAATAAAAGGCTGATTGCAAAATTCAAGAAAGGGAGTTTTTTAAATATTTAAATGCACTGAATGGCAGGATTTATGTAAATCTGGGTTCTTACATTGCAGAATATAACTTAAAAGACAACTTGTTGTTTAAAATGTGTGACTAAGTAAATACTGTATGTGAAGTTTTCTTTTTTAATCAAGTTACTTAACATGTTAGAATACTTTTTTGTTCTTCTTTTTAAACTCACCTTTTAATATAGCTGGGTCCTAGTAGATCTTGCAAACCATTAGAAAGCTGACCTCACACTGTCTTGGAACAGGAGGAAGCACAGAGGTTTTGAGTGCTAACCTTTAACATTAGTCAGGGATGATTTGAGCAGAGACAAAGTGTTACATCTGAAATCCTGCTCACAATTCTGCTATGGGCAAGAATGAAGGTGACATGGGAAATGGTCTTGTGTCAGCCACACATTTTGAAGTTCTACTGACATACCCTATTAAAAAGGAAAAGGAGTTTATTTTTTAACACTGAAATTTGTCAGATTTTGCAGTATTTTTGATTGAAGACTTTAGCATCTAACAAAAACTATACTTTTCAATTACCTATGAGAAATGAAACGTAACAATTTCCCCCTGAAGAAGTGAATTTAACCAAACTTATGAACATTTTCCACACCTAAGTATCTGAGATGTAGGGATTGATTTTTTTAAATAATAACTTTAATTTTTATTATGGTAGCCCCAGCTCTTATGTCTCAATTCTAAACAAGCTGCAGATCAATTCTTTTCTAACTGTAAATTGAAAGTTATCCTCTCTTTCCCTCCCCAAATTAATAACAAATATTAATAAGAAGTTAATTTTGGTTGGGCGCAATGGCTCATGACTGTAATCCCAGAACTCTGGGGTGCCAAGGTGGGATGATCACTTGAGACCAGGAGTTTAAGAACAGTCTGAGCAAAATACAGAAACCCAGACTCTATAAAATATAAAAAATTAGTCAGACATGGTGGCACACACCTGTAGTCCCAGCTACTCAGAAGGCTAAGGCAGGAAGATCACCTGAGCCAGCGAGGCAGAGGCTGCAGTGAACCATGATCATACCACTTCACTCCAGCCTAGGTGACACAGCAAGACCCCATCTTAATGAGAAAATAAGTTAATTTCCTTAAATATTAATATACTTTTGATATTTTTGCCTCCGAATCTCATGTTGAGCTGTGATCCCCAAGGTTTGAGGTGAGGCCAAGTGGGTGTTTGGATCATGGGGGCAGATTCCTCATGAATGGCTTGGTGCCTTTCCCACAGCAATGAGTACACACAATATTTGGTTGTTCAAGAGTCTGTGACCTCCCTGCTCTCTCTCTTGCTCCCTGTCTCACCATGTGACACACCTGTTCCTCCTTCAACTTCCACCATGAGTAAAAGCTTCCTGAACACTCACCAGAAGCTGAGAAGATGGTGCCATGCTTGTACAGCCTGCAGAACCATGAGCCAATTAAACCCCTTTTCTTTATAAATTACCCAATCTAAGGTATTCCTTTATAGCAATGCAAAATGGACTAATACAAATTTCTTGTATGCAGGAATGTTATAGAAGAATCTTAAAATCATCTTTTTAGAAAAATTCCTTAAAGTACTTTACACAAATTATCAACTTTGATTTGTGAGTTGAAGGAAACTTTAGGTATTGGCTGTGTTCAATCTTTGTATCTTAACATGATAAAACCAAGATTCAGAAACAGAGTCAGGACACTAACCCTTTCTCTTGGCTTTTACACAAGTATTTCTTCAATTGTATTATGCCTCCCATGGAAATATTGCTCAATTGCATTCTAAGTTATAGGTTTTTGAGTTGTAGCAGTTTTATCACAATGTAGCTAGATGGATCATGGAAAGAGTAAATCTTTCAGCTTGCCTAGTACATGTGAATAGAAGTGATCATTGAAGCCCAAGAATAAAAGTGAGTATTAAAGATAGAAAGTAACTCTAGAAGGAAAAGCCTTGGACAGATCCTAGGGGGATACTTATATTAGGGGGCAGAAGAAACAAAAGAGCCTGTGAACGAGATAAGGAAGATGCCTTTAGAGCTTAGGAAAAGAACCAGTGACACAATGGAGGTTGGAAGTCAGATTGAAAAGTGGGGGCCATTAGAGAAGAGAAGAGAGAAAAGCAAGTATTGAAGAGAATTTAGAAGAGAAAAGAAGGGGAAAAAGGGAGGGGAGAAAGGGAAAGACGCAAGAGTAGCTCAAGTAGTAGCGTTAAGAAAACATTTAAAGATACAGGGAACTCGAATATTTGTGTATGTGTGAAAAATAGATGGCAAATGCAAAATAACAATAAAGAAAAGAGATTACTGATGACACGACGTCCAAGAGGAGGAAGCAGGAAATGCAATCAACACCCTGGAGTAGGAATCCTTTTCTCTCTGGGACAAGAAAGAAGGAGAAGAAGGAGGAGAGAGAAGATGGAATATGATGAGCTCTCACCAAAAAGCCTGGGTCTCAGTGTTCTGCTAGATAAGAACATCTGCCAAAAGGGAGAAGGGTAAGGGAGAATGGCAAACATTTGAAATAATCATCACCAGGTTTTTGAGAGCAGTTGTTCCTGCTTGAGTCAGACAGTGTAGAGTTGAGATTCACACATATTTGATCCATAGACCTAAGGAAGAGGGCAGAGGGAGCTAAGGAGATAGATGTCTGCACAAATAAAGCCAAGGACAGGAGATGCAGACTGTGTTCCCAGAACTTTATACACAGAGTTATTGGAGTCAGAGTGTGCAAAATGATTTTGATAAAAGTATGTTGATCTGGGGACCTGTAAGAAGCGCCCTTCCTCTTTTTTAAACTCATTATTTCTTGTGGCAAAGAGGGCTATCTGTCCACCAGCAATCCGTTCACTGCTTCTACAGTACAGAGTGATTCCTGAGAAGTGGCTGTCCAACCAAGGATTACATTTCCCAGTTGCCTTTGTTTCTAGACAGAGAAACATGACTAGTCCTCACCTCTGTATACACTTGTGCACTCCTTCCTCCTCAAGGATATCATGTCATCAGTAATCTCTTTTCTTTGTTGTTATATTGCATTTGCAATCTATTTTTCACACATACACAAATATTTGAGTCCCCTGTATCTTTAAATGTTTTCTTAACACTGCTACTTGAGCTACTCTTGCATCTTTCCCTTTCTCCTCTCCTTTTTTCCCCTTCTTTTCTCTTCAAACTTCTCTTCAAACTGCCCCCACTTTGCAACCTGACTTCCAACCTCCATTGTATCACTGGTAAACTCTAAAGGCATCTTCCTTATCTCTTTCACAGGCTCTTTTGTTTCTTCTGCCCCTTAATATAAGTATCCCCCTAGGATCTATCTAAGGCTTTTCCTTCTAGAGATACTTTCTATCTTTAATACTCACTTTTATCCTTGGGCTTCAGTGATCACTTCTATACACATGCACTAGACAAGCAGGAAGATCTGTGGAAGTGCAATGAAAGAAATGAGTGTAAGCAAGGAGAAAGATGACGAGATGCCTCCACTCCAGACACCATGCTCCCACTACCTAGGTGCTTTCTCACCATGTCTCCATAAACCAGGGTCTTCCCAGTCAGAACATGTGTGCTGGGAAGGTGGAGGGATGACTTTTGAAGGCCAGAGTGGATGCAAATTAGGAACTGCTAAACCAAGAAACATTTTCTAGATTTAGATATTTTTGAACAACAGTCTATCATAGAACCAAGCACTGAGTCATTTGACAATGTATTACAGTTTGATAAAAAGGTTAAGTTCTTAAAATATTGTCTGGAAGGAAAAAGAGCATGAGGTGCTTTTTAAAAAAATCTTGAATGTTTGAGGAGGTTGTGCCAAGTTAGCATTTAAATATATTTCTAAAATGCAGTCCTTAAACAAACTGTTTTAAATATACATCCTGAGACATCACCAGCCTTGGGTTGTTAAAATTCTTTACAGAACACAACCTCAGAGATGGCAAATATTTGTATGTGTCACCTGAAGTGTTTTAGCCCCATCTAATTTCCTTCTACTGAAAAAAATGTGTAGCTGGGGGACTTTACTAGTATACTTGGCAACAATAAACATAAATTTTGACTTTCTGTTAAATTAAAAGGGAAAATTTTGACCAGAATGATTTCAACTAGGTTGGGTGCCTGCTAAAGCAGAAGGAGACATGTTTCAATCTGAGAGATGCACCTGAAGTCTCCACCATGCAAAGAGGTTTTGGAGAGAAATAGAAACGTGCTGTGGGAATATGGAAACATTAGGAGCTTTCAAGCATTGGATCTTCATTTTAAAAGTCACATGAAAAGTCTCTTTTGTTTTTTTTCTCTGCACCTTAAGCTTCCTACAGATAAAGTTCTTTCTGTAGAGAAGAATTCCACATTGCCTCTGGAATCTTGCATGTGCATAAGTGCCTGTGTATGAACACAATGTGGCCTCAGGCTGCTTACCTTCCTCCTCTTACCTCATACCCTTTTGTCCTGTATCCCCTTTTCCTGCCTCATTAAACTCACTCTTCCTTGTTGCAGAGAAAGCTAACTGTCCACCAACAATCTGTTCCCTGCTTTCACAGTACAAAGTGGTTTCTGATAAGTGGCTGCCCAAACAAGGATTATATTTCCCAGTTTCCCTTGTTTCTAGACTAGTCCTCACCCCCGGACTAGTGCTGTGTGTCATTTATGTTCAAGGAAATTAAGTCGTTATGCCAGATGAGGGGGTTTGCTTTCTCCATCTTGTTTTTCTCACTCATTAGCTGCATGTGAACCCTCTGAGGCCCTAGGTGATGGTACAGCCACAAGATGTGAGGAACACAGGACACTAAATTGCCATGTGGAAGAAAGCCACTAGCCAACCAAGAACATCCACACTAGGCATTTACATGAGTGAGAAACAAACTTGTATTGTGTTGCAGCACTGAATCTTTGAAACTTTTCTGTTATAACAGCATTACCTCAACTAATATACATTAGCAGCTCACTTCTCTTGCCTCTGTTAATGGGTGTTTCTTCTGCTAGGAATGCTATTGCCCTTTTTCTCTGTGCCAGATAATGTTTTGAGACACAAAGGTGAGCAAAATAGATGCCTATTTTCATGGAGTATGCAATATGATAAACTACAATTTATCCTTCAAGGGAAAGCTTAACGCTACTTGCCTCCATAATTGTCCCTGACCCTCCCCTCTTCCTGTACCCCTTAAGCAAAGCTAAGCGTTCACTTATTTGTGTTCTTGTAGAAATCAGAACCAAGAATAAGTTGGTACAACTCCAGGTGATAATCTTGGCAAAAAATCATAGAGGAGACTAAGTCTAGAAACACGAACTTAAAATTACTTTGTTTGTACATTTCATCTTCCAGATTATGGGCGCCTACATGTCAGGGACTATGCCTTTTTGGTCTTTGTAGTATAGTGCCAGGCTTGATAGAGGCTAAATAAGTGCAGAATTGAAAAGACCTCCTTTTCACCCACTATTCTTTTTCCCAGCTCACTGCAACCTTGACCTGCTGGGCTCAAGTGATGCTCCCACCTTGGCCTCCCAAGTAGCTAGTACTACAGGTATACAGGTACACACCAGCATGCATGGCTAATTTTTCTTTCTTTCTTTCTTTTTTTTTTTTTTTTTTTTTTTTTGGTGGAGACGGGGTTTCACCATGTTGTCCAGCCTGGTCTCAAACTCCCAGGGTCAAGCTATTTGCCTGCCTTGGCCTCCCAAAGCGCTGGGATTACAAGCACGAGCCACCAAACCAGGCAAAGAAGGGTTTTATAAAGTGACATTCATTTCTCTTTACTGGTTCTGAGGTACAAATATTGCTGCTACAAAAGCAGCAGGTTGAAGTTGTGCTGAATGTAGTTCCATTGTTGGAATGCTGCTGAACACACAAACGTTCCGCCCTCTTACATTTCCCAAAGCATAATGACATTTTCCAAACTGGATATTAGCCAGAACAGTTTCTAGACTCTCATAACCCCCTAGACATGAACAACAGGTACACCGAAAGCATAACAAAGGGGCTAGTGAGGACATGGGAGGGAGCTGAGAATAGGAAAACTGGGGTTAGCAAGAACCCAGGGGTTCTGGACTGAGCTGAGTCCAGAAGCAGTGAGCACTGGCTTGGTTCCAAGCCAGTGGCAGTCTCCAAGGATCTGGTCTGACCCTTGGAACAGAATAGTTAGAACCTCCAGCTGATGGTGACACATGTAGCTCAATATTTAGACAACATGGTCCCAGGAGTACTGGCCATTGGTGTCAGGATGGACTAGAATGTCCAGCAGAACTGGAATCCAAACAAGAGCTGGGGACAATATTGCTGGTCCTGTGCCCTCACAGATCCCCACTCCCTGCCAGTATCAGTGTTTCTTATTCCTCTCCCTTGTTAACCCTGAATAGTAAGACTAGACTTCTACTTACCTCCCTGCTATGCAATTTTGTCCAGTATGACATGAAGAAATTTTCTTACCTTGTTTTCTTATTGCCTTTTTATATGACCAAATATTTAGATTGTTAAGTTCTTTCTGCATTTTCCTAGTTGTTTTAAATCTGTCTTGCCATGATCTTCAACTGCTTTCTTTTTTCCTTCCACTTTGTGCTATGTTCTTTCTGCCTTTGGCATTGCAGCTTCACTACCATTGTCTCTATCACCATGATCAACAATAAGACGAAAGAAAGAAAAAGAAAGAAAGAAAGAAAGAAAGAAAGAGAAAGAGAGTGAGAGACAGAGAAAGAAAGTAGAAAGAAAGAAAAAGAACGAAAAAGAAAGAAAGAAAAGAAAGAAAGAAAGTTGTCTAAAGCCATTTTTCATCCTTCTTATAGAAGAAAACACTGGTTTTGGAATATTCTTTAATTTAAAAGGTTCTTGGTGGAGGAAGAGATTATTAAAATTACCAAGAGAACCTAACATTATTGAAGGAAAACAGAAGAGAAAAAAATGATCAGCAAGTAACTAAAGCAATAATGCAGCTACAATATACTGCATGCATACAAAGTTCTGGGCACTGTGCATTAGTACTAATTTGTTCATTCACTTATTCCAAAAACAGCTGAGTCCTAACTCTGTGCCAGCCACTGTAATCACCCATCTCCAGATCTGTTAGCTTTTTTCTCACATTCCGCCTTGACCTTAGCCAGCTCAGCAGTTCTATGAAGTTTTAGAAAAGTCAAGACCATTTGCTTTAAAAGGGAAAGGAAACCTGGTTAATAACCTGCAGATATGGACCATTCACCTGACTGCCACCTGGGATTGCACGCTGTCCACCTCTCAGTCTCCATGCAGCTAAAACTGAGGGTAAGGCAGCCACTCTATTGCCAAAGGCAATGATGTGTTTACACTTAGTTCTGCACCATATGATTAGTAAAACAATGAGTGCCCTGTTTATAAATGGATTTTTAACACCTCCCTGGCCTCACTGCATTTGTGTAGGTTTTAAGGAAACACAGGCTGAATGTACACAAATTCAGCAAGTTCTCTCCTTTATGGGAGCAGCAGTCATTATGTACCAAAGGAAGAATCAATAGAACTTAAGATTTAAAACACCATCCATTTACCTTGTGTTTAGACCTTGGCTTTATAAATAGTGTGTTTAAAAGAATGTTCCTGCCTTTCTTTTTTTTTTTTTTTTTTTAAGCTCTATAAGGAAATAATGGTTGTGAAAATCAGGTTTTGAGAAGAAAAAATGATTTTCTCAGACGCTCAAAATCATATCTTCATAGGTTGAGTTGCACAAAATTTTTATTTTTTTTTATTTTTTATTTTTTTTATTTTTTTATTTTTTAAATTTTTTTTTATTATACTTTAAGTTTTAGGGTACATGTGCACATTGTGCAGGTTAGTTACATATGTATACATGTGCCATGCTGGTACGCTGCACCCACCAACGTGTCATCTATCATTAGGTATATCTCCCACTGCTATCCCTCCCCCCTCCCCCGACCCCACCACAGTCCCCAGAGTGTGATATTCCCCTTCCTGTGTCCTTGTGATCTCATTGTTCAATTCCCACCAATGAGTGAGAACATGCGGTGTTTGGTTTTTTGTCCTTGCGATAGTTTGCTGAGAATGATGGTTTTCAGCTTCATCCATGACCCTACAAAGGACATGAATTCATCATTTTTTATGGCTGCATAGTATTCCATGCTGTATATGTGCCACATTTTCTTAATCCAGTCTATCATTGTTGGACATTTGGGTTGGTTCCAACTCTTTGCCATTGTGAATAATGCCGCAATAAACATACATGTGCATGTGTCTTTATAGCAGCATGATTTATAGTCATTTGGGTATATACCCAGTAATGGGATGGCTGGGTCAAATGGTATTTCTGGTTCTAGATCCCTGAGGAATCACCACACTGACTTCCACAATGGTTGAACTAGTTTACAGTCCCACCAACAGTGTAAAAGTGTTCCTATTTCTCCACATCCTCTCCAGCACCTGTTGTTTCCTGACTTTTTAATGATTGCCATTCTAACTGGTGTGAGATGATATCTCATAGTGGTTTTGATTTGCATTTCTCTGATGGCCAGTGATGATGAGCATTTCTTCATGTGTTTTTTGGCTGCATAAATGTCTTCTTTCGAGAAGTGTCTGTTCATGTCCTTCGCCCACTTTTTGATGGGGTTGTTTGTTTTTTTCTTGTAAATTTGTTTGAGTTCATTGTAGATTCTGGATATTAGCCCTTTGTCAGATGAGTAGGTTGCGAAAATTTTCTCCCATGTTGTAGGTTGCCTGTTCACTCTGATGGTAGTTTCTTTTGCTGTGCAGAAGCTCTTTAGTTTAATTAGATCCCATTTGTCAATTTTGGCTTTTGTTGCCATTGCTTTTGGTGTTTTGGACATGAAATCCTTGCCCACGCCTATGTCCTGAATGGTAATGCCTAGGTTTTCTTCTAGGGTTTTTATGGTTTTAGGTCTAACGTTTAAATCTTTAATCTATCTTGAATTGATTTTTGTATAAGGTGTAAGGAAGGGATCCAGTTTCAGCTTTCTACATATGGCTAGCCAGTTTTCCCAGCACCATTTATTAAATGCACCAAGCGGACCTAATAGACATCTACAGAACTCTCCACCCCAAATCAACAGAATATACATTTTTTTCAGCACCACACCACATCTATTCCAAAATTGACCACATACTTGGAAGTAAAGCTCTCCTCAGCAAATGTAAAAGAACAGAAATTATAACAAACTATCTCTCACACCACAGTGCAATCAAACTAGAACTCAGGATTAAGAATCTCACTCAAAGCCGCTCAACTACATGGAAACTGAACAACCTGCTCCTGAATGACTACTGGGTACATAACGAAATGAAGGCAGAAATAAAGATGTTCTTTGAAACCAACGAGAAGAAAGACACCACATACCAGAATCTCTGGGACGCATTCAAAGCAGTGTGTAGAGGGAAATTTGTAGCACTAAATGCCTACAAGAGAAAGCAGGAAAGATCTAAAATTGACACCCTAACATCACAATTAAAAGAACTAGAAAAGCAAGAGCAAACACATTCAAAAGCTAGCAGAAGGCAAGAAATAACTAAAATCAGAGCAGAACTGAAGGAAATAGAGACACAAAAAACCCTTCAAAAAATCAATGAATCCAGGAGCTGGTTTTTTGAAAGGATCAACAAAATTGATAGACCGCTAGCAAGACTAATAAAGAAAAAAAGAGAGAAGAATCAAATAGACACAATAAAAAATGATAAAGGGGATATCACCACCGATCCCACAGAAATACAAACTACCATCAGAGAATACTACAAACACCTCTACACAAATAAACTAGAAAATCTAGAAGAAATGGATACATTCCTCGACACATACACTCTCCCAAGACTAAACCAGGAAGAAGTTGAATCTCTGAATAGACCAATAACAGGCTCTGAAATTGTGGCAATAATCAATAGCTTACCAACCAAAAAGAGTCCAGGACCAGATGGATTCACAGCCGAATTCTACCAGAGGTACAAGGAGGAACTGGTACCATTCCTTCTGAAACTATTCCAATCAATAGAAAAAGAGGGAATCCTCCCTAACTCATTTTATGAGGCCAGCATCATTCTGATACCAAAGCCGGGCAGAGACACAACCAAAAAAGAGAATTTTAGACCAATATCCTTGATGAACATTGATGCAAAAATCCTCAATAAAATACTGGCAAACCGAATCCAGCAGCACATCAAAAAGCTTATCCACCATGATCAAGTGGGCTTCATCCCTGGGATGCAAGGCTGGTTCAATATACGCAAATCAATAAATGTAATCCAGCATATAAACAGAGCCAAAGACAAAAACCACATGATTATCTCAATAGATGCAGAAAAAGCCTTTGACAAAATTCAACAACCCTTCATGCTAAAAACTCTCAATAAATTAGGTATTGATGGGACATATTTCAAAATAATAAGAGCTATCTATGACAAACCCACAGCCAATATCATACTGAATGGGCAAAAACTGGAAGCATTCCCTTTGAAAACTGGCACAAGACAGGGATGCCCTCTCTCACCGCTCCTATTCAACATAGTGTTGGAAGTTCTGGCCAGGGCAATCAGGCAGGAGAAGCAAATAAAGGGTATTCAATTAGGAAAAGAGGAAGTCAAATTGTCCCTGTTTGCAGACGACATGATTGTATATCTAGAAAACCCCATCGTCTCAGCCCAAAATCTCCTTAAGCTGATAAACAACTTCAGCAAAGTCTCAGGATACAAAATCAATGTACAAAAATCACAAGCATTCTTATACACCAACAACAGACAAACAGAGAGCCAAATCATGAGTGAACTCCCATTCACAATTGCTTCAAAGAGAATAAAATACCTAGGAATCCAACTTACAAGGGATGTGAAGGACCTCTTCAAGGAGAACTACAAACCACTGCTCAAGGAAATAAAAGAGGACACAAACAAATGAAAGAACATTCCATGCTCATGGGTAGGAAGAATCAATATCGTGAAAATGGCCATACTGCCCAAGGTAATTTACAGATTCAATGCCATCCCCATCAAGCTACCAATGACTTTCTTCACAGAATTGGAAAAAACTACTTTAAAGTTCATATGGAACCAAAAAAGAGCCCGCATCGCCAAGTCAGTCCTAAGCCAAAAGAACAAAGCTGGAGGCATCACACTACCTGACTTCAAACTATACTACAAGGCTACAGTAACCAAAACAGCATGGTACTGGTACCAAAACAGAGATATAGATCAATGGAACAGAACAGAGCCCTCAGAAATAATGCCGCATATCTACAAAAGAATGTTCCTGCTTTTCTTGCTGTGGTTGCCTCAACTCCTATTCTCTCCCCAGGTCACAGATTCTGTGAAAGGACCCCAGCCAGAATCTGGGGGTCTGCATATGAAAAATGTGCCATAAAAATAAATCCCGGTAGCTTCTCCAGTATGTCATTTGACACTTCACCTTGCCTTTGGATGTCTTTTGACTTCCTGGCTCTGCCCTCCTGTCCGGTGCCATTGACATTGTTAATCACTTCATCCTATCTGAAACCCTTTCTGGTCCGCTTACTACCACCAGTATTGTTTTTTCCCCAGGCTTTTGTGGAGAATGCTTTTCCTCTGTTCTTTTCTCAGATGTTGCTGCTGTAGATTTCTGTCTTTGCCTGTTCCTCCCTCTCTCTCTGGAGGATCTCATTTATTCTCATAGTCTTAGTTTACTTTTATTCTTTGTGCTGATGTAAGGGAAGACTTCCTAGAGGAGAGCAACACTGGGGTATTGCACAGGAATTTGGAGTTTGCCAGGTAGAGTAGGATGGGGTGGGTTCCAGGCAATGGGAACATGTCAGCAGCATTGTGTGCAAAGACAGGGAAGCTTCAGATTGTCTCCTATCCCTGGTAGAAAGCATGTGCTTTCCTACTCAATTTTTCCAGCCCTAATAAAAAGAAACAAATAAATAAAGCTACATTGGTCTTAATCTCTTTGCTTACTAATTTTTATAAAGATAAAGTTAATATTGACTTAGAATTCTTATTTGTGCCAGTTATTGAGCCACATACATATGCACACACACACACACACACACAAACACACTTTAAACACATTTTATTTCATTTTCAAAACAAAAACTAAGAAATGCTTCATAATATACATTCTATAGAACAGTAAGCTAAGATCAGAAATGTACCATGGATTATCTAACGTCATGCAGGCCGAGAGTGACAGCCTGGATTCAATCTGAGGTTTAGACCTCAGAACCCAGACTCTGTGTTTGTTTCCCTGCACCAGGTAGCCTGCACATTAACACAAGTCCAGCTGAGGGGAAGCAATAATTTTTCAGGAAAAGAATATCAAAATAAGATTCCGAGGCAATTTGAAGAAGTTAATGTGACCCTGAATTACCGTTAGTGACTCTTTTCTGGTGCTTTCTCTACTTTACATAATAGTAAGTGGCAAGTTTGGCTCAAAAGGGCAAAATTTGGGGTTCTTATCTCCATTTTCTGTGACCTAGGGGTATGTCAGTTCTAAATACTAGACCTGATGTTATAGAATATCTAATATCTGCCTTGAGCTTACACATAAATTATCTGATATAATTTCTGTCACTATGCTCTAAAGTTAGCAGAGTGGGCATTAATTTTGCTATTATCACCAGTTTACATATAGGGAACCTGGAGCCCAGAGATACTATGTGTTTTGCTCAAGTCACACAGTGCAGTCAACACATGGAAATGCCAGAACAGAACCCAGAGCAGGCTACCACCTGTCATAAAACAGGACAAATTAATGTCATTACTAAGAAGTCAAAATTTAGGCTTCCAATTTGCTGGCAGGGCAGGGTAATTGTGAAAAAGGGAAAAAAGCATAGCAGCCGCTCTCTAGATCCTGAACATTCATAGTTGGTAATATGGTTTTGCTATGTCCCCACCAAAATCTCATCTGGAATTGTAGCTCCCACAATCCCCATGAGTCATAGGAAGGACCTAGTGGGAGGTAATTGAACCATGGAGGCAGATTTTGTTTTTCCATGCTGTTCTCATGAGAGTGAATAAGTGTCACAAGATCTGATGTCTTTGTAAAAGCACAGTTCCCCTGCACAGGCTCTCTTGCCTTCCACCATGAAAGATGTGACTGCTCTTCCTTTGCCTTCCTTCATGATTGTGAGGCCTCCCCAGCCACATGGAACTGTGAGTCCATTAAACATCTTTTTTTAAAATAATGTACCCAGTCTTGGGTATGTCTTTATTAGCAGCAGCGTGAGAACAGACTAATACGGTTGGAGAGAACCTCAGTCCACATCACATGGAGTCAGCTTCTGTGACAACCAGACAACTGTGGGCATAGAGGCCAGGGTGAGATACACAACCTGTAACACCTCTTCAGGCACATGGGAGCCCACAGGCCTGTTGAGGGTACTGGCCCAGAACTGATGAGGATGAAACTTATAGTGTGTTTAAGAAAACTCTCTCCCACTAGGCTAGAGAATTGCACATGGATGTAAATCACTGTTTTAGGCTGGATGTGAGATGGGCTGGACATGCATATGTAACACCACTCTTACTTCCTCTCCCAGAGGAAACAAACAACTCAGATTTGTCTCTAAACATAAGAACTCCTTTCTCTGACTTCCAGTTACCTTTAGTCAGAAGATGACAAGAATTATTTGTAATTTAAAAAGAGACTTTAGATATAAGGGCAGACATCAAGATTGCCTGTATTTTGTCTATATCCATGAATATAGAGAGTCAAATAGAAGTTTGTCAGAGATTCACAGAAAACCTTAAGTAGGAAATAAAATCCACCCCCGGGAACCAGAATCATATTTGTGTGTGTGGGCATGGATGAATGTGTGAGAAACATGGAGTATTCTGACAGAATATATTTTTTAGTATAGATTGTCCATTGTTGCTTTGTTTATGGGTATGGGGCCCCTATGATATATCACTTTTTTTAATTAAACTTTTTATTTTAACATAATTGTAGATTTGTATGCAGTTATAAGAAATAGTACAGAGAGCTCTGTTCTGTTCCATTGATCTATATCTCTGTTTCGGTACCAGTACCATGCTGTTTTGGTTACTGTAGCCTTGTAGTATAGTTTGAAGTCAGGTAGAGTGAGGCCTCCAGCTTTGTTCTTTTGGCTTAGGATTGACTTGGCAATGCAGGCTCTTTTTTGGTTCCATATGAACTTGAAAGTAGTTTTTTCCAATTCTGTGAAGAAAGTCGTTGGTAGCTTGATGGGGATGGCATTGAATCTGTAAATTACCTTGGGCAGTATGGTCATTTTCACGATATTGATTCTTCCTACCCATGAGCATGGAATGTTCTTCCATTTGTTTGTATCCTCTTTTATTTCCTTGAGCAGTGGTTTGTAGTTCTCCTTGAAGAGGTCCTTCACATCCCTTGTAAGTTGGATTCCCAGGTATTTTATTCCCTTTGAAGCAATTGTGAATGGGAGTTCACTCATGATTTGGCTCTCTGTTTGTCTGTTATTGGTGTATAAGAATGCTTGTGATTTTTGTACACTGATTTTGTATCCTGAGACTTTGCTGAAGTTGCTTATCAGTTTAAGGAGATTTTGGGCTGAGACGATGGGGTTTTCTAGATATACAATCATGTCGTCTGCAAACAGGGACAATTTGACTTCCTCTTTTCCTAATTGAATACCCTTTATTTCCTTCTCCTGCCTAATTGCCCTGGCCAGAACTTCCAACACTATGTTGAATAGGAGCGGTGAGAGAGGGCATCCCTGTCTTGTGCCAGTTTTCAAAGGGAATGCTTCCAGTTTTTGCCCATTCAGTATGATATTGGCTGTGGGTTTGTCATAGATAGCTCTTATTATTTTGAAATACATCCCGTCAATACCTAAAATATTCTCAATCATAGGTGGGAATTGAACAATGCGAACACATGGACACAGGAAGCGGAACATCACACTCTGGGGACTGTTGTGGGGTGGGGGGAGGGGGGAGGGATAGCATTGGGAGATATACCTAATGCTAGATGATGAGTTAGTGGGTGCAGCGCACCAGCATGGCACATGTATACATATGTAACTAACCTGCACATTGTGCACATGTACCCTAAAACTTAAAGTATAATAATAAATAAATAAATAAAAAGAAAAAAAGAAAAAAGAAATAGTACAGAGAGATCCCAAGTATCCTTTATCCTGTTTCCCCCAGTGGTAACATCTTGCAAACTATAGCATAATAGTATAACCAGGATATTGCCTTTGAAACAGTCAAGATATAGAATGTTTCCATCAACACAATGATCCCTCATGTTGCCCTTTTGTAACCATATCTACTTCCCTCCCATCCTCATCCCCCTCTTAACCCTCAGCAACCACTAATCCGTTTTCCATCTCTAAAATTTTATCATTTTAAGAAGGTTATATAAATGGAATTATATAGTAAGTAACCGTTTATAATTGGCTTTTCCCACTCAGCATAACTCTCTGAAATTCATCCAAGTTGTTGCATGGATCAACATTGATTGCTAAATAGTATTCCATGGGATGGATGTACCAAAGTTTGTTTAACCATCTTGTTGAAGCATATCTGGGTTGTTTCTGGTGTTTGTCTATTACAAACAAACATTCATATACAGATAAGTGTTCATTTCTCTCAGAAAAATGCCAATAAGGACAATGTCAGGTCACATGGTAGTTGCATATTTAGTTTTTTAAGAAACAGCCAATCTGTTTTCCAGAGTACCCGTACCACTTTACATTTCCACCAGCAATGTATAAGACATCCAGTTCCTCCATGTTCTCACCAACATTTGGTATTATCACTACTTCTTATTTTAGCAAAGCTGACAGGTGTATAGTCATATCATATACTCATTAACATTTTCTCAATACCTATGGTTGTTGAATACCTTATTATGTGCTTATTTGCCATCTATATATACTCCCGGGAAATATACCTTCATGACTTTTGCCCATTTTCTAAATGAAATGCTTGCTTTTTTGCTGTTGAATCCTGAGAGCTCCTTATCTAGTCTAGATACTAGTCCTTTGTCAGATAATTTCAAAACATGTTCTCCTACACTGTAACTTGTCTTTTCATCCTCTTCACAATCTTTCACAGCACAAAAGTCTAATTTTTATAAAGGCCAGTTTGTCGACTTTTCCTTTTTTAAGCCATGTCAAATCTAAGAACTCTTTGGCCAGTCTTAGATCCTGCATATTTATTTTTTTCAACGTTGTATAGTTTTACATTTTACATTGAAGTCCATGATTCATTTTGAGTTATTTATTGTATAAGTAACTTAATTCATGTGACTTCTTTTTTCTTTGGCTTATGGATGTTGAATTGCTTCAGTACTCCAGTACCATTTATTGAAAAGACTATCTTTTCTTCATGAAATTGCTTTAGCATCTTTGTCAGAAATCATTTGCATAATCATAATAATAGTAGTAGTAAAATGTCAGTTGAGCATATTTGTGTGGGTTTATTTCTAAGTTCTCTATTCTGTTCTATTCTATTCTATTCTATTCTATTCTATTCTATTCTATTCTATTCTATTCTATTCTATTCTATTTTCTATGTCTCTATCTTTCCACAAATACCACACAGTCATGACTATAGTAGCTATAGAAAAAGTTGAAAATCAGGTAGACTTATTCTTCCTACTTTAATCTTTTGTTTTATAACTGTTATGAATTACTATTCTTTGTATTTTCATATAAATTATATAATAATATTGTCAATATTTACCAAAAAACTTGCTGGGATATAGATAGGAATTGTGTTAAATCTGTATATAAATTTGGGGTAAATTGACGTATTTTGAGTTATCCAATCAATGATCAAGGTAAAAATCTCCATTTATTTAAATCCTTTGTTATTTCTTTCATCAACATTGAGTAGTTTTCAGAATCAATCATAAATTACAAGGTTAAACTATGTTTAACATAGCCAACCACCTTCCCTGAAAAGATACACCTATGAGGTCTGGTACCCCAAGACCCTAGAGTTTACTTCCCAGTGGTCCCAGGAAAGGCCAGACCTTTCTTTGGCTAAAGTTAGTTATTTCCTAGACAGACACCAACGCTAAGATGGCAGAGATGTTAGAATTAACTGACAAAAATTTTAGCGCAATCATCATAAAAATAGTTAAATGAACCATTATGGACATGCTTAAAACAAATAAAGAAAATAGAAAATTTCAGCAAAGAAATAGAAGAAATTAAGAAGAATCATATGGAAATTTTAAAACCAAAGATTATAGTAACTGCAATAAAAAGCCAATGGATGAGTTAAACCGTAGAATGAAGGGGACAGAAAAAAGAATCCATAAACTGGAAATTAGAACAACAGAAATTACTCAAACTGAATATCACAGAGAAAATAGGCCAAAAAAGAAATAAACAGACTTTCAGGGACCTGTGGGGTTATAACAAAATATTTAACACTGTGTCATCAGAGTCATAGGAAGCAGAGAGAAAGAGGGCAGGCTGAAAAACACAGTCATAGTCAAATTCTGAAAACTAAACACACACAAAAATTCTGAAAGTAGTGAAAGATAAATGATGTCTTTCCTATAGTAAAAAAGATAAATGACAACTTTCCTATAGTAAAAAAAAATCCAAATCTTTCCTGTAGAAAAAAAAATCCAAATAACAGCAGATTTTTTCCAGAAATCATGAAGAACCAATAAATTTTGTGTGCTTAAAGACAAAAAAAACTTTATTTCTAATCCTAGCCCCATGAAAATACCCTTCAGGAATGAAGGAGAAACTGAGACCTCCTCAGAAGATTTTCATAAGTAGAGCTACCAGAAAAGAATGGTTACTGAGAATTCTCTAAACAGAGAAAAAAAATTAGAAGAAAGAACCTTGAAACATGAGGATAGGAAAATGAACACAGTAAGTAAAAATAAGGATAAATAATACAATAGACTTTTTTTCTCCTCTTGAGATGTCCAAATTATGTTTGATTATTGAAACAAAAAATATAACATTGATGTGGTTTTAAATGTATGTTGAGGAAATACTATAAATGGGGGAGAACAAAGGAATATGAAGGGTGGTAAGGTTTCTACAATTTATTTTACCTGATTAAAATGAGTTAAGTAGACTGTCATAAGTTATGTATATATTATGTAATATCTATAGCAACTACTTTAAAAAGCTACATAAAGAAAACACAATAGAGAAATTCAAGTGGAATTCTAAAAATGTTCAAGAATACCACAGAAGGCAAATAAAATGAAACTAATAAACAGAATAGAGAACTCAGAAGATAGACTCACACCAATATGCCCAAATGATTAAGTGATTTTTGACAAAGGTACAAAAGCAGTTCAGTGGAGAAAAGACAGCCTTTTCAACAAATAGTGCTGGCAATTGGACATCCAAGAGCAACGAAAAAAAGAATCTGAACTGTATACAAAAATTAATACAAATAGATCATGGAGACTAAAATGGAAACATAAAAGCATACAACTTTTATCTAAAAACATAGGAGAAAATTTTAAAGATGTAGGGCTAGGCAAAGAGCTTTTAAACATCAAAAGCATGATCCATTAAAGAAAATGATGGATAAATAGGACTTTAGTGAAATTAAGCATCTTTGCTCACTAATGAAATGTTAAAAGGTTAAAAAGACAAGTTAGAATATGAGCAAAAATATTTGCAAAACATAATCTGACAAAAGACTAGTACCTAGAATATACAAAGAGTTTTCAAACATCAATGGTAAAACAAACAAAAAAACAAAAAAATCCAATTAGAAAATGGGCAAAAGACATAAAGAGACATTTTACTGAAGAAGATACACACAAGTATACAAAAAATATAATTAGAGACAAACTAATTCACAATCAGAATCACTACAAATCTGTCAAAAATGCTAACAACTTTTTAAAGTGACAACACAGATAGATAACACACATCTTGTTGGTGGGAATGTAAAATGGTACCACCACTCTATAAAACAGTTTGATAGTTCCTTAAAAGTTAAACATGTAATGAACATATCACCTAGCTTTGCCCTTCTGCACATTCATCCTAAAGAAACGAAGACTTATGGCTCATACAAAAGCCTGTACATGATCATTATAGCAGCTTTACTTGTAATACTCCCAAACTGGAAAGAAACCAGATGTCTTTTAACAAGTGAATGGTTAAACAAACCATGGTACTCCATATAATGGAGTACCCCTCAGGAATAAACAGGGTTAAACAGCTGATACACACATCAACCTGGAGACATAATCTCCTGAGACACATACTGAATGAAAAAGCCAATCCCCAAGACCAAAATGTTGTGTACTGTGTACATAATATTTGTGAAATGACAAAATTTAGAAATGAAGAACAGATTAGTACCCCGCATGGGCATGGATGGTGGTGGGGGATGAGAGGGAAGTGGGTATGACTATAAAGTAGCAGTATGAGGGATTCTTGCTTTAATAGAAATGTTCTGTGTCTCATCAGTTTCAACATCAACACCCTGGATGTAATAATTGTACTATACTCTTGTGAGATGCTGTGATTAAGGGAAAATGAGTAAAGAATACACAAGATCTCTCTGTAGTTTTTTTCTTACAACTGCATATGAATCTATAATATTCTGAAAATTAAAAGGTTAATTTTAAAAATGTAATTGACTCATGAAAATGTAAAATTTTTGATAGACTAGATATTGCAGAATAAAAGGCAGAATTGGTTTACTTGGCAAAATTAATATTTATGAGATCTTCACTTATAACTGAGCTTAGAGTCCTTTTTTGATAGGCCAGAAACTCATATGACCATAAGTGAGATTTCAGTGAAACAAAACTTACAATAAGCTTTAAAAATTACATTTTAAATTTCTCAAAGTAGATTGGCAATGCTGCTCCCAACCAAAATCAATAGCTTCACCAAGAAAAGGTTTGTAACAGCTAAACTGCATTCACTTCTATGAACTTTGAAGTGTCGTGCCACCATCTCAAATTGAAAACAAAATGAAATAATTGAATCAATGGCGACATTACACAAGTACTTATACAACCTCACTTAGTAACAAATTATGCCAAGTACTTCTAAATATAGTATTTTATTCATAGTCAGCAGAATAATGCATTCTAAGAATGAAAATAAATGTTTAAACTTTGTTGACCACTTCAAGTGTTACTGGAAATATTAATACTGTTATTTTAAAGGTGTATTGGATAAAATAATAGGTATATTTATATTATTCACATACAAGTCTCAAGCATAAGAGAAAAGGAAGTGTAATGATAGATACAAAGAAGTTACATAGAAATGATGAAATACTAGTACTAAATTAGAAATGTCTCTACAAACTCAAGCTTTTTGGAAAATACCGTATATATTTATTGGGTGAAATACAGCAATGATACCCATGGAACTCAACATGCTATGCACTCATAACACTTTAATTTTGGTTTCTAATACTAGTTTCTGCTAAAAAAAAAAAAAAAAGTGGGCTCTCTGGATAATTCAATGATACTCTGTCTGGAGAATCAGGTTACAAGATGAGTCTGGAATAACTTTTTGTTCCAGAAAGCAAAGGACTTTAAAAAATTAAATGTCCAACAATTATAGACTGGATTAAGAAAATGCGGCACATATACACCATGGAGTACTATGCAGCCATAAAAAATGATGAGTTCATGTCCTTCATAGGGACATAGATGAAGCTGGAAACCATCATTCTCAGCAAACTATCGCAAGGACAAAAAACCAAACACCGCATGTTCTCACTCATAGGTGGGAATTGAACAATGAGAACACATGGACACAGGAAGGGGAACATCACACACCGGGGCCTGTTTTGGGGTGGGGGGAGGGGGGAGGGATAGCATTAGGAGATATACCTAATGTTAAATGAAGAGTTAATGGGTGCAGCCCACCAACATGGCACATGTATACATATGTAACAAACCTGCATGTTGTGCACACGTACCCTAAAACTTAAAGTATAATAAAAAATAAAAAATAAAAAATTAATGAGGTAATGTCAAAAGGACTCAGAAACAAGCCAAAGTTGTAACAATTTGAGCATCATACTGGGAAGAGTAAAATGCAATTAATTCACTTTATAACCCATGACTTCATAATGATAATCAAAAGTGAAAAAAGGTACAAATCACCTAAAATGTATTTTTCTCAAAATGTTTAACTTTAACCTTAAAATGTCTGTAGACTTGACCTCTGACAGGGGAAATGAGAACAACCTAAGTGACATTATTTATAAAGCAATTACAAGAGTCCAAAAGTTGATACTTCATTCAAAAACAAAAACTAAAATCAGTATCTTGAAGAGAAAACCGCACTCCTATGTTCAAGGTAGCATTATTCACAGCAGCCAAGATACGGAAACAACCTAAGGGTCTGTTGACAGATGAATGGGTAAAGAAATGTGATTTATTTTAGATAGAATGTGTGTGTATTCATTTCATTCATATATAAAACAATATAATTCAGCCACAAAAAAAGAAAGAAATCTTGCCTTTGTGATGACATGGATTAATCTGGAAGGTATTATGGTTAAGTGACAGACGGCAAAAGATGAACACCGTATGATCTCACTTGGAATCTTAAAGCGTCAAATGCATGTCAACAGAGAGTATAATGGTGTTTGCTAGAGGTTGAGGTGTGAAGGAAATGGAGAGATGTTGGTCAAAGAGTATGAACTTCCAGTTATAAGATGAATAAGTTCTGGAGATTTAATGTACAATGTGGTGACTATAGTTAATAATACTATACTGTATACTTGAAATTTTCTGAGAGTAGATCTTAAGTGTCCTCAGCACACACACACACATACACAAAGATAATATGTGAGACAATGGATATGTTAATTAACTTAATTGTATTAATCATTTCACAGTGCGTAGGTATATATAATAATCACATTGTACAACTTAAATACATACAATTTTATTTGTCAATTACCTCAAGAAAATACTAGAAAAAAGAGATTCTACCAGATAAATGGCATGAAAAGAGTGAAAGCACAAAACATACTAGTAAACATTGAAAGAAATGTAAGATACGTGAAAACGAGATACAAAGTGCAACACTGGATTGATCTGGATTTTAACAAATCAGCTTCGAGAGAAATTAAGAAAGAAAAATTGGAAAAATATGAATATGGAATGAGTATGAGTACTTATAAAAGACATTAATTTTATTCAATGTAATGCTGTTATTTTGGCCATGTAAAATGACAATCTTATTTTTTAGAGAAGCACACAAAAATAGTTAGGAATAGAAATTTATACTGTTTGTAATTTGCTTTTTATTTTAATATTTATTTTTTATTGCATAGGTTTTTGGGGAACAGGTGGTGGTTGGTTACATGAATAAGTTCTTTAGTAGTACTTTCTAAGATTTTGGTGCACCTATCACCCAAGCAGGGTACACTGTACCCTATGTTTTGTATTTTATCTCTCATCCCCTTCCTACCCTTTCCCCCAAGTCCCCAAAGCCCATTGTGTCATTCTTATGCCTTTACATCCTCATAGCTTAGCTCCCATTTATGAATGAGAACATACAATGTTTGGTTTTCCATTCCTGAGTTACTTCACTTAGAATAATCATCTCCAATTCCATCCAGGTTGCTGCAAATGCCATTATTTCATTCCTTTTTACAGCTGAGTAGTATTCTATGGTATATATTCCACAATTTTTTTATCCATTCATTGACTGATTGGCATTTGGGCTGCTTCCATATTTTTGTAATTCCAAATTGTGCTGCTATAAACAGGCTTGTGCAAGAATCTTTTTCACATAATGACTTCTTTTCCTCTGGGGAGATCCCCAGTAGTGAAATTGCTGGACCAAACGGTAGATCTACTTTTAATTCTTTAAGGAATCTCCACATTGTTTTCCTTAGGGGTTGTACTAGTTTACATTCCCGCCAGCAGTATAAAATTGTTCCCCTTTGACCACATTCACTCCAACAGCTCTTATTTTTTTTATTTTTTGATTATGGCCATTCTTGCAGGAGTAAGGTGGTATCACATTGTGGTTTTTATTTGCATTTTCCTGATAATTGATGTTCAGCATTTTTTCATATGTTTGTTGGCCATTTGTGTATCTTCTCTAGAGAATTGTCTATTCATGCCCTTAGCCCACTTTTTGATGTGATTTTTTGCTTTTTTCTTGCTGATTTGTTTGAAGAGAAAACTGAGTTCCTTGTAGATTCTGGATATTAGTCCTTTGTTGGATGCATAGTTTGTGAAGATTTTGTTCCACTCTGTGAGTTCTCTGTTTACTCCGCTGATTTTTTTTTTTCTGTGCAAAAGCTTTTTAGTTTAATTAAGTCCTATCTATTTATCTTTGTTTTTGTTTCATTTGCTTTTGGATTCTTGGTCATGAAGTCTTTGCCTAAGCCAATTTCAGAAAGGTTTTTCTAATGTTATCTTCTAGAACTTTTATTGTTTCAGGTCTTAGATTTAAGTCTTTGATCCATCTTGACTTGATTTTCTAAGGTGAGAAATAAGGATCCAGTTTTATTCTTCTACATGTGGCTTGCTGATTATCACAGTTGAATAGGTTGTCCTTTCCCCACTTTATGTTTTTGTATGCTTTGTCAAAGATCAGTTGGCTGTAAATATTTGGCTTTATTTCTGGGTTCTCCGTTCTGTTCCATTGGCCTATATTCCATTTTTTATACCACCACCATGCTGTTTGGTTACTGTGGCCTTATGGTATAGTTTGAAGTCAGGTAATGTGATGCCTCCAGATTTGTTCTTTTTGCTTAGCCTTGCTTTGGCTATGTGGGCCTTTATTGGTTCCACATGAATTTTAGAGTTCTTTTTCTAGTTCTATGAAGAATGGTGGTGATATTTTGATGGAAATTGCATTGAATTTGTAGATTCCTTTAGGCAGCATGGTCATTTTCACAATATTGATTGTATCCATCCATGAGCTTGGGTTGTGTTTCCATTTGTTTGCATGGACTATGATTTCTTTCAGCAGTGTTTTATAGTTTTCCTTGTAGAGGTCTTTCACCTCCTTGCTTATGTATATTCCTAAGTATTTTTTTTTCTGCAGCTATTGTAAAAGAGGTTGAGTATTTATTTGATTCTCAGCTTGGTCGCTGTTGGTGTATAGCAGTGCTATCGATTTGTGTACATTAATTTTGTATCCTAAAACTTTATTGAAGAGGTCTTTCAACTCTTTGTTAGGTATATACCTAAGAATTTTGTTTTCTGCAGCTATTGTAAAAAAGGTTGAGTTCTTGATTTGATTCTCAGCTTGGTCGCTGTTGGTGTATAGCAGTGCTACTGATTTGTGTACATTAATTTTGTATCCTGAAACTTTATTGAATTCATATATCAGTTCTAGGAGCTTTTTTGGATGAGTCTTTAAGGTTTTTTAGGTATGCAATCATATCATCAGTAAACAGCAACAGTTTGATTTCCTCTTTACCAATTTGGATGTCCTTTATTTCTCTCTCGCCTGATTGCTCTGTTTAGGACTTCCAGTACTATGTTGAATAGAAGTGGTGAAAGTGGGCATTCTTGTCTTGTTCCAGCTCTCATGGGGAATGTTTTCAACTTCCCCCATTCAGTATAATATTAGCTGTGGGTTTGTCATATACGGCTTTTATTACCATAAAGCATGTCCCTTCTATGCCAGTTTGGCTGAGGGTTTTAATCATAAAGGATGCTAGATTTTGTCAAATACTTTTTCTGTGTCTATTGAGATGATCATCTGATTTTTGTTTTTAATTCTGTTAACTTGGTGTATTCGACTTACTGTTAAACTGTCCCTGCATCCCTGGTATGAAACCCACTTGATCATGGTGGATTACCTTTTTGATATGTTGTTGGAGTCAGTTAGCTAGTATTTTGTTGAGGATTTTTACATGTATGTTCATCATGGATTTTGGTCTATAGTTTTCTTTTTTGTTATGTCCTTTCCTGGTTTAGGTATTAGGGTGATACTGGCTTTATAGAATGATTTAGAAAGGAGTCCCTCTGTCTCTATCTTTTAGAATAGTGTCAACAGGATTGGTACAAATTCTTCTTCAAATGTCTGATAGAATTAAGCTGTGAATCCACCTGGTCCTGGACTTTTTTCCTGGCATTTTTTTTACTACCATTTCAATCTTGCTGCTTTTTATTGGTCTGTTCAGAGTTTCTATTTCTTCCTGGTTTAATCTAGGAGGGTTGTATATTTCCAGGAATTTATGAATCGCCTCTAGGTTTTCTAGTTTGTGTGTGTAAAGGTGTTCATAACCGTCTTGAATAATCTTTGGTGTTTCTGTGGTGTCAGTTGTAATATCTTCTGTTTCATTTCCAATTGAACTTATTTGGATCCTCTCTATTCTTTTCTTGGTTAATCTTGCTAATGGTCTATCAATTTTATATATCTTTTCAAAGAACCAACTTTTTGTTTCATTTATCATTTGTATTTTTTTGTTTCACTTTCATTTAGTTCTACTCTGATCTTTGTTATTTCTTTTTCTTCTGTGGAGTTTGGGTTTGGTTTGTTCTTATTTCTCTAGTTCCTTTAGGCATGACCTTAGATTGCCTATTTGTGTTCTTTCCGACCTTTGATGTAGGCATTCAATGCTATGAGCTTTTCTCTTAGCACCATTTTGCTGTATCCCAGAGATTTTGATAGGTTGCATCATTATTATCATTCAGTTCAAAGAACTTTTTAATTTCCATCTTGATTTCATTATTGACCCAATGATCATTCGGGAGCAGCTTATTTAATTTCTATGTATTTGCATGATTTTGTGATTCCTTTTGGAGTTGATTTCCAATTTTATTCCACTGTGGTCTGAGAGTACTTGATATGATTTCAAATATCTTAAATTTATTGAGCCTTGTTTTGTGGCTTATCATATGGTCTATCATGGAGAATGTTCAATGTGTACATACTGCAGTTGTTGGGTAGAATGTTCTGTAAATATATTTTAAGTACATTTTTTCTAGAGTGTAGTTTAAGTCCATTATTTCTTTGTGGACTTTCTGCCTTGATGACCCGTCTAGTACTGTCAGTGGAGTATTGAAGTCCCCCACTATTATTGTGTTCCTGTCTATCTGATTTCTTAGGTCTATTAGTAATTGTTTTATAAATTTGGAAGCTTCAGTGTTAGGTGCCTATATATTTAGGATGGTGATATTTTCCTGTTGGACTAGTTCTTTTATCATTATATCATGTCCCTCTTTGTCTCTTTTAACTGCTGTTGCTTTAAAGTTTGTTTTGTCTGATAGAAGAATAGCTTCTCCTTCTTGCTTTTGTGTCCTGTTGCATGGAATATCTTTTTCCACCCCTTTACCTTAAGTTTATGTGTGTCCTTATGTGTTAGGTGAGTCTCTTGAAGGTGGCAGGTACTTGGTTGGTGATTAAGAGGTGAAGCCTGCTGGGCTTCCGGGTCAGGTGGGGACTTGGAGAACGTTTCTGTCTAGCTAAAGGATTGTAAACACACCAATCAGTGCCTTGTGTCTAGCTAAAGGTTTGTAAACACACCAATCAGCACTCTGTAAAAATGCACTAATCAGTGCTCTGTGTCTAGCTAAAGGTTTGTAAACGCACCAATCAGCACTCTGTAAAAATGGACCTATCAGCACTTTGTAAAATGGACCAATCAGGAGGATATGGGTGGGGCCAAATAAGGGAATAAAAGCTGGCCACCCAAGCCAGCAGTGGTAACCCACTTGAGTCCCCTTCCAAGCTGTGGAAGGTTTGTTCTCTTGCTCTTCACAATAAATCTTGCTGCTGCTCACTCTTTGGGTCCACACTACCTTTATGAGCTGTAACACTCACCGTAAAGGTCTGCAGCTTCACTCCTGAATTCAGCAAGACCACGAACCCACCAAGAGGAAGAAACAACTCCAGACGTGCCATCTTTAAGAGCTGTAACACTCACTGCAAAGGTCTGTGGCTTCACTCCTGAAGTCAGCGAGACCACACACCCACCAGGAGGAACAAACAACCCTGGACACGCCACCTTTAAGAGCTGTAACACTCACTGAGAAAGCCTGCAGCTTCACTCCTGAAGTCAGCAAGACCACAAACCCACCAGAAGGAAGAAACTCTGGACACATCTGAACATCTGAAGGAACAAACTCTGGACACTCCATCTTTAAGAACTGTAACACTCACTGTGAGCATCTGCAGCTTCATTCTTGAAGTCAGCAAGACCAAGAACCCACTGGAAGAAACAATTCCGGACACAATTTCTTATTCTGCCATCCTGTATCTTTTAAGTGCAGCATTCAGGCCATTTACATTCAACATTAGTATTGAGCTGTGAGGTACTATTCTATTCATCATGCTATTTGTTGCCTCAATACTTTGGTGGGTTTTTTTAATTGTATCATTGTTTTATAGTTCCCGTGAAATGTATGCTTTAAGGAGGTTCTATTTTTGTGTATTTTAAGCATTTATTTCAAGACTTAGAGCTCCTTTTATCAGTTCTTGTAGTGCTAGCTTGATAGTGGCAAATTCTCTCAGCATTTGTTTGTCTGAAAAAGGCTGTATCTTTCCTTCCTTTATGATGCTAGTTTCACTGGATACAAAATTCTTGGCTAATAATGGTTTTGTTTAAGGAGGCTAAAAATAGGATCCCAATCCCTTTTAGCTTGTAGGGTTTCTGCTGATAAATCTGCTGTTAATCTGCTAGGTTTTCTTTTATAGGTTGCCTGATGCTTTTTCCTCACAGCTCTTAAGATTCTTTCATTTATCTTGATTTTAGATAATCTGATGAATATGTGCCTAGGCAAAGATGTTTTTTGCAATGAATTTCCCAGGTGTTCTTTGAGCTTCTTGTATTTGAATGTCTAGATCTCTAGCAAGGCCAGGGAAGTTTTTCTCAATTATTCCCTCAAATATGTTTTCCAAACTTTCAGATTTCTCTTATTCCTCCAGAATACCAATTATTCTTAGGTTTTTTTTTTTTATTATACTTTTAGTTTTAGGGTACATGTGCACATAGTGCTGGTTAGTTACCTATGTATACATGTGCCATACTGGTGCGCTGCACCCACTAACTCGTCATCTAGCATTAGGTATATCTCCCGATGCTATCCCTCTCCCATCCCCCCACGCCACAACAGTCCCCAGAGTGTGATATTCCCGTTCCTGTGTCCATGTGATCTCATTGTTCAATTCCCACCTATGAGTAAGAATATGCGGTGTTTGGTTTTTTGTTCTTGTGATAGTTTACTGAGAATGATGATTTCCAATTTCATCCATGTCCCTACAAAGGACATGAACTCATCATTTTTTATGGCTGCATACTATTCCATGGTGTATATGTGCCACATTTTCTTAATCCAGTCTATCATTGTTGGGCATTTGGGTTGGTTCCAAGTCTTTGCTGTTGTGAATAATGACGCAATAAACATACGTGTGCATGTGTCTTTATAGCAGCATGATTTATAGTCCTTTGGGTATATACCCAGTAATGGGATGGCTGGGTCAAATGGTATTTCCAGCTCTAGGTCCCTGAGGAATCGCCACACTGACTTCCACAATGGTTGAACTAGTTTACAGTCCCACCAACAGTGTAAAAGTGTTCCTATTTGTCCACATCCTCTCCAGCACCTGTTGTTTCCTGACTTTTTAATGATTGCCATTGTAACTGGTGTGAGATGGTGTCTCATTGTGGTTTTGATTTGCATTTCTCTAATGGCCAGTGATGATGAGCATTTTTTCATGTGTTTTTTGGCTGCATAAATGTCTTCTTTTGAGAAGTGTCTGTTCATGTCCTTCGCCCACTTTTTGATGGGGTTGTTTGTTTTTTTCTTGTAAATTTGTTGGAGTTCATTGTAGATTCTGGATATTAGCCCTTTGTCAGATGAGTAGGTTGTGAAAATTTTCTCCCATTTTGTAGGTTGCCTGTTCACTCTGATGGTAGTTTCTTTTGCTGTGCAGAAGCTCTTTAGTTTAATGAGATCCCATTTGTCAATTTTGGCTTTTTTGCCATTGCTTTTGGTGTTTTAGACATGAAGTCCTTGCCCATGCATATGTCCTGAATGGTAATGCCTAGGTTTTCTTCTAGGGTTTTTATGGTTTTTGGTCTAACGTTTAAGTCTTTAATCCATCTTGAATTGATTTTTGTATAAGGTGTAAGGAAGGGATCCAGTTTCAGCTTTCTACATATGGCTAGCCAGTTTTCCCAGCACCATTTATTAAATAGGGAATCCTTTCCACATTGCTTGTTTTTCTCAGGTTTGTCAAAGATCAGATAGTTCTAGATACGCGGCGTTATTTCTGAGGGCTCTGTTCTGTTCCATTGATCTGTATCTCTGTTTTGGTACCAGTACCATGCTGTTTTGGTTACTGAAGCGTTGTAGTATAGTTTGAAGTCAGGTAGCGTGATGCCTCCAGCTTTGTTCTTTTGGCTTAGGATTGCCTTGGCGATGCGGGCTCTTTTTTGGTTCCATATGAACTTGAAAGTAGTTTTTTCCAATTCTGTGAAGAAAGGCATTGGTAGCTTGATGGGGATGGCATTGAATCTGTAAATTACCTTGAGCAGTATGGCCATTTTCACGATATTGATTCTTCCTACCCATGAGTACGGAATGTTCTTCCATTTGTTTGTATCCTCTTTTATTTCCTTGAGCAGTGGTTTGTAGTTCTCCTTGAAGAGGTCCTTCACATCCCTTGTAAGTTGGATTCCTAGGTATTTTATTCTCTTTGAAGCAATTGTGAATGGGAGTTCACTCATGATTTGGCTCTCTGTTTGTCTGTTGTTGGTGTATAAGAATGCTTGTGATTTTTGTACATTGACTTTGTATCCTGAGATTTTGCTGAAGTTGCTTATCAGCTTAAGGAGATTTTGGGCTGAGACGATGGGGTTTTCTAGATATACAATCATGTCGTCTGCAAACAGGGACAATTTGACTTCCTCTTTTCCTAATTGAATACCCTTTATTTCCTTCTCCTGCCTAATTGCCCTGGCCAGAACTTCCAACACTATGTTGAAAAGGAGTGCTGAGAGAGGGCATCCCTGTCTTGTGTCAGTTTTCAAAGGGAATGCTTCCAGTTTTTGCCCATTCAGTATGATATTGGCTGTGGGTTTGTCATAGATAGCTCTTATTATTTTGAAATACGTCCCATCAATACCTAATTTATTGAGAGTTTTTAGCATGAAGGGTTGTTGAATTTTGTCAAAGGCTTTTTCTGCATCTATTGAGATAATCATGTGGTTTTTGTCTTTGGCTCTGTTTATATGCTGGATTACATTTATTGATTTGCGTATATTGAACCAGCCTTGCATCCCAGGGATGAAGCCCACTTGATCATGGTGGATAAGCTTTTTGATGTGCTGCTGGATTCGGTTTGCCAGTATTTTATTGAGGATTTTTGCATCAATGTTCATCAAGGATATTGGTCTAAAATTCTCTTTTTTGGTTGTGTCTCTGCCTGGCTTTGGTATCAGAATGATGCTGGCCTCATAAAATGAGTTAGGGAGGATTCCCTCTTTTTCTATTGATTGGAATAGTTTCAGAAGGAATGGTACCAGTTCCTCCTTGTACCTCTGGTAGAATTTGGCTGCGAATCCATCTGGTCCTGGACTCTTTTTGGTTGGTAAGCTATTGATTATTGCCACAATTTCAGCTCCTGTTATTGGTCTATTCAGAGATTCAACTTCTTCCTGGTTTAGTCTTGGGAGGGTGTATGTGTTGAGGAATTTATCCATTTCTTCTAGATTTTCTAGTTTATTTGAATAGAGGTATTTGTAGTATTCTCTGATGGTAGTTTGTATTTCTGTGGGATCGGTGGTGATATCCCCTTTATCATTTTTTATTGTGTCTATTTGATTCTTCTCTCTTTTTTTCTTTATTAGTCTTGCTAGCGGTCTATCAATTTTGTTGATCCTTTCAAAAAACCAGCTCCTGGATTCACTAATTTTTTGAAGGGTTTTTTGGGTCTCTATTTCCTTCAGTTCTGCTCTGATTTTAGTTATTTCTTGCCTTCTGCTAGCTTTTGAATGTGTTTGCTCTTGCTTTTCTACTTCTTTTAATTGTGATGTTAGGGTGTCCATCTTGGATCTTTCCTGCTTTCTCTTGTGGGCATTTAGTGCTATAAATTTCCCTCTACACACTGCTTTGAATGTGTCCCAGAGATTCTGGTATATTGTGTCTTTCTTCTCGTTGGTTTCAAAGAACATCTTTATTTCTGCCTTCATTTCCTTATGTACCCAGTAGTCAATCAGGAGCAGGTTGTTCAGTTTCCATGTAGTCAAGCAGTTTTGAGTGAGATTCTTAATCCTGAGTTCTAGTTTGATTGCACTGTGGTCTGAGAGACAGTTTGTTATAATTTCTGTTCTTTTACATTTGCTGAGGAGAGCTTTACCTCCAAGTATGTGGTCAATTTTGGAATAGATGTGGTGTGGTGCTGAAAAAAATGTATATTCTGTTGATTTGGGGTGGAGAGTTCTGTAGTTGTCTATTAGGTCCACTTGGTGCAGAGCTGAGTTCAATTCCTGGGTATCCTTGTTGACTTTCTGTCTCATTGATCTGTCTAATGTTGACAGTGGGGTGTTAAAGTCTCCCATTATTAATGTGTGGGAGTCTAAGTCTCTTTGTAGGTCACTCAGGACTTGCTTTATGAATCTTGGTGCTCCTGTATTGGGTGCATATATATTTAGGATAGTTAGCTCTTCTTGATGAATTGATCTCTTTACCAGTATGTAATGGCCTTCTTTGTCCCTTTTGATCTTTGTTGGTTTAAAGTCTGTTTTATCAGAGACTAGGATTGCAACCCCTGCCTTTTTTTGTTTTCCATTGGCTTGGTAGATCTTCCTCCATCCTTTTATTTTGAGCCTATGTGTGTCTCTGCACATGAGATGGGTTTCCTGAATACAGCACACTGATGGGTCTTGACTCTTTATCCCATTTGCCAGTCTGTGTCTTTTAATTGGAGCATTTAGTCCATTTACATTTAAAGTTAATACTGTTATGTGTGAATCTGATCCTGTCATTATGATGTTAGCTGGTTATTTTGCTCATTAGTTGATGCAGTTTCTTACTAGTCTCAATGGTCTTTACATTTTGGCATGATTTTGCAGCGGCTGGTACCGGTTGTTCCTTTCCATGTTTAGTACTTCCTTCAGGAGCTCTTGTAAGGCAGGCCTGGTGGTGACAAAATCTCTCAGCATTTGCTTGTCTGTAAAGGATTTTATTTCTTCTTCACTTATGAAGCTTAGTTTGGCTGGATATGAAATTCTGGGTTGAAAATTCTTTTCTTTAAGAATGTTGAATATTGGCCCCCACTCTCTTCTGGCTTATAGGGTTTCTGCCAAGAGATCAGCTGTTAGTCTGATGGGCTTCCCTTTGAGGGTAACCCGACCTTTCTCTCTGGCTGCCCTTAATATTTTTTCCTTCATTTCAACTTTGGTGAATCTGTCAATTATGTGTCTTGGAGTTGCTCTTCTCGAGGAGTATCTTTGTGGCGTTCTCTGTATTTCCTGAATCTGAATGTTGGCCTGCCTTGCTAGATTGGGGAAGTTCTCCTGGATAATATCCTGCAGAGTGTTTTCCAACTTGGTTCCATTCTCCCCATCACTTTCAGGTACACCAATCAGACGTAGATTTGGTCTTTTCACATAGTCCCATATCTCTTGGAGGCTTTGCTCATTTCTTTTTATTCTTTTTTCTCTAAACTTCCCTTCTCGCTTCATTTCATTCATTTCATCTTCCATTGCTGACACCCTTTCTTCCAGTTGATTGCATCAGCTCCTGAGGCTTCTGCATTCTTCACGTAGTTCTCGAGGCTTGGTTTTCAGCTCCATCAGCTCCTTTAAGCACTTCTCTGTATTGGTTATTCTAGTTATACATTCTCCTAAATTTTTTTCAAAGTTTTCAACTTCTTTGCCTTTGGTTTGAATGTCCTCCCATAGCTCAGAGTAATTTGATCATCTGAAGCCTTCTTCTCTCAGCTCGTCAAAGTCATTCTCCATCCAGCTTTGTTCCGTTGCTGGTGAGGAACTGCGTTCCTTTGGAGGAGGAGAGGTGCTCTGCTTTTTAGAGTTTCCAGTTTTTCTGTTTTGGTTTTTCCCCATCTTTGTGGTTTTATCTACTTTTGGTCTTTGATGATCGTGATGTACAGATGGGTTTTTGGTGTGGATGTCCTTTGTGTTTGTTAGTTTTCCTTCTAACAGAGAGGACCCTCAGCTGCAGGTCTGTTGGAGTACCCTGCCATGTGAGGTGTCAGTGTGCCCCTTCTGGTGGATGTCTCCCAGTTAGGCTGCTTAGGGGTCAGGGGTCAGAGACCCACTTGAGGAGGCAGTCTGCCCATTCTCAGATCTCCAGCTGCATGCTGGGAGAACCACTGCTCTCTTCAAGGCTGTCAGACAGCGACATTTAAGTCTGCAGAGGTTACTGCTGTCTTTTTGTTTGTCTGTGCCCTGCCCCCAGAGGTGGAGCCTACAGAGGCAGGCAGGCCTTCTTGAGCTGTGGTGGTCTCCACCCAGTTCGAGCATCCAGGCTGCCTTGTTTACCTAATCAAGCCTGGGCAATGGTGGGCGCCCCTCCCCCAGCCTCGCTGCCGCCTTGCAGTTTGATCTCAGACTGCTGTGCTAGCAATCAGCGAGACTCCGTGGGCATAGGACCCTCGGAGCCAGGTGCGGGATATAATCTCGTGGTGCACCGTTTTTAAAGCCCGTCGGAAAAGTGCAGTATTCGGGTGGGAGTGACCCGATTTTCCAGGTGCCGTCTGTCACCCCTTTCTTTGACTCAGAAAGGGAACTCCCTGACCCCTTGCACTTCCCAAGTGAGGCAATGCCTTGCCCTGCTTCGGCTCGCACATGGTGCGTGCACCCACTGACCTGCGCCCACTGTCTGGCACTCCCTAGTGAGATGAACCCAGTACCTCCGATGGAAATGCAGAAATCACCTGTCTTCTGCGTCGCTCATGCTGGGAGCTGTAGACTGGAGCTGTTCCTATTCGGCCACTTGGCTCCTCCCCCTATTCTTAGGTCTTGTTGTTTAACATAATCCCAAACTTTTTTGAGGCTTTGCTCATTTTTTTAAAATTTTTTAATTGTTTCTCTTTGTCAGATAGCATTAATGCAAAAGCTTGTCTTCTAGCTCTGAAGTTCTTTCTTCTACTTGTTTGATTCTATTTCTAAGACTTTCCATTGTATTTTGCATTTCTCTAAGTGTGTCCTTCATTTTTAGAAGTTGTGATTGTTTTTTATTTATGCTATCTATTTCTCTGGAGATTTTTCCATCTATATCCTGTATCTTCTTTTTTTTTAATTTCTTTAAGTTGTTATTTGTCTTTCTCTGGTGCCTCCTTGAGTAGCTTAATAATCAACCTTTTGCATTCTTTTTCTGGCAATTCAGAGAATTCTTCTTGGTTTGGATCTATTACTGGTGAGCTACTGTGATTTTGGGGGAGTGGTAAAGAGTCATGTTTTGTCATATTGTGTCTGGAATTGGTTCTTTCTGGTGGGTTCTTTGTCTCACCGACTTCAAGAATGAAGCCACAGACCCTTGCAGTGAGTGTTACAGTTCTTAAAGATGGTGTATCCAGAGTTTATTCCTTCAGATGTTCAGATTTGTCCAGAGTTTCTTTCTTCTCGTGGGTTCATGGTCTTGCTGACTTCAGGAGTGAAGCTGCAGACCTTTGCAGTGAGTGTTACAGCTCTTAAAGATGGCACATCCAGAGTTGTTTGTTCCTCCTGGTGGGTGCATGGTCTCACTGACTTCAGGAGTGGAGCTGCAGACCTTCGCAGTGAGTGTTACAGCTCTTAAAGTTGGCGCATCTGGAGTTGTTTGTTCCTCTTGGTGGGTTCGTGGTCTTGCTGACTTCAGGAGTGAAGCTGCAGACCTTTGCAGTGTGTGTTACAGCTCATAAAGGTAGTGTGGACCCAAAGAGTGAGCAGCAGCAAGATTTATTGCAAAGAGCAAGAGAACAAACCTTCCACAGCTTGGAAGGGGACCCAAGTGGGTTGCCGCTGCTGGCTTGGGTGGCCAGCTTTTATTCCCTTATTTGGCCCCGCCCACATCCTGCTGATTGGTCCATTTTACAAAGTGCTGATTCGTCCGTTTTTACAGAGTGCTAATTGGTGCGTTTACAAACCTTTAGCTAGACACAGAGTGCTGATTGGTGCGTTTTTACAGCATGCTGATTGGTGCGTTTACAAACATTTAGCTAGACACAGAGCACTGATTGGTGTGTATACAATCCTTTAGCTAGACAGAAACGTTCTCCAAGTCCCCACCTCACCCAGAAGCCCAGCCAGCTTCATCTCTTAATCTCCCCTCTAAACAGGACACCCCAAATGCTGTTGGGAATTGGGTGATGACCACTCTAGCTACTTCCTGCTGGATAGAGGCAAAGAAAGGGCCTTGCAGTTGTAGTGTCCTCAAGAGGGGAACACTTTAGGCCAGTGAAAGGGCCAGCTGGTTAGTCCAGAGGTCCTCAGTAGAAGTTGTTAGTTGAGCTCATTTGGGTTTCCATTTGTAAGACCATCTGTAGCTTGATGGCCTTGATCCTAGAGGAAACAAATTTGACAAGGAGGTTAAAAATGGCCTGAAGGCGAGTAATAACAAAATGGCTGCCACAGGACCTAGAAAGGGAAGAAGCCATGTTGCCCAACTCTAGAGGTTGGTATAAGAGTTTGAAAGTCATTGTCTGATTTCAGAAGCCTTTTCCTGTAAACACCAGGCAGCATCTCGTACTATCCCTGACTGGTTAGTGTAAAAACAACACTTTCCCCTAAGAAGGTGCAGAGTCCTCCTTTCTCAGCAGTGAGGAGGTCTAGGCCTCAGTGGTTTTGGAGAGTCGCTGCTGCCAAAGAGTCTATTTGGGATTGTAGAGTAAGGATAGCTTTCGTTATTTCTTGCAAACTGTCTGAGAAATACTTTGAGTGTGTGTGGTAGTAGGATAATGAAGTAGATAAACTGGCTATTCCAGTTCCTGTAGCAGTAGCCATTCTTAACCCTATAAGTAGGGGTATTCGTTGTATGGCTCTGCACTGACAGACTTGGGCTTTGAGGGGTACTGATAGGGTCTGATTTCCTGGGGGAAATGTTAATGTTGGGACTTAGAAAGACTAAGGTGCAGGTGCCTTTCCAGTTAGTGCGGAGGCAGATATACATCGATGATCCACATAAGAAGAATATACTTCTCTGGGTAGACAGAACTGGTTATTTTTGTTAAAAAGATGTGTGAGTTTGTTGTTTTCATTTTCCCATACTCCTAGAGTATTTGCAAAGGTAGCTCCAGTGAATGGCTGGAAAGGGGTGTTGGGAGCAAACTGAGTGGCTACCTATATTCTATTTTCCTATTGGAGAAAAAACCATTTCATACCTACTAGGAACCATTCGAGAGTGTGATTGAAAGAGGGGATGAGAAGGCATTCACTAGTGGTGGGGGCACTTCTGTAGGATGTCCAGGGGTGAATGGTCATACAGGGAGTATGTTTGCCATTACAAAACCTGGACTGTTTGTTAAGCAGGGAGGAGTTGATGATTTTGGGGGGCCCTGAGAATCAGACAAGCCATCTGAATGGAATTGTTTGGGTGACTCGGAAGTTCCTATGATCAGTTGGGACTTGAAGTTGTAGGGTGATATTACACTGATGGGGTAGTAGGTGCCCCAGGGGCAGGCCTGATAATAGGTTGTGTTGGATGCATAAAGGGGCTTGGAAAATTAGGATGGTACTCATAGTTATAGGGCCATGTATGGGCTTTTCATTGCTTGTGTAATAGGTGAGGTTGGAAATGTAAGAACGTAAAAGTTGGAATGCACGTCCTGTTAGGGTACTCTTGGTCCTATCAGAGATGGGGAAGTCAGCTAATGATTGCATATTTAGAAGTCAGAAAGGGTCTTTTCCTTCATAATGAGGGTGGTAGGTTAAGTTGGTAAAAACCCAATTTTTTTGCGGGAATGGGAGTGGCAACATAAGCAGAAGTTGATAGAGAGATACAAAGCCAACAGCAATTTGCCAGGGAAGGATTGGACTGGTTTAACAGAGAGTGGGTTAAGTTGAGAGTCTTGTAGAGGTAATTAGGAGCTAGTGGAAGGGGAGGGGTGATTGTATGAGATATCCAAGGAAGCAGCAGGGATAGATAGGCAAAGAGTAAATAGGAAGGTAAAGAGGGTGCTCTGGAAGATGAGATCATCTTATCCAGTCTGAGTTAAAGGTAGAAGTAAATCGCTGTCAGAAGGAAGGAATATAGAAAGAAGGTTGATGTGATTTGGATTTTCATCCCAGCAGGAGCTACTTACTGTATATAGTCCTATTGCAAAGGGTATGGTTAGTATACTACTTAACAATATGATGAAATAGTAAAAGAATTCCATTAAAGGGGCAAGGAGAGGTGTTAAAGATAAAGATTATATAGGTTTTCACTTATCTTTTTTAAGGAGGAAGGAGTTTTTCTTCAGGATCAGTGGTAGGAGCCTTTTTAGTCTGGGATGTTTCCTTCTGAAATAGGAGATGCAAGTCCTCCAACAGTTCACAGGTGTATCGAGGCTGGTCTGGCTGATCTTGGGACTCCTGAGCTGACAGTCCCACAGGTTCCTCAGGGGGTGTCCAAAATTTATATTGGATGTGGTAAATCCAAGATTCCACTCCTGCCACCTTAACTGCAGTGGGAGTAGAGAGGATTACCGAGTATGGTCCTTACCACAAAGAGTCCATAGATGGGGAGGTAGAAGGGAGAGATTTGACCAACACTAGATCTCCTGGTTGAAACAACTCTGTTCCCTTTTCTCTATGACATCCTTCAGGTAGGTTTTTAAGGTTTTCTTGATATTTTGCCAAAGAAGTTATATCTTTGACCAAGTTGGCCATTTCATGATCAAGTAGGAGGTCATTTGTGAGAAAAGGTCATTCGTACAGCATTTCATATGGACTGGGCCCTATTTTGTGAGGAGAATTTCAGATTCTTAGTAAGGCCACAGGCAAGAGAGTAGGCCATGGGAGATGAGTTTCTTGTGTTAATTTCCTTAGGTGCCTCTTGAGTGTTTCATTTGCCTTCTTGACATTCCCTGAGGATTGTGGCCTCCAGGCGCAGTGAAGATGATATTGTATCCCTAATGCCCTGGAAATTCCCTGAGTTATTGTGGCTTTAAAAGCTGGACCATTGTCACTCTATAAGCTTTGGGGAAGCCCAAATCTAGGAATTATTTCATGAATTAGGACTTAGTCAGTTCCTGAGCCTTCTCTGTCTTGCAGGGGAAAGCTTCTATCCAATTTGCAAAGGTACAAACAAAGACCAACAAGTATTGAAATCCCTTTGACTTAGGCATAGGTCCTCTCCAGGATAGTGACCTATTCTTTGTTCCCCCAAAGGGGCCTTATGATGGACCAAGCGATTATTCCTTTGGCACACCTCACAGGCTTTGACTACCTGTCAGATGATCTGGAGGACATTTGGCCCTGTAAATAGGGATTTGGCCATATGATGAGTGTTTTCAATACCCATATGAAAAGTTTGGTAGAGGGTTTTAAGTATTTTCCACTGGCTGGTTTTGGGTATAAGTACCTTTCCTTCTTCTGTCCTTAACCACCCCAAGGGGAGAAAACTATGCCCCTGTGAAACTCCCTATTCTGTTTCAGTCAGGGAATACTGGGGCTTAATCTCTTGGAGGGGGTTGTTCCATACCAACAGTCCTTCTGCAGGTATTTCTAATGGGAGATTCTGCCTGGCAGCAATTTCGGCCTCAGCATCTGCCTGACAGATTCCTTCTGCATTTTCTCCTTCACCTTTCTGATGGCTTTGTCAGGGTAAGACTGCCACCTCCTTGGGTTTTTGCACTGTGTGCAATAACTCCATAATTTCCTGTGGTATCTAATGGGGGTTACCCCAGAGGTTAGGAACTCCCTTTCTTTCCATATTGCAGCATGGCATGTAGGATTAGATAAGCCTACTTGCTATCTGTATACACATTTATTCTTTTTCCCTTTCCCATTTAATCTTTTTCTCTTTCACTGTTCTAAGGCTTGGGTAAGTGCCCCTAGTTCTGCTAACTGGGCACTGGTCCCTGGGGGAAGAGGCTTACTTTCACGTACGGTTACATCACTAACTATGGCATAACCTGCCCTTCAATATCCAATTCTCCACAAATGAACTTCCATCGGTATATAAGTTAAGGTCTGGATTAGCTAAGGGGACTTCTAAAAGATCATCTCAGGAAGTATAAGTCTGGACTATAATTTGTTGGCAGTCATGCTCGATTGATTCCCCATCCTCTGAAAGAAAAGTGGCAGGGTGGATGGCCATGCATGTATGTATTTAAGCAACAGTCTCTCAAGGAGTAGTGCCTGGTATCTAAGTAGGTGGTTGTCTGATAGCCATAAACTTCCTTTGGCACCTAATATGCCATTTACATCATGAGTAGTCCAGACAGTGAGATCCTTTCCTTGTATTATTTTGATAGCCTCTGACACTAAGAAGGCCACAACCAAAACTACCCTTAAACAGTGAGGCCAGCCTTTTGCTACTACATCATTTTCCTTATTTAGGTATGCCACTGGTTGTGGGGTTGTCCCACGAGTCTGGGTAAGTACTCCAAGAGCTATCCCTGCTCTCTCTGTAATGTATAAAGAGAAGTTTTGTCCTGTTGGGAGGCTTAAAGCTGGAGCCTGTACTAGGGCCTGCTTTAAGGTTTTGAAGGCTGTTCCCACCCCTGGTTCCCATTCTACTAGATGAGTATTTGCCCTCTGGGTCTCCTTGATTAGAGTATAGAGGGGCCTGCCTATCGCACTGTATCCAGGGATCCATAGTCGGCAAAAGCCAGTGATTCCAAGGAATGCCCGCAACTGTTTTAATGTCTTAGGGTGAGGATAAGCCAGGATAGGCTGTATTCATTCCTTGCTGAGGGCCCTGGTCCCTCTGGCTAAGATTAGGCCTAGATATTTGACCTGCTGTAGGCAAAGCTGGGCCTTCAACTTAGACACCTTGTACTCTTGATTAGCTATAAAGTTCAAGAGATCCAGAGTAGCCTGCTGGCATGAGGCTTCCAAACTGGTAGCCAAAAGTAAATCATCCACATACTGAAGGACCAGAGTACCTGGACTTGAGAAGTGGCCTAGATCTTGGGCCAGTGCCTGACCAAACAGATGAGGGCTATCCCTAAACCCTTGGGGCAAGACCATCCATGTAAGTTGGGACATGTGGTCTGTGGGATCCTCAAAGGCAAAGAGAAACTGGGAGTCAGAGTGCAGGGGAATATAGAAGAAGGCATCCTTGAGGCCCAGAACAGTGAACCATTCTGCTTCCTCTGGTATTTGAGAGAGCAGGGTATAGGGGTTGGGTACAACTAGATATAGAGGAATTACTGCCTCATTGATGAGTCTAAGATCTTGCACTAGTCTCCACTGACCGCTCAGTTTTGGACTCCTAGAATTGGGGTGTTGCAGGGACTGCTGCATTTCCTTACTAAGCTTTGAGCTTTTAAATGTTTAACAATATCTTGTAATCCTTTATGAGCTTCAGGCCTTAAGGGATATTGCCTTTGATAAGGAAAAGTGGTGGGATCTTTTAGCATGATTTGGACTGGCTGGGCAGTTTTTTCCCTTCCAAATTGTCCTTCCAATGCCCAGACTTCAGTGTTGATTCCCTCCTCAAGTAGGGGACAACAAATGGGTAACTTGTTCCCCATATTCGTGTAAATAATAGCTCCACCTTTGGCTAATATATCCCTCCCTAATAAGGGTGTGGGACTTTCAGGCATAATAAGAAAGGCATGTGAAAAGAGCAAAGTCTCCCAATTACAACTGAGGAGGTGGGAGAAATACCTGGTTACAGGCTGTCCCAGCATTCCTCGGATGGTAACAGACCTTGATGACAGTCGTCCAGGACAGGAGATTAACACTGAGAAGGCTGCACCAGTGTCCAGGAGGAAGTCAATTTCCTGGCCCTCAATGGTTAAGCATAGCCAGGGCTCAGTGAGGGTGATGACATGAGCTGGCGCTTGCCCTGGACACCCTCAGTCCTGTTGTTGGATCATCTCATTGGGGGTTTCCAGCCGAGAGAACCATTGAACTCTGGGGCAGTGTGCCTTCCAGTGATTGCCTCGGTAGAGCAGACATGGACAAGTGGGCAGCTTGTTTCTCATTGGACAATCTTTTTTAAAGTGTCCTTGTAAATCTCACTGATAACAAGCCCTACCAGGTGATTGGCCTGCTCCATTTTCTGTCCTCTCTGAGCTACCCAGGTTTGTTTGTCTGAGGGCCATGACTAAGGCTGCAGCCTTTCTCTGATCTTGCTTTTCATTGGGCCTGTTCCTCTTGGTCCCTATTATAGAATACTGAGGTTGCCAGGTTTAATAATGCCTCTAGATTTTGTTCAGGGCCCAGGGCTCACTTTTGGGGCTTTCTCCTGATATCTGTGGCTGATTGGGTAATAAACTTATCTTTTAGGATCAACTGGCCCTCCAGTGAGTCAGGTGACAGGAGAGTATATTTTCTTAAGGCCTCCCGTAGCGGCTCGAGGAAGGCAGAAGTATTTTCTTCCTTTCCCTGAGTTATGGTGGACATCATTGAATAATTCATGGGCTTTTCCTAATTCTCCTTAGTCCTTCTAGAACACAGGTCAACAGATGTTCATGACTCTAGTCCCCATGATCTGAGTCAAGGTCCCAGTGGGGATCCATACTGGGGATGGCTTGCTGATAGTTAGGGAATTTGTCCCTTTCTTCAGCTGTCATTCTATCATTTACTTGACTAAGATACCAGGTATCTCCAAACCCTCAGGCTGCAGCTAAAGCCACATTCTTCTCATTAAAGGTCAGGGTTTGATCTAACAATAGCATGACATCTCTCCAAGTGAGATTGAAGGTTTCCCCTAGACCCTGTGGAACATCTATGTACCTATCAGGATCATCTGAAAACTTCCCCAGGTCTGCCTTGATCTGCTTTAAATCAGAGAGGGAGAAGGGGACATGTACCCGGGTTGGGCCAAATTCCCCTCCCCCTACAGCTTGAAGGGGACATAAAAGATAGCCTGTGGGTTTTTGTGGTCCTTTGGAGATTTCTTTTCTTGTTTCCTTCTGGGCACGGGAGATTAGAGGAGGCTTATCATTAATAGGAAGGAGAGCTATAGGGAGGCTAGGATATGGGGGTAAGCTGAGAGGTCCTCCTGTGGGATGTAAATTGTAAGCTTTGCATAGTTGTGGATTCTCCCTCAATGAAAAGAAAGCTTGGACTTAAGGTATTTCATTCCATTTGCCTTCCCCCTTACAGAAAAGGTGAAGCTGCAAGATAGTATTGTAATTTATACTTCTCTCAGGTGGCCATTTTTCCCCATCAGAGAGAGAATATTGGGCCAAGCCATAGTGCAGAAAAAAATGAACTGCCTCTTTTTCAAGGTTTGCAGGTCAAATTGGTTGCAGTGGCTTAGGATGCATTTCAAGGGTGAGTCTGTTGATGCCTGAGTGTTTCCTATCTGAAAGATAAAACTGCCCACAGTTTTGGTTTGTTTTTTTCTCCCCCTGCCCAAGAACCTGTAATGGTCCCTGGACCCTGCTGATCAGAATAGTTGTGCTCACTGATGCAGCAGCAGAAACACCTCTTGCCCAAGAACCCACAACAGTCCCTGGGCCCTACTGATCAGAATAGTTGCACTCATCGATGCAGCAGCAGAAAAACTAATTTTGCTCCTAGACCACAAGGAGGACCGAGGAATGTCAGATTAGTAGCCCTTATTGGTGCATTCTCAAATACCTGTTAGAGTCCTAAGCATTGTCCTGTTAGCACTGGGACTTTACCACTGTCCTATAAAGATGTTATGCCCCAAAAATGAAGTGGAGGGCCATACTCTGAGGGAGGGAAGGGATCTCCAGAGTTGGAAGAGTGATGCCTTTTGTCCTCACTTATGTGGAGGATATCATTTCTGAGGCTCTCCATATCCTAGTTTCAGGAATAGCTTTTGTTAGGCCTGCTTGTCTGAGGAGGGATCCTAAAATTCCAGATAGTCCCCCACCCCAATGGGGCTTTGGGCAAAAATTATGTCTTTCTGATTGGTGAGCCCAGGTGCCTAAAGAAGGTAACAGAGTCCTGAAGTTTATACTAGAAATCATTCTTACAGGAGAAACTAGAAAAGCACCAGAGACAGGGAGTGGTTTTTAGAAGCAGGACTAGCCTCGGAGAAGAGAGGCGAGAGGAAGTTTGTCTGACAGGCATTAGAACCCAGGAGGCAAGGGTCAGGATAGATAGGATAGATGGGCAAGTCTCGCTTGGGCAACCTGTTTTTGAGAGTTCCATTCATGGCTGCAGGATCAACCAACTTGTTGTCGGGACCCCAGAGCTGAATGGCTTTCCTCTCTGTCAATGCTTGGTTCAGCCCAGAAGTACAGGAAAACTGGAAGCTGGTTCCAGGCAAACCAACACTCCTAACTCTGTAAAGTCGGGGGTTGTTAGAGAGCCCTTTCCCAGGAAGCCTGACACCCAACGGCCGCACTAGTCACTTTACACTGGCCAACAGGTTCCTGGTATTTAGCCCCCGAATTCTAAGGAAAAATAGGACAGAATAGCAAGCAAAAGGGGTCTGATGGTACTCACCACTTGGTGATTGTCCCATCTGGGTTGCCAAAATGTGTCCGGAATTGGTTCCTTCTGGTGGGTTCTTGGTCTTGCTGACTTCAAGAATGAAGCCTCAGACCCTCACAGTGAGTATTACAGTTCTTAAAGATGGTGTGTCCGGAGTTCCTTCCTTCAAATGTTCAGATGTCTCCAGAGTTTCTTGCTCCTAGTGGGTTCATGGTCTCACTGACTTCTGGAGTGAGGCCGCAGACCTTTGCAGTGAGTGTTACAGCTCTTAAAGGTAGCACATCCAGAGTTTTTCATTCCTCCCAATGGGTTTGTGATCTCACTGACTTCAGGAGTGAAGCTGCAGACCTTCACAGTGAGTGTTACAGCTCATAAAGGTAGTGAGGACCTAAAGAGTGAGCAGCAGCAAGATTTATTGTGAAGAGCAAAAGAACAAAGCTTCCACAGCATGGAAGGGGACCCGAGAGAGTTGCTGCTGCTGGCTCAGGTGGCCAGCTTTTATTTCCTTATTAGGCCCCACCCACATCCTGCTGATTGGTCCATTTTACAGAGCACTGATTGGTCCATTTTACAGAGTGCTGATTGGTGCATTTACAAATCTTTAGCTAGACACAGAGTGCTGATTGGTGCATTTTTACAGAGTGCTGATTGGTGTGTTTACAAACTTTTAGCTAGACACAGAGTGCCAACTGGTGTGTTTACAATCCTTTAGCTAGACAGAAAAGTTCTCCAAGTCTCCACCCAACCCAGAAGCCCAGCTGGCTTCATCTCTATATTACCAGAATTGTTTTTCTGGTTTCTTCTCATTTGGGTAGACTATGTCAGAGGGAAGATTTGGGGCTCAAGGGCTGTTGTTCAGATTCTTTTATCCCATAGGGTGCTCCTTTGATGTAGTGCTCTTCACCTTCCCCTAGGTATGGGGCTTCCTGAGAGACAGACTGCAGTGATTGATATTTCTGTTCTGGGTCTAGCCACCCAGTGGAGTTACCAGGCTCCAGGATGGTACTGGGGAGTGTCTTCAGAGAGTCCTGTGATATGATCCATCTTCAGGTCTCTCAGCCATGAATACCAGCACCTGCTCTGATGGAGGTAGCAGGGGAGTGGACTCTGTGAGGGTCTTTGGTTGTAGTTTTGTTTAGTGCACTGGTTTTTTGTTGGTTGGCCTCTAGCCAGTAGGTGGCACTTTCAAAAGAACATCAGCTGTGGTATTATAGGGAGGATACAAGCTTATCCTAGGGTTGCCTGGATAAGTATTTGGGTTTCTCAAGGAGTGAGCAGGAATGTAGAACTCCCAAGAGATATGTCCTTTGTCTTTAGCTACCAAGGTGGGTAGAGAAAGACTATTGGGTGAGGCAGGGTTAAGCATGTCTGAGCTCAGATTCTCCCTGGGTGAGGCTTGCTGCAGCTGCTGTGGGAGATGGGGGTGTGATTCTCAGGCTGATGGAGTTATGTTCTTTGTTTCTGTTCTTTATAAATTATCCAGTCTGTGTTATTTTGTTATCACGGCACAAATGAACTGAGATCAGAGGCATCATACCGGTCACCAGGGAAGTGGGGGAAAGCCAGCAGTGACAGGTCTCACCCAGCTCCCAGTTAGCCTGAAAGGCCAGTCTCACTCCCACCATGTCCCCACAACAGCACCAAGTTTATTTCCAGGCAGTAGATGAGCAGGGCTGAGAACTTGCCCCAGAGCCTCACCACTGAGAAAGCAAGCAGGGCTTTCAGAGTTTGTGCCTCCCCACCTGCTGTGGTTTCTGTGCCAATATCTGCACTCTCTGTTCACTCCTCCCCCAGATTCTGTCCAGGATACTTAGCATGTGGTGGAAATTGTTACCAAGTTCAGCTGTAAGTTCCATTCTCCCTGTGGTCTTTCCCTGGTTCCACTGGCAGCCTTCCCCACAGACCCCTGCAAAACAAAGTTAGGAATGGCTTTCCTGAGGACAGAAGAGTGCTCACAGGGCTCTTCCTGCCGCTTCCTCTATCTCTATATTTTGGTCAGCTCTCTAAAGTTGTCTCAGCTCCACATAAGCTCAGATTCTTCTCCCATGATCTGGGCTTTCAGTTTCCCCAGTGAGGATGTGTGTTTGGAGGCAAAGGTTTCCCCTCTCACACTTTAGGCACTCAGTTTTTTGGCTGTCTCACTGAAAAGCAAGCTGCTTCCCTTCAAAGGGTCTCTGTGTTCTTTTGGCTTTCCTGGTATGTTCTTCCATAGTTCTTGGAGCAAAAGTTCATGATGTGGGCCTCCACATACTCCTCTGTGTGTCTGAGTGGAAGCTGCAAGTTAGCTCTGCCTCCTATCCACCAATTTTTTTGTAATTTGCTTTTAAATATTCAGTTTAGACAATGTGATTTATGTGTTTATCAGTTGGTTTTAACTTGCATCATAGAGGTGTTTAGTTGCCCCAGTTAGACATATTCTCTGAGAATGTTATTGACAAATCTATTCACCCAAAAGATGGGTTCTTTTCTGTTCTTTGCCACAACGCTGATAAGCAAAACTGAAAGTGAGTGTCAAGCAGTACAGGCTTTTATTTGATGACCATAGAATTGAGAAGTGGGAGTGTGGCTCACAAATCAACCATTCAACTTGTAAGAGCTTGGAAGCCACAGATATAGGGCATATTTAAGAAAAGAATTGGGCATTGAGAGCAAGGGGAGGAATATTCATATCTTTTCTTGGAATGAATGGAGAACTTCTCAGAACTGGTGTGTCACCTTCCTTTTTGTCCCTTTATGGTTTCTTCCAATCATTGTCATGGTGATTGTTAACTGTCATGGCACTGCTGAGAGTGTCATTTAACATGGAAATTAGATTATAATTAATTTTGAAGTTCTTCAAAGGTCAAATGAGCTGCCATCTTGGATTCCCCCATGAGCTTCAGCTGGTTTAATTATGAGGGGTATCTTCTGATGGCAGGCCTCCTGTTTCTTAAAGATAAGCAGAGAAGCAGAGTTAAGGCAGGGCAGAAATTCAGCTAAGTCATGAAGGCATTACACTGGGTAACAAAGGGAGGTCAGCTAACATATATTGAAAAGGCCACATACCAGAGGCAGCTACTTCAAGTATTTTATCTAATTTTTAAAACTCTGATTAAAAATGTTTTGTCAATTAGTACAATAGATGTTAGACATTTTTTATTATATTGATGAAATTAGTGCTGTTAAGATCTGTTGCTTGACTAAAATTATTGTAAAGAAATGTCTTGCCTTTATATGAATATGATATGAATAGCAAGTTCAATAATCTGAATCCTAGGGCCTTATGCTTGGCCCCAAAATAATAGTGGACTAGAAAGTTAATTGTTCTAATTTAATGTTCCATTAATTCATGCTTGATGGACAATGCTTCTCTGAAACTCAGATTCAACACGTTACAATCTTACATTGATCCAGAATTATCCCCAATCAATTTTCATTTCTTAACTACAGATACAGTTCATGTCTCTTGAAATAAAATTGATGTTTTAAAATTTGTCATCTGTTATGCTAACGTTTGTTTCAAATAATAGAGATTTTCATCATATGAAGCAAAATATTTTATGGGAAGTGAATAACTGGGTGATTAATTATTTTGTAATCATTTCTTTTCTTTAGATCTGCGTTCCTTTGTTCTGTACGTCTCAGCTGATTTGAATTCATCTGCTTAGAAATTATTTTGTGAAATGTAATATTTTTGCAAAGAAAATTCTTTCATTAAGTTACTTTTATTTCTCACTATTCAAAAACAAATATTATAAACTCACATGAAATGACCGTTTCTATTTGATGGCTTTCTTTATACAGACTTTCAGTGAAATGAAAAATTAACTTAATAATGGCTTAACACTTATTAATGATAATATAATTATATCAGACTTATCATGACAATTGTTTTCTTCTATGCCTAGATGGGAAGATGATTCAATTAGGCATAAAACTGCTGCCTCCTAATTGGAATTATTTGTGTCTAAAGATTTAAAAATTAATGGGAACATCAAGTCGATGCAATTCAATCCAGGGAATTAGTTTCTATCATACCTTTAATAAACTTTGATATGCAGGGTGCTATGGTTTGAATATTTGTGTCTTTTTCAAAATTTATGTTGAAACTTAATCTCTAATGTAAAAGTATTAAGAGGTGGGGCCTTCAGAAGATGATTAGGCCATAAGGGCTCCACCCTCATGGATGGGATTAGTGCCTCATGAAAGGGCTGGAGGGAACTAACTAGGCTCTTTTTATCCTTCCACTGTCTACCATGAGAGGATGCAGCAAGAAGGCTCTCACCAGACACAGAATGCCAGTGCCTTGACCTTGAACTTGTCAGCCTTTAGAACTGTGAGAAATAAATTTCTGTTTTTTATAAATTACCCAGTCTGTGTTATGTTGTTATTACAGCACAAATGAACTGAGATCAGTGGCTTTAAGCCTTTTGAAGTCTGCAGGTCCCTTTGATAAATTACAGTAGTCCCACTTATCGATGGTCTCATTTCACTTACCCGTTGTGAACCATGGTCCAAAAATATTTTATAGAAAATTCCAGACATAAACAATTTATAAGTTTTAAATTGCATGCTATTCTGAATAGCATGATAAAATCTTGTGCTGTTCTGACTCATTCTGCCTAGGACATGAATTATCTTTTTGTCTAGCATGTCCACTCTACACATGCTACCCACCCATTAGTCACTTTACAGCCATCTCAGTTATCAGATCGACTATTGTGATATCACAGTGCTTGTGTTCAAGTCACTCTTATTTTACTTAATAATGGCTCCAAAGCACAAGGGTAATGATGCTGGCATATTGTTATAATTGTCTTATTTTATTAGTTGCTAATCTCTTACTATGCTTAATGTGTAAATTAAACTTTATCATAAGTATGTATGTCTAGGAAAAAATATGGTATATATAGGGTTCAGTACTATCTGTGGTTTTAGGCATCCACTGGGGGTCTAGAAACATATCCCCTGTGGATAAGGGGGATAAAACTACCAGCATTCTTCAGAGAAAACATACATACATACACTCAAAACTTAGCAGCCAAAATAAAGAGACTCTCAGACTGTCTAAAGCTTATCCACATAACTGGGAAAAAGAAGTCATACAGCAGAAGCATATAGAAAAACAAAATTTAAAGACACAATGCAACTGCTCCTTTTGTCCAAGACTATATCAATGCCAATAATAATAATACCCTAGAAATACAAGCATGTGCATTTCCTTTTTTCTTCCTTCTGTTGATGAGTTTAATGGAGATTAATAGAATCTTACTGGTATAAATACCTGATAAGACCATCTGCCTTCATCTCTTTATTTTACAAGTGAGGAAAATGAGACCTAGAAGATAAGTGATTTCTCCAAGATGGCATCATTAGCTAAATGGCAAAGATAGATCTCAAGATTCATAGGCCAGAGCTCATAGGCCATGCTTTCTGCTCATGAAAAAGACCAGATTCTCAGCCACCTGAGTCTTGCAATGGCTCCTCTCCAATGTTAGCGCTTGTGAGTCTAGGATCACAAAGTTGTAAGGGTTAGAAACATTTGATGTTTCTCTTTTGATAATTACTCTTTTACATCCTTCTTGGGAATATCTTACTCGAGAGTTACACATTTGGGGGCTAAGATTAGTAGCATCAAAATGTAGCTGGCCAGTATATAAATTAGCACCAAAATAGAACAGCTGGATCCTCTAGCAATGCAGAGAAGGTAACTGCTTGCTGGACCAGGCTGGCAAGCTGGTTCTGAGAGACTGCATTTGTTGGTATATGTAAACTTGATGAATTTACTATGATTCAGGCATAGTGCATGGAGCTTTAGGTTAATAGGTTTGTAAGGGGAATCTGTCAGCATTCCTAATGTAATACTGTCCCTCAGGGGCTGCCACACATTAACCAAGTTCTCTGAGATCAAAGCATAGAACCAGAAAGCCAATTTGTTAAATTACAATGAGAAATATGCTGTCACAGAGTCTGCCCTCAGGGCAGATCTACAGAGACCAAATCCTCATCAGAAAGTTGCTTCTGAACCTGGAGACCAAATAAAGTGTGTTATCTGAACTTAAGGCAGCAGACTAATGCAGTCCAAATTATCCGCCTCACCATAGGGATGATGTTTCCTATGGAAACCAGAATACTTAAATTTCATTCTCTCTCTAGGGGCTTTATAATTTAAGGCTAAAGTTTTTATTCTCTTGCTTTAGGTGAATTCCAAGTAAGTCCGGGGACTTCTCTTTGACCTTAAAATTGAGCAAGAAGGTTTTGGGCATAATATGCCCAAAGTAAGCCCTGTCTGTGTACAGCCTTGTCTGTGGAGGGAAGGAATCTCCTGAACCCAGTACCTGGAGTGCTTATTCCACAGGTTCTCATGACAACCTTGCCCTCACTTTCACCCAGCCCAGGGGTGAGGGGCTGAAGATCAAAACTAACTAATTCAAATGAGACTCAATTTGATTACTACATACCAAGAAGGTTGAGATTTTTCAATTTACTATATGACTGATCATTGAGTCAATCACTTTACCTTACAGATGATGAAATGGAGACCCAGAGATATTAAATGACTTATCCAAAGGCATACAGCTTGTCAGGAGTGAAGTAGGACTAAAACCTAGGATCTGTTCTACCCATAGATGTAGGCAAATACCTCAGGTGGTCCCCACTCTTTGGAGCGCCTTCTTCAAAATGTTTGAAGTCTCCTCTAGTGCCTGGGACTGATCAATTATGCCCCCCAGAAATGGTATATAACCCTGGACTGGCAACCACCTGGGCTCCATCATTCTTTCTCTTTTCCAAGACTCTAACCTATACATGGGGTTAGGCAGAAGCCCTGAGGAGCTCTGGGACTTGAGACTGTGGTGTTGTACTGGGCCCACATTAGGTTTCAGTGGGGAAGTCTGTTAAGAGATTGCTCTCATTGGCCAGCATGCTTCTTCTTTTGTAGGATAATGGGAAAGCAAGCAGATAGAATGATACTGGCATAAGGATTTGTGTAACTTTCACTCACACTGGACACAGAATGAGTTCAGGTCTTTGGTCCATAAAAATTCCACTACCAACCCTGAGATTGAGCCATGTGTGTGGACCCATGTGTTGGCTATTGCTTATTCATGTTCCAACAGCAGTGCTACCTGTTGTCTACAGTACTTGAGGGTGGCAAGAGGCAGCAGGCATTCTTTATACTCTGTACCTCCTGCCACCTGAGACAATCACCCCATTCCCTCTATAGACTTGAGGTAGGGGTCAGTCAATTCTTGGGAGCAACTCCTCCGATCTTCCCTGAGGGCTTAAACACCATTGCTCTGCAAATCCTACCGACCTTTCTGATTGATGTCAGCTCCCCTGTCAGAGCCATACAATAAAACAACTAAAAGAGGTTTAATTAAGATCTAGACTCTTAAAACATAATTCCCCAACAGTACAGGTTTCAATAAAAAAAACTCAGCCGTCATATCAGAACAAAGAAGACTTCAAATTAAATTTAAAAAGACAACCAATAGATGCCAACATTGTGATAAAGAGATGTTACAATTATCTGACAAAGACTTTACAGTAGCCATGATAAAAGTGCTTCAAGGAGCAATTATAAACACAATTGAAACAATGTTTTTAAAAATAGCTTACACAAGGATACAGAAAGTCTTAGTAAAGAAAGATGACACCAAGAAGAGTCAAATGGAAATCTTAGCATTTAAAGTAATAACTAAAATTTATAATGCAGTGAATGCAGCAGATGGGCTAAATGGCAGATGCCCTTTGAAGAGTTCAGAGAAGAATATTAATGAATTAGAAATTAGAACAACAGAATTACTCAATTCGAACTACAGAGAAAAAATAGACTGAAAAAAGGAACATAGCGTTAGGCATCTAAGATGGCCTTAGGCATATAACAAAAGATATAATATTTGTGATTCTAGAGACCCATAACAAGAGAAGAAAGAGGAGGGAACTACAAAAATATTGGAAAAAATAATTGCTAAATTTTTGAAAATTTGACAACAAATACAGACCTACAAATTCAAGAAGCTGAGGAAATATCAATGGGTTAAACTCAAATAAATCACTTTCAAAAACTATCATAATTAAACTGCTGAAAACTGAAGACAAAAAAATATTGAAAGTAACCAGAGGAAAACAACACCTTAACTATACAAAAAGGGCAATTTGAACGTCAAATAGATTTCTTACCAAAAACTATGAAAGCTACAGGACAGTCCTCAGATGGCCTTGGCTAACCCAGCCTTCCTTTTCTTGCCCATGGTTCTCAGAATAACTGTAGAATGCACTGAGAATGCAGCATTTTGAGATAGGAAAGGAATGCCTGAAATATTCTGGGCCTTGCTTCCTCCCCCCACCACCCCAGAGCAGGATGCTCTATAACACTTTAACCCAGTGATTCCCATAACAGAAACATACCTGTTTATTTTCTTTCTTAGTTTTTCGGAGCAAATGTTAACGATATTGTATTTTCAATATCAGTGCCTAGATTTTCATTGCTAGTATATACAAATGCTATTAATATTTGCATATTGATCTCTATCCTACAGCCTTGCTGAACCTATCTATTAATTCTAGGAGGTTTCGTCTAGATTCCTTGAGATTTTCTTTCTTTTTTTCCCCCCCTTTACATTTTCTTTTTTTTTTTATTATTATACTTTAAGTTTTAGGGTACATGTACACAATGTGCAGGTTAGTTACATATGTATACATGTGCCATGTTGGTGTGCTGCACCCATTAACTCGTCCTTTAACATTAGGTATGTCTCCTAATGCTATCCCTCCCCCTCCCCCCACCCCACAACAGTCCCCGGTGTGTGATGTTCCCCTTCCTGTGTCCAAGTGTTCTCATTGTTCAATTCCCACCTATGAGTGAGAACATGCGGTGTTTGGTTTTTTGTCCTTGTGATAGTTTGCTGAGAATGATGGTTTCCAGCTTCATCCATGTCCCTACAAAGGACATGAACTCATCATATTTTATGGCTGCATAGTATTCCATGGTGTATATGTGCCACATTTTCTTAACCCAGTCTATCATTGTTGGACATTTGGCTTGGTTCCAAGTCTTTGCTATTGTAAATGGTGCCACAATAAAAATACATGTGCATGTGTCTTTATAGCAACATGATTTATAATCCTTTGAGTATATAACCAGTAATGGGATGACTGGGTCAAATGGCATTTCTAGTTCTAGATCCTTCAGGAATCACCACACTGACTACCACAATGGTTGAACTAGTTTACAGTCCCACCAACAGTGTAAAAGTGTTCCCATTTTCCACATCCTCTCCAGCACCTGTTGTTTCCTGACTTTTTAATGATCGCCATTGTAACTTGTGTGAGATGGTATTTCATTGTGGTTTTGATTTGCATTTCTCTGATGGCCAGTGATGATGAGCATTTTTTCATGTGTTTTTTGGCTGCATAAATGTCTTCTTTTGAGAAGTGTCTGTTCATGTCCTTCGCCCACTTTTTGATGGGGTTGTTTGTTTTTTTCTTGTAAATTTGTTGGAGTTCATTGTAGATTCTGGATATTAGCCCTTTGTCAGATGACCAGATTGCAAAAATTTTCTCCCATTCTGTAGGTTGCCTGTTCACTCTGGTGGTAGATTCTTTCACTGTGCAGAAGCTCTTTAGTTTAATGAGATCCCATGTGTCAATTTTGGCTTTTGTTGCCATTGTTTTTGTGTTTTAGACATGAAGTCCTTGCCCATGCCTATGTCCTCAATAGTATTGCCTATGTTTTCCTCTAGGGTTTTTATGGTTTTAGGTATAACATTTAAGTCTTTAATCCATCTTGAATTAATTTTTTATAAGGTGTAAGGAAGGAATCCAATTTCAGCTTTCTACATATGGCTAGCCAGTTTACCCAGCACCATTTATTAAATAGGGAATCCTTTCCCCATTGCTTGTTTTTCTCAGGTTTGTCAAAGATCAGATGGTGGTAGATATGCAGCATTATTTCTGAGGGCTCTGCTCTGTTCCATTGGTCTATATCGCTGTTTTGGTACAGTACCATACTGTTTTGGTTACTGTACCTTGTAGTATAGTTTGAAGTCAGGTAGCGTGATGCCTCCAGCTTTGTTCTTTTGGCTTAGGATTGACTTGGTGATGTGGGCTCTTTTTTGGTTCCATATGAACTTGAAAGTAGTTTTTTCCAATTCTGTGAAGAAAGTCATTGGTAGCTTGATGGGGATGGCATTGAATCTATAAATTACCTTGGGCAGTATGGCCATTTTCACAATATTGATTCTTCCTACCCGTGAGCATGGAATGTTCTTCCATTTGTTTGTATCCTCTTTTATTTCATTGAGCAGTGGTTTGTAGTTCTCCTTGAAGAGCTCCTTCACATCCCTTGTAAGTTGGATTCCTAGGTATTTTATTCTCTTTGAAGCCATTGTGAATGTGAGTTCACTCATGATTTGGCTCTCTGTTTGTTTGTTATTGGTGTATAAGAATGCTTGTGATTTTTGTACATTGATTTTGTATCCTCAGACTTTGCTGAAGTTGCTTATCAGCTTAAGGAGATTTTGGGCTGAGACGAAGGGGTTTTCTAGATATACAATCATGTCATCTGCAAACAAGGACAATTTGACTTCTTTTCCTAATTGAATACACTTTATTTCCTTCTCCTGCCTGATTGACCTGGCCAGAACTTCCAAAACTATGTTGAATAGGAGTAGTGAGAGAGGGCATCCCTGTCTTGTGCCAGTTTTCAAAGGGAATGCTTCCAGTTTTTGCCCATTCAGTATGATATTGGCTGTGGGTTTGTCATAGATAGCTCTTATTATTTTGAGATATGTCCCATCAATACCTAATTTATTGAGAGTTTTTAGCATGAAGCATTGTTGAACTTTCTGAAAGGCCTTTTCTGCATCTATTGAAATAATCATATGGTTTTTGTCATTGGTTCTGTTTATATGCTGGATTACATTTATTGATTTGCGTATGTTGAACCAGACTTGCATTCCAGGGATGAAGCCCACTTGGCCATGGTGGATAAGGTTTTTGATGTGCTGCTGGATTCGGTTTGCCAGTATCTCATTGAGGATTTTTGCATCAATGTTCATCAGGGATATTGGTCTAAAATTATCTTTTTTGTGTGTCTCTGCCAGGCCTTGGTATCAGGATGATGCTGGCCTCATAAAATGAGGTAGGGAGGATTCCCTCTTTTTCTATTGATTGGAATAGTTTCAGAAGGAAAGGTACCAGCTCCTCTTTGTACCTCTGGTAGAATTCAGCTGTGATTCCTTCTGGTCCTGGACTTTTTTTGGTTGGTAAGCAATTAATTATTGCCTCAATTTCAGTGCCTGTTATTGGTCTATTCAGAGATTCAACTTGTTCCTGGTTTAGTCTTGGGAGGTTGTAAGTTTCAAGGAATTTATCCATTTCTTCTAGACTTTCTGGTTTATTTGCATAGAGGTGTTTGCAGTATTCTCTGATGGTAGTTTGTATTTCTGTGGGATCAGTGCTGATATCCCCTTTATCATTTTTTATTGCATCCATTTGATTCTTCTCTCTTTTCTTCTTTATTTGTCATGCTAGCGGTCTATCAATTTTGTTGATCTTTTCAAAAAAACACCTCCTGGATTCGCTGATTTTTTGAAGGGTTTTTTGTGTCTCTATTTCCTTCAGTTCTGCTCTGATTTTAGTTATTTCTTGCCTTCTGCTAGCTTTTGAATGTGTTTGCTCTTGCTTTTCTAGTTCTTTTAATTGTGATGTTAGGGTGTCCATCTTGGATCTTTCCTGCTTTCTCTTGTGGGCATTTAGTGCTATAAATTTCCCTCCACACACTGCTTTGAATGTGTCCCAGAGATTCTGGTATGTTGTATCTTTGTTCTCATTGGTTTCAAAGAACATCTTTATTTCTGCCTTCATTTCGTTATGTACCCAGTAGTCATTCAGGAGCAGGTTGTTCAGTTTCCATGTAGTTGAGCAGTTTTGAGTGAGTTTCTTAATCCTGAGTTCTAGTTTGATTGCACTGTGATCTGAGAGACAGTTTGTTATAATTTCTGTTCTTTTACATTTCCTGGGGAGTGCTTTACTCCCAACTATGTGGTCAATTTTCCAATAAGTTCAGTGTGGTGCTGAGAAGAATGTAAATTCTGTTGATTTCGGATGGAGAGTTCTCTAGATGTCTATTAGGTCTGCTTGGTGCAGAGCTGAGTTCAATTCCTGGATATCCTTGCTAACTTTCTGTCTCATTGATCTGTCTAATGTTGACAGTGGGGTGTTAAACTCTCCCATTATTATTGTGTGGGAGTCTAAGTCTCTTTGCATGTCTCTAAGGACTTGCTTTATGAATCTGGGCGCGCCTGTATTGGGTGCATATATATTTAGGATAGTTAGCTCTTCTTGTTGAATTGATCCCTTTACCATTATGTAATGGCCTTCTTTGTCTCTTTTGATCTTTGTTGGTTTAAAGTCTGTTTTATCAGAGACTAGGATTGCAACTCCTGCCTTTTTTTGTTTTCCATTTGCTTGACAGATCTTCCTCCATCCCTTTATTTTGAGCCTATGTGTGTCTCTGCACGTGAGATGGGTTTCCTGAATACAGCACACTGATGGATCTTGACTCTTTATCCAATTTGCCAGTCTGCATCTTTTAATTGCAGCATTTAGCCCATTTACATTTAAGGTTAATATTGTTATGTGTGAATTTGATCCTGTCATTATGATGTTAGCTGGTTATTTTGCTCATTAGTTGATGCAGTTTCTTCCTAGCCTTGATGGTCTACAATTTGGCATGTTTTTTCAGTGTCTGGTACCGGTTGTTCCTTTCCATGTTTAGTGCTTCCTTCAGGAGCTCTTTTAGGGCAGGCCTGGTGGTGACAAAATCTCTCAGCATTTGCTTGTCTGTAAAGGATTTTATTTCTTCTTCACTTATGAAGCTTAGTTTGGCTGGATATGAAATTCTGGGTTGAAAATTCTTTTCTTTAAGAATGTTGAATATTGGCCCCCACTCTCTTCTGGCTTGTAGAGTTTCTGCTGAGAGACCAGCAGTTAGTCTGATGGGCTTCCCTTTGTGGTCAACCCAACCTTTCTCTCTGGCTGCCCTTAACATTTTTTCCTTCATTTCATCTTTAGTGAATCTGACAATTACGTGTCTTGGAGTTGCTCTTCTCGAGGAGTATCTTTGTGGCATTCTCTGTATTTCCTGAATTTGAATGTTGGCCTGCCTTGCTAGATCAGGGAAGTTCTCCTGGATAATATCCTGCAGCGTGTTTTCCAAGTTGGTTCCATTCTCCCCGTCACTTTCAGTTACACCAATCAGATGTAGATTTGGTCTTTTCACGTAGTCCCATATTTCTTGGAGGTTTTGTTTCTTTTTATTCTTTTTTTTCTAAACTTTTCTTCTCACTTCATTTCATTAATTTGATGTTCCATCACTGATACCCTTTCTTCCAGTTGATCATATCGGCTACTGAGGCTTGTGCATTCATCACATAGTTCTTTTGCCTTGGTTTTCAGCTCCACCAGGTCCTTTAAGGACTTCTCTACATTGGTTATTCTAGTTAGCCATTAGTCTAATTTTTTTTCAAGGTTTTTAACTTCTTTGCCATGGGTTCGAACTTCCTTCTTTAGCTCAGAGTAGTTTGATTGTCTGAAGCCTTCTTCCCTCAACTCATCAAAGTCATGCTCCATCCAGCTTTGTTCCATTGCTGGTGAGGAACTGTGTTCCTTTGGAGGAGGAGAGGTGTCCTGAATTTTAGAGTTTCCAGTTTTTCTGCTGTTTTTGCCCCATCTTTGTGGTTTTATCTACCTTTGGTCTTTGATGATGTTGACGTACAGATGGGGTTTTGGTGTGGATGTCCTTCCTCTTTGACAGTTTTGCTTCTAACGGTCAGGACCCTCAGCTTCAGGTCTGTTGAAGTTTGCTGGAGGTCCACTCCAGACCCTGTTTGCCTGGTTATCAGCAGCGGAGGCCGCAGAACAGCAGATATTGGTGAGCAGCAAATGTTGCTGCCTGATTATTCCCCTGGAAGTTTTGTCTCAGTGGAGTACCCGGCTGTGTGAGGTGTCAGTTTGCCCCTACTTGGGGGTGCCTCCCAGTTAGGGTACTTGGGGGTCAGGGATCCACTTGAGGAGACAGTCTGTCCATTCTCAGATCTCCAGCTATGTGCTGGGAAAACCACTACTCTCTTCAAAGCTGTCAGACAGGGACATTTAAGTCTGCAGAGGATTCTGCTGCCTTTTATTTGGCTATGGCCTGCCCCCAGAGGTGGAGTCTACAGAGGCAGGCAGGCCTCTTTGAGCTGCGGTGCGCTCCACCCAGTTTGAGCCTCCAGGCTTCTTTGTTTACTTATTCAAGCCTCGGCAATGGCGGGTACCCCTCCCCCAGCCTCGCTGCCACCGTGCAGTTTGATCTCAGACTGCTGTGCTAGCAATGAGCAAGGCTCCATGGGTGTAGGACCCTCTGAGCTATGCACAGGATATAATCTCCTGGTGTGCAGTTTGCTAAGACCATTGGAAAAGCGCAGTATTAGGGTGGGAGTGGCCCAATTTTCCAGGTGCCATCTGTCACCCCTTTCTTTGACTAGGAAAGGGAATTCCCTGACCGCTTGTGCTTCCCAGGTGAGGTGATGCCTCGCCCTGCTTTGGCTCATGCTCAGTGCACTGCACCCACTGTCCTGCACCCACTTTCTGACACTCCCCAGTGAGATGAATCTGGTACCTCAGTTGGTAATGCAGAAATCACCCATCTTCTGTGTCGCTCATGCTGGGAGCTGTAGACTGGAGCTGTTCCTATTTAGCCATCTTGGCTCCACCCGAGATTTTCTATAGAAAAAAAATTTCATCTATAAGTAGAGATACTTTTATTTATTTATTTATTTAGTAAAAGTAACAAAATTAGAGAAATGGAGAACAAATTTCTGGTTGCCAGCATTAAGGAGGGAAGCAGATGTGGCTATAAAAAGGTGATATCAAGAATCTGATTGTTATGGAACTATGTTACATCTTTAATGTATCAATGTCAATATCCAGGTGGAGATATGGTGCTATGTTTTTGTAAGATGCTACCATTGAGGAAAATTTAGTATGCAGCATATCTCTTTACTATTTCTTTCAACCACATGTGGATCTATAATTATCTCAAAATAAAAATTTTAATTAAAAATGTCAATGAAATTTGTTCATTTAATTGAATCCAATCTAATAAAAGAAATACTATTTAGCCATTTTCCTAAGGCCACAACACATGACACTTGCACATTTATGCCAATATCATGAAATGTATGTTACACCGCATTTCTGATCAATTTATATCACCTGAGGAAAATCATTGTATCTCATATAGGCATATATGTTTAAAACTCTAACTTCATATACCCAGAGCCTAGGAGTTATAAATACGTTACATAATGGCTTAAAAATAAATTGATTAGACTCTATGTCTTCTTTCTATTTATGTTCCTGATTTTTACCTTTATATCTTTGGAAACTCTGAGTATGTTTGCTGTAAGCAGAGACTTCTGATATATGCTCAACTTGACAAAATGCATAATAGTAGAAGATGGAATGCCTAGGAAAATAAATAACATGGGAATTTATTCCCATGTTCCAACTCTAGAAAAGTTGTACTGACAACAATAAAGAATAATATTGCTTTCAGTAAATCGATGATATTCAGAAATTTTATTAATAATATAAAGTTTTAACCTAGAAATATTGAAATTAAAGTTCTCATCCCTGGTCCTCATAATTTAAACCCACTCATGATTTTTTTAAACCCACAAAATAAGAAATAAAATGTTTAGGGTAGGGTGGCTAGTTTTCATTATACATCCAAATCTAAACACTCTTCCTTTTATACTTTGTCTTTTAAAACTATAAAGTACAAAGTACTAATTTAACTTTGAGACAGAGTATAAATCTGAGATGAGAAAACAAATTAAAAAATCTTCAACAGTATTTCATTAATTCATTCAATATTTAATGGGCATTAACTATGTTATAATAGGTAATTAAGATATATTCGTAAACAGGACAGACTGTTTTCATGGAATTTATATTCCAGTGGTAATCAATCTAGATCATGTCCTTTGCAAGAACACGGACAGAGCTGGAGGCCACTATCCTTAGCAAACTAACACAGGAACAGAAAACCAAATACCGCATGTTCTCACTCATAAGTGGGAGCAAAATAATGGGAATACATGGACACATAGAAGAGAAGAACATACCCTGAGGCCTTTCAGAGCATGGAGGGTGGGAGAAGGAAGACCATCAGGAAAAATAACTAAGGGATGCTAGGCTTAATACCTGGGTGACAAAACAATCTGTACAACAAACCCCCATGACACAAGCTTACCTATGTAACAAACCTGAACATGTACCCCTGAACTTAAAAGTTAAATTTAAGAAATAATTCTAGAGTAATTACTTCTATTATATATATGTACCCATTTTATATTATTAATATTTCTATTAGCATAGGAAGGTTGGGTTACTGTTGCTTTGAAAGCCATAATTTCTCTAAATCTTTTCTATCTATCGTTCACAATTGCTCAAAACTTTTCATCAACAGGTGAATGAATAAACAAATTGTGATATGTTTATATTATGGACAATTATCCCACAACAAAAAGAAAATGAACTGTTGATATAGGCAACATGGATGACTCTCAAAAACATTATGCTGCGCAAAAGATGCCAGACACAAAAGAATACAAACTATATAACTCCATTATATGAAACTCTAGAAAAGATAAATCTACTCTGTGGTGACAAAAACTAGATCAGTGATTGTTTGGGGCTAAGGCCAAGGGAAATTGACAGGGAAGATAAGTTTGGAAAATGTTCTACATTTGTATCTTAATTGTTTTGTGGATTATACAAGTGTACAAATTTTGCATAATTTATTAAAATGTACATTTAAAATGAGTGCATTTTATCATGTGTAAATTATTCTTCAATAAAGTAAGTATTTAAAAGTCAACATAATTTATGTTATAGGCTCAAAGAGAAATTAATAAAAATTATTAGAATTAACAGAATAAAAGAGAAAATCATATAATCATCAAATTAGATGCAGAAAAAGCATTTGACAAAAACTCACTCATTTAAAAAAAAAACTATTAGCCAAGAGAAATAGGAGCCTAAAAAATAAACAAACCAAAGCCAACAAAATCCCCTTCAATAAATGTTAAAATGTTGAAAGCTCATCTCCTGAGATTTAGTATGAGATAATGTCTATTATCACCACTTCTTTTCAGTATTGTACTGGAAGTCCTAGCCAGTGCAATGAGGTCAGAAAAAAATGAAATAATAAGGATTATAAAAGAAGAAATAAAACTGTTATTACTCACACATGACATTATGCTTATAGTGAAAATTCAAAGGAATCTATGGATAAACAAAATTTAGCAATATCTTTAGATAAATATATAAAAATCAATTGCATGCCTGAATGTTTAGAATGAATGTTTGGAAATGAGATTTTTTAAAATATATTTTTTACAAGTATCAAAAAAGTAAATACCTAGGTTTAAATCTAATTAAGAATGTGTAAGATATCTACATAGGAAACTAAAAATATATTACTAAACAAAATTAAACACCTAAATAAAAGGAGTGATATATCATGTTCATGAACTGGAAGATTCACGGTTGTAAAAAATTAATTCCTCCAAATGGATCTATAGTAATAGTAAAATGTAAATCAGAATCCAAGCAGATTTTGTGGGGGTTTTTTGTTTTAGAAATTTGACAAGTTGATTCTAAAATAAGATACAATTCCAAAGGACCAAGAATAACCAAAGTATCTTGAGATATGTTGGAAGACTTATACTATCAGATATCAACATTTATAACAAAATGACAGCAATTACAGCCAAGTGACATTTGTGTATGAATAGATAAGTAAAGAAATATTACAAAACAGACTCAAGAAACAAATCTATGCATATGTGGTCACTTGGTAACAACATTGCCAGTGCATTGCAATGGTTAAGAAGGAAGACTTTTCCAATAAGTAGCACTGGATCAATTGATTTACCATATGAAAAATATGGTTATGCAGTACTTCCTCATACTATACACAAAAAAATTAATTACAGATGGATTATATACTTAAATGTTAAAGCAATAAATTTCTAGATGTTAATATAAGATATTGGGTTGATATCCTATATTATGGACCTATATGACCTATCTGACTTGGGTTGGTAAAGATTTCTTAAACACAAGAATCACTGAGTTTAAACAAAAAGATTAATTCATTGATTGCATTAATATCAAGAAATTATGTTTGTGTCATTGGCAGCATCATTAAAACACATTATTAGTGGAATAAAAAGCAAATTACAGCATAAGAGAAGATATTTCCAATTCTTATATTTAAAAATCATTACACATTTTAGAAACTCCTATAAATCAGTAAAAATAAAAACAAACAATTCAGTAAATATAAAAACAGTAAAAATAAAAATAATACACCCCTCACAGAAAACATTATCCAAAAGTAATAAATGCATATGAAAGTGCTAGTGTTCATTAGTCATCAGAAAAATATAAATCAAAATACTGGTACTAATCAGGTACCAGTACCCAAGCTTCACATGCTAAAGTGAAAATATTTGGTAGTACCAAGAGCTGACAAAACATGAAACTATCATATATTACTGGTGGAGGTATAAATTGATGTAACTTATTTGGGGAAATGGTACTAAAGCTGAACTTATGTTCATCCTAGAATTCAGTAATTCCAAATGTATGTATATACCCAACAGAAATGAGTATATATGTATACCAAAAGAACAAACAAAAATATCAATAACAGAATTATTCTTTGTAGGCAGAACCTGGGGAGGAAAGGATGACATTTTAAACTTATGGAATGTGCCTAAAGAACTATACATAGGTTTAAATTCTTATATTACAAAGAAGAGAGGTTGAAAATTTTAAGTCTTCAACTCAAAAAAAAAAGACAAAAATCAAAACACAACAAAGGTAATTCTAAGAAGGAGAAAGAAATACAAATGAGAAAATAATATAATAAAAACAGTAATATAATAGAAAAGATTAATAAAGTCAAAAGTGGTTCTTTGAAAAGCATTTAAATGGAAAAAGCTCTGGCAAGACTGGTTAAGAAAGAAAAGACATGGTACAAAGAAACTCTGTTTGGAATCTTTTTAAAAATAGTAAATATAAATGACATGATAAAAATCCTACGAACAACTCCATACTAATACATTTGGAAACAAATACAAAGTGAACAATTGTTAGATAAATTATCAAAACTGTCTTTTAATGGCAGTATTATACTTAAAGGCCCAGGAGTTATTAACAGGATGACTGTATACCTCCTGGTTGACACCTGTTTTCCCAGCATAATTGTCGCATCTTCTTTCACTCTTAATTGCTCCCGTTTGCCAATAATTTATGTGGTTGCCTATAAATAAGGGAATATTGGGGATTTAGTGGGAGTTCATGTAGAAGGAGGCCCTGACTATCATCCCTACATAGGCTGCTGTCCACAATTATAAATAAGTTGAATGTGATGAGATACATGTTGGAAAAAAAATGAGTACGTGTTTGCCTCTGTCTTGGCACACTGATAGCATCACCTGGCTTCATACCCATAAGGAGCTTTATAAAGAACGGTGGTGCTGACAGAGAAGGGATTCTCAAGTTCCTAAGAGCTTCTTGGTCCTCAATCATTTGCTCCAATTCTCTAAAGCTGCTCTGCCTATACAATTTTATCAGCTTGCAGGAGAGTCAGACTAAGATAAGGTTTGCTCCAACTACTGAATATTTCTTCTAGAAACTCACCATACCCTATGCACCCCCATCCTTAAGGCTAATTTTAACCATTTGCTTGTTTACAGTTATGGTGGATCCTTGACCATTTGAGTGGAACTGATTGACAGAATTGCCACTGTAACAAGAAATTTTAAAATACACTGTTTGCCTGTGATCATCTTTATATTTATGCTACTTTCATATTTTGCACTAAAATTTAATGTTAGCCCTTTTATAAGGATAGGCTGGAATATACTTTGGTAATAAACAACACCCAAAATATCAGTGTTTAACAAAGGTACATTTCTTTTTCATACTACATGTCTACAGTAGGTCAGAAGTGTACTGTTCATCTTTAGCACTCGAAAACCCAGGCTGACAGAGTAGCCATCATCTCAGACCTACTGGTTGCTCATTATAGAATTGACATAGGTCATTGTCAGTCAGAACTCACTGGCCAGAAATAGTTAAAAGGGTCCACCCCAAAATGACACCACGCTCACCCACACCGCTCTGTCTTCAATTTTTATGGTCTTTGGAGCCTATAAGGACTTTGTAGAAAGTATCATTCTCCTTTAAAATTGTTTTTTGAAAATGTTTTTTAATTTTATTTTAAGTTACATTGTATATGTGCAGAATGGGCAGGTTTGTTGCATAGTTAAACTTGTGCCATGGTGGTTTCCTGCATCTATCAACCCATCACCTAAGTATTAAGCCCAGCATGTATTCGTTATTTTTCCTGGTGCTCTCCCTCTCCCAGCCTCCCCAACAGGCTCTAGCATGTGCTGTTTTTCTCCCTGTGTTCATATGTTCTCATTGTTCATCTCCCGTTTATAAGTGAGAACATGCAGTGTTTTGTTTTCTGTTCCTGTGTTAGTTTGTTGAGGACAATGACTTCCTGCTCCAACCATGTTGCTGCAAAGGATATGATCTCGTTCCTTTTTATGGCTGCATAGTATTCCATGGTGTTTATGTACCACATTTTCTTTATACAGTCTATCATTGATGGGCATTTGGGTTGATTCCATGTCTTTGCTATTGTGAATCGTGCTGCAGTGAACATATGCTTGCATGTATCTTCGTAATAAAATGATTTATATATTTTTAAGATATGCCCAGTAATGAAATTGCTGGATCAAATGGTATTTCTGCCTCTAGGTATTTGAGGAATTGCCACACTGTCTTTCACAATGGGTGAGCTAATTTACATTCCTCCCAAGAGTGTAAAAGTGTTCCTATTTCTTCATAGCCTTGCAGCATCTGTTGTTTCTCGACTTTTTAATAATTGCCATTCTGACTGGCATGAGATGGTATTTCATTGTGGTTTTCATTTGTATTTTTCGAGTGATCAGTGATGTTGAGCTTTCTTTCATATGTTTGTTGCCACATAAATGGCTTCTTTTGAGAAGTGTCTATTCATGTCCTTTACTCATTTTAATGTGATTGTTTGGTTTTTTTCTTGTAACTTTGTTTAATTTCCTTGTAAACACTGGATATTAGACATTTGTCAGATGGATAGATTGCAAAAATTTTCTCCCTTTCTCTAGGTTGTCTGTTCTCTCTGATGATAGTTTCTTTTGCCATGCAGAAACTCTTTAGTTTAATTAGGTCACATTTGTCAATTTTCGCTTTTGTTACAATTGTTTTTAACATTTTCATCATGAAATTTTTGTCCATGCCTATGTCCTGAATGGTACTGCTTAGATTTTCTTCTAGGGTTTTTATTGTTTGGGGCTTTACATTGAAGTCTTTAATCCATCTTGAATTAACTTTTCTATAAGCTATAAGGAAGGGGCCCAGGTTCAATTTTCTGCATATGGCTAGCCAGTTCTCCCAGCACCATTTATTACACAGCAAATCCTTTCCCCATTGCTTGTTTTTGTCAGGTTTGTCAAAATCAGATGGTTGTAGTATATGGTCTTATTTCTGAGTTCTCTATTCTGTTCCATTGGTTTATGTGTCTGTTTTTGTACCAGGACCATGCTGTTTTTCTTACTGTATACAGTATCGTTTGAAGTTGGGTAGCATGATGACTTCGGCTTTATTCTTTTTGCTTAGGATTGTCATGGCTATATGAGCTCTTTTTTGATTTCATATGAATTTTTAAATTGTTTCATGTAATTCTGTGAAGAATGTCAATGGTAGTTTAGCGGGAATAGCATTGGTTCTATAAATTACTTTGGGAAGTATGGTCATTTTCACAATATTGATTCTTTTTATCAGTGAGCATGGAATGTTTTTCTATTTGTTTGTGTCTTCTCTGGTTCTTTTGAGTGGTGGTTCGTAGTTCTCCTTGAAGAGGTCTTTCACTTTCCTTGTTAGCTGTATTCTTAGATATTTTATTCTCTTTGTAGCTATTGTGAATGGGATTTCATTCAAGATTTGGCTCTCTGCTTGTCTGTTGTTGGTGAGTAGGGATGCTTGGAATTTTTGCATGTTGATTTTGTATTCTGAGACTTTGCTGAAGTTGTTTATCAGCTTAAGAAGCTTTTGGGCTGAGACGATGGTGTTTTCTAGATATACGATCATGTCATCTGCAAACAAAGACAATTTGACTTCCTCTCTTCCTATTTGAATACTTTTTATTTCTTTCTCTTTTCTGATTGCCGTAGCCAGAACTTCCAGTACTATGTTGAATAAGAATGAAGAGAGAGGTCATCCTGGTGCCTGTATTCAAGAGGAATGCTTCCAGCTTTTGCCCACTCAGTATGATGTTGGCTGTGGGTTTGTCATATAAGACTCTTATTTTTTTTGAGATATGTTCCTTTAATACCTAAAACTGTTTATCGACAGTTTTTAACATCAAGGGATGTTGAATTTTATTGAAGGCCTTTTCTTCATCTATTGAGATAATCATGTGGTTTTTGTCTTTAGTTCTGATTATGTGATGAATTACATTTATTGATTTGTGTATGTTGAACCAGACTTGCATCCCAGGGCTGAAGCCAACTTGATCATGGTGGATAAGTTTTTTGATGTGCTGCTGGAATCAGTTTGCCAGTATTTTATTGAGGATTTTTGCATCAGTGTTCATCAGGGATATTGGCCTGAAGTTTTTTGTTGTTGTTGTTGTATCTCTACCAGGTTTTGGTAAGAGGATGACACTGGCCTCATCAAATTAATTAGGGAGAAGTCCCTCCTTTCCAACTGTTTGGAATAGTTTCAGTGAAATGGCACCAGCTCCACTTTGTACCTCTGGCAGAATTCAGCTGTAAACCCATCTGGTCTTGGGCTTTTTTTTGTTTGGTAGGCTATTCCTGTGTCCAGGAACTTATCCATTTCTTCTAGATTTTCTGTTTATTTGCATAGAAGTGTTCATAATATTCTCTGATGGTTATTTGTATTTTTGTGGGGCCAGTGATGTTATCCCCTTTATAATTTTTTATTGTGTCTATTTTATTTTTCTCTCTTCTTTGTCAGTCTAGCTAGAGGTCTATTTATTAATTTTTTCAAAAAAAAACAGCTTCTGGATTCATTGATTTTTTTTGCAGGGCTTTTCATGTCTCTATCTTCTTCAGTTCCACTCTGATCTTGGTTATTTCTTGCCTACTGCTAGCTTTGGGGTTTGTTTGCTCTTGGCCATCTAAGTTCTTTTAGTTGTGATGTTAGGATGTTGATTTGAGATCTTTCTTGCTTTTTGATGTAGGCATTTTAGTGCTATAAATTTCCCGCTTAACACTGCTTTAGTTGCATCCCAGAGATTCTGGTACATCATTTGTTCTCATTAGTTTCAAAAACACTTCTTGTTTTCTGCCTTAATTTCATTACTTATCCAGGAGTCATTCAGGAGCAGGTTGTTCAATTGCCATGTAGTTGTGTGATTTTGAGTGAGTTTCTTAATCTTGAGTTCTAATTGGATTACACTGTAGTCTGAGACACTGTTATGATTTCAGTTCTTTTTGCATTTGCTCAGGATTGTTTTACTTTCAACCATGTGATTGATTTTGGAGTAAGTCCCATGTGGCACCAAGAAGAATGTATATTCTGTTGTTTTTGGGTGGAGAGTTCTGTAGATACCTATCAGGTTCATCTGATCCAGAGCTGAGTTCAGGTCCTCAATATCTTTGATAATTTTATGTCTTGATGATCGGTCTAATATTGACAGTGGGGTGTTAAAGTCTCTCACTTTTATTGTGTGGGAGGCTAGCCTCTTTGTAGATCTCTAAGAACTTGCTTTATGAATCTGGGTGCTCCTGTATTAGGTGCATGTATATTTAGGATAGTTAGCTCTTCTTGTTGAATTGAACACTTTACCATTATGTAATTCACTTCTTTGTCTTTTTTGATCTTTGTTGGTTTAAAATCTGTTTTGTCAGAAACTAGGATTGCTAACCCCTGTGTTTTCTGCTTTCCATTTGCTTGGTAAATTTTCCTCCATCCCTTTGTGTCTTTGCATGTGAGATGGATCTCTTGAATACAGCACACCATTGGGTCTTGACTCTATCCAGCTTGCCATTCTGTGTCTTTTAATTGGGGCATTTATCCCTTTTACAATTAAGGTTAATATTGTTAAGTGTAAATTTGATCCCATCATCATAATACTAGCTTGTTATTTTGTAGACACGTTACTGTAGTTGCTTCATAGTGTCAGTGGTCTTTGTACTTCAGTATGTTTTTGTAGTGGCTGGTAATAGTTTTTCCTTTCTGTATTTAATACTTCCTTCAGGAGCTCTTGCAAGACAGACCTGTTGGTAGTGAATTCCCTCAGCATTTGCTTGTCTGAAAAGGATTTTATTTCTCTTTCACTTATGAAGCTTAGTTTGGCCAGATACAAAATTCTCGGTTATAAATTCTTTTCTTTAAGATTGCTGAATATTGGTCCCCATTCTCTTCTGGCTTGTAGGGTTACCACTGAGGGGTCCACTGTTAGTCTGATGGGCTTCCCTTTGTATTGAGTCAGTGCAAAATAACTGCAGTTTTTGCTATTTAAAAGTAATGTCATTACTTTAAAATGGCAAATTTTAAAATGTCACTACTTTTAAATGGGAAAAAATGCAGTTTCTTTTGCACCAACCTAATAGATGACCTGGCCTTTCTCTCTGGCTGCACTTAACATTTTTTATTCCATTTTTACCTTGGAGAATCTGATGATTATGTGTCTTGGGTTGATCTTCTCATGGAGTATCTTACTGAGTTTCTCTGGATTTCCTGAATTTGAATGTTGGCCTGTCTTGCTAGGTTGGGAAAGTCCTCCTGGAAGATATCCTGAAGTATGTTTTCCAACCTGGTTTCATTCTCCCCATCTCTTTCAGGTACCTCAATCAGTCATAGGTTTGGTCTTTTTACATGATCCCATAGCTTTTGGAGTTTTTTTCTTTCTTTTTCATTCTTTTTTCTCTAATCTTGTCTGCCTGTCTTATTTCAGCAAGATAGTCTTCAAGCTCTGAAATTCTTTTCTCCACTTAGTATATTGATACTTGTGATGGCATTTTGAAGTTCTCATGTTGTGTTTTTCAGCTCCACCAGGTCATTTATGTTCCTCTCTAAACTGGTTATTCTGGTTAACACCTTCTGTAATGTTTTGTCATGGTTATTAGCTTCTTTGTATTGCGTTAGAACATACCCCTTTAGATCAGCCAAGTTCATTATTACCCACCTTCTGAAGCCTTCTTCTGTGATCAACTCATCCATCTCAGCCTCAACCCAGTTCTGTGCCCTTGCTGCAGATATGTTGCTATCATTTGGAGGAGAAGAGGCAGTCTGGCTGATTGAGTTTTCAGTGTTTTTGCATTGAATCTTTCTCATCTTTGTGGATTTATCTACCTTTGATCTTTGACACTGCTGACCTTTGGATGCAGTTTTTGTAGGCTCTTTTTTGTTGATGTTGTTGTTGTTGCTTTCTGTTTGTTTCTTTTTCTGTTAACAGTCAGGCCCCTCTTCTGTAGGGCTGCTGCAGTTTTCTGGGGTCCACTCCAGACCCTATTCCCCTGGGTCCCACCCCCCCAACCTGTAGGTGTCACCAGTGGAGTCTGAAGAACAGCAAAAATAGCTGCCTGCTCTTTCCTCTGGGAGCTCCATCCCAGAGGGGCACTGACCTGATTCCCACCAAAATGCTCCTGTATATGGTGTCTGGCATACCCTGTTGTGAGGTCTTACCCAGTGAGGAGGCACAGGATCAGTGATCCACTTAAAAAATCAGTCTGGCTGCCCCCTGGTGGAGTAGGTGCGCTGCACTGTGGGGAATACCCCTCATCTTGGCTGCCCGGACTCTTCAAAGCCAGCAGGCAGGAAAGACTAAGTCCATTGAACTGCGGAGACTGCAGCCACCCCTCTTCCCAGGAGCTCCATCCCAGGGAGATCAGAGTTCTGTCCCTAAACCCCTGGCTGGAGTGCTGAAATTCCTATACGGAGGTCCCACGTGGTGAGGAGGGATGGATCCAGGTCCCACCTAAAGAAGCAGTCTGGCCACAATCTGCACAGCTGCTGTGCTGTGCTGTGGGGAATTCCTACTGATCCAAATCACCCAGTCTCCGGGGGCAGGGGACAATGGCTGACCGAAGCAACAGTGATGGCAGTCCCCATTCCTCTCAGAACTCCATCATCTTGGGCAGTCTCCAGCCTGCTGCTGCTGGTCACAACCAGAGCAGCCACCAAGAGTCTGCACAGCTCTGTAATTGGGACCCAAGGCCCTGGTGACAGGGACTTATGAGGGGATCTCTTGCAGTGTGCTTCTTGGCATTATTTACATTTTGATAAGTCAAGAAAAAGTTTTGGATCTTAATATTAATTGTGAATATACTTGAACTTATTTTTCACCTGCATTCACCTCTTGCAATAAATACCTCTCAGCCTAGACTCTCCTTCAAACACCAGTCAAGAGAAAAACCACATTATGATTAGACATGCCTTCATGGGTGCTCTTTCGATCATAAAAATCCAAAATTAAAGGGTAGGTTATTAATTGAATTTCTATGTTTTGTTTTTAGCTACAAAATGACAAATGCATAGTTATGAAAATCATGTTTGAAGAAATTCTGACAAATGCATAGTTATGAAAATCACATTTGAAGAAATTATTTTCATTTTTTCTATTTTAGGACAAGAGTAAAGGTTACTGCTACAGGAACTGTCATCAGTAGTACTTTCTCACATCTCCCTTGCTCTTTGCTTTGTCAAATGGGATTGAGTGTAGAAAAGGTACTTTGCAACAAATGGGGAGTTGGTTGTTCAGTTGCATTCTTCTTTTCCCTGGTGGCTACTTACCATCTGGCAGGTACTCCCGTTGGTGTTGGCTAGGCTCATCTTCCTCAGAGTGGCTGGAAATGTACAACCTGTTACTAAGTGACTGCCAGTAAATAAGGAACTTCTCTCATTTCCCATTCTGCTTTGGTTGCCAAATGAATACATTACTTTAATATCTAAAAGCCTTTACCAGCTGCTGGGTTCTATTATTTCCCATTGTGATTACCTGAACTTCCCAGCTCCCATATTGTTCTGCCATTTTCACAGTGGGGTCCCCAGAGACGCTGCACAAAAATCTCAGAACTATTGCCTCTGAAGCTTTATGAAGCCAAAGCAGTCCAATTTTCCATAGTCCACAAACTACAACATCCTGGCAAACTGGCCTCTCATCCAAAGGTTTTTCTTCCCAGTAAGTTTTGTAACACTCCCTAATGCTCTTCTTGTTGATTTTTAATTTGACAAATAACACTGTATGTATTTATCATGTACAACATGATGTTTCAAGGTATATATGCATCCTGGAATGCTTAACTCTTGCTAATTAACAAATACATTACCTCACACAGTTACCAATTTTGCGGTGAGAACATTCAACATTCACTCTCTTTGTCTTTTTCAAGAATACAATTTATCATCATTACTTTGGTTACCCTGCTGTACAATAGATCTCTTGAATGTATTCCTCCTATCTACCTGTAATTATGTATACTTGGACTAACCCCCCTCCTCACCACCAGCCTCTCATAACCCACTACTGTACTCTCTACTTCTATGAGATTGACTTTTTTAGATTCCACTCATGAATGAGATCATGCAGTGTTTATCTTTCTGTGCCTGGCTTATTTCACTTAATATAATGTCATTTAGATACATCCATCTTGTCACAAATGACAGAATTTCATTTTTTAATGGCTGAATATGGTATTCATTGTGTATATGCCACATTTTCTTAATCCATTCATCCACTGATGGACATTTAGGTTGATTTCATATCTTGGCTTTTGTAAACAAAGCTGCAATAAACATGGCAGTGCAGATAACTCTTTGACATACTGATTGCACATCTTTTGCATATATACCCATTAGTGGAATTGCTGGATCATATGGTAGTTCTATTTTTAGTTTTGTGAGGAACCTCGATACTGTTTTCCTTAATGGCTATACTAATCTAATGCTTTTGTTTTCTTTACTTCACAATTCAGGTCTTTGGATAAGGATATTCTTCAATTTACACAGCCGATTAGTTACATAAGGTGTGGAAATCAGGTTTTTTAAAATTGACATATATGTTGACTCTACTAGGGACAGTTATTGTGTAAAAGAACATTGTTAGAATTCTTTGATAAGCCAATTCTTTTGCGTATCAAATGACCACACCTAATTTACATATGTGAAAAACAAAATGCTCATGTATCGCATGTGCTTAAATACTGAGTACACCATAAAAGATGTTTACATTACAATGTCTCATTTCACAGCATAGTCACTATTAATTTCTATTGTTTGGAAGTCCTTTTGCTTATTTTCTTTTTACTTGTTTTTGAAGTAAGACATCAATAAACCACAGGCATAGATTTCTTTTTCCAGAAATATCAGTGATGAACAGCAGTGTTAATATGAGGGGAACATGCTACAAGAGTGGTATCCATCCTGATTGGTCAGTGCTAATCAAATTTAATTAATGACTCTATCAATCATTAGATTTTTTGCTATCATCCCTTCTCATCAAAAAAGTTGCTTTCAAATAAGAAATGGAGGGCCTGAGTATCTTAAATTAATCACCTAATAAATTATTCCCCAAACTGAGACGCAAGAAATACTAGCCCTTTAAAATTTCCCATCAGTTTACCCATACATTTTGGGCATACTATTCCTTGTTACTAACCACCACATACATACAGGACTATTCTTACTTATATTAATATTGAGATTATTGAATCTTATTTTACAATATAGATTTCCTTCAGAGTATTAAATAGTCTTTAAAAACAAATGGTATGATATGACATATATGTCAATTATAAACACCCTAAGGTTATAAAATTATTTAAATTTTTTCTTGGAAGTATATTTCTGTCCTTTTCTTAAAGGGAGACAGCATTCATAATGAGAAAAAAAAAGTCTCTTTTCAACACTATCATTACATTGCCAATTACTTTTTTAAAGGATAGGGATTATCTGATCAAGCAAGTATAATAAATTTTGTCATCTATAGTCTTTTGAAAATTGCCTGCACATATCAGGGCCTTTAGGACTCTAAGACAATTTGCAACAAATTGACAGATTTAAACTAAATTGAGTATTTTCTAAATGAATATATTCATGGACATTTTTTCTGGGGTGTGATTAATAAAACCTTGAGAAATATAGAACAAATACTGGCTACCCTGACATCATTTGGTAATTCACCAAAAATTATTGAGTATTAAAATCTAGCATTAAAAATATCAACTTTTGATGTAAATTGAAGAGTACAAGTACAGTTTTTTTTAACATGGTATATTGCATAGAGGTGAAGTCTAGGCTTTTAGTGTAACCATCAGTGGAATAATGTACACTGTAACCACTAAATAATGTCTCATCCCTCACCCCCTCCCATCTACCCATCCTTTTGAGTCTCCAGTGTCTATTATTTCACAATCTATGTCCATAGGTGCACATTATTTGCTCTCACTTATAAGTGAGAACATGTGGTATTTGACTTTCCTTTTCTAAGTTGTTTCTCAAATGTTTTATATAGCGTCCAAACATTTGCAACGTTATTAAATAATAGAATTTCAACACAGAAAGTGTGCTTTTATTTTCTGTATGTTATAGACCCCACTGCACGATATGGAAGAAACGTTGCTGGCACTTTTAGTAATTCTTATATGATAGTCCTGGCCTAGGGACTCAGGAACACATTCAGTCTGCTCCAGTCTACCTCTAGCAATGAGAATGAATGAGACACTGCAGACCTGACTCTCTCAGGAAAAAGTGAAGAGGCCAGTGTGGCTGGAACAGAGAGACTGAGGCAAGTCATAGGCAAAGAGGTCGGGGGAGAACTGAGGGCAGGTGAGACCTGAAGAGCCTGTGGGCCATGGGGAAGACTTTGGCTTTTACTCTGAGTGAGATGGGGGGACATTGGAGGGTTTTTAGCAGACAAGTATTCTGATGTAACTTACATTTTTAAAGGATCATACTCTCTGCAGTGATGAAAGTAAATTATAGAGGGCTGGGAAGACAAGCAGAAAGACCTTTTGGGACAAGAACCATAACCCAGGCAAGATATCACAACAGCCTGAGTATGGGCAGTAACATGAATAGGGTGAGATGGCGTGAGGGTGAGATAAAAAGACAAGTCATGGATAACTCCAAGGCCTGAGAAACTCGAAGATGAAGTTGCCATCAACTGAGATGGGAAAATTGTGGGTGGAACACACAATTGAGGCAGATAGATTAGGAGTTCAGTTTTGAACATATAAAGTCTGAGATGTCTCTTAGACATGGAAGTGGATATGTGAGTAGGAAGTTGGATATAGTATATATCTGGAGCTTAGCAGAGAAGAGGCTAAAAATTCATTTTCATTTCTGTTCTAATTCTCTTCTCAAAACTAACCAAATAAAACTCAGAAAATTGGCACATTTCTGATACAATAACTGAGTAAGATGGAAAATTCTGCTAGAATCCATGAAGATAGATTCTGATTCTGGATTCTAACTAAAAACATACCCCAGAACATTATTTGACTTGATTTTTATTTGATTCTCTCACCTTGACATTATGGGCAGTGAGTTAAATTTTTCTAGATGGTAATGGCTTTCTGCCCATAAAAACCACTTCCCCATAGTCCATTATCTTTCCTGAATAGCAAAACTAGCCCAAGGGTCAGGGGTAAAGCTGAATTTGAAAGGAAATAGCTTGCCCCAAAATGTTGAAAGGACAGCCTGATAAACTCTTAATTTTAAGAGAGCTAACACTGAGAACATCTGATGTGAGAACAAAATTTTGGAAAATACAACTACAGCAAACAGAAGCATTGTCTGGGGCTATGGGGCTTTCTACTGCCCAGAAGGATGATTGAAGAAATAATTTACTTGAAAAGTATTATGGTAGTTAGCATAGTCTGCTACGGTTCAGGAAAAGTGAAAATCTTTCCCACATATTCAGGGATTAGTTTTCGTTTTGTTTTGTTTTGTTTTTAATGGAGACAGCAGAAAGTGAAATCAAAAAACTAATCTAAAAGAATTATATCCCAACATTTTAAAATTTGCTTTTTACTTTAAATTTTACGTGACACAGTATTAAAAGGGTAAAATTTCCTTGGAGAATGCAGTAGATAGATACTATGAAAAGTGCATTAAAAATGGAAATTTAATTCAACAAATGTGTATTTAGTGTTTCCATGTACAAATACAGGTTGAAACTATGAAGAGTAATGAGAAACAGTCTCTCCCTCTGGAATTCATGTCATGAGAGGGTAGAGAAATTTACATATGCACATAAATGGCACTAATACTAGGCAGACTACCCTAACTACGATAATAGATGGCATGTGAGCACAAAGAAGAAAGAGATTAATTATGGGAGTAGGATGACTAAGCTTCTTAGAGGAGGATGGACTTAGGTTTAAAAAACTTACTAATGGTGAGAATCAGAAACCAGGGTGGAGATGAATTTCCAGACAGAGAGATTTTGAGCTGGATCTAGAGATAGGAATGCAAGTCATTTATGGAACAATTAATGGCCATTACAGAAAGTGTGATAACGACTAAGAAGGAGATGAGAAAGGTTCAGGAAAAGTGAAAATTCCTAATTACAGATGGACACAGCTAGTGCACAATTTTCAGGCTGCATGCTATCTTAGGGATAGACTTGTGGCTTTTGGAATTATTCTTATTAGCTTTATTAAGGTATAATTGGCATAAAATAAATTGCACATATGTAAAGTGTATAATTTGTTAAGATTTGACATATGTTTGCACCTACAAGATCATCACCACAATTAAGGTAGTGAACATATCCTTCACCACCCCCCCAAAATTTTCTCACATGCCTTCATAATTCTTCCCTCTCTCTCCACCTCCTAATCCCCAGGCAACCAATGTTTTATATAATTTCAACTTTTATTTCAGATTGAAGGGATGGATGTGCAGGTTTGTTACCTGGGTATATTGTGTGATGCTGATGTTTGGGGTATGGATGATCCTGTCATACTGAGCATAGTATCCAACACTTAGTTCTTTGACCCTGGCTCCCTGCCTTCCCTCGCTTGTCTAGTAGTCCTGGTGTTTATTGTTGCCATATTTATGTCCATGAGTATCCAATGTTTGGCTCCCACTTATAAGTGAGAACAGGTAGTATTTGGTTTTCTGTTTCTGTGTTAATTCGCCTAGGATAATGCCTCCAGCTGCGTCTATGTTGTTCCAAAGGACATGATTTTGTTCTTTTTTATGGCTGCATAATATAATGATCTGCTTTCTGTCACCATAAATTAGTTTACATTTCCTACAATTCTACATAAATGGAATGCTAAACTATGTTCTCTTTGTTGTCTGAGTCTGCTCACTCAACAAAAATGTTTTGAGAGTCAGCCATGTTGTAGTGTGTTTCAATAGTGCATTGCTTTTTATTGCTAGGTACAATTTCTTCGTGTAGATATAGTAGTTTGTTTCTATTCACCAACTGACAGACTTGCAGATTGTTCCCAGTTTGGGACTATTTCACATAAAGCTGCCAGGAACATTCATGTGCAACTGTTTTTTTTTTTTTTTAACTTTAGTTCTGGGATACATGTGTAGAACATGTAGGTTTGTTACATAGGTGTGCGTGTGCCATGGTGGTTTGCTGCACCTATTGACACGTCCTCCACATTCTCTTACCTCATGTGCAAGTCTTTGTATAGACATGCACTCTCACTTGTCTTGAGCAAATACCTAGGCATGGAATGGTGGGATCACAGCTGTACCATTTTACATTCCCACCAGTGCTGTGAGAGAGTTCCAATTCCTCCACACCTTGCCAAATTCAGTATGTATGATCAGTCCTTTTAGAAATTTATTCTGTCTCTCCACACAGTCACATACAAATAGCCCTTCTGTACTGATGAGATAAATGTAATAGACAATGTTTTTAATAAATTAAAATATAGCAGAATATCCATTCATATTCAGAAAAATAGAGATAAATACCAGGGAAAATAGTCAAGAGTTAAGGGGATTACATTTTAGAAAGTGGGCTGAGAAATGATAAGAAAAGGGCAGGATACAGTAGTAGGTATTTATTACATTTTTAAGAATATTTAACATTTTAAGACATTCCATGGGTTACTTTAAAAGAAAACAAAGATACTTTTAAATGAATAAACCAAAGAAGCCTGAGAGTTCTTTTCAAAAGAGCATGTAAGGGCCTCATTACCTATGTTTAATTTAGATTTATTTAATACAACATAAAATCCTTATTAATTGTATTTTGAAAATACACCTTGGAATAATTATCACAATTAATGTATTTTGTAGCCATTAAACCAGATGAAGAATTGTTGTGGGTGACTTACTGATGATAAAGTGTTCAAGAATCTCTAAGTATGGAGGTTCCCCCAAAAAGCTAAAAATAGAACTACCATATGAACCAGCAATCTCACTACTGGTTTTATATCCAAAGGAAAGAAAATGACTATGTTAAAGAAATAACTGAACTTCCATATTTATTGCAGCACTATTCACAATATCCAAAATATGGAACCAATCTAAGTATCTGTCAACAGATGAGTGGATATTTTTTAATGTGTATACACACAATGGAATGCTATTCGGCCATTAAAAAAACAACAGAATGCTGCCATTCTCAGCATCATTTACAGCAACATGGATGAGCCCGGAGGATTATGTTAAGTGAAATAAGCAGACACAAAAAGATAAATGCTGCATGTTCTTACTCATATGTAAAGTTGACCTCATAGAAGAAGAGAGTAGAATAATGGTTACTAGAGGCTGGGAATGGTAAGGGGGAAAGGGGTATATGGAGAGGTGGGTTAACAAACACAAAGTTACAACTAGACAAAAAGAACAAGTTCTAGTGTTCTGTAGCACTGTGGGGTGACTATAGTTAACAATAATTTATTGTATAACTCCAAATAGCTAGAAGAGAGGATTCTGAACGTTCCCAACATGAAATGATAAAGTTTGAGGTTATGGATATGCCAGTTAACCTGATTTGATCATTACACATTGTATACATTTATTAAACTATCACTCTGTACCCCATAAACACATACAATTATGTGTCCATTAAAAATAATTTTTAAATATAAATTTAAAAGAGTAAAAAAGAATCACTGTTTATCCTAAGCAGAGTTCACACTTAAAATAATATATAAATATTATGAAAACAAATACTCTTTATAGTCATCAGCCACACTTCATTAAATGTTTAGTTTGGGCAAGGTACTTGAATAGATTAAGTTTAAATAACTGGCAAATGTTAGAATCATTTACAAGTAAGAACACACTACATTAATTCATGTGCATTGAATGATGTGGAGTCTAGTTATTGCCCTGATTACCAAATGAATAAAACCTTGAGAGGCAGGGTGAAATAAAGTACATGGCCTTTGGCTACAAAGAGCCTGGGTTTGTATCTTGACATCGCCATTTATGAGCTATGTGATATGAGTATAAGGTAACATTATAAAACTTCAGTTTCTTCATCTTTAAAAATGGCATTAAAATGATACTACTTCTTAAGATTGTTTTGAGGAGTATATGATATAAATTCTAAGTACAGTGCCAGGTACAAAAGTGCTCAATAAAGTTAAGCTATTATTATTACCTTGGTATTCATTACCATTACCATAAAAAGTTCTAAGAACTAAAAATTAAGTATTATATGAAATTTTAATTTTGAAAAATACTTTGATTTTATTAATATCTCAGGACAATTAAAGCAGTCAATTATTAAAATCCAAAAAGAATTCAAATTATTTTACAATAGAGATGTAGAAACCAACTTCCAGTTGCCATATTTGTTAACTAGCATATAATGGCCACACTAAGTTTCTTTTGATCACTATTGTTATCTTTACAAATGAATTACAAGGCACATTCTCAAGTTAAAGCAGTGACTTAAACCTGGGAGGCGGAGGTTAAAGTGAGCCAAGATTGCACCACTGCATTCCAGCCTCCGTGACAGAGTGAAACCGTCTCAAAAAAAAAAAAAAAAAAAAAAAAAAAGTTAAAGCAGTGGAGCTAATATTTGTTCCACAAAGATTTTTGAGTCATGGCTTAGAAATGTAAACTCCTAATACATTCTGTGAGCCAGCAGGTACACACAACACTGGTCTTTCTACTGATTTATCTTTGAATTAACTAACTTTTATGTCCTCTCCATTTCACTGTTAAGCCTATCCAAGTAATTTTTATTCTGAAAGTGTATATTTCAGTTTTGGAATTTTTATTTGGTTCTTTCTTAAAACTTTTCTCTGCTGAAAATCTCTATTTCTTCAAACATTTCAAGCATATGTTCCATTATGTCATTGAGGATGGTTATAATAGCCACTTTAAAATCCTTGTTTGTTATTTTCAATATCAGAGTCAGTTTCCATTGATTATCATCTTTTGAGAATGGGTCACAGTTTTTTGTTTTTTTTTTTTTTTTGGTCTTTGTCAAGAACTTTCAAATTGCAGCCTGACATGAGTATTAAATTGTAGAAGTTCTGAATTCTGTTATAGTCCTATGATGAGTGTTTTTTTTTTTAGAAGTTCAATTAACTTGGCTGAATGAAAACTGTAAATTCTGTCACTTAAGAAGGAGCTCAAACCTTAGTTCAATTTTTTAATCCTTAAATGAGCTGTCTGCAGTTTACCATGCACATGTGTAATTCAGGGGTTAGCCAGAGATTTGGGTAGAGTTTATACACAGAATTTGTGCTTCCTTTCTTGCTTCTCTCCTTTCTGCAATTCTACGCTCACTTTCAAATGGCTTTGGTTGTCCTGAAACTCATCTTCTGGGCAACAGGACTGCAAGTTTTCTATAAGAGTTTCATTGATCTCATGCATCACTGGCTGGAGTCTGCCCCCAATCTAAAATTCATAAAATACAGGAAACTCTCACTGTATCATTAGCTTTGCTCATATGCTAACTTCCCTCCAAAATCTGTCTTCGTTTCATCTCCAGTGCCTTCATGTAGTTGATCTTTGTATTTTTTCCAGAGTTTACAGTTGTTTTCTATGGGACGGTCAGTCTGGTAGGAGCTTACTTGACCATACAGACTACTGATTATACTTTAGTATAATTCTACTTGATGACCCTTCACAGGACTTCAGTAGGATTTGTGATAAAGTATGCAAGGATATCTGCACCACATTCAACTTCTCCAAGAGGAAAGAACTCTAATCCAACGGGGTCAAATTTCGGAACACTGATTGGACTGTGTTTACTAGTGAGCAGGTCATTATGTGTTCAAAAGCCATCCTGCCTATTTAAACTGAGTTAATGCCAAACTCCCCAAATAGAAAACCCAATCCACTTTGCTTTCATTCTTTTCACCTTTTCTCAGGAGCACTTAGGTACTTTCATTGTTTCATATTCAAGTACATAGTTGGACCTAGACTTGAGATTTGGGTTTAAGTGAAGAAAAAGACTCAGATTTAAGTGATGCAACCTGTCCAGGAAACCTAAAAACACTACATAAGGGTTTGGGAAATAAGCATCTTTGATAATTTTTTAAAGTAGCTTCCTTTTATAATTTTCCTTTGAGAAATTCATAGGAAAAAGAGGTATTCAGACAGCAGAATTGGACATCCTAGGTCCCCAGCCAAAAGGCTATTAAGCCCTCAAAAACTTCTCATTAAGGCTCTAAGTAGTGAGATTCAGATGGCATGACAAAAAGTGAGGGGTATGGGGTAAGGAATGAAGAAGAACATAGTAGAGAAAATTCTGTTGGAGAGTGGTCTCAAATGTCATATAAACTAAACAAAATTTTTTAAATCCTTAGATCTTATGTAATCAAATTATACCCAAGATCTCACAATAAATTGCAGAGAAGGTGCTAGAATCCAAATGTGCTCACTCCAGCCCAGTAAGTTTTCTACAATACCACACAACTACAAGCTTTCTGTAAGTCTAGACTCCCCATGTCAAAGAACTGTGTTGCTGGAAGGATTATAAGCCTCATTACTTGTATTATTCCATTCTCATACTGCTATTAAGAAATATCAAAGACTGGGTAGTTTATAGAGAAAAGAGGCTTCATTGATTCACAGTTTCTAATGGCTGGGGAGGCCTCAGGAAACTTACAATCATGGCAGAAGGCACCTCTTCAAAGGGCAGCAGGAGAGAGAATGAGTGCCAAAAGAAGGGGGAAGCCGCTTATAAAACTATCAGATCTCATGAGAACTAACTTACTATCATGAGAATAGCATGGGGGAAACTGCTCCCATGATTCAATTATCTCCACCTGGTCCCACCCTTGACACATAGGGATTATTACAATTCAAGGTGAGATTTAGGTGGGAACACAGAGCTAAACCATATCATTCCACCCCTGGTCACTCCCAAATCTCATGTCCTCATATTTCAAAACACATTCATTCCCTCTCAACAGTCCCCCAAAGTCTTAACTCATTCCAGCATTAACCCAAAAGTCCAAGTCCAAAGTCTCGTCTAAGACAAGGCAAGTTCCTTCCACTATGAGCCTGTAAAATCAAAAGCAAGTTAGTTACTTCCTAGATACAATGGGGGTACAGGTATTGGGTAAATACACCCATTCCAAATGGGAGAAATTGGCCAAAACAAAGGGGCTACAGGCCCCAGGCAAGTCGGAAATCCAACAGGGCAGTCATTAAATCTTAGAGTTCCAAAATGATATCCTTTGACTCCATGTCTCACATCCAGGTAACACTGATGCAAGAGGTGGCTTCCCATGGTCTTGAGCAGCTCTACCTCTGTGGCTTTGCAGGGTACAGCCTCCCTCGCAGGTGCTTTCACAGGCTGATGCTGAGTGTCTGTGGATTCTCCAGGCACATGGTGCATGCTGTTAGTGAATCTACCATTCTGGGACCTGGAGGACAGTGGTCCTTTCCTCAAAGCTCCACTAGGCAGTGCCCCAGCAGGGACTCTGTGTGGGGACTCAAACCTCACATTTCCCTGCACTCTGCTCTATCAGATGTTTGCCATGAAGGCTCCACCCCTCTATTAAATTTCTGCCTGGACATCCATGCATTTCCATACATCCTCTGACATCTAGGTGGAGGTTCCTAAAGCTCAGTTTTTGGCTTCTGTACACCCACAGGCCCAACACGATATGTAAGCCACCAAGGCTTGGGGCTCACACCCTCTGAAGCAATGGTCTGAGCTGTATGCTGGCCCCTTTTAGCCACAGCTGGGATGCAGGGCACTAAGTCCTGAGACTGCACAAAGCAGCAAGGTGCTGGGTCCAGCCCAGGAAACCATTTCTTCCTCCTACGCCTCTGGGCCAGTGATGGTAGGGGCTGCCATGAAGACCTCCGACATGCCCCAGAGACATTTTCCCCACTGCCTTGGCAATTAACATTTGGCTCCTTGTTACTTATGCAAATTTCTGCAGCTGGCTTGAATTTCTCCTCACTAAATGGGTTTTTCTTTACTATCACATCATCAGGGTGCAAATTTTCCAAATTTTTATGCTCTGCTTCCCTTTTAAACACAACTTCCAATTCCACATAGTCTCTTTGTCAATGCATAAAATTGAATGCTTTTAAGAGGACCCAAGCCACATCTGAAAAGCTTTGCTGCTTAGAAATTTCTCCCATCAGATACCCTAAATCATCTCTTTCAAGTTCAAAGTTTCATAGATCTTTAGGGCAGGGGAAAAATGCCACCAGTCTCTTTGCTAAAGCATAACAAAAGTCACCTTTTTTCCAGTTCCCAACAAGTTTCTCATCTCCATCTGAGACCACCTCATCCTGCACTTCATGGTCCATATCACTATCAGCATTTTGGTCAAAACCATTCAACAAGTCTCTAGGAAATTCCAAACTTTCCCACATCTTCCTGTCTCTTCTGAGCCCTCTAAACTCTTCCAACCTTTGCCTGTTACCCAGTTCCAAAGACGCTTCCATATTTTTGGATATCTGAATAGCAGCATCCCACTCTCTGCTATACCAATTTACTGTATTAGTCCATTCTCATGCTGCTATAAAGAAATACCTGAGACTGGGTAATTTATAAAGAAAAGACATTTAATTGACTCACAGTCCTGCATAATTGATGAGGCCTCAGGAAACTTACAGTCATGGAGGTAGGCACCTCTTCACAGGGCAGCAGGAGCAAGGATGAGTACTGAGTGAAGGGGGAAGCCCCTTGTAACGCCATCGGCTCTTGTGAGCACTAACTCAGTCTCATGGGAACTTAAGCATGGGGGAATCCACCCCCATGATTCAATTACCTCCACCTGGTCCCACTCTTGACGCATGGAGATTACTACAATTCAAGGTGAGATCTGGGTGGGAACAAAAAGGCAAACTATATCATTACTAAACTTCGGTTCCCCACTGGAAAATCTCTGAAGTACTGCAGGGTAAAGAATATCATGGCATCTGTAGAAGCAGACAATGACTGGTAAGACATGATTGGACCAGAAAAAGTATTATCCCTCACTATCACTTTCCTGGACATAAAGAGGCCCCTTTATGTAATAAAATTCTCCCCAGATGCATACACTGTGGCTTGTTTGCCTTTGGTACCTCACACTATCTCAGGGACATGAATTACATTGCACTGCATTGTATTATTGTATGCAGCACAAAATGTGCTTTGCTCACATTTCCAGAAAATATGCTATATATGTCAAGGTGAGAAAGTGCGTGCCAATATGGTTAAAAATATCTTCTAGATGAATCAGCACTTAATTTTTTTTAATAACATGAATGCAAAACAGATTTTAAAAGAAAAGTTCACCTATCCCAGGCCAAGATACTAAACAAGTGCTCAAAAAAATGCATTTCCTTCAAAGTGCTAAGGCCACATTTGTTGCCAGAAATGTCTCCTTCTGCCCTCCTTTCTCTTATTATTATTTTATTCTACCAATTTAAAAAAGAAAATTATCCTGTGCTACTCCCACCCTACCACCCCAACAAAGGAATTAATTCAGAATTACTTACAGCCCATAATTTTAATAGTGAGATCTTTTTGGTGGACTTTTGTTCCATTAGAACCTTTCCCAATATAATTCTGAGATATTTCTTGCAATAAATAAGTTCCTTATACAGTTTCATAGCTTAAAAATCTTACTGAGATATAACTTATACTGTTTGATTAATATTTCAGCCTTTGTTAATATATTTCCCTATTCACCACAGCTTCATATGCTCCCATTATAACAGATGAATTATGTTTTAGTGCATATTTTCTTCTCTACTAAAAATATTACAAATAGATGTGAATATTTTATGATAAATGTTTTCCCCTTCGGCCTTGAACTTTTTACAAGTAAAAAATAATAATAATCGGAGCCAGGCATGGTGGCTTATGCCTATAATCCCAGCATTTTGGGAGGCCAAGGCAGGAGGATCGCTTGAGCCTGGAAGTTCAATACCAGCCTGGGCAACACAGAGAGATTCTGTGTCTACAATAAACAAATATTAGCCTGGCATTGTGGCACTCTGGTAGGGGGTGGGGGGACGGGGGCCCTGAGGGGGGAGGATCACTTGAGCCTAGGAAGTTGAGGCTGCAGTGAGCAGTGATGGGGCCACTGCACTCCAGCCTGGGTGACAGAGCCAAACTCTGTCTCAAGAAAAAAAAAAAAGGAAAAAGAAAAAAAATCACTACCTAATCATATAAATGACATCTTATAATACATGTTCTGTGCAAACTATTAGGACTTAATAAAATGAATATTGTATCTTTCTCATTATCTGAAAATAGGTCGGCTTTTATTGCCAACTTATAATACTATAAACCCATATTAAAACTTGGCTGATTGTTACAGAGTAATAAAGTTATTTTGTAACTATCTAAGCCTGGAAATACTGAAAAGCTATTCAACCACCTGGATTTATTTAAGAGCAAATAGTTCTATACATGTTTCACAAGTTACTACACTTCCCCTTAAAAATGCTAAGTGGATTTTTCCCCTTAAAAATGCTAAGTGGAGCAAACCAAACACAAAAACCAATTGCTCCAAGATCTGTTCGTCAAAAGCAGCTCTCTAGGGGCCACCACACTACCTTTGACTTTTGACTTACTCATGTTCTCTGATGCTACCAGCCCCACATCTAGAACCCTCTGTGTAAGGAAACATGCATGCTGTTCAGCCCACAGTTGGGAGTTACACAAAGTATGTTCTGACCCAGAACTGTTCAGAACAACTTCTTAAATCCTGTAAATCTTTTAGTTCCCATTTATAAACCCACATTTTTCTCTTAGAAATGACCACATTTTATACATTTGTTACCATAAATAATCCACTTATGTAAAACTGCAGTGATTTTTTTAAGTGTCTTAGTCTCTCCTTCTCCCACATCCAATTCATCTAAGTATTTATTTCCCACCCTCTCTTCTTGTACTCAGCAAAACAAGCCACCAAGCTGTAGCTCTTTGACTCTGAACCTATGCCTAATATGTCATCTATTTATAACTAGCAAAACCTTATAAAGAAAGCCAGTGTGTCACAATAAGTGAGGTAATTATTTCTTTATGCCAGTTGGCTTTTCAATCAGCTGTGGTGTCTTTGTTTATTAAGGATGTAATCATCCACTATTTACACAGAAATGCAAAGTCATATTAAGTGCAAAGTGTAGAAGTCTTAAGTGGGTTTTGAGAATGGCAGCATGTGGTAATTGTTGAAGCTGGATGGTGAGTTCATGGTGGCTCATTACAATATTCTAATTGTATGTTTGAAAATTTCCACACTGAAATTCAGATTTTAAAAATAGAGGGTTCTTTGAGTAAGATAGTCACTCTAAACTCTACCATTTCAGTGGGACCTACAGAAAATACTCTTTAAAGCACACATTTTAGGGTTGCTAAACTGTATGCAGATTAACCTCCTATATCCAGGTATCTGCGATCTGGAACTCTGTAGAAAGTGGAAATATCAAAAAATAAGTAGAACCAGGATTCCTTTTCTAGCGATTCTGACTGGTGTGGACAGAGCCCTCATGCCCCCATGGGTGTACTCTTCGCCCTTGATTTAACATTAAGCTGCTGCAGAGATGACGTACACCTTAGCCCCTTTAGTGCACTCTGTTTTGTCATCAACTTTGATCCTCCCAGACTTATCACCAAAAATGTCACTGCCACTTAAAAAGACTTGAATCCACTTTATTTAATTATGGAGATCCCGATCCCCAATCCTCTGGTCCGGACTCATCATAACCTAAGAATTCCAGATTTACGAAGAAAACATACGAAGATTTCTAGAATTAAAATGTTATATTTTATCAATTTCTGAATAGCAAATCATGAACCTTTAAAGATAATCATTCATTCTTTTAAAGACCTGCAGAAAAAGATTCTTTGGTATTTAATGGCAGGGTTTTATTAATTGAACATTTTTTACTAACAGGAAATTCTTCTTATTAGGATTTAGACTTACAGGTCCCTAACTTGATCATTTTCATGGGGAATTATTTACTCAATTATTTAACTGAGTACTGAAAACATGCCATGCATTCTTTTAAGCACTGGGGATATGATGATAAATAAAACAAAGAGTTGTAAAGGAGCTTATATTTAACAAGAGAAACGCAATTAAAACAAGTAAGCCGTGTGCCAGATGCTAAGTGTTCTGGAGTTAAATAAATCGGTGAAAGAGAGCCACTAGGGAAGGAATTGGTGATAAAGTGTGGCCCAGAGGTACCTCATTGATAAGGTGATATGCAAATCCATACAGCCATGACATGAGAAGTGTATAATAAAAGTACCTGAAGGAAGAGACGAGTGTCACAGACAAAAGGAACAGCAAAGCCTCTAAAGCAGCAACATACTTGGTGGTTTAAGGAACAGCAGGAGGTAAGTAGGACTAGGTAATGGGGTGCAGGTCATGGAGGCCTTGGGGGCCACTAAAGAAAATTAACTTTTATCCTGAGTCAAATGGGAAGCCATCGCAGAGCTTCAAGCAGAGGAGTGATACGAGATGACTTATCTTTTACAAGGATCCTCTGGCTACTGTCTTAATAGACTGTAAAGGAGCAAGTTTAGAAGCAGAGAGACCAGTAAAGAGGCTAACAATGCACAACGCAGGCAAGAGATCAAGGCAGCCTGGCCCTGGGTAATAGTGGTGAAATCAGTGAGTGGTGATTACATTCCAGACATATTTTTAAGATAGATTGTCTATGGGGTATGAGAAATGTCAAGAATGACTCCCAGGTTTTTTTATCTGAAAATCTGGAAGAAAATAATTGGCATTTGCTGAGAAAGAAAATATCGTGGGAGGGCACAGCAGCATTTAGACCATTTTCTAAGGCCTGAGTCTGTTGCTACCTCACTCCTTTTCTCCCAAATTACAAAAGTTGCATAAAGCTTATGTGTTTGAGAGCCACAAGATGATGAGGGCTTATTACTACTGCCTCAACAAACACAGGAATGAGTTTCCGAGGGCACCTTCTTCCCACTCTGCATTCCATCCCCTCCCAGAACCCAGAAACAAAACGTGAGTTTGGAAAATTGGCTTTCATTCTGAAAAATTATGGACTTAAAATTTTAATCATATTTAAAATATTCAGGACTCTTTCTCCCATGTCAAGTAAATACAGGTCTTTTCATGTCTTCCTCCTCTTTTAGTTTGCCATTCCCAGTGCTCTTTCTGAAGTGTGCCCTTTGGAGAAAACAGAAAGAAGCTCTTGTTTCAGGTATGAGCTCATGTAAGTGACCATGTGGGTGGCAGCACCTTTCCGGAGTTGGCTCTCCTTTTGTTTTTTAGGCACAGATTCTTGAAGGTAGTTACCCATTTCCGGCTCAAAAGCCAGAAATTCCCACCTACAGACTCTTCTATCATAGGTTTGACTCCCTCCAAGAAATGGAGAGCCAGAGAAGCAAATCAGTTTTTAAACAGAGATCATAAATAATAAATCAGCATATCCATCAGTCATCACTACATTGCTATTTTTCTTAAAAAAAAAAAAAAAGTCCAGTGATTCTTACCTCTAAAGTACTGGTTTTTTAATCTTTATTCCCAGCATGTGTTTTCTCACTTGCCTTCCTACAAGTTGAAAGATGTTTCCTCATCCTGCCTGGACCATGCTCTGCCCCACACAGCTGGGATGGGGCGTGGGCCCACCTGGGGATATAGCCGTCACTTCACTTGATCGTGAACTGTGCTTCTCCAGCAAGGAATTGTTTCTTGAGTAAGTACTAAACTGTTTTCAAAGGGTTACCCTGTGGAAAGTATCATGCTAGATACTGTACAGAACAAAAAGTTCAAGAAAGCTTACTCTCTTGAAGACATGAAAAACCTCACGAACTTTTCTTAAGACATACTAATCAGTTTAAGTCAGAAAATATGTAATGCTATCAAAGGTAAAAGGCAAGGTCTGGGAGCAGAGCGGCTGCAAACTGTCTACCACTGTATCAATAAGAGGAAAGAATTCCTCACAGGAAGCCTCACCCTGAGGCTCAGATGAGTCTGGTGCAGGCACTCCCTGAGTTCAGAGTGGTGGCAGGATCTAAGGGGCTCAGGAGCCTGTCACACAGAGAGGAGGGGATGACCACTGAGGAGCTCAGCAAGAATGAGATTCCAGAAGATTTCAGGTTGGTAGCTTAGGGGGAAAATCTGCATCAAATCCCAGGTGTAGTGGCAGGAAGGAAAGCAATATCACGTTAGGGACAGGACAAGAAGAGAAACCTGGGCTGAGTCCCTAAACATTGCAGAAGGCAGGCAGAAATCATGCCTGGCAGGATAACTGCTTCCTCTGTGATTTCTCCCTGGATTCCCCTCCCACAGTTTCCCAGCCCCCACATAGAGTTAACATCCTCCTTCATACCACCAGGTACTTTGTACACTTAATAGACACGCTCATGTTGTACATATGTTTATGAGCCCAGCATTGAGCAATTCCTCACATGTAATGAACATTCCACCAGTACTTACTGAAGTGAGCTGAGAGTCGGGGACTAAAACAGAATTAAGATAGCCCCTATAGTCTCCTCTTGATGTGAAGATAAGCCGGCAGACAATTGTGTTCATTTTCTGTGGTTGCTGTAACAAAATAACACAACTTTTTGGCTTAAAACAATGCACATTTATTCTCTTAAGATTTGGCGGCCAGAAATCTAAAATCAGTTTCACTGGGCCAAAATCGAGGTTCTGGAAGGACTAGCACTTCCTCCAGAGGTTCTTGGGAAGAATTTGTTCCTTGCCTCCTCTAACTTCTGGTGGCTGCTAGTATTCCTTGGCTTGTGGCTGCATCACTCCAGTCTCTGCCTCTGCCACATTGCCTTCTCATATTCTGCATGTATGTGTACTATCCTCTTGACTCTGTCTTATAAAAACTCTAGTGATTTCACTTAAGATTTCCTGGATAATCTACAGTAATCTCCCTATCTGCAGACCCTTAAGTTAATCACAACTGGAAGACCTTTTTGCCATATAAGGTAACATTCAGTTTCAAGGGACTGGGACATGGATGTCTTTTGGGAGGCCATTATCTAGCCTACTATAAAGAGCTTGGTTACCTACAAAGGCAGAGGAATGAAGTTAAAAGAATACAGGAAAGAGAGACACTTCTCTGATAAGCCCTTTTTGTATAGTTTTGACCTTCAGGACAATGTTAATTTTTTTATATTTAAAATTTAAATCAACAGGCCAGGCACTGTGGCTCACGCCTGTAATCCGAGCACTTTGGGAGGCCAAAGCAGGTGGATCACAAGGTCAACAGATTGAAACCATCCTGGCCAACATGGTAAAACCCCATCTCTACTAAAAATACAAAAATTAGCTGGGCATGGTGGCATGCCTATAGTCCAAGCTACTCAGGAGGCTGAGGCAGGAGAATCGCTTGAACCCAGGAGTTGGAGGTTGCAGTGAGCCGACATCATGCCACTGCACTCCAGCCTGGAGACAGATTGAGACTCTGTCAAAAAAAAAAAAAAATCAACAAGAATGGGAAAGGGTGAAAAAACCTAAAACTGAAAGCAAACTGAAAGAGATGATTAATATTTCAAATGAATAACAATCACACCTAAAGGGATTAAGAGAAAATACTAAAAAGTAATTTATGATTGCAGTATTTTACCATACACTGTCAGTCTTGGGAGGAATAGGATGGGAGAAGAAGGAACCACAAACAAATTCTGAACTATTTTTGTAGGTTTGTTTTTTGTAGTAGTGTGGAGTAAGCAATTCTGAAACTACCTGAGATGCATTATAGAAATGAACAAGAGAATAAATATATTGATGTGCTTGAGAGCCAAGGTTCTCACTGTGAAGAAGGCCTATAAAAATATCAGAAAAAGCAAAAAAGAATCCTGAGGGGAGGAATTGAAATTAGCAGCACTGGTATAAATCTATGATTTCTAAAATTTGCATATGTATGTGTATATGCCTATATATGTGTACATGCATGCTGGTGTATATATGTATGTATGTGCATGTATTTAGGTGTGTGTATGTATATGTGTATATATAAGCATATATTATTTAAATTTGTCCACTAGAAACTAGAAGCAAAGACACCCCAGTAGCAATGAGCACACCTAGCACCCAGATCTTGATTTTAACACCATTCTCCACTACAAAAACACCAGGGCTCCTCAGAGAAATGGCTGACTCCAGAACTTGGTCAATGTGGGTTATGAGAACAACCTGGAATATCTTATTCCAAAACGTAAGGAAGTAGTCAAAAAATGGTAGCACATGTCCTAAGACATGGGAGTCAACCCTCTGTGGCTCCCACTGGTCATATTTGTGATAACTTGAGCACTAAGATTATTAAGGATAGTAATGAATTGTAAACCTTTGAAAAAAATTAAAATCCATAACCTATTTACCTAGTAAACAGAAAAGGATATACAGACAACCGGGAAAGAGGAGTGAGTTCTTGCTTACGTAAAATGCCTAGTGCAGACTGGAAAATGTAGGAGTGCTTGGAGGTAGCAAATGATCAGTTTGCAAACATCACATTAAAGTTGGTGCTGGCAAGCATCATCAATGGACACTAAATCTAAGGGTAATTTTTAAATTAAATCCAGATGTTCTTAAAGTGTCTTCCCAGGTTGCTTGTTAATTACAAAGAAAAAAATGGTGTCTATAAAATAGAGAATTGGACAATGTTTTGACTGGGTTTAAAATTAACCTCACCAATATGAGGCTGATGGGCATCACCCACCTCAGCTCAGGATGTAATGCCCTGAATATGATACCACATCACTTATGCTGTTTTCCAGCCAAGAATGCATAATCTGAATACAATCACAAGAAATCTTCAGACAAGCCCAAAATGAGAAACATTTTATTTTATAAAATACTATATTATTCAAAAATGTCGATGTCATAAAAGACAGGGCTGTTTTGGTTTAAACTGTATGATATCACTTATGTGTGGAATCTAAAAAGATTGAACTCAGAAGTAGAAAGTAGAACAGTGGTTACCAGAGGCTGGGAGGTAAGAGAAATGGAGACATGTTGGTCAAAGGATATAAACTTTGCTATAAGATGAACAAGTTCTGGGGATCTATGTGCAGCATAGGTAGTGGTAGATGTGTTAATTAATTTGATTTTGGTTATCATCACTACACAATGTAGATGTAAAAGAGAAGAAATAATCACATCATATGCCTTGAATATATTCAGTATCTTGTCAATTAAATATTTTTAAATAACAACGTACCTGATTAAACATACACACACAAAGAGCCTAACAGAAAACATGATAACTAACTCAATGCAATAAATGATCCTAAGCTGAATTCTGTACCAGGAGAAAAGTGCTAGAAAGACATTATTAGATCAAATGATAAACTTGAAATGTGGATGATAGGTTATGTAAGAGTATTGCATTAATGGTGAATTTCCTCAAGTTAGCAGCTATACTGTTTTTATGAAAAACAATATCTTTATTCTTAAACATAACATGGAAATACTTAGGGTAAAAGAACCATGAAGGATGTAACTTACTCTTAAATGGTTAAGAAAAAATTATTATGTGTGTGTATGTATGTACACACACAGACAAATACACACATGCAAACACACACACACACACGCACATAATAGGAGGGTAGTGAAAGACAGTGAGAGTACTCAAAGCATATGAAGTAAAATGTTAGCAATAGTTGAGTCCGGGTAAATGATCAGGTATTCTTTGTACTAGTCTTATTCTTGTAACATTTCTACGAGTGTAAAACTATTTCCAAATACAAGGTTTTTAAAAATAGCATTGTTCACTGTCACTCTTAGACTGTTAGAAAATGCAGCAAAAAATACTGAGCCAAAAAGAAAGCTCTATGAAATGAAAATAGTACTGTGAAGAACTCTTCAAAGAAGGCATCACTTCAGATAGATTTATACTGGCTCTAAACCCCCAACTTCCCAATTACGTCATCATAAAAATCTGCACACCAAACAGCAGCACCTCAGAATCTTCACGTTTCTCTTTCTTTTAAATTCAAGCATGAATGACTCATTATTGGGTGAGCCTATATACAGAAATCCTTCACAATACTGGGTAATTGTAACAGATATATTAAAGGTATAGGTAACAGATAGATATGTTAAAGAAAACCAAAAAATTCTAGCAAAAACTTTTTCTAAAGAACCGTAACTCCAATTACAACACAGCAGTAGCAGCTGAAGAGTGATGACAAATAAAATCCCTGAATAATAAACGCCGAGGTAGGCTCTAAAAGAATTGCTAATTATTTGAGCCAAAGAATACACAAATTTCACAAAGAACAGTACATTTGATCAATTGTCCAGTTTATCAATTGGGATGTTCAATATTAACTTTGTGTTTATTTGGGGGTTTTTTTCTTGCCTCAGATTTATTCATACAAATAGCATGGAAGGACAGAAGCTCCATCCAGACGGTAGCCCAGTGATCAAATCGGTCCTTCTGTCCTCATGTTGGCAGAGAGGCTTTATGGGGGCCTGGACACCTTTGGGAGCCTGAGCTGGAACTGCAGCTGCAGCTGAAGCTAAAGGCACAGCCTGGGCCTTGGTTTGATCCTTGGCCTTGGCCTCTGGCCAGTAGATCCACTTAGCAATGTAGACACAAATATACTCCCAAGCTTGGGATGGGCAGTGTAGGCAAGTCCATCAAGCTTCGGACTGATGCCCTTTGACATCTTGGGCTTAAACTCCTTGAGCTTTATGAGGGCCTTGACAGCCTTGGCATGTGCAGTGATGGCCTTGCATTGTTGGCCTACATCTTCTCCAGGCTCTTCTTGTTGTGCTTCCTGACAAAGTGCATGTTACGCCCCATTAAGAGATTCATATCTTCGTAATTGTGGTTTCTTGACACCATTTCTGTGCCATTTTTCAGGACTGGTTGTGTGCAGTCTTCTTGGACCTGGTCATGTCTGCAGGGTAACCTGCGGCTCTCAAAGTGCCTGGGACAGGAAGACCTCTATATTAACTTCGAGCATGAACTTTGTCATCACAGGTTGGGTTCTCTGAAAGCAGATGCATAAACAGGATTAGGCAAAAGATGTATATCAGGGATGAGATATATATCACACCACCTGTGAAAGGAAGGAGAAGAGGGAGATTGGCAGAAGGAGAGCCAAATTGCAAGCCTGACAAAGCCTTGACTAGCCTAGCAGGGAGCTCTGAATCAACAATTGCTCATCAAAGTTGTCCTGCAACATGCATCCAAATTCAACATGCCTTCGTATCCCTGCCCTGCTAGTAACTTCTTGTAAGATGCCCTAGAAATACCTGACCTGAGGGGAGGTGGCTGTCTGGAGTAGAGGCAGACCTTGAAAGAGCTGTCAGCTTATACCTTATACAAAAATTAATTCAAGATGGATTAAAGACTTAAATGTTAGACCTAGAACTATAAAAACCCTAGGAGAAAACCTAGGCAATATCATTCAGCACATAGGCATGGCAAGGACTTCATGTCTAAAACACCAAAAGCAATGGCAACAAAAGCCCAAATTGACAAATGGGATCTAATTACATGAAAGAGCTTCTACACAGCAAAAGAAACTACCATCAGAGTGAACAGGCAACTTACAGACGGGAGAAAATTTTTTCTATCTACCCATCTGACAAAGGGCTAATATCCAGAATCTACAAAGAACTTAAACAAATTTACAAGAAAAAAGCAAACAACCCCATCAAAATTGGGCGAAGGATATGAACAGACATTTCTCAAAAGAAGACACTTATGCAGCCAACAGACACATGAAAAAATGCTCATCATCACTGGCCATCAGAGAAATGCAAGTAAAAACCACAATGAGGTATCATCTCACACCAGTTAGAATGGCGATCATTAAAAAGTCAGGAAACAACAAGTGCTGGAGAGGATGTGGAGAAATAGGAACGCTTTTACACTGTTGTTGGTGGGAGTGTAAATGAGTTCAACCATTGTGGAAGACAGTGTGGTGATTCCTCAAGGATCTAGAAATAGAAATACCATTTGACCCAGCAATCCTATTACTGGGTGTATACCCAAAGGATTATAAATCATGCTGCTATAAAGGCACATGCACATGTATGTTTATTGTGGCACTATTCACAATAGCAAAGACTTGGAACCAACCCAAATGTCAATCAATGATAGACTAGATTAAGAAAATGTGGGGAACGGGTCTGTCTGCCAAGATGCCCAAATAGGAACAGCTCCGGTCTACAGCTCCCAGCGTGAGCGACACAGAAGACGGGTGATTTCTGCATTTCCATCTGAGGTACCGGGTTCATCTCACTAGGTAGTGCCAGACAGTGGGCACAGGACAGTGGGTGCAGTGCACCATGCACGACCTGAAGCAGGGTGAGGCCTTGCCTCACTCAGGAAGCACAAGGGGTCAGGGATTTCCCTTTCCTAGTCAAAGAAAGGGGTGACAGATGGCACCTGGAAAATCAGGTCACTCCCACCCTAATACTGCGCTTTTCCAATGGGCTTAAAAAACGGCGCACCAGGAGATTATATCCCGCACATGGCTCGGAGGGTCCTACACCCAAGGAGTCTCACTGATTGCTAGCACAGCAGTCTGAGATCAAACTGCAAGACAGCAGCGAGGCTGGGGGAGGGGCGCCCACAATTGCCTAGGCTTGCTTAGGTAAACAAAGCAGCCAGGAAACTCGAACTGGGTGGAGCCCACCACAGCTCAAGGAGGCCTGCCTGCCTCTGTAGGCTCCACCTCTGGGGGCAGGGCACAGACAAACAAAAAGACAGCAGTAACCTCTGCAGACTTAAATGTCCCTGTCTGACAGCTTTGAAGAGAGCAGTGGATTTCCCAGCACGCAGCTGGAGATCTGAGAACCGGCAGACTGCCTCCTTAAGTGGGTCCCTGACCCCTGATCCCTGAGCAGCCTAACTGGGAGGCACCCCCACAGTAGGGGCAGACTGACACCTCACACGGCCGGGTACTCCTCTGAGACAAAACTTCCAAAGAAATAATCAGACAGCAGCATTCACGGTTCACAAAAATCCGCTGTTCTGCAGCCACCACTGCTGACACCCAGGCAAACAGGGTCTGGAGTGGACCTCTAGCAAACTCCAACAGACCCGCAGCTGAGAGTCCTGTCTGTTAGAAAGAAAACTAACAAACAGAAAGGACATCCACACCAAAAACCCATCTGTACATCACCATCATCAAAGACCAAAAGTAGATAAAACCACAAAGATGGGGAAAAAACAGAGCAGAAAAACTGGAAAATCTAAAAAGCAGAGCGCCTCTCCTCCTCCAAAGGAATGTGGTTCCTCACCACCAACGGAACAAAGCTGGACAGAGAATGACATTGACGAGTTGAGAGAAGAAGGCTTCAGACGATCAAACTACTCTGAGCTACAGGAGGAAATTCAAACCAAAGGCAAAGAAGTTGAAAACTTTGAAAAAAATTTAGATGAATGCATAACTAGAATAACCAATACAGAGAAGTGCTTAAAGGAGCTGATGGAGATGAAAGTCAAGGCTCAAGAACTATGTGAAGAATGCAGAAGCCTCAGGAGCTGATGGGATCAACTGGAAGAAAGGGTATCAGTGATGGAAGATGAAATGAATGAAATGAAGTGAGAAGGGAAGTTTAGAGAAAAAAGAATAAAAAGAAAAGAAATGAACAAAGCCTCCAAGAAATATGGGACTATGTGAAAAGACAAATCTACGTCTGATTGGTGTACCTGAAAGTGATGGAGAGAATGGAACCAAGTTGGAAAACACTCTGCAGGATATGCCCATCAGACGAACAGCGGATGTCTCAGCAGAAACTCTACAAGCCAGAAGAGATGGGGGGCCAATATTCAACATTCTTAAAGAAAAGAATTTTCAACCGAGAATTTCATATCCAGCCAAACTAAGCTTCATAACTGAAAGAGAAATAAAATACTTTACAGACAAGGAAATGCTGAGAGATTTTGTCACCACCAGGCCTGCCCTAAAAGAGCTCCTGAAGGAAGCACTAAACATGGAAAGGAACATCCGGTACCAGCCACTGCAAAACCATGCCAAATTGTAAAGACCGTCAAGGCTAGGAAGAAACTGCATCAACTAATGAGCAAAATACCCAGCTAACATCATAATGACAGGATCAATTCACACAAAACATATTAACTTTAAATGTAAATGGACTAAATGCTCCAATTAAAAGACACAGACTGGCAAATTGTATAAAGAGTCAAGGCCAATCAGTGTGCTGTATTCAGGAAAACCATCTCATGTGCAGAGACACACATAGGCTCGAAATAAAAGGATGGAGGAAGATCTGCCAAGCAAATAGAAAACAAAAAAAGGCAGGGGTTGCAGTCCTAGTCTCTGATAAGACAGATTTTAAACCAACAAAGATCAAAAGAGACAAAGAAGGCCATTACATAATGGTAAAGGGATCAATTCAACAAGAAGAGCTAACTATCCTAAACATATATGCACCCAATACAGGAGCACCCACATTCATAAAGCAAGTCCTGAGTGACCTAAAAAGAGACTTAGACTCCCACACAATAATAATGGGAGACTTTAACACCCCACTGTCAACATTAGACAGATCAACGAGACAGAAAGTTAACAAGGATACCCAGGAATTGAACTCAGCTCTGCACCAAGCAGACCTAATAGACATCTACAGAACTCTCCACCCCAAATCAACAGAATATACATTTTTTTTAGCACCGCACCACACCACACCTATTCCAAAATTGACCACATACTTGGAAGTAAAGCTCTCCTCAACAAATGTAAAAGACGAGAAATTATAACAAACTGTCTCTCAGACCACAGTGCAATCAAAACCAATGAGAACAAAGACACAACATACCAGAATCTCTGGGACACATTCAAAGCAGTGTGTAGAGGGAAATTTATAGCACTAAATGCCCACAAGAGAAAGCAGGAAAGATCAAAAATTAACACCCTAACATCACAATTAAAAGAACTAGAAAAGCAAGAGCAAACACATTCAAAAGCTAGCAGAAGGCAAGAAATAACTAAAATCAGAGCAGAACTGAAGGAAATAGAGACACAAAAAAAACCTTCAAAAAATTAATGAATCCAGGAGCTGGTTTTTTGAAGGAATCAGCAAAATTGATAGACCGCTAGCAAGACTAATAAAGAAGAAAAGAGAGAAGAATCAAATAGACGCAATAAAAAATGATAAAGGGGATATCACCACCGATCCCACAGAAATACAAACTACCATCAGAGAATACTACAAACACCTCTACGCAAATAAACTAGAAAATCTAGAAGAAATGGATAAATTCCTCGACACATACACCTTCCCAAGACTAAACCAGGAACAAGTTGAATCTCTGAATAGACCAATAACAGTCTCTGAAATTGTGGCAATAATCAATAACTTACCAACCAAAAAGAGTCCAGGACCACATGGATTCACAGCCAAATTCTACCAGAGGTACAAGGAGGAACTGGTACCATTCCTTCTGAAACTATTCCAATCAATAGAAAAAGAGGGAATCCTCCCTAACTCATATTATGAGGTCAACATCATCCTGATACCAAAGCCTGGCAGAGACACAACCAAAAAAGAGAATTTTAGGCCAATATCCTTGATGAACATTGATGCAAAAATCCTCAATAAAATACTGGCAAATCGAATCCAGCAGCACATCAAAAAGCTTATCCACCATGATCAAGTGGGTTTCATCCCTGGGATGCAAGGCTGGTTCAATATATGCAAATCAATAAATATAATCCAGTATATAAACAGAACCAAAGACAAAAACCACACGATTATCTCAATAGATGCAGAAAAGGCCTTTGACAAAATTCAACAACCCTTCATGCTAAAAACTCTCAATAAATTAGGTATTGATGGGACGTATCTCAAAATAATAAGAGCTATCTATGTCAAACCCACAGGCAATATCATACTGAATGGGCAAAAACTGGAAGCATTCCCTTTGAAGACTGGCACAAGACAGGGATGCCCTCTCTCAGCACTCCTATTCAACATAGTGTTGGAAGTTCTGGCCAGGGCAATTAGGCAGGAGAAGGAAATAAAGGATATTCAATTAGGAAAAGAGGAAGTCAAATTGTCCCTGTTTGCAGATGACATGATTGTATATCTAGAAAACCCCATTGTCTCAGCCCAAAATCTCCTTAAGCTGATAAGCAACTTCAGCAAAGTCTCAGGACAAGAAATCAATGTACAAAAATCACAAGCATTCTTATACACCAATAACAGACAAACAGAGAGCCAAATCATGAGTGAACTCCCATTCACAATTGCTTCAAAGAGAATAAAATACCTGGGAATCCAACTTACAAGGGACATGAAGGACCTCTTCAAGGAGAACTACCAACCACTGCTCAATGAAATAAAAGAGGATACAAAGAAATGGAAGAACATTCCATACTCATGGGTAGGAAGAATCAATATCGTGAAAATGGCCATACTGCCCAAGGTAATTTATAGATTCAATGCCATCCCCATCAAGCTACCAATGACTTTCTTCACAGAATTGGAAAAAACTACTTTAAAGTTCATATGGAACCAAAAAAGAGCCCACATTGCCAAGTCAATCCTAAGCCAAAAGAACAAAGCCGGAGGCATCACACTACCTGACTTCAAACTATACTACAAGGCTACAGTAACCAAAACAGCATGGTACTGGTACCAAAACAGAGATACAGATCAATGGAACAGAACAGAGCCCTCAGAAATAACACCACATATCTACAACTATCTGATCTTTGACAAACCTGAGAAAAATAAGCAATGGGGAAAGGATTCCCTATATAATAAATGGTGCTGGGAAAACTGGCTAGCCATATGTAGAAAGCTGAAACTGTATTCCTTCCTTACACCTTATACAAAAATTAATTCAAGGTGGATTAAAGACTTAAACGTTAGACCAAAAACCATAAAAACCCTAGAAGAAAACCTAGGCATTACCATTCAGGACATAGGCATGGGCAAGGACTTCATGTCTAAAACACCAAAAGCAATGGCAACAAAAGACAAAATTGACAAGTGGTATCTAATTAAACTAAACAGCTTCTGCACAGCAAAAGAAACTACCATCAGAGTGAACAGGCAACCTACAAAATGGGAGAAAATTTTCACAACCTACTCATCTGACAGAGGGCTAATATCCAGAATCTACAAGGAACTCAAACAAATTTACAAGAAAAAAACAAACAACCCCATCAAAATGTGGGCAAAGGACATGAACAGACACTTCTCAAAAGAAGACATTTATGCAGCCAAAAAACACATGAAAAAATGCTCATCATCACTGGCCATCAGAGAAATGCAAATCAAAACCACAATGAGATACCATCTCACACCAGTTAGAATGGCAATCATTAAAAACTCAGGAAACAACAGGTGCTTGAGAGGATGTGGAGAAATAGGAACACTTTTACACTGTTAGTGGGACTGTAAACTAGTTCAACCATTGTGGAAGTCAGTGTGGCGATTCCTCAGGGATCTAGAACTAGAAATACCATTTGACCCAGCCATCCCATTACTGGGTATATACTCAAAGGACTACAAATCATGCTGCTATAAAGACACATGCACACGTATGTTTATTGTGGCACTATTCACAATAGCAAAGACTTGGAACCAACCCAAATGTCCAACAATGATAAACTGGATTAAGAATATGTGGCACATATGCACCATGGAATACTATGCAGCCATAAGAAATGATGAGTTCCTGTCCTTTGTAGGGACATGGATGAAACTGGAAATCATCATCCTCAGTAAACTATCACAAGTACAAAGAACCAAACACCCCATGTTCTCACTCATAGGTGGGAATTGAACATTGAGAACACATGGACACAGGAAGGGAAACATCACACTCTGGGGACTGTTGTGGGGTGGGGGGAGGGGGGAGTAATAGCATTAGGAGATATACCTAATGCTATATGACAAGTTAATGGGTGAAGCACACCAGCATGGCACATGTATACATATGTAACCTGCACATTGTGCACATGTACCCTAAAACTTAAAGTATAATAATAATAAAATTAAAAATAAAAAAAAATGTGGCACATATACATCATGGAATACTATGCAGCCATAAAAAATGATGAGCTCATGTCCTTTGTAGGGACATGGATGAAGCTGGAAACCATCATTCTCAGCAAGCTATCACAAGGACAAAAAACCAAACATCACATGTTCTCACTCATAGGTGGGAATTGACCAATGAGAACACATGGACACAGGAAGGGGGACATCACACTGGGGGACTGTTGTGTGGTGGAGGGAGTGGGGAGGGATAGCATTAGGAGATATACCTAATGCTAAATGACAAGTTAATGGGTGCAGCACACCAACATGGCACATGTATACATATGTAACAAACGTGCAGGTTGTGCACATGTACCCTAAAACTTAAAGTATAATAACAATAAAATAAAATAAAATAAAAAGAAAAGAAAATGTGGCACATATACACCATGGAATACTATGCAGCCATAAAAAAGGATGAGTTCATGTCCTTTGTAGGGACATGGATGAAGCTGGAAACCATCATTCTCAGCAAACTATCACAAGGACAGAAAACCAAACACCGCATCTTCTCACTCATAGGTGGGAATTGAAAAATGAGAACACTTGGACACAGGAAGAGGAACATCATACACCAGGGCCTGTTGTGGGGTGGGGGAGTGGGGAGGGATAGCATTAGGAGAGATACCTAATGTAAATGACGAGTTAATGGGTGCAGCACACCATTATGGCACATGTATACATATGTAACAAACCTTCAGGTTGTGCACATGTACCCTAGAACTTAAAGTATGATTAAAAAAAAAAAAAGAAAAAGAAAAAGGTTGAGGTTTGAGGTTAGGCTCAGTTTTATAGAAAATGACCTCTTTCTTTCTCTCTGTCTCTCTCTCTCTCATTAACTAAAGTCCGTGGTTTACTTAGATTTCCTTGGGTTTTACCTAATGTCCTTTTCCTGTTCCAGGACCCATTGGATATCACATGACATTTAGTCATCATGTCTCTTTGGACTCCTCTTTGCTGTGACAGTTTCTCAGGATACCCTTGTTTTTGATGACCTTGACAATTTTCAGGAGTGCTGGTCAGATATTTTGTAGGATGCCCACTATTGGAATGTGCCTGATGTTTTTCTTATGGTAAGTCTGGGGTTATGGTTTGTTGGTAGGAAGACCTTGGAGGTTAGGTGCCATTCTTGTCACATCATGTCAAGGTTACATCCTATCAATATGACTTACAGGTGTGTATGTTGACCTTGATCACCTAGCTGAGGTAGTGCATGTCAGGTCTCTTCACTGTAAAGTTACTCCTTTCCCCCCTTTCCATACTGTACCCTTTGGAAGAAAGTCACTATGCACAGCCCACACTGAAGGAGTGGGGGTTTATGCTCCTTCTCCTTGAGGAGGGATTATCTCCATAAACTATTTGAAATTCTCCTGTATGAGAGACTATTTATCTTTTTTATTTTTAATGTTTTCTTAAAACCTAAAAAAATTAAATTACAAGATACAATATAGAAAAGTGCATATCTCAGCTGGGCCCAGTGACTCACACCTGTAATCCCAGCACTTTGGGAAGCTGAAGTGGGAGGATCACTTGAGTGAGGCCAGGAGTTCAAGACCAGCCTGGCCAACATAGCGAAACCTCATCTCTACTAAAAATACAAAAAAAATTAGTTGGACATGGTGGCACACACCTGAAATTCCAGCTACCTGGTAGCTCAGCCATGACAATTGCTTGAATCTGGGAGGCGAAGGTTGCAGTGAGCCAAGATCGCACCACTGCACTCCAGCCTGGGCGACAGGGTGAGATTCTATCTCAAAAATAAATAAATAAATAGAAAAGAAAGAAAAAAAAGAGCAGCCATCAGGAGGCTGTCTGCTGACCACATTTCCTATAGCTGGGGAGCAAGTCCCTCCTTGAAAGGTGATCTTGGTGGCACTTAGCTATGTCTACCACAGTTCACACTTTATGTCACTTGGGTTCCATATGTATTCAGAATTTAGATGGACCTCCAGAATTTTGCTCCTCAAGAATTTTGATGGAAGTCTCTTCTTGGGAGAATTTTAGAAGCGGGACTAACCACAGATCTCACTAGTCTAGCTGGTCTCAGGGCCGCAACTCTCTCCTTCACTATCCATTCTAGATTCCTCTTAGCTTCAAGAGCACCTCTGTTGGCCATGATGGTTTACTACCTGGTATGACCCAGACCTTGAGAGGTAACCCTTATCTACTTACTCCAGATTTGCTTATTAAATATTCAGTCACGATTAGCAAAAGAGTGACAAGAGGCACCTAAATTGGACCACCTAGATTCTATACATATTCCTCCACATCCCTTTTTCTTCCCTAATAATCAGTCTTAATTACCTTCACCAAGAGAGTGACTTCTCATCTTGCCTGCTAGTCCCTGGACACATGAAACCCAAAGTGCCCTGGCAAGAGCCAAAGCATAGAATTCAATGAGACTCTTGCTGGGTTCCCTGGCAAAAGTGTTCCGTTGTTAGAAACCAAGACTTTTATCCCTGCAAAGCCCAGAGGTGTAGGAATGAGAAGCATAAAGACCTCCAATGAATCAATGGGAGTGATAGTTAAGTGCAACCACTACTGCTTACATTTCTTGGTCCTAGTCTTGAAACCCAGTACTATATCAAGATCTGATTCTGTGCCTATACTGCAAATTCGATGCTGTCCCTCTGATACGACACTTCAACTGTGCCTTCAGCAAGTGTTTCAATGCCCCTTCAGAAGTAGCAACTTATGGGTGTTATGGCATGGGATATTACCAGAGGATCCTGTGGTCATAGGCCCACTCTTACATTTTCTTTGCTCTAGAGAGGGACCCCTGGTCTAAGTGATCAAATACTGCATAAAACCTTGGATAGGTGTTGGCTGAAGTCCTGCAAGCAGAAATGACAAATCCATTTCTGGGTGTATTAAGGTTCTTTGGAAGGACAGACCAATAAGATATATGTACATATAAAAGGGAGCTTATTAGGGAGAAATGGCTCACACGAGTGAAGTCCCAATATAGGCCATCAGCAAGCTGAAGAAAGAGAACGGGGTAGTGGCTCTGCCAAATTCTAAAAGCCTCAAAACCAAGGAAGACAGTGGTGCAGCCATCGGTCTGTAGCCAAAGGCTCAAGAGTCCCAGGGAAGCTGCTGGTGTAAGTCTCAGAGTCCAAAGGCTGAAGAAGCTGGAGTCTGATATCCAAGGGCAGGAGGAGAGGAAGTGTCCAGCATGGGAAGAAACAGAGAGCCAAAAAGCCTCAGCAAGCAAGCTTATCCCCCACATCTTCTGCCTGCTTTGTTCCAGCCACATTGGCAACTGACTGGATGATGCCCACCCACAGTGACAATGGGTCTCCTCTCCCAGTCCACCAACTCAGTGTCAATCTCCTCTGGCAACACTCTCACAGACACACCAAGAAACAACACTTTATCAGCCATATAGGCATCCCCCAATCCAGTCAAATTGACACCTAATATTAACCATCACATCAGGATAGGTATATATTCCCAAAAGCAAATCACTGGCCCTTCCAGGATAAAAGGGGCCTTGTGTAGTCAATTTGCCATCAAGGGGCTGATTGATCTTGTGAATGGTGCCATCTAAGGGTCCCAGCATTAGTCTCTGTTTCTGGTTGGACAGTAAGAGGCAGAAGTATCTAGATCAGTGTTAGAAGTATAAGCCTATGCTGTTTGTTAGGCTGGAACACAACCTCCATCCCTGCTACCATTGCCACATTTTTCACTTGCCCATTGTGACAACACTGGGTAGCTGATGATGGAAGCTGGCTGACATCTTCTGTCTAAGACATTTTGTATCCTTGTCAGACTAGTGCTTCTTTCATGGTGGATGTTCTCTCTTAGATAACATGTGATACAAAGATCTTTAATACTTCATATCTACTCCCATATGTACATCTACATTTTTCTAAACCAAACTTCCTTGTCCTCGATCTTTTAATGTTTTCATTTCCAGCCAAGCCAATTGCCAGTGACCATGAGTCCATATATGCTCAAATCCAAGCCACTTCTCTTTCCACAAATACTGGATGACCAGGTACACCATCAGAAGTTCTACCCATTGGGTGAAACTTTCCTTCACCATTGTCTTTTGAACCCACCTCGGATTGGGCTTTAGTATAGTTGCTCTCCATTTTCAGCTTGACTTCATATACCATGATGACGCATCCCATAAAGCAAGTTCAGACTTCCCTTCTCCTTTAGGTGTTTGATTGGAAGACCAAATACAGCTCTAAACGTCAACTGAAGAAAGGTGTTGGTGCAACAACGGTGGATGCTGTGGGAGCCTGAGCTACCTGCCCATACAGCTTGATTATGCCTATTGATCCCATCTGCAGCACTTTCATCTTATAAAGGATCATTGCTGTACTCACACAGCCTTATGACTTGTGTGCATCTCCCAAGACCCAGCTCTTTAGTCAGTGGGCTCTGGATATGAAAACTGGCTCAGGTCTGGAAATTGGATATGAGATTGTAACTTTTTACTAGGGCAAGCATCTATTATTTCTCCTCACACAGACCAACATCCTTGTTGATTGCCCATCTAGAGACACTGTAAACTGTTAAGCATCTCCATAATTCTCTGAAAGTCAGACCTCCTTGGCTTACAGTCCACCTTGCCAGTTGTTATGGTAATTGTAAACCTCTTTTTCTGGCAGTTAAATGTTGCCACCTGCTCTTTATTGTGTTAGAATTTTGTCATCCCCACTTGTATCAGCGTGCTAAGTTCTGTAACATCTTCTACTGTCAGCCTGGCCTGTAGAGGACAACTGCCACTGAAAGTTTTAGTGATATTAGTGTCCCCTCACCAGCATACTTTCACGGCCTTGGTAAATGGTGTGCCCTCTGGGTCTTGTGGAACATAACTGTCTTGTGGGTCTTCTGGCCACATGGTATCCACTCTAGCATATCCAAAACCTGAAGCCTTTTAATTTCTTCCTCTACTATCTCCTATACGATTCTGGCATTTCAACTTTGTTTAGTGTAAGCTATGATTTTTTTCTGTGCTTCTAGAACCCATCCTGATCATGATTTTGCATCATTTCTTGAGCTCCTTGCCAAAATGTGAAATTCTGTAACTTGGTAGAATGTTTCCTTCTCTGATCTTATGTTCTAGTCTCCTTGATTAAGCACCCTCAGGACCCAATCTCACACATATACGCATGGCTCCTGCCAGAACATGCTGGCTAGATCTTTATCTCCTCTGGGGTATACTCCCTTTACTCTCTTGTTACGCCCAGCATCGCCCTCACTGAAATATGCTGGAAATGTACCCTAGTTATAGGTGTAGTGGACAGGAGGGGAGAAGGGAGCAGATCCTGTGAGGAGCACCTGTTCTTTTCTGAGAGTTTTCATTTTTTTTCCAGCATGTCATTGTGTTGGTTTTTAACATGGAGGTATGGAACACTTATGAAGGTTCAGAGGATTTAAGGAGTCTGGAAAATCAAAAATCAAAATATTTGGGAGCATCCACTCATTGTTCTTACCTTCCATGTAGGAGTCTCTGGTTTTCCCCATGAGTTCTAACCTTTGCTTAACAATCTGCCTTTGGTGGAGGTTAATCATTTTGAAGTTCAGCCACTATAAATTCTAGTCTCTATCCTTAGCTTTCTTCAATCTCTTTTTCAGAAAATAACAGTGTCTTATTTATAAAACCAAAGCTTGCCTCTGGAGTTTATATCTGGCTTTTAGTTGTATGCTGCTTACCCTCATTTATTTGTTATAAATAAGAAATAAGTTCCACTTATCAAAACCATCGAGTTCAATTATCTTTATTAGAGCTACTATTTATCCTGTATGTCACTGTTTAGAAAAAACACAAACCCTGTTTTTTCTCTGCTCTAACACCAACACAACAATCAATGCAGAAGACTTCTGTGACCAAATGGGTGGGGGTTTTTCCCCACTGACTGGGGATACCAGTTGGGTATCCTCCAATTCAATTCTGACACTGTCTACCTGGAGATAGCATCAGATTCCACAGGTTGAGACCTCAGTCCCCTATTGCCCTGCCACTTCAGATACAAGTTGCAAGTCTGAACCTCTGGAACTTCTGACCAACCAGCTTTAAGTTGGGCTTTCCACCACTCACTCTTTGGGTTCAATTAATTTGCTGGAGTGGCTCACAAAACTTAGGGGAACACTTGTGTTTACTGGTTTATTATAAAGGATATTGCAAAGAATAGATGAAGAGATGCATAGAGTGAGGTATGGGGGAAGGGACCAGAGCTTCTATGCTCTCCCTGCTTACAACACTCTCCAGGAACATCCATGTGTTCAGGTATCCAGAAGCTCCCAAATCCTGTCCTTTGTGCCTTCTATGGAGACTTCATTGCTTTTCCATGATTGAACCATGTACAGCCATTAGAAATGTAACTGGACAAAAAGGATATGACCTAATCCCAGCAAGGCCTTTTTGGCCTCTTTGTGCAGCTTTCTTTCCTCTAGAGTGTGAGGGTCTTATGATCCACAATTAGATTAGGGTCCTGAGATTCTGTTTCCTGAGGCCTGCTTCTTAGGCCTAAAGCACTCCAATATTATAACAAAACACTGTAACAAGGACTATGGGAGATATGAGCCAGGAACCATAGACAAAAATGTGTGTGTGTGTGTGTGTGTGTGTGTCTGTCTGTCTGTCACAAACACATAAAATATAATAATACCAGCTACTATTCCCTTCCACTGATACAATTCACTAGAAATGCACTACCAACTTACCAACAGTGATATGGTTCTTATTTTTGGCTGGGCTATAACAATCCAGCTCCAAACCCCCATCTTATTATCTGATTTGTGGTACCACTCCTGTTATCAACTGACATACGGTGGATTGTATAAAATGAAGTTGGAGTGTAAGATGTTAATGAAGTGATCAGCACCTGGCAAAGGAGAGGGGAGGGAGCAGGACTGAACACAGGAAGAAGTTAAACTATAATGCAGGCCTGACAAACCCTCAGCCAACCTAGTGGTCACCTCTGGAGTGAGAATGACTCAGAGGTATTGGGTCACACTGGATGGACCTGTACTGAGCTCACTCATCAGATGGGGGCTGCCCTAGAAAGGCAAGACCTTGGGAAAGTGGCTCTCTGCAGCTGACATGAGGCCAACCCTAAAGAAGCTGCCAGTTGTAGGTTGTCTGCAAACCATATTCCCCTCAGCTAGGTAGCAAGTCCCTCTCTGATGTGAGATCTTGGTTTCATAGCTCCATGTCTTGCACATTTCTTGAGTCATTTTCTAGAACAGTGGTAAAGATGAGTGGTATAGTATGGATGTTTGTCCCCCAAACCACGTGTTAAAATTTCATTTCCAGTGTTGGAGGCGGGCCTAATGAGAGGTGTTTGGGTCACAAGTGAGATCCCTTATGAACAGATCAATGCCTTCCCTGGGAAGGGAGGTAACTGAGTTCTCCCTGTATGAGCTCCCAGGAAAGCTGATTGCTAAAAGGGGCCTGATGCCTCACTCCCCACTCTCTCACTTTCTTTGTCTCACCATGTGACCTCTACACTCCAGTGCCCCTTCGCACCTTCCACCATGAGCAGAAACAGCCTGAAGCCCTCACCAGAAGCAGACGCTGCACCATGCTTCTTGTACCTGCACAACCATGAGCCAAATAAACCACCTTCTTTTCTTTAAAAATTATTCGACTTCAGGTATTCCTTTATAGTAACACAAAAATGGACTAAGAAAATGAACCATGCTTACTACAATTCCTCAGCATCCATGCTAATCCACAACCCCTTCCCTCCCCCAGCTCCTTCATTCCAATGTGAAGTCTCTAGAAACTAGGTATTTCACTGCATCTGGCAAAGCAATGCACAGTTTTAAGGTACAGGGCACTATAGTACAAGCTACAAGAGAGAAAACCAGTTTCTGCCTGGTTTATACTGGTCAAGATAGTATAAGAAAAGGTTGAATCAAAACTGCCCTAACCCTATTAATAATATACTAGTAATATAAACAACATATTAATAACATGAAACTTGTCTATTAATTTACTTAAGGACCCATTTCAATATCACTGGGAGTGGTTTCTTACTGTTATGAACTTCTCTAATATTCACTCTTTTACCTTATAGCACTCTTGGCTACCTCAAACTTTAATTATTTGCACATATTTTCTCTATACTACTAATATACACTATCTTCATATTAGTCTCTTTCTTGAGCCCATCACCCAGTTTATTAGGCCCTGGAGAAATATTTTTCAATGTCTCCATTGCATAATATAGCAGTCTTCAACATTCTCCTGAAGGATATGAAAAATGATGTTCACAGGAAAAACATGCACTCATAGATATGCTCATATTTTAGAAAAAATATTTTTTCAGACAAGTAAAGAACTGAGATAAGCTATTGGGGAACATCAGTAACAATGGCTGTATGTGGGCTGCAACATAAAGAAGACAAGTGCCATTTATAAGCAATTCCCAATATTTTGAGTGGCACTTTCTGAGGTCCAGAATCACATAACCAATTTTCTACTGATATCTCCACCCATCAGTAACAAAAGCTTACCTTCAACCCCAAAGCTGCTTCCCGTGTCTTCTACTTCAGCAAATGGCACTGTCGTGCATACAACTTCTCAACCAAACACTTGGGATTCATCTTGGACCACTCCCCATCTCATACACCATTCATTTCTACTTAACCCCCAAGTCCTAATGATTTTTTCACTTAATATCTCTTGAACATATCCACTTCTTTTTATCCCTTAATCTCTTCCATTTCTCACAGTTTCCCAGCTCATCTCACTGGATTTATTCTTGGTCTCTCCAAACTGTTCTCCACATAGAAGCCAGAGTAATCATTTAAAATTTGAAATTGATTTAGATCATTTTTCACTCAAAGCCCTTCTGTGGTTTCCCATTTCCCTCAGGATAAAGCCCTGAATCATTAAGATGTTCCATTTCATACCACAGCTTTCCTGGCTCTTTTCACCGCAGCCTTTCCTTACTGTGTTTTCGGTTCCTTGAACATGCCTTTCTTTCTCGTGTCAGGACACTCAAACATGCCATTTCCAGTGTTTCCCCATTCCTAGCTCAGACAGTTCCTATTTGTCCTTCAGATTTCAACTTAAAACGTTTGTTTCAGAAGGAGGCACTCTGTAATGGTGACTCTCCATTTCTTTTCTCTCCTCCCCAATGCTTCTCTCTTCTTTCCTGCCCCGATCTGGGCTCCAGAAAGCTAAGACAAACCTCCTGCCTCGCTTAGCCTGCCTCGCCCTCTGGTTCTGTCTGGAATGGCTGAAGGCAAATACTTGAGGGAGAACAGAGCAAGAAGAGAGGGAGGTCAGGATATTTCTTCCCTCGCTCCCTCCCTGCCTTACCTTGTGCTTCTGGGAGTGGCTGTGTTCCTCTTCTCAATGGCCCCAGTTCTCACCAGATGAGGTACATAAAGGCCTCCCCATGACAATTAGTCCCTAAATGACTCAACGTCCACAGCTGGTTCCCTTAACTCTGTTGAGAATTCTGTAGATTGCCTCATCACTTGAATGGAATTCTGCTGGGACCCTGACTGATATGCTATTACTGGTTCATTGTTTTACGCTCCCTAAACACTCTTTATTTTCTCTGAGACAGTACTCTCCAACCATGGACCAAAGAACTTCTTCAAAGTCAATCTTTCACACTTGATTACAAGCCCCATGTAGACAGCATGTATTTGTCTTCTTGCCTTTGTATCTCCAGCATTTAGTGCAGTGCATTAAGCATGATTAAGTCCAGCACTTGGTGCTGGACATATAACTGCACATATAAACTGTTCAAATGAAATATTATATGTGAATAAACTATAAATAATAAAGCACTTATATTATTTATGTACTTTTTAATGCTGAAATTAATTCCTTATATTCTTTCTGTTCAACTTCTTGCTTTTTATTGTAAGTTGCCACCCTGGGTTGGTGAGAGCTAAGCTGAATAGATCACCAAAGGAGCACATGGAATGGAGTCCAGACTCAGATACTTGTCTTGTCTACAAAGCTGCAAAATGTTCTCAGACAAATCCCAGTAAGCTCCCAAAGCTTTGCAAGATGCCTATTTTTTAAGAAAATTGAATTTTCAGGGAAGACAGGAATTATCTTTTGAAAAAATGGCTGGTAATATTTTACTTTATTGATTAAATTCCAAAAAAGAAAACTAGACTTAAGGATTGTGCATAACTAGCCTCAGGGGAAAAGAATACCAACCAACAACAAAAATATATTTCTCAAACTTAGAGGTAGAAAACACTGAGGCATCAGTATTCCAGAAGCTCACTGCTTAGGCACTTGGAGCTCCGTGCCAGAACCATCCTTCCGTAGTTCATATTGACACTTCCACGTCTACAGAAATTCACGTTTAGAAAGGCAGTCTTTAATACTACAAGGTATAGTAGACTTTGATTTGATTTCTTTTTTTTAAAGTTGTCATATTTCTTTAGAAAAATAGAGACAGACTATGGGGATCATTAGAATTAGACATGCTAAGATACAGCAAATGCTCCTTCACAAGTGGTAGCCTGGGAGTCATTCATATACACTCATATTGTTGGATCTTTCCTGAGCTGAACAAGAAAGAGAGGAGACTGGCCAGAAGCATGCAGGTACGCCAATCTCTTCCTGCTCTCATGGTCTGCTTGCCCACCCTTTCATTTTTATAAACACTGCTAAGCTTCCCCTGCTCTCCTTGGTCCCACCTATCTGCACTCATCCTCCAGGAAACCCACACCATTCATCTCACATGCACTGTTGCTTGTGTTTGATGAAACCACACTTGCATTCTACCTAGAACAGTTAAGATTCTTGGGCATCCTCAAGCCACATATCATCTCCATGAGACTTCAGCAAATGTTCCTGCACAACCTCTCTTATTGCTAAAAATTATGGTATCAAGTGACCAGAGCTGCGAGAAATCTATTAGAACTAGGTCAATGCCTCCATTTTACAGACAGGAAAGGTAGAACCACAGGAGCAAAAGGCCTTGCTTATCCCTCTCAGTTGAAAAATGATATGCAGAAATGCTTAGTTCCTCAGCTTCCCAGCAAGTCAGAGTCTCCAAGCAGGAGAATATGTCATTCTGCAACTGGTAGCTTCCACTGTGGACAGAGGCTATGACTGCCACATTTTTAGCATAATTCATAACATCATTTCATGGATCCAGTGGATGAAGTTTACTTTCTGCATTTTTTAATCTCTCTCTATCCTTCTCTACCTCTCTTCCTACCATTCCCGTTCCTTCTTCTCTTCCTCTTTCTCTTCTTTCTTTAACAGGTCTTTCTTTAAAAGTAAAACAGATTCATTGAAAATAATTTGGAAAATACAAAAAATAAGTTATCCATAATCTCACCATCTGGAGAGAACAGTTGTTGTATTTTCTTCTAATAATTTCCTGTATACACTTGGATTTATATACACATAATCCTAACTTGGATACAGACTAAGCTCCCTGGACTCTGTGGGCCCTAGATACCAATAAAGGTATCCTGAAATAAAGGAAACTGATAGAACTCATTATAAAGTTTATATAAGACAACTTCAGGGCCTCCCAGTCATAAATGCTGAGATTGACTATGCAAACAGAGAGAATAAACGTAAAATTTTGTACATAATCAGTAATGAGACCTCGTTTGTACTCATACACTAGTGAAGGCCAGAGAAACTCAGCCCACACACATGTTATAAATGGATATCATACTCTACAGTTTTGTATCCTGCATCTTTAACATCATGGTGTTTCACATCTTTAAAATAATTTGAAAACATACAGCAGCTTTTCAGTGATGATATTTGACATGAACAATCACACAGAGCCTAGAATGGCCACAGAACAGAGTTCCAGGCTTTCACACACATTCAGGCCTCTGAGTGAGGGCTCCAAAGTGATGCACAGGTTCTTTCTCTTCCCAAATGAAATTGAACTAGAAACACTGGAAAGTGTTTTCCATTTATAAGCAAAGATTGATTTCTAATGGAGCTTAGGAGGATCACACAGTTATTACTCTGCACGCTCAATGCTTTCACGGGGTTTACATCAATATTTCCTGACAGGATTTCATGATGCATTTTAGTATTTATGATGTTATTGTTTTAAATTTTTCTGCCCTGCATGCTACAGAATGTACCTGGTGTTATTAAATAAAATACTACCTTGGCACCTGAATTTTTTTTAAATGGCTGGTTTTTAAAAATGCTTATCTAAATTATCTTCATTGTTTCCTCACTCAAGTTTCTTATTGTCAACTATTCATATGGCATGTTCATAAATTGTGTCTATTTTAAACCCTATTCAGAAGACGATGGAATAAAGAGCTAACTAAAAACAGAAAATGAAAACAAGAAGTGTGAATGCAAAGGTCACATTTATGCATTTATGTTCCATTCAATGACTGTGATACTGCTTAAGCTCAGCACACTCACATCCACACTGCACTGCAATGTGCTCTCCATACTCCACTGGAAAGTCTCCCAGTTTTTTCTAACTAACCCTATTCCTGACCACCTTAGGGCCTTGGCAGGTGCTACAGCCACCAGCTGGACTCCTCCTCTCTGCCTCAACTTGCAGAGATAACTTGTTCTCGGGATCCTTCAGGCCCAGCACTAGCCTTTCTCTCTGAAGGACAGCTTTCTTAAAAAGCTGGATCAGGGCCGGGCGCGGTGGCTCACGCCTGTAATCCCAGCACTTTGGGAGGCCGAGGCGGGTGGATCATGAGGTCAGGAGATCGAGACCATCCTGGCTAACAAGGTGAAACCCCGTCTCTACTAAAAATACAAAAAATTAGCCGGGCGCGGTGGCGGGCGCCTGTAGTCCCAGCTACTCGGGAGGCTGAGGCAGGAGAATGGCGTGAACCCGGGAAGCGGAGCTTGCAGTGAGCCGAGATTGCGCCACTGCAGTCCGCAGTCCGGCCTGGGCGACAGAGCGAGACTCCGTCTCAAAAAAAAAAAAAAAAAAAAAAAAAGCTGGATCAAATCCTCCAATTACACTCTCTCAGGGTTCACTGGATGTCTCCTTCACAGCACATATCACAAACAAGTTAAATAATGACTTGTGTAATTAGTCACCTGATGCTTCTCTCCCTTGCCAGATTATAAACTCAGTGGGGGCAGGGACTCCTCTTTCTTGCTCGGTGGATCCCTAGTGCCTGAGGCAGTGCCTTTTACAGAGGACTATTTAATAACTCTTTGTTGAATGAAATAGTGAATAAATAAAAATATGTCCACAACTAAGCCTTAGTGTCTAGAGTTCCTGTGTCAACCATGTGAATTAGCCACAGGAGTGAACACTGCTGAGCCCATTGAATGTCCCCTTTGGTAATCTTTGCTGCTGGCTTAATGTCAAAATTTGATTTTGTGAATGTTATTGAATTTTTGAGAGGTGTTAGAGACTAGACCTTAGAAAGAACCCATTAAAAAGTTTATGACTCCCACTTCTAAGTGAGAACATGTGGTATTTGGTTTTCTGTTCCTGTGTTAATTTGCTTAGGATTATGGCCTCCAGCTACATTCATGTTGCTGCAAAGGACATGATTTTATTCTCTTTTAAGGAAGCCAGGCATCACTAACTTCCTGTACCAAAGCTCAAAGATCATCTGAAGCCAAAGCCAGGCTATGTTGCTGGCAAGTACACATGGTTATAGGGATGGTAGAACACAGTACTAGACTGAGTATTTGAAATCAGATTAAAAGACTCATATCTATGCAACCACTGGCCCTACCTGGTATTTTATGATTCAGGTGTCCTCAGTGAGGTTTTGTCTGCCCCATTTTGCCCTAAATTCTGCTTTCCCACTTAGATCATTTCTTAGGCATACCCTTTGCTGAGTCTACAGTGCCTACTCTTCCCCCAAAGGCACAGCTACTCATGAGCTGGTACAGCACATGTAGGAAGAGAAGATTGGCACAGGATATCATCCAAATTGAAGTGAGGGAAGAACATCCTGGGATGGGATCAGATGAGTTCCTTCAAAGAATGGTGTCACTGAAAGAACTTGAGGACGCTGAGGACATAGAGGACTTGGGAAAAATCCATGCATCAGAGAAGGAGAAGAAGCCAATGAAGAAGATTCTGAAGGTGCCAGAAGCTAAGATGGGAATGCACCAGTTTTTGGCAATAACCTGACAATCAGACAGAAGATGAAGAGTAACTGATGATAAGACCAAACTGGTCATAGTACAGAAGTAAAAAGAGAAGGTGGTGGCAGTAGAGTAAGCTGTGGTCTTTGAAAGACAGTTGCAATTCAGATATGTGTGAAACGTTGGAGAATGTCAAATTTGAAACAAATTCTTCTCTTCAGTCAAAAAACCTTGCCCCACAAACTTAAGGAGCAAAACTCTTTGAGCTTTCTAGATACTTGCCTGAAACTACTACTTTGTAATTGCTACATTGGCAAAAGCTTACCCTAATAGCAATTGCTTACCTAGCAATTGCTAGGGTAAGCTTCGGCAAATTCATTCAGGAACAGAACTCTTCGGGTTCCATCAAGAAAGAAGTGCTGGGACTCCAGTGTGTTAGGCAGCATTCTAATGAAGTTTTCCCAAGAGTCTTCTCCCTGGTTAGTCAATCAAACACTAATCTAGATGGAATTAAGGATGCTAATCAGCTGACCTTAAAATAAAGAGGTTATTCTGGATTCTCTGGATAGGCCTAATGTAATTACATGAGCTCTTAAAAGCCAAAAATGAAGGCAAAAGAGACCATCAGAGAGATGAGGCAGGAAGGAACGTAAGAGAAACTCAAAGCCTAACAATGACTTGACCCAATTTTACTAGCTTTGAAGATAGAGGTGGAGGTAACAAGACAAGGAATACATGAAGGCGACTTCTAACAGCTGAGAACAACTTCTGGCCAACAGCTATTGAGGAATCAGGAACCTCTTGGTCTACAACCACAAGGACCCAAATTCAGTCAACAACTTGAGTGAGCTTAGGCCAGATTCATCCCTGAGGCTTGAAAGGAATGCAGGCCTGCCTACACCTTAATTTCAGCCTTGTAAAACCAGGAGCTGAGAAATTATCCAAGCCAATTTAGACCTCTCTGACCTACAGAAATGTGAGATAATTAATTTATATTGTTTTTAAGCCACTAAGCTTGCAGTAATTTGTTATGGCAACAATAAAAAACTAAAACATCAGGTTTTCTACACCAACACAAAATTAAGTTTGGGGATTTTTTAAATCTTGTGATTATTAAAGAAATATATTTTATAGAAAATTTAGAAAAGATAAAAATGTGAGCATCAGATTCTTCACAGCAATGATTAGTTGAAATCCACACCTTTGTGGAATTAAGTTTAAATTAATCAGCCTTTTTCTATATATCCCCAAGTTCTAGCTAATAGGGAATAGACAGAGGAGCTAAATAGGAAAAAAAAAAATAGCAGTTTTATCTCATAACTCCTAAAGCACAGAGGTCCTTAGTAAATTTCTATTCTAAGGTTTACCCTATAAAACAAAGACAAATGGAGGCCTATTAGCTCCCTACTAGAACCCACGCCTTGGGCATCTCATATCCCTGAAGTGGTCACCCAATCACGGAAGGATAAGTCCAGAATGAAAAGTCCCCTTCCTTTGAAGAAGTTGTTCAAGGAGGTTGGCCAAATGGAGTATAAGACGCTAAAAGTCACTGCGTTTGAGCACAAGGAAGACAAACAAAAAGGCAGAGGGGGAATGTGAGGAGGGAGAAAGAGAGACCTCTCCCACCTTGCCTTTTTGATGCATGTGATGGTTAATTTTTGTGTCACTTGGCTTAGACCACTAGTCCAGATGTTTTTATGTTGTTTTTTTAGATGAGGTTAACATCTAAATCAGTAGACTTTGAGTAAAGCAGATTACCCTCCATAATGTATGCAGGCTTCATTCAGTCAGGTGAAGGCCTTAATAGAAAAAGTCTGACAACCCCAGGAGAAGGAGGAATTCTGCCAGAAGACTGCCTTGGGCTTCAACATCTCAACTCTTCCCTGGATCTCCAGCCAGCCTGCCTACCCTGAAGATTTTGAACTTGCCAACCTCCATAATCATATAAGCCAATTCCTTAAAATCTCTCTCTCTCAATATTATGTATCTATATCTATGTATACATACACATATGTATACCCACACATATATTAATCAGGATTCTCTAGAGAAACAGAACATATGAGATACACACATGCACATATATATATATACAAATACAATACAGTAACTCTGCCTCTTTTAAAAACACAGCCCAGTGGATGCTGAGAAAGACAAAGATAGAGAAAGCAAATGTGGCAATATATTAACAGTTGTTAAATCTAGTCAGAAGATCTAAACATTTTTTCTTAGGTTTGATTTTTTCACAATAAAAAAGAATTTATGGGAAAAGGAAGAATTAAATATAGCAACATATAAAAATGAATCCTTACTGATCATGGTCTGGCCTCTGACATACCCTCCTTCAGGTGACTACATAGTAGAGAGATGCCTGCTCTCTCCAGAGAAGAACAACCATGTCTCTGATATGCGGAGAGAGCCAGCCCTCCCTCAGCCGTACATATCCTATTCATTTCAAGATTCATATCCAACAAAAGTTCTGCATAAACAAGGGTCTGCCTAACCCAGGAGTCTGCCTTCCCTTCTCTGAGAACCACCCTTGACATCTACTCTTATAGAAGGGGGATAAAGAACAGCCACTGGCACCTGAGCTTGTGCTTTGGGGTCTCATGCCTCATCCCACACTCACCAACCATAGACAGTCAACCCAAATTCAAAGAATCTTTTCTAAACATATTCAATACTGAAAAATCCAGCGTTTTTCTGTATCTACACATGAATTCTTTTGAAGTATTTTAGCCAAGATGCAATGGATTCAGTCATTTATTTAGAACTGAGAAACTAAATAAAAGAACTTCACAGTGACATTGCCACTATCTGATATCAAAAGACTAAAACTTGTTACAGCAAACAATTTTGCCTTCTTGGTTCCATATAACGAGATAAGTAGTTTGCCTTAATAGTTTTCAGTGCACTTGGGTGGGCCTATTAAAAATACGGTTTTATAGCATCAATTTGCAAAAATATAAGAGGTGGCAAAGGAAAGAATAAAATAATATCTTCATTTTCTTTTGTCATTCTTAGATCCTTTAGTAGATTATAAGCTCCATGAAAGCAAGACACTTTCCTTTTCCCTAAGCCCTGGACCAGAGAAGGTACTCAAAAAATATTTGCTTACACACTAACCTAGTCTCTGGATGTGATCTTCTAGAAGAATTCTTGATGTGTGTATGCAAGGAGATGTGTAAAGAATGTTTATTTCACTATTATTTTTAATTGTAAAAACCTGGAATCAATGTCTTTTAGAAGAATTGCCAAAACCAACCTATTTATGTGAGAAATAGATATATAAAAGCTGACTGGTATTTAATAGGAAATCATTTATTATTAACATTTTATTTATAGTCATACTGGATATTTATTATTGATTTAAATTGCACATATGATTCAGGTATGGTTAAGGTCAGTATTTCTGCTTCGTGCTGAAATATTCTCAATTGTTTTGGCTAAATTATACTGTCCATTATGCTGTATTTATATCCATGATGGTATATTGAACATTCAAGGGTTACAAAGTAAAAAATCCAAATATTGAAAAAAAACATGATTATTCTGCCCATCTGTCAAAGTTCAGCTTAGATTTCACCTGGTGCGAGGAGTTTCCCCAGATCTAGTATTTTACTTATCAGAGCTTAGCTGGTATTAGAGTCATTGGGATATGCACCTGCTTTCCCAACTAGATTATAAGACAACACATAAAATGAAGACCCAGCATGGAGCTGAGCACAGTGCCTGGCACAGGACAAATAGGCATTTAGTGAACATGTGCTGCTTCCTTCCTCCTAGAGGACAGCGGTGTCTAACTTATCTTTGCAGGCTTCCCACAACCCTAGCAGTGTCATGTATATGCTCAGAAAACACTTGATAAAGTGGATTGTATTTGATTCCAAATTATCAAGTCCTAAATGAACTTAAGGTCATGAGATTATGCTTTAGATCTCAGAACACAGACGCTTTTTGATAAATCATTTTTAATAGGGCCTAAAAATGTCATGTGTAATTAGGTACTTGATCCATTGTAATAATGGCCATCAGATGACAATGGTGATAGAAAATCATATCTGTTTTATCTGAATTCAGAGATGCAGCACATATCTGTTTATCATACACCCTTCACCTTCCCAAAACATGATTACTTGATTCATAAGAATTATAGACACTTTTATGTCACTTCACAGATTCAAACCAGCATACATAATTTCCTCTTAATTTCATACATATCAAATTCCAGATTGCTTTTATTTGCAACGAAAAAAAAATGTTTTCCACTTTTAATTGCATATTGAGATGAGGGAAAATCCTGCTGCTTTCAACTAAAATGTAATTTGTTTCTAAATTCAAATTTTACTTTTTCTAGACTGTTTCTGTTAGATTTTGTTTTGCTCTCTACTTCTGTGAGGATGACACTTCACTATGTCTTTCTGCCTCAGAAGCCCATTACCATAGCATACTCTTCTCTGAACTTCCAGCCAGCCCCACTTATGATAGAGCAGCCTTGATGTGTATGCAGTCATTGCTTTCTAGGTCCTCCAGGCTCTCCAGGAATAACAAGGCATCACCTCTTTAGTTCTTCTTCTCTCTCTTGTCATCAGAGTGTTCACCAAGGTCACACCATTCTTTATCCCCAGTCCCAGTTTCTCTCCAGCTCATCCTCCTTCTTTATCTACACCACCACTTTGTAGGTTTCCAATCCTTAGTTACTTCACACAAAAACTATTATAACAGTGTCTAAAGCAGTGATTTTATGACACATAAACTTCAATGACTCCTCAATGCCACAATAAAATCCGAATACAGCCTGATGTATTTATCTCTACTTAAATTCTACTAGAACTTGGGATAAACCTGTTTTTGTTCTACTAATCACTTCAAACTTTAGTTTTCCTTTCTTAGAAACATGCCTTTTGTTTTGTACACTCAGCTCGAATTTCTTCTCTCCTAAAGTTTTCTCATAGGTAGGTATGGTGGCATGTGCGTGTAGTCCTAGCTATTCAGGAGGCTGAGGTGAGAGATCACTTGAGCCCAGGAGTTTGAGCCTGCAGCAAGCTATTATGGCACCACTGCACTCCAGCCTGGGTGACAAAGACTTTGTCTCTTTTAAAAAATTAGTTTTTTCATATGTATCTTATTTCTCCATCTGGAGTGTAAGTGCTGAGTCTGAGGGGTAGCAGGGAATCTGACACTTAAATTCCCCTTTATCTTATATACACTTACATGGTGTTCAATACCAAGCAGACACCAAACAAATCATTGTTGGTTTTTTTTTTAATTATTTGTTTTATTGCCATTAAATATGCTGGTTTCAGGATCTAAAATATTCTCCATGTTTGATTGGGTTTGAAAAAGTAATACAAGAAAAAATAAGAAGTGAATCCCCCTTATGTATTGTCTGTTACTTTTCAGTCAAATAATTTTGCTTGGATTGTGAATGCCAGTGTGAAAGCAGACCCCAACACTGCATCACAAATGCCTCATTATCCACTCCACAGAAGCACAGCATGCTGATGCAGTCTTATTCATCAAAGGTATTTCCTGAAGAAGGAAAAAAATCACCATCATTTACGTGCCCATGCCTTTTATTTTGAAACATATGGAATGCAGGCCTTTGCACATTTTCAGGAATTTACCACAATAGGTGATGCCCAAGCCAATGGTTTTATTGTTATAAAACAGATGAGATGGCTGTTCCCAAACAAAGCTGAGAACACATGACCAAAACTGTCCCCTGCTCATTACAGTCCCTTTGAAAAATTTACCATCACAATTATCCATTTGTGTTTCATCCCTCTCAGTGAGGATACTAGCTTGGACTTTAGCTCTGCTAACTACATCAAGCTAATGTTCTCATTAGCCTCCCAAAATTATCACCCACCACCATGAGAGAAGAACAGTATGTCAAGAACAGTGGAAGGAATACACAATCCAACCTGTGGTCCAAAGGGGAAAAAAATGAAGGACAAGCAACTGAAGCTTTATATTTATTTGTTTGCTTGCTTTGAATTTATAGAAGGGCATTATGGAACTATTTTAACAACCACATCTTCTTGATGTTCAAAGTGGCAATGAGTCCTGGACTCTTTAGGGAGAGGTAGAAGACAAGACTCATGCTCAGGCTTCTGCTGGCTTTCGGGGGCCTCACTGTTCTTAAATGCCTGCCTTAAAGTTTTGAGACTTTTTCCTACTGTACAACACATAAGATAGAATTCATGATTTTTTTTTTTACTTCCTAACTCCTGAGCGCCATTAAAAAAATCATAACTGGAAATAAATAAATTTTGTTAGATCAAGGCATCATTCTGTAAGAGAAGGCTGTTTACCTGTTTTGCCCATTCTAAGTTATAGAATCTCATCCATAGTAACAGGTAGCATCCAAATTTCTGTAAGCAACAATTCCCAAAAGTTTCTGATTTATGAGGCTTTTGACAAGGATAGAAGAATTTATTGAAAATGACTTGATTGATTCTAGTGATCAGAATACAAGTGTTTATAATATTGTACTTTTTTCATCTTATTTCATGTCTTTTCAAAATATTTTTAAATGATTAAGCCTACATTCTTGAATGGAAAATGTATCCAGGTTACAATACCTACGTTTTCACACTAACTCAATGGGATGTATCTAGGATTCTGATACTCTTTTTTTTCCTCCTCTCCAATAATCTGGGGATGAGTTTGAAAAAATGTTTAGCCACAATACCTACAGTTTTACACCAACTCAATGGGATATGTCTAGGATTCTGATACTCTTCTTTGTTTCCTCTTCATCAATGATCTGGGGATGAGCTCTAAACAATGTTTAGAACACAAGGTCTGCCCTCAAATGAGTCTTCTTTACTGTGTTCCTCACCATCTGAGCTGGGAGCTCATGCATTTCTGATCATGCAGAATCCTTGCTTTTTTTTTGTTAACTCCAACAGTGGTTTTGTAATGTTGTTGCTCTGTCTCTTTAAAAGCACATTCTGTTTCTGAGTCTCCTTGGCAGCTGCTTTCCCTTTGTGGAATCAGTTTTTCATTGCATTGACAGTGGAATAGAAAATGTAAAGCCTGTTTGATGAGTGAAGTCTCTAGCTTACAGTCAAACTGAAAAGCAGATTCCCACTTGCATAATGCTTTATACTTCTGTATAATACCATTAAACATCCCTAGGCAACACTAGCTTAGAACTTTGCTTCATGGCTGATATGGTTTGGCTGTGTTCCCACCCAAATCTCATCTTGAATTGTAGCTCCCATAATCCCTACGTGTCATGGTAGGGGGCCCAATGGGAGATACTTCAATCATAGGGTGATTACCCTCATGCTGTTCTTGTGATAGTGAGTGAGTTCTCTCAACATCTAATAGTTTTATAAGGGGGTTCCACCTTCATTTGGCATTCATTCTCTCTCCTGGCGCCCTGTAAAGAAGTGCCCTCCACCATGACTGTGAGTTTCTTGAGGCCTCTCCAGCCATGGAGAACTGTGAGTCAATTAAACCTCTTTTCTTTATAAATTATGCAGTCTCAGATATTTCTTTATAGCAGCATGAGAACAGACAGATACAGTAAATTGGTAGTGGCAGTGGGGTGCTGCTCTAAGGTTACCCAAAAAGGTGGAAGCAACTTTGGAACTGGGTAAAAAGCAAAGGTTGCAACAATTTGGAGGGCTCAGAAGGCAGGAAAATATGGGAAAGTTTGGAACTTCCCAGAGACTTGGAGGGCTCAGAAGACAGGAAGATGTGGAAAAGTTTGGAATTTCCCAGAGACTTGTTGAATGACTTTGACCAAAATGCTGATAGTGATATGGACAATAAAGTCCAAGCTGAGATGGTCTCAGATGGAGATGAGAAATTTTTGAGGAACTGGAGTAACAGTCACTCTTGCTGTGCAAAGAGATAGATGGCATTTTGCCCTTGCCCTAGAGATCTGTGGAACTTTGAACTTGAGAAAGATGATTTAGCGTATCTGGCAGAAGAAATTTCTAAGCACCAAAGCATTCAAGAGAAAGCCGAGCATAAAAGTTTGGAAAATTTGCAGCCTGATGATGTGATAGGAAAGAAAACCCCATTTTCTGGGAAGAAATTCAAGCCTGCTGCAGAATTTTGCATAAGTAATGAGGAGCCAAATGTTAATCACCAAGACAATGGGGAAAATGTCTCCAGAGCATATCAAAGACTTTCATGGAAGCTCCTCCCATCATAGGGCTGGAAGCCTAGGAGAGAAAATGGTTTCCTAGGTGTATTAGCCTGTTCTCACACTGCTAATAAAGACATACTCAAGATTGGGTAATTTATAAAGAAAAACAAGCCTAATGGACTCATAGTTCCACAGGGATGGGAGGCCTCACAATGATGGCAGAAGGCAAAGGAGGAACAAAGGCACATCTCACATGGCAGCAGGCAAGAAAGCTTGTGCAGGGGAATGAAACCTTGTGCAGGGGAACTCCCAGCTATAAAACCATCAGATCTCATGAGATTTATTCACTACCATGAGAACAGAATGGGGAAAACCACTCCCATGATTCAATTATCTTCACCTGGCCCCACCCTTAACACGTGGGGATTATTACAATTCAAGGTGAGATTTAGGTGGGGACACAGCCAAACCATATCACTGGGCCAGGTACAAGGCCCCCCACATGCTGTGTGCAGCCTCAGGACTTGGTGCCCTGCATCTTGGCTGCTCCAGCCATGGCTAAAAGGGGCCAAGGTACAGCTCAGGCCATGGCTTCAGAGGGTGCAAGCCCCAAGCCTTGGTAGCTTCCATGTGGTGTAGAGCCTGTGGGTACACAGAAGTCAAGAATTGAGGTTTGAGAACCTCTGCCTAGATTTCAGTGGGTGTATGGAAACACCTGGATATCCAGGCAGAAGTTTGCTACAGGGGTGGAGCCCTCATGGAGAACTTCTGCTAGGGCACTGTGGAAGGGAAATGTAGGGTCAGAACACCCACACAGAGTCCCCACTGGGGCACTGACTAGTGGAGCTGTGAGAAGAGAACCACCATCCTCCAGACCCCAGAATGGTAGATCCACCAACAGCTTGCACCATGCACCTGGAAAGGCCACAGGCAGTCAATGCCAGCCCATGAAGAAGCCAGGCAAGGGGCTGTACCTTTCAAAGCCACAGGTTTGGAGCTGCTCAAGGCTGTGGGAGCCCACCTCTTGCATCAGCATGACCTGGATATTAGACAGGGAGTAAAATAAAACATTTTGAAACTTTAAGATTTAATGACTGCCCTATTGGCTTTCATACTTGCATGGGACCTATAGCCCCTTCATTTTGGCCAACTTCTCCCATTTGGAATGGGTCTATTTAATGAGTGCCAGTACCCCCATTGTATCTAGGAAGTAACTAACTTGCTTTTGATTTTACAGGCTCATAGGTGAAAGGGACTTGCCTTGTCTCAGATGAGACTTTGGACTTGGACTTTTGAGTTAATGCTGGAATGAGTTAAGATTTTGTGGGACTGTTAAAAGTGCATGATTGCATTTTGAAATGTGAGGACATGAGATTTGGGAGGGGCCAGGGGGAGAATGATGTGGTTTGGCTGTGTCCCTACCCAAAGCTCATCTTGAATTGGAGTTCCCATAATTCCCACATGTCATGGGAGGGACCCAGTGAGGGGTAATTGAATCATGGGGGCGGTTAACCTCATGTTGTTCTTGTGATAGTGAGTTCTCATAAGATCTGAAGGTTTTATAAGGGGCTTCTCCCTTCACTTGGCACTCATTCTTTCTCCTGCCACCCTGTGAAGAGGTGCCTTCTGCCATGATTGTAAGTGTCCTGAGGCCTCTGAAGCCGTGCAGAACTGTGAGTCAATTCAACCTACTTCCTTTTTAAATTACCCATTCTCGGGTATTCATAGCTGCATGAGAACAAACTAATACAATGACCAATATCCTCTAGTTTATACATAAAACATATTCAGGACACAAAGAGAACTTTTATTGTAAAAAAAAAAAAAAAGAAAACCAGTTTTTATTATTAGATACTATATATGCAGCACTTGACCTTCTTTGAAGCTGAATCATTTTGTTAATAATATATTAATATACATTTATTACTTAGTACAATTTGAAATAAAAGTAACTCAATTATAAAATTGTAAAAACAAACAGTTCAATTTAAGTTTTAATGGATATTGTAATAGAAAACTAGAAAATTCAGTTCAGGTTGAGAGATCAATGTGGAAATAAATTGCAAAGAGTCCATAATTACGTGGAAGTTTAAACTTGCATAGAGTTATCAAAGGACTGGGCCAACTGAAAAAGGAATTCAATAAGGCTGCACATCAAAGGACATTCTTCCACAGAGAAGAGTGCCCAATTCTACCAACACAGCAGGTCATCGATGAACAGGATATACCCTGCAACATCATTGCTGTAATGTTTAAGTAATAAGATATTGGGTCATTTATCAAAGAATGGTGTTGGTACTAAAGATTAGCAAAACTTTTATACTGAAAAAAAGGCAGGGACATTGAACCCAAAGGTGGTTTGCTGCCACTACAATCACAGCTGCGTGTCATATCTCTGACCTGCCAATGGTTACCTATCTAATTAACTCATCTATGGTTATGAAAAACAAACTATAGAAACATTAAGGTGACTATGGGTAGATATGTTTCCCTAGGGGCAAAACTTTGATTGACAAATCTGTTAAAAACATAATTATTTGTCTTTGGAAGAAATTTTTAAACATTCTTCACTGAGATGTTAAATTGAAAAGATATCAGCTATTTTATTAGGCAATTTCTCAAATTATTCTAATTATCCAAACCTCCCTAATGTCCTTTGATGTTCTTTCTAGTGAAATACTAAATTTACACTGCACTCAGAGGTGCAAAGAAAACGTAACTTCTTTCTCTATATAATCTTTCTCTCTATTAATCTTCCTTACATATGTCTACACAATGGATAGTACAAAGAAACATTAATTTAAGCCCTATTCAGTGCAACAATTTAAACAATTCCTTTAGCTAAATGCTTTGTCACTAAGTAATATGGTTCATCTCTCAGATTCTCCTCCCTTCTGCTCTGCAAAAGTGGAGAGTAGGTGAAAGAAAAATAATAGGAAATATAAGAGAGGCCAGTTGATGAAGGGGCCTATATGCCATGCTAAGAAATTTGGATGATGTTCTATGGACAACAGGAAGTCGTTTTAGCAGTTTTAGTTTATAAGTTTGAGTTGGACACTGCTAGTTAGCCAACTCAACATCAATTCCCACCCTCTTTCCTCCTTGCCCACCTCCAACAATGGAGGCTGAAAAAATGAGACATTCACTTACTAACAGACCTTACAGCTAAGAGTGCTTTTTGACCCAATTCTGGCCAATGAACTATAAGGGGTGATAAAAGAAAAACTTCAGCCAAATTAAATTTAAAGGAGTCTAATTGAGCAATGAACGAGCAGCCTTCTGAGCCAAAGCAGGCTCAGAGACTCCAGCACAGCCACGTGGCAGAAGAAGATTTATGGACAGAAAAAGGAAAGCAATGTATAGAAAATGGAGGTGATGTACAGAAATAGCTGGATTGGTTACAGCTCAGCATTTGTGTTACACGAACATTGTTTGAACAGTTGGCTACATTTGCTTGGCCAAAACTCAGTGATTGGCACAAATGTAGTCTACGATCTGTTTACACCTCTACTTGTTATTATTCACAATGTACAGAAAAACCTTCAGGCTGAACTTAAATATGCTAAGGAGGCAGCTTTAGGCTAAACTTGATTTAACAGGGGAAATCTGTTGGGAACCCCCTCTTGAAAGCTTTGTCTCCCTAGAAAAAAGAACAGAATTTCACAAGGCTTTTAGGTATGAAGCCTTTGAAGTAAGACATGCTACATGGCATTGTAGCTGCTGCCATCTTGCTACCATGAAGCACCAAGCACGAGGGCAAAAATCCAACAGTGAAGCAGAAGTAAACAAACAGCCACTTCTTTATGGTATCACAGAAACACTGTACCAGCTCTGGACTGATATCTCCAGACAAATCCTCCTATGTGATGCAAATTATGTTTTATTACTTAAATCACAACTAGTTGAGTTTCCTTTTATTTGCAGGTGAGCACAGCATTCAAAATTGATACAGTATTATGTATATTACTCTGACCAGAGTGGGGTTTTGAAAAGGAACAAGACTAGAGTTACAGAAATTATTTACGGAGTTGTTGCAATAATTCAAGCAAAAGATGGAATGGGACCTGAAAACAGAAGGGAAATACATAAACACGCAGAAGAAAACAAAATCATTTAACTTTGCTGTAGGAATGGTGTGGGACAGGCAATTAGGTTTTGGCTTGGATTACTGGGCCACAGGACATAAAAGTAGCAGATTTGAGTGTGAATATGAATTTCATTGTGAGAAATGTCACGTCTGAAGTACCTGCGCAACATCCTGTTTAAGTATCTAGTGGGCAAACAAACCTGTAAGTAAGTAAAAACATTTCTATCTAGAGATATCAATTTGGGACTCATTAAGGTCACAGCTAAACCTGCTAAAGTGGAAGAGGTCATCAAGAGAGTGTGAGGAACTAGAGGAGCCACAGACAAAAGCCTAAAGAACGTCAAGATTTAAGAAGGCAAAAGTAGAATAAGGAGCAAGCAAAGACTGAGAAGAAATACTGAGAGAGGTATAAAAACAAATAAATAATAAGCACCAGGTCTAAGCAGCCAGAACATCTGAACCAGTTTATCCTGGCTGAGCCTTAGCCTTACACGTAAAATTGTCAAAAGTTAAAACTGCCAGAAAAAAATATGAAACTAAACCAAAATTGAATTTACTGCTTAAAGTATTGATTTATTTAAAAGTTTAAAACCTATTCTAGTGGCTGTTACCATGACTATAGAAGAGGCAGACATTTTCTAACAGTAGGGGATTTTTTTTTTAATTCTCAAAGTTAAATGTTACAATGATTAAATAAGATAAAGACTGACATGTGTCCATTGGATTTAGCAATTTAAACTCAGGAGTAATTTTAATGAAGTAGATGAAGAACTAAAATACTACAATTTTATGCTAAGCTAGTCATGCTTAGAGTCTTCTCCTAGATCAGGAAGCAAAGGAAAAAGCTGTCTCAAGGAAGTTATAAAGGGGAGTGGGAAAGTAAAACTAGCATTTATTGGTAGGCTACCACATGCTAGAAGTTGTGCTAGGCACCTGCCATATGCTATCTCATTTAACTCTCGTAACTATGCCTTAAGCATTCCTCAGGAGCAGTAGTAGTATTCTGAGGCTCAGGACATTAAACAACATTTCCAAGGATATACAGCTAGTGATTGGCAGGAAAAGAGCTTGAGACCAGGCTTGTGTCACTTCAAAGCCCAGGCTTAGGCCATTGCACCACATTGCTACTAAAGAAGAGATGAGGTGAGCTATGAGAAGCACCTCCTCTGTCTCCTCCAGTCTTCCCCTTCTCCTCCTAAACTACTCCCCCAAACCCCCTGTAAGACAGTGACCAGGAATGTAGATGCAACTGGAAACTCTGAGAGTACACACCCTGTGAAATATGCCCAAATAAAGCCATGGCATTGCTCACAAATGAAGCATGACAGAAGAGCAGGTATTTCTATTCACTCATAATAAATTTTTAAAATATTCAATTTTCCAAATGTTTTATGTAGGTGGCTATTAAAACTGTGCAACACTTGGCCAAGTGTCAAGCAAGTTGTCTTCTTGACTGACAGCTATTCAAGCATTATTACTTTAAATTACAAAATGACACTTTCCATATGAGAAATCTACAGCTCATGAAGCAATGTTAACAATCTTAAGGTTGAAGTGAGTCACAAAGTAAACAAAATGCATATTGGTAATTTGGTAATAGCTTCTTATTATTATTTATACGTCTTAATCCATCCTGGGTTGTACCGCTTTCTTTCTGTGGTACATAGAAACATATGACTCTTGAGCTTCTCCAAGAACTTTTAGTCTTTGGGGATGCTGCTTTTAAAAAAACTAAAGAGTACATTTGATGAGAATCTATGACATGGCATGCTGGTTCTAAATCCATGCTATTTTAGACTGCTGTACAGTGTGACCTGTCACAGAAGAAAAACACTAAAACTGAGTTAGCTATCTCCCTGAAGTACCTACATGGGGAATTCTCACATTCCCTCAGAAAATATCTCCACTGGTTATGTCATTTACTGAACCATTATCTCCTGACTGTGTCTTGGGGTGATGGTAAGGCATTCAGCTACATCCTGGAATAGTCTATCTTCTCATCAAAATGACAGCTTTAAGTAGAAATGATAATCTAAATTTTATAACAGCATGTGAGAAATTCTTCCTTTGTGTATTTGTTTTTCTTTTTTTCCTTTTTTTTTTTTGAGACGGAGTCTCACTCTTCTTGCCCAGTCTGGAGTGCAATGGCATGATCTTGGCATACTGCAACCTCCACCTCCTGGGTTCAAGCGATTCTCCTGTCACTGCAACCTCCACCTCCTGGGTTCAAGTGATTTTCCTGCCTCAGCCTCCCAAGTAGCTGGGATTACAGGTGCTTGTCACCACGCCTGGCTAATTTTTTGTATTTTTAGTAGAGACAGGGTTTCACCATGTTGGCCAGGCTAGTCTCGAACTCCTGACCTCAGGTGATCCACCCACCTCGGCCTCCCAAAGTGCTGGGATTACAGGCGTGAGCCATCGTGCGTGGTCCCTTTGTGTTTCTTACCATGCAATGCTGCTGCCTACAAAATGGTGTGAAATATACAAGCTGTTTTGTTATACAAAGAAATTCACTAAACGAATTTCAATCTTTATGCCATTTCACTTTGATGATGCACTTAAAGCATGTTAGGAAGAGACTGGAGGAAACCCAAATATGAACAGCTGTAATTAATTCAATAGAGATTATTCACTGAAATGTTCAATCTTCATTATTAGAAACTACCACTCAATCCCATCCCACCAAATTCTGTTCATGAATTAGCTAAGAATTTTCCCACTTAAATTAATACTGCCATCGTTCAAAGCATGTCCTATGGGCTGTAATCCTTCTACAGCTGAGTAGCTCCAGATGGGCCCCTATCAGGCCCCCCAGAATGATTAATTCTACCCAAGGTATGGAGAATAAAGCTTTTTAAAAAAATCATTAAAAGCAAGTCCCAGCATCCAAAAGCACCACACTTCTTTGCAAGGAGAGCAAACAGCTTGCTGCCACCTAGACAATAACCCAAGGAAAAGATCTCTTGCCATATGAGATAGGCAGCCTGATACCGGCTGATGGTAACAGATGGATGTACAGGAATAATTCGGCAGAATGAGAGTCACTCTGGGACAGCCAAGGGAAGGGTCTCCAGGACTGTCAACAGGAGAAGACAGACAGTGGAGTGGGGAAGGATTTGATGGGGAAAAGTGGTTTCTAAAAACAGATGGGTGTACGTCAGGTTGATTATTGATTAGCAAGGCAACTTTCAAAAGTGAAGAGAGTATTCTCTCTTTGAGTGTATCTAAAGAAATTCTAGCAGGAGATGTGGAAGGGGTGAAATCATGCCAAGGCAGCACATTATTAAACGGGCCTTGCCCCAAAGGTTCATTGGATTCCCCTTCATGGAATCCAAAGTTTCAATAAAGCTTTTTGTTCCTCAGAGTGGAGAAGGCAACAAATCAAAACTTCATGCTTCTTGTGGATATCTCCACCAGTGAAAGGAAGTAGTATGTCTGAGATCCACAAGTACTTGAAGATAACCCAAATGGGTACAATGCAATCTGTCCCTAAGAAATTTTCCCTGGTTGCCCTTTTTAAAAATCAGAGCCCTAGAGGGGAAAGAATTTGCTATTCAATAAGCCATGGAGAGGATTGTAGGTAAAAGTCATATATCTAATAAGAGAAAAGGCTTCTAACATCTCAGGAGGTTATGATGGGCAGCAATTGACATTGAACCCCAGGCTGAAGGCTAGTTGGAGGTTTTAAAACTTTAGCTGGGGAAGCAATTTCCCCTTAGGTTAGGAAGCCTGGAGGCTTATTGTTTTATTTTCAAATATTATATCTAACAAATGCTGCCATGCAATCAGATAAGTTAAAAGTCAAAAGAAAACAAAAACAAAACTCAGTGAGCTCCTCAAAAGATTAAATAGGGTTAGAAGTCCACTGAGCCACAGACTACAAGGGCAATCAAGCCAAAACTACTGCTTTGATTTTTCTTGTATAACCCTCACATCTCTGACCCATGTAATATTTTAAGCCCTGAATAACTTAAGATTCACTGTTACCTGATTCTAAATAAGGCTGTTCTTATTGTGTGTCTTTGATTCTTATTTTGCTACTTTTCAGAAAAATGTGTCTTTCCATAGTTAGTTTTTAGGAGGACTGCTATAGATAGAATCAAAGATGAATAGCTGTACCTCATATCTATGCCAAGATTGAGACTGAAAACAGGAAATTTTGGTGTTATTGTGTTTGTATTACTCACTCATCTGCTTCATCCCTCATGTTTCCAACATAAAATGGAATCATTTGTGAAACTTGAAAATTCCTCTCAAAGTCTTCTATGAAACTGCTATCAACATATAAAGCAGAACTATAAAGCAACAGCCAACAAATTACATAAAAGAGGTTTTCCTCTCTCTTGAATGTTTGACATTATGGTCTCTTGGCCAGTCATTAGCCCCCAAGGATGGGTCAGTGATCTTTTAGCTCTGCTTTAGTTAAACCTTCACGTGTTCCTTAGTCATCCCTGAAAAATATTAGAAGACAGCAGTCTCCCTTACTCATGGTTTCATTTTCTGTGATTTCAGTTACCTGCAGCCAACCACAGTCCAAAAATATTACAAGGATGATGCTGGCCTCATAGAATGAGTTAAGGAGGAATCCCTCCTATTCAATTTTTTGGAATAGTTTCAGTAAAAATGGCACCAGCTTCTCTTTGTACCTCTAGTAGAATTCACTTATGAATCTCTCTGGTCCTGGGCTTTTTTTTGTTTTTCGTTTTTTTTTTTTTTTGGTTGGAAAAAATCTGTGACCTGGACAAAAGTAGTTATAATAGAATAAAGGAAACAGAGGCTCAATTAGAGTAGAAAAGGGGAAAAAAGGGAAGTAGAAATAACAAATATTTATGTTATAGGAAATTATGCTGGAATGCGGAGCAGAAAAAACAGATCATAGCTGGAAAAGCAATATATGGGAGGATATTTTAAAGATAGGATAACCTGAAATTATGGTGGGCTATTTATTCCTGCCTTAATTTCAGAACTTGTCATTGGTCTAGAATGAGAAATGTAAATCTACCAAAGTCGAATGATTCCCAAAACAAACTATCAACTAATAGAAGTGGGTTCTGATTTCCCATTTTCAGTACGCAATCCACTTTGAGGCACTAGTGCAGAGATTTCCTCAGAATTTTGAGATCCCTGGTATCTGCACCCATCTCCCACCATCCACATCTGGCCCAAGATATGGGCCCAAATGCTGGGCCTTCAGCAATTTCTTTGAGTAATCTTCAAGGGTTAGCAAAGGACCAAAAAGAAAGGGTGAAGGAGGGAGCTTCATACTGTCACCCACAGTATCCCAGTTATCACTGAAATTTAGAGGTAACTCTCAGTAGGCTGAAGTACAGCAGCACTCAAGTACAGATCCATGGGGCTGGCTTCCAGATCATCTGGCACAGACAGTACCTGCTCAGGCTTACACACCTGAGGAGGCAACTGGAAATGCAGCGAGCAGCAAGGAGGCTTACAAGAATGCTGTTAGGTAAACAATGAAATTAAGGCAGATATTTAAAAATTCTTTGAGATAAGTGAAAACACAGACACAGCATACCAAAATCTCTTCGGTACAGCAAAAGCAGTGTTAAGAGAGAAGTTTATAGTGCTAAACACCTACCTCAAAAAGTTAGGAAGATCTCAATTTCACAATCTAACATCACACCTAGAGTAACTAGGAAAAAAAGTACAAACTAACCCCAAAGCTGGCAGAAGAAAAGAAATAAATAAAATCAAAGCAGAACTGAATGAAACTGAGACCCAAAAGTCCATATAAAAAATCAATGAAACTGGCTGGGCACGGTGGCTCACACATGTAATCCCAGCACTTTGGGAGGCCGAGGCGGGCAGATCACGAGGTCAGGATATCGAGACCATCCTGGCTAACACGGAAACCCCATCTCTACTAAAAATACAAAAATTTAGCCAGGCATGGTGGCATGCACCTGTAGTCCCAGCTACTCAGGAGGCTGAGGAAGGAGAATGGCATGAACCCGGGAGGCGGAGCTTGCAGTGAGCCGAGATCATGCCACTGCACTCCAGCCTGGGCAACAGGGCGAGACTCCATCTCAAAAAAAAAAAGTCAATGAACCCAAAAACTCGTTCTTTGAAAAAATGAACAAGATTAATAGACTGCTAGCTAGGTCAACAAAGGAAAAACAGAGAGAAGATTCAAATAAGCACAATCAGAAACAACAAAGGTGACATTACAACCAATCCCACAGAAGTACAAAAGATCTTCAGAGACTATTATAAACACCTCTACTGACACAAAGTAGAAAATCTAGAGGACATGCACAAATTCCTGGAAACATAAAATTTCTCAAGATTGAATCAGGAAGAAATTGAAACACTGAACAGATCAGTATTAAGTTCTGAAATTGAAGCAATAACAAAAAACCTACCAATCAAAAAGTGCCCCTGACCAGATGGATTCACAGCCAAATTCTACAAGATGCACAAAGAAGAGCTGGTACCAATTCTACTAAAACTATTCCAAAAAAACAAGGAGGAGGGTCTCTTTCCCAACTCATTCTACAAAGCCAACATCAGCCTGATACCAAAACACGGCAAAGACACAATGAAAAAAGAAAACTAAAGGCCAACATACCTGATGAACATAGGCACAAAAATCCTCAACAAAATACTGCAAACCAAATCCAACAAGATATCAAACAGTTAATTTGCCATGATAAAGTAAGCATCATTCCTGGGATACAAGGTTGGTTCAACAAACACAAAAGAATAAATGCAATTCACCACATAAACAGAATTGAAAACAAAAACCATATTATCATCTCAATGGATGCAGAAAAAGCTTCCAATAAAATCCATCTTCCCTTCATGATAAAAACATCCTAGGAACAAGGCATCAGTGGAAAATACCTCAATATCATAAGAGCCATTTATGACAAACCCATAGACAATATCATACTGAGTGGGCAAAAACAGGAAGCATTCCCCTTGAGAACTGGAATGAAACAAGGGTGCCAACTCTCAGCACTCCTACTCAACACAGTACTGGAAGTGCTAGCCAGAGCAATCAAGCAAGAGAAAGAAATAAAAAGTATCCAAATAGGAAATAAAGTCAAACTATCTCTCTTCATGAATGATATAATCCTATATCAAAAAAACCTAAAGTTTATCAGTTCTGAAAAAAATCTGGAACTGATAAACAACTTCAGTAAAGTTTCAGTATACAAAATCGATGTACAAAAATTAGTGGCATTTCTATACATCAATAGTATTCAAGCTGAGAGCCAAATCAAGAATGCAATCCCATTCATAATAACCACAATAAGAATAAAATAACTAGAAATACAGCTAACCAAGGAGGTGAAAAAATCTCTAAAAGGAAAATTACAAAACACTGCTAAAAGAAATCATAGGTGATGCAAACAAATGGAAAAATATTCCGTGCTCATTAGTTGGAAGAATCAATATTGTTAAAATGGTTATTTAATAGGGCCCAAAGAAATCTACAGATTCAATGCTATTCCTACCAAATTACCAGTATCATTTTCCACAGAACTAGAAAAAACTATTCTAATATTTATACGAAACAAAAAAAGAGCCTGAATACCAAAGCAATCCTAAGCAAAGGAACACAGCTGGAGGCATCACATTACCTGTTTCAAACTCTACAATAAGGCTACTTTAACCAAAATAGCATGGTACTTGTATAAAAACAGACACAACAGACCAATGGAACAGAATACAGAACCCGGAAATGAAGCCACACACACACCTATAGCCATTAGATCTTTGACAAAGTCAACAACAATAAGCATTAGGGAGAGGGCTCTCTCTTCCATAAATGATCCTTGGATAGCTGACTAGACAGATGCAAAAGAATAAAAATTGACCTCTACCTTTCACCACAAACAAAAATTAACTCAAGTTGAATTAAAGATTTAAATGTAAAACCTCAAACTATAAAGGAAAATCTAGGAAACTTAAGGAAGACCTAGGAAACACCATTCTGGAAATCGGCCCTGAGAAACACCATTCTGAACGTCGGCCCTGAGAAAGAATTTATAAGTAAGTCTTCAAAAGCAATTGCAATAAAAACAAATATTGACAAGTAGGATCAAATTAAACTAAAGAGTTTCTGCACAACAAAAGAAGCTATCAACAGAGGAAACAGACAACCTACATAATGGGAGAAAATATTCACAAACTACACATCTGACAATAGTCTAATAGCCAGAATCTATAAGTAATTTAAACAATTCCACAAGCAAAAATCAAATAACCCCATTAAAAATTGGGCAGAAAATATGACAGATAATTTCTCTAAAGAAGACATGCAAATGGCAATAGATACATGAAAAAAGATGCTCCACATCACTAATCATCAGATAAATGTAAATAAAAACCACAATGCAATACCATCTAATACCAGTCAGAATGACAATTATTAAAAAGTCAAAAAACTACAGATGGTGGCAAGGCACAGATGCAGGCTGGGCACGGTAGCTCACGCCTGTAATCCCAGCACTTTGGGAGGCCGAGACGGGTGGATCACCTGAGGTCAGGAGTTTGAGACCAGCCTGGCCAACATGGTGAAACTCCAGCTCTACTAAAAATACAAAAATTTGCCAGTTGTGGTGAAAGGCACCTGTAATCCCAGCTACTTGGGAGGCTGAGGCAGGAAAAATCCCTTGAACCCCGGAGGTGGAGGTTGCAGTGAGCCGAGATCGAGCCATTGCACTCCAGCCTGGGCAACAAGAGTGAAACTCTGTCTCAAAAAATAAATAAATAAATAAAATAAAAATACAAAAATTAGCCGGGCTTGGTGGCACACGCCTGTAATCCCAGCTACTCTGGCGGCTCAGGCAGGAGAATAGCTTGAACCTGGGAAGCGGAGGTTGCAGTGAGCAGAGATCGCGCCACTGCACTCCAACGTGAGACAGAGCGAGACTCTGTCAAAAGAAAAGAAAAAAAAAGAGAAGAGAAGAGAAGAAAAAAGAAAAGAAAAGAAGGAAGGAAAGAAAATTGTTGATTTTTGTTTTCTTAAGAGGGTGGCTATCTCACTAATTAAGATTCAGGTCCCCCTTATTTGAGACGGTTGCTACAGTGTGTGGCTTCATATTCTTTGATAATTGATAGTTTGGAAAAGATTTCATCTGTTTTGCAGCTTACCATCAGTAAAGTCATACAAATTTATTAAGAATGCTATCAAATTTGGGTAAATTTCCATTAAGGTTTTTGTCTGTAGTGGCGCTGGTGATCTGTATGTGTGTATTTGTGTGTGCTTTTCATATAGAAGTGCTAATACTTGAAAGAATTTCCAGCAGACTAGCTTCTGGTTCTATATATTTCAAACTTTATTTCTCTTCCACTCTCAACATAAATTCAAAGCTAGATACTACAGGACATTATCATACAACTTCTAACCCTGCCCCTTGTAACTCAGCACAAGGAGTAGTGGGCATATGGCTACCTCAGGACAGCTAGCCATAGCTAATCTATAGTCAGAAATGACTGCAAGCTATGTATATCTCACTGATCCCAAGTGAAATCAAATTCTCCATTCCTGGATCCCAGAATGCCTGCAGCCACTTCACATCAACTAAGCCAAGAGGAAGTGTGACAGAGGCTAAGTATATATAAATGGAAGGAGATAACAGTGTTAACTAATTAAGGCTGAAATGACTACTATTGCAAATTTTACAAAATCATGTGACCATGTGAACACATCCTGAGGCCACTCCCATTCCTTGAAAAGGGCCCTGCAAAGAAGTGCCCTAAAGATAAACTTAATTTGCTTCATGTTAAGTCCATCTCTGAATACTTTTGTTTAACTGAACTTAAGCAGTAAAATGAAAAATAATCAAAGGTCAGGTGACTTCTAGCTTTCTTTTCTCAGCATTCAGTGAGTGATATTTAAAGAATACTGCTTATTAGAACATACGGTCCTTGACAAGGTGATCAGTATGTATACCCACATGAAACAACTACAGGATAACTCTTGATTGATTACTATTTACTGTGGCAATTTGAAGACCTGGAAATAATAAATGTGTGGGGTGTCCTAAAATGTTTCCTTCAGGGAAACATCCTGAAGGAGATACAATTTGAGCCTACCCTGTAAGACACAAATGCAATCAACCACCGAGGACTTGGGTCTGAGGATGGGGTTCTGTCTTGGAATATGAACATTTGCAGCCCTGGAAGAAGAAGGGCCAATGAGGAGGGATCTATCAAATATGTCAAAATGCCTAAGAATATCTCTCATTGTACTCTAGACTAGGAGTTACTATATCTGACTCTTTTTCAAAAGAACAATGTCTCCATTTAATAGTAGTCTGCTGACTGAGCAGCAGAAATTTGCAACCCACATTCATTTATATTATATAAGTTTTTAGTGTAATAGATTTCTTTGTGTCAACATAAAAAAAGTAAAGCTGTGATGGGCTGTAAGCCAGACTGTGGAAAAAGCCCCATTACATTGAATTGGGTGTTATCATGGTATTTGATAAACTGATGAGTCTATCTGAAGGGTTCATCACGCTTGGAAGCTAACACTTTTCCCATAACTTTTTATTCTTCCATTTTGGAACACTCTCATCCCTTTCATCACTTGGCTGGTATCAAGCAGATTGTCAAAATTATTGTTTACAATATTCATATCTTCAGAGCTGTCTTTATAGATTTTTTTCCTAAAAGGATTTTGAAATACTATCAGTGAATAGAGTAAAAAAAATCAAACAACCATCTCCCAAATTTCTAATACTTTAGTTCTAATTCAATCTTCATCTCAATCACTACATATCGTCCCCCATGACTTATTTAAAGAATGCAATAAAAGAAACATAAGCAAATAAGGTGAAAGGATTCATGTTTACCATTTGAATATTTATCTTTTGAAAACAGCAGAGTTGTAACAATCTCTAGTGAATTTCTTCAGTCATGTCTTGACAAGCATTTGTTGCCTGTGACCAGAATCAATATGGTTTATAGCATAAACTCCTTTTTTCTCTCTCTCTTTTTTCTAGGATTACTATTTAAAGCTAAATAAACTTAAAGTAATCATAAAAAGCTAAACATATATTTTAATGCTAGAGCTGCTTGGAATCTATTAAAAAGTATTAAAGGAAAAGCACACCAGAGAAAGAAAAGTTGAGAAAAGAAAGCACTCTGGTTAAATGAGTACAAAAGCCAATTATTTCCATGTTAATTACCTTTCAGGAAGAACTACTGAATTTATATGATAGAACTATTGTCATTAAATATCTGGCTTGCACAAATATTGGAGGGACATAGAAAAATAAGAGCAATTTAATTAACAGGTAAATTGGGCCAACAAGAAATTTACTTTTATGTTCATTTGCATTTAACTAAAGTAAATTAACAAAAGGAAATGGTCAGCTTCAAAAAAATCTGAATTGTTTCATGCTCTTTTTTTTAAGAACAAGTCTTTATTTAGTCTGAAACAAAACATAATAAACCTTCTGACTATAACTTAGGGCTAGTTTGTTTTTCTTTCTTTCTTCTTTCTAAAAACTATCCAACTTACTTTCCCCCAAGCATACAAAGAAGGTTCTAGAATTTTTTAGAATTTCTTCCTACCATGTACCTGATACCCACAGATAATCCCAGTCAAAACTGTGAAATTAGAAGGCAGTACTACTATTAATAATTAGACCAGAGAAACCAGTAATTGGGAACAATATGATCTAATTGAGTTAGACACAGCTAACATAGCCTCCCAGCTAAACCTCCTGATGTGAAATTATCCTCCAACAACCCCTCAAGCCCCATCACCACACACACACACACACACACACACACACACACACACACACACACACAAACACTATCCCTCCAGCTTCTCTTGAGGGGCAAGTCTAAGACTTTGGTCCTGTCCTGTGACCCTAGCTGATTGGACACCAAAGCTGGAGGAAACCAATCAATCCTAAAGGCTAGGCTGAGCCAATCAGACAGCTCCCTTCTTAATTTTGTACAGAGACTACCAGAGGATGATGTATACTGAATAGGAAGGTTATGTGTTGAGTTAGTGCTGGAGTCAGTACCACATACCAGCCAAAATTATAAGAGAACAAAACAGAAAAAGTCAGTCTAGTGAGTAGATGAGTACCATTCAGCCTGTGAAAAACCCAGCTTTGCAATTCAAACCTCTATCTGGTTTCAGTTATAATTAATATTTGTTCCTCAATACAAAAGTAAGCATGTTTGTACCATATGATCCAGAAATCAGGCTCCCTGATATTTACCCAAATGAATTAAAAACTTATGTTCGCACAAAAACCTACACGTGAATGTTTATAGCAGCTTTATTCATAATTGCCAAAACTTGAAAGCAACCAAGATTTACTTCAGTAAAATGGTTAAATAAACTGTGGTACATCCAGACATGGAATATTATTCAGTGCTAAAAAGATGAGCTATCAAGTCATGAAAAGACTTGGAGGAACTTTAAATGCATTTCACTAAGGGAAATAAGCCAATGTGAAAAGACTGCCTACTTTATGATTCTACCTATATGATATCTTGGAAAAGGCAAAAATATAGAGACAGTAAAAAGATCAGTGGTTGCTGGGGGGCACAGTGGGGGAGATGAATAGGTGGAGCACAGAGGATTTTAGGGAAGTGAAACTACTCTGTATGATACACAATGGTAGCTACATATCATTTCACATTTTTCAAAATCAAAATATGAGCAATACCAGAATGAGCCCTAATATAAACCTTAATATGGATTTTGGGTTATAATAATGTGTCAATGTAGGTTCATCACTTGCAACAAATGTACCAATGTGGTAGGGATATTGGTAGAGAGGGAGGCTGCATGTGCATGAAAACAGAGTATATGGGAACCCTCTCTACTGTCTGCTCAATTTTGCTGTAAACCAATATTTCTCTAAAAATAGTTTTTTAATTTTTTAAAAAGTAAAAGAAAAGCATAGAAAAAGATCTAGAATGTACACATTTGTGGTAAGAGGGGTTATCTCTAAATGATGGATGCTTTCATTTCTTTCTTCTTTTTATTTGGCAATATTTCCCAACATTTTTTATTTTGTTTTTTAAGAAAAAAAATTTCCTCAAATATTGTGAAATTTTTAAAAAATTATATCTTTGGCCTGGCACGGTGGCTCATGCCTGTAATCCCAGCACTTTGGGAGGCCGAGGCGGGTGAATCATGAGGTCAGGAGTTCAAGACCAGCCTGGCCAAGATGGTGAAACCCCATATCTACTAAAAAAAATACAAAACTTAGGCAGGCATGGTGAGGCACTCCTGTAATCACAGCTACTCGGGAGGCTGAGGCAGGAGAGTCACTTGAACCCAGAAGGCGGAGGTTGCAATGAGCTGAGATTGTGCCACTGCACTCCAGCCTGGGTGACAGAGCGAGACTCTGTCTCAAAAAAAATACATATATATGTGTGTGTGTGTGTGTGTGTGTATATATATATATATATATATACGTATTTATGCACATACTCAAGTGGCCAAGTTAGAGAATAAATAGAAGTTATTTAAAGGATGAAATTTTACATTATGTCTTAACTGGTGTTTCTGACTGAAACATAAAGTATGACAATACTTTTTATCTTCTTCCAATAAAGCCAGTCTCATTCACATTGATCAGTACATGACTAAAATGGACTGCTAAGTATTTACATTTTATTAATGGCAAAATCCTTTAAGTAAAAAAGTTCTAATATTACCCTTATACATTAATTTCTCTTTTTTTAATTGAGGAAAAATACTAGTAAACCAGGAATATAACTTAAATATTTTGAAAATTGATTTTAGGCCATTATTGAACAAAATACTCAATGATGTCTTTGAAATGAGGATGATAATATAATTAGATGGCTAAAATAGAACACTGTTTCATGGTTGAGAGCATGGGGTGTGTTGTCATACTGTCTAGGTTGTAACCTTAGCTTCATAGTTCTTCAGCAAGTGACCCTGAGCAGGTTTCTTTGTTTTTAAACTTTAATTTTTTTCAATTAAAGGAAACAATAATATAACACCATCTTTATAAGGTTGTTTTATCATAATAAATAATGTATTCAAAGCAATTATTTAAGTAACTTGCACTTGGTAAGCAATTTACTATCATTAGGGTATAAAGTAATAAACTGATGTCAAACTACTAGCAAGTCCCAAGAGTTGTGTTCTAGAACTATGTTCTATTCTATATTATTTTATTTGTGTTGTGGATGGCATGATAAAGATCACTAAATACCTTTTGAACACAAACATAGAATATACTTAATCCAATGGCTGGCTGAATAAATATTCAAAGGGGTTTTCTTTTTCAAAATACTTGGATGATATCTAGAAGTGCAGGAATAAAATTTAAGCAAAAATAATTGCAAAATCATAAACTTTAATTCAAAAAATTCAAGACACAAATGCAGGCCAGAAAAAAAAAAAATCCTTAATTCAAATAAAAGTTAGGAGTTTTAGTTACCCAGAGGAGCACATGCACCACAGTGCAAGTCTGGTTACCCTGACCTACTTTGTTAAATTTCAGAGATCAGAGGACCATAAAATACTAAGGTAAAAGAGAGTGCCCAGATTGATTAGATAATCTGACAAAGACTTTTTATTAAAAGTAAATGTTTGCTCTGTAAAGGGCAATACTTATAAGAAGGCAGCAAGAACTCCATCAACTATTGTGAAATATTTTAAAGGAAAAGGATGTTGATATGTTCTGTTAATCCAGAAAGTAAAACTAGAACCACTGTATATAATTTAAACAAAGCAGGTGTCAAATCAATATAAGGTTCAATTTAAGGAGGAAGAGTTAATATTGCCTGACTGTAGGTCAGTTCAGGTGAGAGAGTAGTGGACCAGCGCAGAGACAAGATGTTCATCATGGGGTAGAGTACTTTGTGGAAAAGAACTCTGACCTGAGGTAGAAATTTGGACAGAATGACCTCTAGCTGTTGTTACACCTCTAGGACTCTGAGGTTCTAAGATTCAGCTATCTGCTCAGTTAACTTTACTCAATTTGCCTATTGAGAAGGGTTTTTCAAATGTATGATACTAAAAGAAATATTTAAAGGCAGAAAAGACAACTTAAAATTAGCTAAAATGTAAAGAAAGACTTTTAAAAAAAAATAATTAGGAACAGATGAAAATATCTACCATCTACCCTAACTAAAAAAAAAGAAAAGAAAATCTATTGTTATAGATTTTAAAAGAGATAGTAACTATTACTTTTAACATCAAAAGTCCTTCTGCATGTTGCTCAAATATATTGCCAAGTGTAATTCCATATGCCTAGGCTTCTCCATCTAAAATGGACAAATTTCCTGCAATGCCTTCCTTTGAGTGACAGAGCATTTTTGTTTATGCCTCTTTTTACAACTTGTCTTCATTCATTATTTTGTTTAAGAGTTAGGTTCGTCAGTCTCTTTTTTGTACAACATCATTGGGAAGCATAAGTCTTTCTCCCTCTCCTACTTAAAACACTGCAAAGGCTCCCCATTGCAGTTAAAGTCATTCAAATTCCTTTTTAAGACAGGCAACTCTACAAAACTTGGGTCCTGTGTACCTCTCCCACTGCCATTCACTCTGCTCCGGCTCTTGCTCACAGGGCTCCAGTGACACTGGCTCCATCCTGTGGGTGCCATTCCCTAAGCCTGATGGTTTTTCCCCTGACTCTTCCCCTGGACAGCTGCTGCTTCTCATTCTGTAGTTTTCAGGTTCCATGCCACTTTAGAGTGATTTCTCCTAAAAGAAGCATGAAAAACCAGCCCACCCCAAATCCTGACTTGTTATTTTTCTCACCTCTTGTTTGTTCATTTGCTCTCTGCAAAACTCTTATCCCAATTGGTAGTTATCTCATTTATTAATTTGCATATATTTTATCTATCTTCCCTACTGGAATCTAAGCTCTAAATGGAAAAAAATTAAATAAAAAAGCATTGCCTCTCTTGCATTGAGAACAGTGCCTGGTACATGATATGAGCTCAATAATTATTTGTCTGACAATTGGAAGTAATAGCCAAACAGTCAAATACGACACTTACCAATCTAGTGCATTTCCTCTGGCTAAGCCAAGTCCCCACTCTCTGTCACCCAGATTATTGCTGTTTCCTCTTAATTTCATTCTCCCATCTCCCCCGTCTTCTGCCATCAGTCCATTCTCTGCACTATAGCCAGAGGAATTAAAAAAAAAAAAACAAATTGAGTTTGTGACCAGCCTGACCAACATGGAGAAACCCCATCTCTACTAAAAATACAAAATTAGCCGGGTGTGGTGGTGCATGCCCGTAATCCCAGCTACTGGGGAGGCTGAGGCAGGAGAATCACTTGAACCTGGGAGGCGGAGGTCGAGGTTGCAGTGAGCCAAGATCGTGCCATTGCACTCCAGCCTGGGCAAAAAGAGCTAAACTCCATCTCAAAAAAAAAAAAAAAAAAACAAATTGAATAATTTATATTTATATCTTTTGTTTAATGGTACTTAAGAGCTTCCCATGCTATTAAGACAATAATACTACTTATAATAGAAAACCTTGATTGAGCAGTTACTATGTGCCGTGCACTTGTATTAATTCATAGAGTCCTCATTAAAAAAAAATCCTTTTTGAGTTACTTATTATTATTATTATTATTTTGAGACAGAGTCTTGCTCTGTCACCAGGCTGGAATGCAGTGGCACAATCTTGACTCACTGCAACCTCTGCCTCCTAGGTTCAAGCAATTATCCTGTCTCAGCCTCCCGAGTAGCTGGGATTACAGGCACATGCCACCATGCCCAGCTAATTTTTGCGTTTTTAGTAGAGACAGGGTTCCACCATGTTGGCCAGTATGGTCTTGATCTCTTGACCTTGTGATCCGCCCACCTCAGCCTCCCAAAGTGCTCGGATTACAGGTGTGAGCCACCGCACCTGGCCAAGTTACATATTATTATCCCTATCCTGTAGATAGGGAAACAGAGGCACAGGAAAACTAAAGTCCATAACATGTCTCACAACCATCTCCATGATCTGGCCCATTCCTGTATCTACAACCTCACTTTATACAAGTTTCTAGCTGATACTTAACATGCAAAAATACCAGATGTTTTAACCAGAAGCACGGTAGGAATGGACTTCTTCTCACTCATCAAACCAGACTGAGATAGTCCTTCACCATCAAAAGCCTCTATACATCTTCATGTGCTTTTCCCCAGACTTTCTAAGCTGCCTCATAATCCTCCTTATGGAGACCTAAAGGCTGTCTATCTTTTAGAATCCTGCGGCAATCACTCCTCTATGATTTTATACCACATAATCATAACCCAAAGACTTCCATTAAATATCTATTAATTTTATTATTGATAGTAGCCATTTGATAAATCCATTGTCTCTTATTAGTTATCTGTTTGGCTCCTTAAATTATTTAGCTTTTCATGTATATTGACTCATCTCCCAGCAACAATATAAGGGCCTTGAGAGCAAGGATCATGTCTTGTTTTGCTCTTCTTTCTTTTCTTGCATAGCCCCTTGCATATTGTCTTGTATATATGTCTTAGAGATGCCTAATAGGTATCTATTTTTTGATTTGTCAGTTGGTCTTCTTTTCACTTTATGTGATCATTGTCAGTAGAGAGTTAGGAAATATCTGGCATTGAGCTTCCAAATATTTAGCTATCCAGTATGAATCATGGTATTTCCAGCTCATACCTAAAAGAACTAGTATTCTACTAATTATAGAGTACAGCAGAGAAACTTTTTGCAGACTTTTTTACTTGGAATAATCTACATACTGTCATCCGGGAAGGTAGAAAAACACTCAGCACAGCTTCCAAAATCTGTGTTTGCTGGTGTTTGACACATCATCCACATACTTGTCCGCTATGCTTCTGTTAACACAGCTTTGCAGAATATGTTTCTATGGTAATTTTAAGCTTATATAACACCAGCTCCTCATATTCTTCATGAACATTTCTTATATTTGTGAAAATTACACATATTTCAACTTCAAAAGTGATTCCATTTATTGCGTGGACATTAAGACAATAATTATGAAATAAAACTGTGTAACAACATGAAAATATTTCATAATGTTAAGAGGGGAAAAAAGCATTAATTCAAGTCTGTGTTGAGATCAGAGCTATGGAACATGTGGAAGGTGCTCTTGCTGACTTACCCACAGCCATCCTTCTTCCTAACTTCCATATTTCATATTCTCTGCAGGTACCTACCCTTCTCCACAGGCCATGTGTTTTAGCCTGTTCAGGCTATTATAACAAAATACCATAGACTGGGTGACTTATAAACAAAAAAATATATATATTTATTACAGTTCTGGAGGCTAAGTCCAAGATTAAGGCACCAGCAGATTTGGTTTCTGGTAAAAAACCATTGCCTGATTCAGAGATAGCCATCTTCTTACTCTAACCTCAATGACAGAAGAGGTCCCTCTCAGGCCTCTTTTATACGGGCACTAATGCCATTCATGAGGGCTCCACCTCCATGACCTAATCACCTCCTAAAGGTTGTACCCTCCTAATACTATCCCTTAGGGGTTAGGATTTCAACATATGAATTTTAGGAGGGACATAAATATTCAGACCATCTCACCATATGTTCAGGGAGGTCTGGGCCCAGGTCATTCCCAGCCCAAGGGGTGGATCAACATTAGTCTAAACCAGAGGCTCTTAATGCAGAAGATTTTGAGGTACCAGTACTCAATTCCCTACCTATTCTCTTCCCACCTCAGCCTCCCTCAAAAATGGACAGTTCTGGGATAAGACTCTGGTGTCTGGTGTGCTTAAACCTCCTTGAGTGATTCTAATGTACAGCTAGGATTTAGAATTACTGGTCTGAGCCAGTGGTTCTCAAACTTCAGCCAGCCAAGAATTACCTAGAGGACTTGTTAAAACACTGGGCCCCACTCCCAGAGTTTTTGATTTAGGAAGTCTAGAGTAGGCCTGGAAATTTCATCCTAGCAAGTCCCCAGATGATTCCAATGAAGTCCATCTAAGATTTTTCTTTGAAATCTTAGCTCTTAAAACTAAGCTCCTCTGTAGAAACCTGTTTTTTATGTACCATTTGGAACTGTGGTAATTTTGCTACCAGACCACAAATGGCACTAACAGAAAGAAAAGACTGGAGTCAAGGGCTTCTCAGACAAGGGCAAAAGTAATCTGAAGGAACTCTGTACCTGCCCTACCTAGGTACATATAAGTTAAAGTAAATCTCCTATTTTTTAAGTCATTAGATGAAGATTTTGTTATTTCCTGCCAAAAACATCCTACCTGATGTCTTCCTAAGATAGAAACAGCTTCAAATGATGAAACGGTTTCAAATGATGAAAGTATGAATATTTTTCTTTTTCTCAATATGCTTTTAATCTGATAAGTATTACAAAATAATGTTCTTGAATAAATCTCTACTATAAAATGGGAGAGAAAGAACGTGACTATTTTACCTATTTATTCAATTTACATAATAATTCATCACTTTTTCTTTGTGATGTGTTTTTTCCAAAATATTTTCTATTGAATACCTCATTTAGAGGCAAGATACCAAATTTGAGATCCTTCTTATCCATTTTTAGAGCTAAATGACTATAGAAATGCCTTAATATCAAGAAGTGCATAGCAGTTTACTGCATTAAAACTCAAGTGGAGGAGTAAGAACTTCTAAGTTATAATTATTGAACCTCCTCCTGACTTTGCCTTGACTCTACCGAGTAAGTTATCCTCGTGTGTCCCAACCCCCACCTCATCCATTTATTGATGCAAATATCTAAATGCCCTTCCCTTATCCTGTAATCCTACTTCCACCACCATCTTTGTTATATGGCATAGAAAGCTGTTGTAGAAATCATGCAAGTCAGTAACCCTAGCTCCCATTCCCATTCTCACTGGTGTGCCTCCACTCTAGATGCTGGAAAAGCTAAACACTTGCTTTCCCAGTCTCCACTGCAACTAGGAATGGTCAGGTAACACAGTCCTGGCTAACATAACACAAACAAAAGTCTTCTATAGAGCTTCTAGGAAACTTTCTTTTCTTGATACAAAAAGCCCACAAAGTGTCTCAAACTAAGTAACTTATATGCAAAAGGTAGGGAAATGGGGAGGTGAAATTTGCACAATATTTTAAGTTATGTAGGAAAAACAATGCTGCTAAGTAGAAATAAGTTTGATTAAAACAATTCAGTAAAATCAAAGAATCAATTAGTACAATTAATTAAAAGATAGAAGTAAAATATGCTGACAAAGTGTGCCATGGTCCAGTTACTGCCAGGAAGATTGGTGATATATTAACCATTCAGAAGCCAATTTCTTCATTTTTGAATAGACATCACCCAAAATTTAACTGGCTTATATCTTACAGCAATATAGGAGCAAATCAAATCACTGAGATTATTAAAGGTATATTTTGCAATCAGTTTGCCTTGAAAAGTTCACCAAGAAATTCTATATTTAAAGCTGGATATTTCATAGATGCTTACTGAATTATTTTTATGGTTGAACTGGCTTTTTCTAACACTCACTCCAGAAAATTTCTAGGCTAAAGTTATTACAGTTAGGCTCCAAGAAATAGAACTTTCTTGCTTGCATCATTAATTTTTCACTGTGGTTGAGCAAAGCAAAATATTATCTTCTGCATGTGAATTACCTAGGTTCACTTCTATTAGGAAATCAGATTGTCATTAGGGTCCTTAAATCCGAAAAGAGAATGTCAGTCCTATTTTCCAGCTCACCTGTCTATTAAGGAATAAGATTCTGAATTTAGGCAACAATGGATTGTCTGCACTCCAGGAACTTGTAATCATAGCCTCATGCCCATGTCCTCCAAGTTACTGTCAAAATTCCATTGACAGAAGCACTATTTAAGGATTTTCTAAACTTTGAATAAGTGGCCCATAAATTGTAAACTTCAGTTTGTCCTACATTAAGTTGAAACTGTGAGAGCTATGCAGCTTGACCACATTGTCTGATCCCTGTAAAACTGCTCTTACTGAATTAACTGTGCTTAATAATTATGTTAGCAATGCACATTGAGGGATGCAAAAAGAAACAATTCTGGGATATTCATTGTTGTCTCAGCATGAGGACATTACTGATGATTCATTAAATGTCACAGAATGGTCTTTATGAAAACACAGCAAACATTCTCATAGGAATAAACATTGAGAATAATTGTCCTTATTTTGAGTTTTAATCATATTCACAGCAAATTATGTATTTTTATGTTTATTTCTCCAGATTGGCTGCTAGAAGATTCAAAGGTAAACCTGTGGTCCAAGTGCAGCAAGTGGGGAAGGCCTCAGCATGCATTTTGTGTGCTAACCTCATCCCTGGTTTCATTTTATTTCTCTAATTCTATTCCTCTCTTTTCTGATTAACTCATTTTTTTCTTCGTTTCATTGTTTTATTTTGCATATTTGTAAGTTGTCACATAACCTTTTGAAGTAAAAGGCAGTGCAAAATTGCTAACACCCACGTTTAGAGTATCCAGAGGTTTGTCTGTGAGAAATCTACATGCCTGTGAACACGCACCAAAGCCAGCCTTGTTTTGAAGACGGAAAAATGAACCAATGACCCATCTAAATGTATTAACTTATTACCTGGGCAAAGACACACACACATACACTCCAGCACAAAATTAAAACTGTATTTAAAGATCAGAACTCAACAGATCAAGAATTTAGGGCAGCTACCCAAATAAAGGGATTTACAGCTCAAGCAAAAGACAAAACTCTGGCAAGAAAATGAGGCATCGGTGTGCAAATCAAAGCAAAGAGTCTAGGCAGTAAATGGGATCAAATAACACATCAAACTAACATATTTTCCCCAGTCAATAGCTCATGATTTATTTTAAGCAAAGACTAGTCCTCAAGGGTAGAGGTAAGAGTAATCATCTGAATGGAATAAAGGTAAAAGGCTGGGGAAAAAAGAGATAGCGATAAATTCCTGTGAGTAATCCACCTAGAAGAGCAAACGTGACCTGGTTTTATAGGCACAGACTTAAAGATAATGGAGTTTCTTGCTGTAGAAGGATATTCATAGCAAATTCTTTTATTTCCTCAGAGGTTTTCCCTCATATTTTTCTGTCCATAAATGTAGCCTGTCATCTAGGATCAAAGTATTTCCTTTCCTGGAGAAACTCTGACAAAATATTAATTGCCAATTGTTCTTTTGACATTCTCGCTGCAGATCACCACCCCATTTGCCTCATGTCATTCTGCCTACGAGAAGCAAAAGAGGCTGAGAGTTAAAAGTGACTAAGAAGTGGGCAGAAGTCCACATCTGTGACCAGGAGGCTGTGTTTAAAGTTTCAGCTTTTTCTGCAGGTCAAGTTCAAATGGAGTGATAAGAAAGAAAAAGTTTGCTTTAGCGTCTCAGCTCCCCCAAAGAGATAATAATTATCCCTTTGAGGAGAGCATGTGTAACTAAAGAGGTTTAGTCAGAACAGATAACTTGGTTCTGATAGTCTTCTAAGGAAGAGGCAAGGCTATGATACAGTGCATGTAAGCTCAGTGTTAAAAATGTTATACAATGGAAAATCCAGACCAGTTGCTCAAAGCAGAATCACTACCATATATATGATTTATGTAATCACAACTTTATAGGCATTAGTGTATTTGCCTGCTGCTAATATACCCCAAAGGATACATCTTGAGGTATTCTCAAGACAACACCTATTTGTTTTAGTTTGGAAGAAGGACAGGAGGTTTTAGTTTGGAAGAAGGAAGCAGACCTCATGAGAACCCCCAGGTATGCCCAATATTATTGTATTTTTTCTGTCAAAAGAAGCCACATTATGCTGAGATCTTTGGAGTTGTGTTTTATCTTATATTTTGAGCACACAAGAGTTTCCAAATCAATCTTGCAAGGTAGCTTTTTAAATTGAAAAAATTCTTGGATACAGCATTTTATGTACATCAATGAAGGGAATCCTTGATGGGTGCTATAAAATCTTCACATGATGTTAAAAATCAATGTATCCAAAAATTAATGTAATTTAGGCTGTTGCTACTTGGCATTTGCTAGCAAACACAAGGCAAATTCACTTAAATCTCTTCTGTTTGAATTATCACCCTTTATTATATCAAGTAGAAGTGGCCAAGAATGGCTTACTACTACCAATAGGATGGATTCTTAATATGCCTGGACCTTTTGCCTGTAACTACTGGCTGAATAGCACAGTATGTTGTTCTTTCCCTAAGTTATCTGGAGAGCCCATTTACACTGTTCTGCTGTTATACCTCATTGTATAAAATGGGGAGCTTTTACTACCAGTATTACTTTACCTAAAGACACTGTGTCTTTTTCTATTGTGAGAATTACTCCTGTCCCTATCCCCAGAATATTAGAGTTTGTTCATTGTTTTTAGCATAGCATTTAGTATACTCTGTGTTTATTTTCTGCATCACTGAGTTGTATTTCTAAGCTTTTGCCTTGCTAATCAGGGACTGAAAAATACTAGCGAAAGACTGGCTACAGATTATCTTTTAATAGTTAAGACTATATCATATTTATTAATACTTCCAACACATGTACTGTCTAAATCCAACTGACAAATTCCAAACAGTAGACCTAGAATTCTCAGTATCGAATGAGCTATAAAACCATATAATGACATGCACAACTCTATTTGGAAATAAATGGTTAGACTGAAGAATTCAACTCGAGTTAATAATTTGTGTAGTCACAGTAACCTTTGTAGTTTTTCGTAAGGATTATTTGCTATGTCATTGGACAGCCCTAATTTAGCATCAGGCAAGAGTATTTGAGGAGAATGGTATGAGGACCAGAGCTACAAGATGATGTATATTTTCATTATTGTTCTCTTCCTATGATGATATTATGTCAAAGTATGTTTTAAACTAATCCATGTCCTTGTTTAAACTCTACACAAACTTAACTCATAGAGACAAAGCATTCTAAGTAGAAGCATTATTTCATCCTTTTTAGCTTTGTATTCATAATAACTTTATTGAATTGATTCTCTACCATGACCCAAGAATATAGTGTATCTTTATAATAAGAAACGGTGACTCACCATCACCCCACCTTGCTCCTCTTTATCTATTATAATCTACTAGCTTTCCATGGCTGGGTTAAACTCCTAGCCTTGGTTCCTGAAATCCAGAACCATAATCAATACATACATAATTAATAATCCAGAATTAACTTCATACCATATGGTAGGTAGTAACTATGGTGCCTGTGAACAAGCTTCATAATTACAAGAAATTAGTCCCTCCAGTTTTATTCTTGCTTCTAGATCCAGTTCAAAACAACATCAAGAACAGAACTCAAAGCAGTAAATGCAAAGCATAGCTGCCTTTGCAGTTAAGTTCCAGTTTGCTGCACCTGTTGAAAAATACAATAAAAAGAGCAAAATCATTTCACCATCCAGTTGGGGTAGAGGTTTAAAACTAGAAGATGAAGACTGTGCCCAAAGCATCAAAAGTGCCAAGTAAAGACCAAGACAAGGGATTGCAAAACACACACTCAACTCAGAGATAAATGAAGCATGGGAAGTGTGGGCAGGACAGGTGAGAGGTCCATGAGACAGGACATGAGAAAAAAGATGAGATAACCTGAACTGTAAGCTACCAAAGCAGGCCACTGGTTTAAAGGAGGGAATACAGTGTAAAGAAAGGCAAGCTGGGTCACTATGACTAGGGCAAGCAAATCTCTGAACTTCAGGAATTCAGGGACAGTAAGGCAACAGCTTCATGAACCAATAGAAAGAATAAGCCGGCTCCAGAAACAAGGAGAGATCATCTTCATCATCGTTTACCCTTTTCTTATAGGCTGTTGAGCATAAGTAAGCTGACAGGTGGAAGCAGCAACTGGAGTTAAAGAGAGCACAGGATTCCATAGCCTTGGGTATGTCCATGTAGGGGAGAAAAAGATTTCTTTCCTCAGTCCTCTCTAGGTTCATGTCTGAGACTCTATTACAAAAGACAGATTAACAAGAGACAAAAAAGACAAATTCATTTAATATAAATTTTACAAGACATGGGGACCTTCAAAAGTGAAGACTCAATGAAACAGTGAGACCTGTGTATTTTTATGTACAGTCATGCAGAATTATGATTGGAAGACAAAAGGTTATGATATAATGATAATAAACTTGAGCAAGATCTGTTTATTCAGATTCTTCTTGGCATCTCTGCATCTTCAAAGACATTCCTTTCCTCTGAATAAAGGGTAGACTCACCTAGAATGAAGGACTTCTTCAGAGGAAGGTCAGAAAATTCTTTTATGTCCTACTTCAGGGAAGAAGGCAGGAGAAGTCAAAAGTGACCTTCCTGTTTCTGCAGTTTCCTCAAATGCCAAGGTGCCATATTTTAAAGTAACATGTCCCAGACCCCATTATCTATGCTATAGCTATCTGAAAGAGAACAGCCAAAATTATAGGGGGCCGTCAGATGTTTCATTGGTTGCAATGTTCATACTACAGAAGCCTACTATCCAGTATAACAAGACTTGATCAAGTTGGTTGGTTAACTGAGAAAGATAGATTGTTAAATCAAGCAAGCATTAAAAGTCGATATGTAATGACACACAGCATACATTTCATTTTTACTGAAACCACATAGGAGCGCAATCATTCACTAAGATTTTGGTTTAGAATCAAAACTTCTCATTAGCATTCAGATTCACTGGTTGAAATTCTGCATTGTCTATTTATAATTGGATAATACATCATCTATGACGTCAAGTTTTAATGTCTGTAAGTGAACTTACAGGCATTTGCAATACCCCCTGAGTGAAGAATTCTTCCAGATTTTTATTACTGCTCCTCCCTCAACCTTTATAACAGTTTTGTCTACACCTAATTCTACAGTAATAATTTGGCAGCTTACTTTATGTAGATTTGATGCCTATTTGGGGGAAGTGGGGAGGCAGCTTACATTTTGTGTAGCTTTTTTACACAAAAAATTCAATAACAATCCTCTCCTGCATTCTTTTCATAGAATATGTAATATTTACTTAAATTATGAAAGTATAAGGTTAGAGTTAGGGTACAAGTAACATAAACAAGTTTGAGACCAAGCACAATTTATTCTTGGTTAGCATACAACTCAATGGAGAGCACAATTAATCTGGCAAGTTAATTTGGTGGCAGTTGGTTACGAGACTCTAATTTCACAGTGTAATTTTTACATTCAAATATGGTTTTTACCTGCTAAATTTGACAATGATAGCTTCGTAAAACCATAGGAAGATATAAACTGCTTCTAAATTAAAAGAAGTTTGTTCTTCCCGGAAAATTATTTCTGGCATTTACTGGATTGTATGACCCCAATATTAACAAATGCCAAGAACAGGTTTAAGTTGATAGAAAGGCCAGGCACAAACATCACATACTAGGTTGACTTATCTCAAGGATAGAGAAGCAAGTCAGTAAAGAGCTGCATTAGTGTTATCAGCAACATTTTCCTGGCCAGAAGGAGCTGTAACCACATAGAAACCCAGTTCTCACTACCTTAGCATGAATTGAGTGAGGCTCCACTGCTCTTCTCCAAATTAAGCCACAGATTTGAATTTTATATACATACTTATATACATATGGGTGGAGCAGTTCTTCTAACAGACTAGTCTAGACACGAGCTTGGGATAACCTCATCTGAGCCAAGTACAACTCATCAAAATAAAATATTACAAAAAGTCAGGTACAGAATAAACATATGAAGACATAGACACAGTTTTCATTTATCATCCCTGCCCTCCCTCGCTTAACACAGCCAGGATTAGTACTTTACAGTACTAATGATATCTTCTTGACATAGAGCTGCTGAAAAGAGAGCAGAGAACTGTTAGACAGCTGTCTCTGAAGGTCATGCTAATGAGTTCTTACACCAGTCCCTGGTCTTGTGCACAGGTGTTAGGTGAAAAAATGTTTCATAGTCAAAATGTGGAAAACACTTGGTTCAATAAGTTAAACAGGGTTCTTTACTGCAATACTTTAATATTAGTTGTTTATCAGGAGGAGGCTATAAATACCAGTGTTTCCTAAACTAATTTCAACTCAATTCAATTTGTTTTCAGCATGCATTACCCAAGATCAAAATTCTACAGCACACCATTTGGGAAATGCTTCTACAGCTTGTACTCTGTGCTTCATGTGTGTGTTTGGCTCCTAACTCTAAGGGCAGAACTTCTTTAACTTATACTTGAGTTTCACATTTTATCTTAATGTGGAACTTTTACACCTATGTCCAAATACCTGCACCATTTTGAGAACTGAAAGAAAATTTAAAAAGTCAAATGTTCTCTTTGCCCTTCAGTTTTCTATAAGGTAGTTAGGAACACATATACATGCAGCAGCCAAACTGTAATTTGTGGTAGTAATAGAAGAAACAGAACCTATGAGTTTTTGGGTATCTGTTGTGTCTCATATGCTATGCTAGCTTCCTTATATATATGATCTAAGTCCCCAAACACGAGTAGATATTATTCCGATTTTCATATGGGAAAACTGAAACTCAGAAGTGTTAAATACTGTGCCCAAAGTCACACAACTAGTTAGTGGCAGAGATGTAATTTAGTGGTTCTAATAAGATGCTTGGAATTTTGAATTTTCAACAAATTCCTTGGATTATTCTTCTCATCAGAAAATTTGGGAGCCCGTCAGTGGACCTTATTGCTCAAAGCGTGGTCCAGCAACCCACAGCATCAGCATCACCTGGGAGCTTCTCAGACTTGCAGCATCTCAGGCTCCCTATAACTACAAAAGCAGAAGCTGCATGTTAATAGATATTCAGGTGATTCTTACCCACCTTAAAGTACAGCACTCACTGTGCTTCTCCAACTTTAAGGAATGAATCAGATAAATCACCTGGGATCTTTGTAAAATGCGGATTATGATTCAATAGTTCTGTGGCCTGAAACGGGCTCAAGATCCAGCAATTTTCAGCAAGCTCCCAGGTGACTCAGATTGCTTGTCTGTGGACTGTCACACTTTGAAGAGCAAGGGTCTAAACTAAGTTCTGTGTGAGGATTAATACTATTAAACAGACATTTTATAGTATTTAATTTATACATTATTTTATACATATATATTTATACATTTATACATATATAATTTATACATTATATATGTATATATACATATATATGTATATATATAATTTATACATTAATTTATACATATATATTTAATACTATATATGTATAATATTATACATATAAATGTATATGTATAATACTATACATTTAATACTATAATAGTATTTAATTTATTATTTAATATTTATTATTTAATATTTATTAATACTATACATTAAATATACTATAATGTTTAATACTATTAATAGACATTTATAAATACTATTAAATGATGACCGGATGGTGCCTACATTAACAAGGAAAGGCCTAAAGCTTAAACAAGCTGGATTAGTCACCTCAGTATTTTAAGGTCTGAATACTTTTTGTTAACTTTAGTCCTATCCCTACCCCCATCACCATCACCAGGGTAACTTTCATTTCTATTTCTCCTTCCGGTAACAAAGCTTCTCACCATGAAGCATAGCACTGAAAAGGGCCCTCTTTAGTCATAGCAGTGTTCCTATACTACATAATTTGTCCAAAGTATCCATTCATCTATTGCCATCAAGCCATCATTATTATAGTGGGTGTAACACTAATTTGGTAAGCGAGAGATGGTGTGATTACTTCCACAGCAGTTACTCCATCATTTCTGAACTTTCAAGTCACTCAACTTTCATATTAAAAATAGGTTTGGTCTGACAAATCTTTTTTAAAAGCCTCCATTTGAGGCACTTTCAGCTGCCGAAAAAACTTGTCCTTTCTATAACCTATCTTTAATGCTGGCCAGTTTTAACAAATGGCTTTACAGCTTTTGTTAAAGAAAGTTTTGTCTACATAATGTGATGCCGTACCATTATCAAATAATAAGAAGTCAACTATAAGTAATCTAGAATCTTCATTACCAAGTGATTTGTTCAGAAGCCAGTTGTCATTTTAGTTATTAATTGGAAGTACCCAAATTAAAATAATAATGTTATAGATAAATGAAAAACAAAAGTAACAGAAGTGGTATTTCTCAGTGCATAAATTTGGGGATTTGAAGAAGATAAGGACATTTATGTTGAAAAACATTCCATGTTGAATAAAAATAAGATAACAAAGCATATATAAATATAGCCTGTACTGCATATGAAAATAAGCCCAGTAAAGAATTGTAGCCTTGAGGCATTTCTTTTTTTTCTTATTTAGTTTTAATTTTTGTGGGTACCTAGTAGGTATATATATTTATGGGGTACATAAGATATTTTGATACACACATGCAATGTGTAATAATCACATCACTATAAATAGGGTCTCTATCCCCTCAAGCATTTTATCTTTTATGTTACAAACAATCCAATTATACTTTTCAGTTATTTTTCAATGTAAAGTTAAATTATTTTTGACTATAGTAACCCTGTTGTGCTATCAAATACAAGGTCTTATTCTTTCTAGCTATTTTTTTGTACCCACTTATGATCTCCACTTTTCCCCCCAACACCCCGACTATCCTTCCCAGCCTCTGGTAACCATCCTTCTACTCTCCATCTCTATGAGGTCATTTGTTTTATTTTTAGCTGCCACAAATAAGTGAGAACATGCAAAGTTTTTCTTTCTGTGCCTGGCTTATTTCACCTAACATAATGACCTCTAATTCCATCTGTGTTGTTGCAAATGACCAGATCTAATTCTTTCCGTGGCTAAATAATACTCCATTGTGTATATGTACAACATTTTCTTTATCCATTCATCTGTTGATAGACACTTAGGTTGCTTCCAAATCTTGGCTATTTTGTATAGTGCTGCAATAAATATGGGAGTGTGGCATATCTTTCTGATATACTGATTTCTTTTCTTTTGGGTAATGTATCTAGGAGTGGGATTGCTAGATCACATTGTTGCTCTAGTTTTAGGTTTTCGAGAAGCCTAGAAACTATTCTCCATAGTGGTTGTACTAATTTACATTTCCACCAACAGTGTACAAGGATTCACTTTTCTCCAGATCTTCACCAGCATTTGTTATCGCCTGTCCTTTGGCTAAAAGCCATTTTAACTGAGGTGAAGTGAGGTGATATCTTATTGTAGTTTTGATACGCATTTCTCTAATGATCAATGGTGTTAATTGAGCACCTTTTCATATACTTGTTAGTCATTTGTATGTCTTCCATTGAGAAATGTCTATTCAGATCTTTTGCCCACTTTGCAACTGGATTATTTGATTTTTTCCTATAGAGTTGTTTGAGCTCCTTATATATTCTGATTCTTAATCCCTTGTCAAATGGGTAGTTTACAAATATTTTATCCCATGCTGTGGATTGTATCTTCACTTCGTTGTTTGTTTCCTTTGCTGTGCAGAAGCTCTTTAACTTCATGTGATCCCATGTGTCCAAATTGCTTTGATTTCCTGTGTTTGTGGAGTATTACTCAATAAATCTTTGCCCAGTCCAATGTCCTGAAGAGTTTCCCTAATGTTTTCTTGTAGTAGTTTCATTGTTTGAGGTTTTAGATGTAAGGATTTAAACCATTTTGATTGATGTTTGTATATGGTGAGAGACAGGGGTCTAGTTTCATTCTTCTGCATATGGATATCCAGTTTTACCAGCAACATTTATTGAAGAGACTTGTCCTTTCTTGGCAATTTAGTGAATAATGGGTATACTGTAACTGTATGGATGTATTTCTGGGCTCTCTGTTCTATTCCATTGGTTGATGTGTCCGTGTTTATGCCAGTGCCATGCCATTTTGGTTACTATATCTCTGGAGTGTAATTTGAAGTCAGGTAATGGGATTCCTCCAGTTTTGTCCTTTTTACTTACGATAGCTTTGGCTATTCTGGGTCTTTTGTGGTTTCATATAAATTTTGAGACTGCTTTCTAGTTTTGTGAAGAATGTCTTTGGTATTTTGATATGGATTTTATTAAATCTGTAGATTGCTCTCAGTAGAATGGACATTTTAACAATAAAGACTCTTCCAACCCATGAACATCGAATATCTTTCCATTTTTTTGTCCTCTTTAATTTCCTGCATCAATGTTTTATAGATGTCATTGTAGAGATTTCTCATTTCCTCGGTTAATATGTAGGCATTTAATTTTAATTGTAGCTATTGTAAATGGGATTACTTTCTTGACTTCTTTTTCTGATTGTTCGTTGTTCGCATGTAGAAATGCTACTGATTTTTGTCTGTTGATTTCATATGCTGTAACTTTACTGAATCTGTATATCAGTTCTAATCGTTTTTTGGTGGAGTCTTTAGGTTTTTTCAAATATAAGACCTATCATCTGCAAACAAGAATAAGTTAACTTATTCCTTTCCAATTTGGGTGCCCTTTATTTCTTTCTCTTGTATGATTGCTTAAGCTAGGACTTCCAGTACTATGAAAAATTACAGTGGTGAAAGTCAGCATCCTTGCCGTGTTCCAGATCTTAGAGGAAAGGCTTTCAGTTTTTTCTCATTCAGTATGATACTAGCTGTGGATCTCTCATATATGACTTTTATTATGTTGAGGTATGCTCCTTCAATACTAAGTTTTTTGAGGTTTTTATCGTGAAGGGACGTTGAATTTTATCAAATGTTTTCCCAGCATCGATGGAAATGATTATATTTTTTGTCCTTCATTCTGTTGATATAATGCATCACATGGATTGATTTGTATATGCTGAAGCATCTTTGAATTCCTAGGATAGATCCCACTTAGTCATGACAAATGATATTTTAATATGTTGTTGAACTCTATTTTCCAGTATTTAGCTTAGAATTTTTGCGTCAGTATTAATCAGTGATATTGGCCTGTAGTTTTCTTTCTTTTTTTTTTTTTTTTTGATGTGCCATTGTCTCATTTTGATATCAGGGTAATATTGACCTCATATAATAAGTTTGGAAGAATTCACTCCTCCTCTATTTTTTGGAATAGTTTGAGTAGAAATGATATTAGTTCCTTAGTGTTTGGTTGGATTCATCAGTGAAGCCATTGGGTCCTGTATTAATCTGTTTTCATACTGCCTTAAAGAACTTCTCAAGACTGAGTAATTTATAAAGGAAAGAGGTTTACATGACTCACAGTTCAGCATTCCTGGAGAAGCCTCAGGAAATTTACAATCATGGCAGAAGGCAAAGGGGAAGCAAGGCACCTCCTTCACAGGCAGAAGGAAGGAGAAGTGCCAAGTGAAAGGGGAAGAGCCCCTCACAAAACCATCAGATTTCATGAGAACTTACTCACTATCACAAGAACAGCATGTGGGAAACCACTCCCATGATTCAGTTGCCTCCACCTGGTTGCTCCCTTGACATGTGGGGATTATGGGGATTATACAATTCAAGATGAGATTTGGGTGGGACACAAAGCCTAACCATATCATTCCACCCTGGCTCCTACCAAATGTCATACGCCTTTCACATTTGAAAACCAATCATGCCTTCCAAAAAGTCTCCAAACTCTTAATCATTTCAGCATTAACCCAAAAGTCCAAGTCCAAAGTCCCATCTGAGACAAGACAAGTTCCTTCTCCCTGTGAGCCTATAAAATCAAAAACAAGTTAGTTACTTCTTAGATACAGTGGGGGTACAGGAATTGGGTAAATATACCTGTTCCAAATGGGAGAAATTGACCAAAACAAAGGGGCTACAGGCCCCATGCAAGTCCAAAATTGAGTGGGCAGTCAATTCTTAAAGCTCCAAAATGATTTACTTTGACTTAATGTCTCACATCCAGGTCACACTGATGCAAGAGGTTGGCTCTGATGGCCTTGGGCAGCTCTGCCTCTGTGGCTTCACAGGATATATCCCCCCTCCAGGCTGCTTTCACAGGGTGGCAATGTTTGTGGCTTTTCCAGGTGCACAGTGTGAGCTGTCAGTGGTTCTACCATTCTAGGGCCTGGAGAATGGTGGCCCTCTTCTCACAGCTCCACTAGGCAGTGCCCAAGTGGTGACTCTGTGTGGGGACTCCAACCTCACATTTTCCTTCTGCACTGCCCTAGAAGAGGTTCTCCATGAAAGCGCCACTCCTGCAGCAAACTTCTGCCTGGACACCCAGGCATTTCCATACATCCTCTAAAATCTAAGCAGAGGTTCCCAAATCTCAACTCTGGACATCTGTGCACCTGAAGGCCCAACACCATGTGTAAGCTTCCAAGGCCTGGGGCTTGCACTCTCTGAAGCAACAGCCTGAACTGCATGTGGCCACAGCTGGTATGCAGGGCACCAAGTCTCAAGATTGCAGAAAGCCACAAGGCCCTGAGCTGATCCCAGGAAACCATTTGTTCTCCTAGGCCTCTGGGGCTGTGATTGGAAGGGCTGCCAGGAAGACCTCTGACATGCTTTGGAGACATTTTCCGCATTGTGTTGGTCGTTAACATTTGGCTCCTTGTTACTTGTGCAAATTTCTGCAGCTGGCTTGAACTTCTCCTCAGAAAATATGTTTTTCTTTACTGTCACATCATCAGGCTGCAAATTTTCCAAACTTTAATGCTCTGCTTCCCTTTTAAACATAAGTTCCAATTCCAAATAATCTCTTTGTGAATGCATAAAACTGAATGCTTTTAAAAGCACCCAAGTGACATCTTTGCTTTGTTGCTTAGAAATTTCCTCCACTAGATATGCTAAATCATCTCTCTTGAGTTCAATGTTCCAAAGATCTCTAGGGCAGGGACAAAATGCCACTAGTCTCTTTGTGAAAGAATAGCAAGAATCACCTTTATTGCAGTTCTCAACAAGTTCCTCATCTCCATTTGAGACCACCTCAGCCTGGACTTCATTGTCCATATCATTATTGGCATTTTGGTCAAAGCCACTCAACAAGTCTCTAGGAAGTTCCAAACTTTCCCACATCTTCCTATCTTCTTCTGAGCCCTCCAAACTGTTCCAACCTCTGCCTGTTACCCTGTTCCAAAGTATCTTCCACATTTTCGGGTATCTTTATAGCAGCACCCCACTTTCTGTAGTACAAATTCAGGGTATTTGTTTATTTTCATACTGTTATAAAGAACTGCACGAGACTAGGTAATTCATAAAGGAAATAGTTTTAATTGACTCATAGCTCAGCATGGCTGGGGAAACCTCAGGAAACTTACAATCACAGTGGAGGGTGAAAGGGAAGCAAGGAACCTTCTTCACAAGGCAGCAGGAAGGAAAAGTGCTGAGTCAAGGGGGAAGAGCCCCTTATAAAACCATCAGACATTGTGAGAACTCACTCACTATCATGAGAACAGCATGGGGAAAACCACCCCCACAATTCAATTGCCTCCAACTGGTCTCTCCCTTGACAAGTGGGGATTATGGGAATTATGAGGATTACAATTCAAGGTGAGATTTGGGTGGGGACACAAAGCCTAACCATATCGGGTCCTGAGCTTTTCTTTACTGGGAGGCTTTTTATTACCACTTCGATCTCATTACTTGTTATTTGTCTGCTCTGATGTCAAATTTCTTACTTGTCCAATCTTAGAAGGTTGTATGTGTCTGGGAATTTTTCTATTTCTTCTAGATTTTTCAATTTACAGGCATATAGTTGCTCATATTAGCCACTAATGTTTCTTTGAATTTCAGCAGTATCAGTTCTAATGTTTCCTTTTTCATCTCTGATTTTATTTAGGTCTTGTCTCGTTTCTTTTAGTTAAGTCTGGCTAACAATTTGTTAATTTTGTTTATCTTTTCAAAAAATGAACTTTTTGTTTCATAGATCTTTTGTATTGTTTCTTCTTTCCATTTCATTTATTTTTTCTCTAATCTTTATTAATCCTTTTCTTCTACTAATTTTGGGTTCACCTAGCTCTTGTTTTTCTAGTTCTTTAAGATGCATCATTAGATTGTTCATTTGAAATTTTTCTTCTTTTTTGGTGTACTCATTCATAGCTATACTCTTCCCTCTTAGTACTTCTTTTGCTGTACCCCATAGGTTTTAGTATGTTGTGTTTTCCTTATCATTTGTTCAAGAAATTTTTCAAAATTTTTCTTAATTTCTTTATTAATCCACTCATCATTCAGGTGCATATTGTTGAATTTGGGTGTGTTTGTATAGTTTCCAAAATTCCTCTTGTTATTGATTTCTAGTTTTATTCCACTGTGGTCAGAAAAGAGTCTAGATTTTTTTTTATTTTTTTGAATATTTTCAGCCTTGTTTTGTAACTTAACATATGGTGTATTTTTTAGAATAATCCATGCTGAGGAAAAAGTGTGTCTTCTGCAGCCACTGGATGAAATGCTCCCTGAATAACTATTAGATCCATTTTGTCTGTAGTATAGATAAAGTAGGATGTTCTTTGTTAATTTTCTGTCCAGAAGATCTGTCCAATGTTGAAAGGGGGTGTGAAAGTCTAGACCTATTATTGTATTGAGGTTTGTCTCTCTCCTTAGCTCTAATAATCCTTGCTTTATAGCCCTGGGTGCTGTAGTGTTGAGTGTGTATATATTTACAACTGCCACATCTCCTTGCTGAATTGACCCCTTTATCATTACATAATGGCCTTCTTTGTCTCTTCTTCACATTTTGTCTTGAAATCTATTTTGTCTTATAAAACTACTCCAGGTTTTTATTTATTTTATTTATTTATTTATTTATTTATTTATTTATTTTGAGACAGGGTTTCACTGTCATCTAGCCTGGAGTCCAGTGGGGTCAACATAGCTCACTGCAACTTCAAACTCCTGGACTCATGCAATCCTCCTGCCTCAGCCCCTGAAGTAGCTGGGACTACAGGCATATGCCATCACACCCAGTTAATTTTTGTATTTTTTTGTAGAGATGGGGGTTTCACTATGTTGCCCAGGCCAGTCTTGTATTCCTGAGCTCAAGTGATCCACCTGTCTCAGGCTCCCAAAGTGTCTTGCTTTTTGGGTTTCCATTGGCAAGTAATAACTTTTTCCAGCCATTTATTTTCAGTCTATTTGTGTCTTTACAGGTGAAGTGTTTCCTGTAGGCAACAGGTCATTGGATCTTTACTATTATGAATTCAACCACTCTATGTATATTTATTGGAAAATTTAGTCCATTTACATTCAATGTTATTACTGATAAGTAAGAACTGACTCCTGCCATTGTGTTATTTGCTTTCTGGTTATATTACAGTTTTCTCTTCTTTCTTTTCTTCCTTCCAGTCTTCCTTTTAGTGAAAATTATTTTCTCTGGTAATATGTTTAGTTTCTTTTTATTTTCTGTTGTATCTATTCTATGTTTTTTCATTTAAGGTTACCATGAGGCTTGCAAATGAATACTATCTTATAACCCAGTATTTCAAACAGATAACAACATCTGCATATATAAACAAGTGAACAAAGAAGCTAACTAAAAGAAAACTAGTAAAAACTATATATCTTAACTTTGTTCCCACACTTTTTAACTTTCTGTTGTTTCTATTTATCTTACTGGTCTGTTTCAGTCTTGAAAATTTGTTGTAGCTTTTGTTGACTGGTTCATTTGTTAGTCTTTCTACTTAAGATTAGAATAGTTTATACACCAAAGATACAGCATTATAATATTCTGTGTTGTTTTGTGTATTCACTATTATGAGTGAGTTTCATACCTTCAGGTGATTATTGAGTGAGTTTTGTATTTTCAGGTGATTATTGATTGCTCATTAATATATTTTTCTTTCTGATTTAAATACTCCCTTTAGCATTTATTATAGGAAAAATCTGGTGTTGATGAAAGCCCTCAGCTTTTGTTTTCCTGGAAAAGCCTCTATTTCTCCTTCATGCTTGATGAATATCTTTGCCAGATATACAATTCTAGAATAAAGGTTTTTTTCTTCTTAGCTTTAAATATGTCATGCCACTCTCTCCTAACTTGTAAATTTTCCACTGAAAAGTCTGCTGCCATACATATTGAAGCATCATTGTATGTTGTTTCTTTTCTGCTGCTACTTTTAGAATCCTTTCCTTTTCATTGACCTTTGGGAGTTTGATTATTAAATGCCTTCAGGTAGTCTTCTTTGGGTTAAATCTGCTTGGTATTCTATAGCCTTGTACTTGGATGTTGATATCTTTCTATAAGTTTGGAACATTCTCTGATATTATCTTTTGAGTAAACTTTCTACCCTGATCTCTTTCTCTACCTCCTCTTTAAAGCCAATAACTCTTAGATTTGCTTTTTTGAGGCTATTGTCTACATCTTGTAGGCATAATTCATTCTTTTTTATTTTTTTCTTTTCAGTCTTCTCTGACTTTGCCTTTTTCAAATAGCGTGTCTTTGAGCTCACTAATCCTTTCTTCTGCTTGATCAATTCTGCTATTGAATGACTCTGATGCAGTCTTCAGTATGTCAATTGCACTTTTTAACTCCAGAGTTTCTGCTTGATTCTTTTTAACTATTTCAATATCATTTTAACTTTATCTGGTAGAATTATGAATTCCTTCTCTGTGTTATCTTAAATTTCTTTGAGTTTCCTCAAAACAGCTTTTTTAAATTTCTTTGTCTGAAAGGTTACATATCTCTGTATCTCCAGGATTGGTCCCTGGTGACTTATTTAGTTCAATTGGTGATATCATGTTTTCCTGAATGGTTTTGATACTTGTGGATGTTTGTTGGTGTCTGGGCATTGAAAAGTTAGATACTTATTGTAGCGTTCACAGCCTGTGCTTGTTGGTACCCATCCTTCTTGGGAAGGCTTTTCATATATTCAAATGGACTTGGGTGTTGTTATCAAAGCCATATCTGCATTAGGGAACACCCCAAGCCCAGTAATGTTATGGTTCTTTCAGACTCATAGAGGTACCCCTTTGGTGGTCTTGGATGAGATCTGGAAGAAATCTCTGGATTACCAGGCAGTGATTCTCGTTCTCTTCCCTTACTTTCTCTCAAACAAATGGAGTCTTTCTTTCTCTATGCTAAGCCTCTGGAGCTGGGGGTGAGTAACATAAGCACCCCTGTGCCCACCACCACTGAGACTGTGCTGGGTCAGACCTGAAGCCACTACAGCACTGGGCCTCAACCAATGCCCACTATAACCACTAACTGGCTACCATCTATGTTCACTCAAGGCCCTAGAGCTCTATAATCAGCAGGTAGAAAAACTAAACAGGCTTGTGTCTTTCCCTTGAGGGTGGCAAGTTCACCCAAGGACCTGGGCAGGCTCACAGATGCCATCTAGGAGCCAGGGACTGGAGTCAAAAACCTTAGAAATCTATCTGGTATTCTATTGTACTGCAAATGAGCTGGCACCTATACCACAATACAAAGTCCTTCCCACTCTTCCTTTGCCTTCCCATACAAGGAGCCTCTCCCTATGGCTGCCACCACCATCATCCCATGGGGGCTTCTGCCAGGCCCACAAGTGTTCATTTACAGGCCAAGGGCTCTTCAGTCAGCTTGCAGTGAATGCTGCCAGGCCTGGAACTCACCACTCACGTGAGTAGGATCCCCTCTGCCCCTGGGAAGGTCCAGAAATGCTGTTTAAGAGCCAATGCCTGGAAACAAGAGTCCCCAGAAGCCCACTTGATGATCTACCCCACTATAGCTGAGCTTGTACCTCAGGTGCAAGACAAGGTCTCCTTTACTCTTCCCCCTACTTTTTCTCAAATAGAAGGAGTCTCTCACCATAGCCACCACAGCTGGAAATAGGCTGGGTCTGACCTGAAGCCAACACATCTCAGAGTCTCACCCAAGATCCATGGCATACTATGAGGGAATCACTGCTGGGTATTCAGAACCCATGGGCCCTTTCGTCAGCATGTGATGAGGCCTGCCTGGACTGGGTATTTCTCTTCTAGGCAACAGGTTCCCTTTTGGCCCAGTGTGTGTCTAGAAATGTCATCCAGGAGCTAGCGCATGTAATGTCAACCAGGAGTTAGGACCTAAAACAGCTCACTTGGTGCCCTGTCCTACTGTGGCTGAGCTGGTATCCAAGAAACAAGACAAACTTATCTTTACTTTTCCCCCTTCTCTCCTTAAGCAGAAGGATGGGGGTCTCTTTTAGAGCCACAAGCTGTGCTGCCTGGTGTTAGGGGAGGAGTGACAACAGGCACTCCCTTAGCCACCCTGGCTGGGGTCTCATTAGTTTGCATGATGCCCACAAGTCCACTGGCTCTGATCCCCACTCAGCAGTAGGATTTGCCTAGGACTTGCAGTCCTTGTGGCCTAGCCTGCCTTTCAAATTTATTTGGAGTCCCAGAAAACTTTAGCCCATGGTAGTGAGTCTTGCCAGAATTCAAGTTCTAGCCACTGGGATGGGCAATTGCCCTCTGGCTAGGGCTCATCTAAACGTTCCTTCCATGGGTAGGCATCAGCTGAGTTCAGCCCAGTTTTGCTTTCTGATGTGACAAGACAGCACTGAGTTCAATACAAAATCTCACAGTTGCTGAACTCTCCTTCTTCCAAGTGCACAGATTCTCTCTCTGTGCCATGTGGCTGCTTCCAGGAGATGGGAGGCAGCATTAGTGATTCAAGGCTGTATTTCTTTTCATCTTCAGTGCCTCTTTCAGTGATATGAAGTTAAAATCAGGTATTGTGAGTGCTCCCCTGATTTTTAGTTCTTAAGAAGGTGCTTTTTTGTGTAGACAATTTTTAAATTTGGTGTTTCTTTGGGGGTACAATCAGTGAAGACTTCTATTTGGCCATTTTGCTCCTAGTCATCTGAGCTCTCCCTTTCATTTTTGGATAGACAATTATTGTAACATCGAACACTTCATCTGAGATATAAATGTTTTGGTGGGGTGATAACACACCTACGCACTGGAACAACAGATATGCATTACTTCGTGCAAAATTTGCTGAGTAAAATCCCAAAACTAGTATAAACACAGACACATAGAACAATGGAACAGAATAGAGACTCCAAATGTAAATACACACATTTACACACAACTCATATTTTTTAAATTTAATTTAATATTTTTATACATTAAGTTCTGGGATACATGTGCAGAACGTGCAGGTTTGTTACATAGGTATACAAGTGATGTGGTGGTTTGCCACACCCCTCAACCCATCATCTATATTAGTTATTTCTCCTAATACTATCCCTCCCCTAGTCCCCCACCCTGACAGGCCCTGGTGCGTGAAGATCTCCTCCCTGTTTCTATGTGTTCTCTTTGTTCAACTCCCACTTATAAGTGAGAACATGCAAGTGTTCGGTTTTCTGTTCCTGTGTTAGTTTGCTGAGGATGATGGTTTCCAGCTTCATCCATGTCCCTGCAAAGGACATGAACTCATCCTTTTTTATGGCTGCATAGTATTCCATGGTGTATATGTGCCACATTTTTTTAATCCAGTCTATCATTGATGGGCATTTGGTTTGGTTCCACGTCTTTGCTATTGTGAATAGTGCCACAATAAACATACATGTGTATGTGTCTTTATAGTAGAATGATTTATAATCCTTTGGGTATATACCCAGTAATGGGATTTCTGGGTCAAATGGTAGTTCCGGATGTAGCTCCTTGAGGAATCCCCACACTGTCTTCCACAATGGTTGAAATAATTTACACTCCCACCAACAGTGTAAAAGTGTTCCTATTCCTCTACATCCTCTCCAGCATGTGCTGTTTCCTGATTTTTAATGATCGCCATTCTAAATGACATGAGATGGTATCTCATTGTGGTTTTGATTTGCATTTCTCTAATGACCAATGATGATGAGCATTTTTTCATATGTTTGTTGGCTGCATAAATGTCTTTTTTGATAAGTGTCTCTTCATATCCTTTGCCCACTTTTTGACGGGGTTGTATTTTTCTTGTAAATTTGTTTAAGTTCTTTGTAGATTCTGGATATTAGCCCTTTGTCAGATGGATAGATGGCAAAAATTTTCTCCCATTCTGTAGGCTGCCTGTTCACTCTGATGATAGTTCCATTTGCTGTGCAGAAGCTCTTTAGTTTAATTAGATCTCATTTGTCAATTTTGGCTTTTGTTGACATTGCTTTTGGTGTTTTAGTCATGAAGTCGTTTCTCATCCCTATGTCCTGCATGGTATTGCCTATGTTTTCTTCTAGGGTTTTTATGGTTTTAGGTTTTATGTTTAAGTCTTTAATCCATCTTCAATTAACTTTTGTGTGTAAGTGTGTTTTTGGTTTTTTGTTTTTGTTTTTGTTTTTTTTTTTTTTTGAGACGGAGTCTCACTCTGTCACCCAGGCTGGAGTGCAGTGGTGTGATCTTGGCTCACTGCAACCTCTGCCTCCCGAATTCCAGTGATTTTCCTGCCTCAGTGTCCTAAGTAGCTGGCAGTACAGGAGTATGTCACCACACCTGGCTAATTTCTTGTATTTTAGTAGAGAAGGGGTTTCACCATATTAGCCAACATGGTCTCAATCTCCTGACCTAGTGACCTGCCTGCCTTGGCCTCCCAAAGTGCTGGGATTACAGGTATGAGCCATGATGCCCAGCCATTAATTTTTGCATATGGTGTAAGGAAGGGGTCCAGTTTCAGTGTTCTGCATATGGCTAGCCAGTTTTCCCAACCCATTTATTAAATAGGGAATCCTTTCCCCATTGCTTGTTTTTGTCAGGTTTGTGAAAGATCAGATTGTTGTACATGTGTGGGGTTATTTCTGAGGCCTCTGTTCTGTTCCATTGGTCTATATATCTGTTTTGGTACCAGTAACATGCTGTTTTGGTTACTGTAGCCTTGTAGTATAGTTTGAAATCATGTAGCATGATGTCTCCAGCTTTGCTGTTTTTGTGTAGGATTGCCTTGGCTATATAGGCTCTGTTCCATATGAAATTTAAACTAGTTTTTTCTATTTCCTAATTCTGTGAAGAAATTCAGTGGTATCTTGATGTGGATAGCATTGAATCTACAAATTACTTTGGGCAGTATGGCCATTTTCATGACACTGATTCTTCCTATCCATGAGCACAGAATGTTCTTCCATTTGTTTGTGTCCTCTCTTATTTCCTTGAGCAGTGGTTTGTAGTCCTCGAAGAGGTCCTTCACATCCCTTGTAAGTTGCATTCCTAGATATTTTATTCTTTTTGTAGCAATTGTGAATGGGAGTTTACTCATGATTTGGATCTCTATTATTGGTGTATAGGAATACTTGTGATTTTTACACACTGATTTTGTATCCTGAGAATTTGCTGAAGTTGCTTATCAGCTTAAGGAAATTTGGGGCTCAGATGTTCGGGTTTTCTAAACATACAATCATGTCATCTGCAAACAGAGACAATTTGACTTCCTCTCATCCTATTTGAATACCCTTTATTTCTTTCTCTTGCCTGATTACCCCGGCCAGAACGTCCAATACTATGTTGAATAGGAGTGGTGAGAGAGGGCGTCCTTGTCTTGTGCCAGTTTTCAAAGAGAATGCTTCCAGCTTTTGCCCATTCAGTATGATATTGGCTATGGATTTGTCATAAATAGCTCTTATTATTTTGAGATATGTTCCATCAATACCGAGTTTATTGAGAGTTTTTAGCATGAAGGGGTGTTGAATTTTATCCAAGGCCTTTTCTGCATCTTTTGAGATAATTTTTGGCATTGCTTCTGTTTACGTGATGGATTACATTTATCGATTTGTGTATGTTGAAGCTGCCTTGCATCCCAAGAATGAAGTTGACTTGATCGTGGTGGATAAGCTTTTTGGTGTGCTGCTGGATTCTGTTTGCCAGTATTTTATTGAGGATTTTTGCATTGATGTTCAGCAGAGATATTGGCCTTAAATTTTCTTTCTTTCTTGTGTCTCTGCCATATTTTGCTATAAAGATGATGCTGGCCTCATAAAATGAGTAGGGAGGAGTCCCTCTTTTCCTATCATTTGAAATAGTTTCAGAAGGAATGGTACCAGCTCCTCTTTGTACCTCTGGTAGAATTAAGCTGTGAATCTGTCTGATCCTGGGCTTTTTTTGGTTTGTAGGCTATTAATTACTGCCTCAATTTGAGATCTTGTTATTGGTCTATTCAGGGATTTAACTTCTTCCTGGTTTAGCCTTGGGAGGATTATGTGTCTACAAATTTATCCTTTTTTTTTTTAGATTTTCTAGTTTATTTGCATAGAAGTATTTATAGTATTCTCTGATGGCAGTTTCTGTTTCTGTGGGATCAGTGGTGATATTACCTTTATCATTCTTTGTTGCATCTATTTGATTCTTCTCTCTTTTATTCTTTATTAGTCTGGCTAGCAGTCTATCTATTTTGTTAATCTTTTCAAAAAACCAGCTCCTGGATTCACTGATTTTTTTAAGGGTTTTCCGAGTCTCTATCTCCTTCAGTTCGGCTCTGGTCTTAGTTATTTCTTGTCTTCTGCTAGCTTTTGAATTTGTTTGCTTTTGCTTCTCTAGTTCTTTTTTTTTTTTAACTTTTTTTTTTTTTATACTTTAAGTTTTAGGGTACATGTGCACATTGTGCAGGTTAGTTACATATGTATACATGTGCCATGCTGGTGCGCTGCACCCACTAACTCGTCATCTAGCATTAGGTATATCTCCCAATGCTATCCCTCCCCCCTCCCCCCACCCCACCACAGTCCCCAGAGTGTGACATTCCCCTTCCTGTGTCCATGTGATCTCATTGTTCAATTCCCACCTATGAGTGAGAATATGCGGTGTTTGGTTTTTTGTTCTTGCGATAGTTTACTGAGAATGATGCTTTCCAATTTCATCCATGTCCCTACAAAGGATATGAACTCATCATTGTTTATGGCTGCATAGTATTCCATGGTGTATATGTGCCACATTTTCTTAATCCAGTCTATCATTGTTGGACATTTGGGTTGGTTCCAAGTCTTTGCTATTGTGAATAATGCCACAATAAACATACATGTGCATGTGTCTTTATAGCAGCATGATTTATAGTCATTTGGGTATATACCCAGTAATGGGATGGCTGGGTCAAATGGTATTTCTAGTTCTAGATCCCTGAGGAATTGCCACACTGACTTCCACAATGGTTGAACTAGTTTGCAGTCCCACCAACAGTGTAAAAGTGTTCCTATTTCTCCACATCCTCTCCAGCACCTGTTGTTTCCTGACTTTTTAATGATTGTCATTCTAACTGGTGTGAGATGATATCTCATAGTGGTTTTGATTTGCATTTCTCTGATGGCCAGTGATGATGAGCATTTTTTCATGTGTTGTTTGGCTGCATAAATGTCTTCTTTTGAGAAGTGTCTGTTCATGTCCTTTGCCCACTTTTTGATGGGGTTGTTTGTTTTTTTCTTGTAAATTTGTTGGAGTTCATTGTAGATTCTGGATATTAGCCCTTTGTCAGATGAGTAGGTTGCGAAAATTTTCTCCCATTTTGTAGGCTGCCTGTTCACTCTGATGGTAGTTTCTTTTGCTGTGCAGAAGCTCTTTAGTTTACTGAGATCCCATTTGTCAATTTCGTCTTTTGTTGCCATTGCTTTTGGTGTTTTGGACATGAAGTCCTTGCCCACGCCTATGTCCTGAATGGTAATGCCTAGGTTTTCTTCTAGGGTTTTTATGGTTTCAGGTCTAACATTTAAATCTTTAATCCATCTTGAATTGATTTTTGTATAAGGTGTAAGGAAGGGATCCAGTTTCAGCTTTCTACATATGGCTAGCCAGTTTTCCCAGCACCATTTATTAAATAGGGAATCCTTTCCCCATTGCTTGTTTTTCTCAGGTTTGTCAAAGATCAGATAGTTGTAGGTATGCGGCGTTATTTCTGAGGGCTCTGTTCTGTTCCATTGATCTATATCTCTGTTTTGGTACCAGTACCATGCTGTTTTGGTTACTGTAGCCTTGTAGTATAGTTTGAAGTCAGGTAGCGTGATGCCTCCAGCTTTGTTCTTTTGGCTTAGGATTGACTTGGCGATGCGGGCTCTTTTTCGGTTCCATATGAACTTGAAAGTAGTTTTTTCCAATTCTGTGAAGAAAGTCATTGGTAGCTTGATGCAGATGGCATTGAATCTGTAAATTACCTTGGGCAGTATGGCCATTTTCACGATATTGATTCTTCCTACCCATGAGCATGGAATGTTCTTCCATTTGTTTGTATCCTCTTTTATTTCCTTGAGCAGTGGTTTGTAGTTCTCCTTGAAGGGGTCCTTCACATCCCTTGTAAGTTGGATTCCTAGATATTTTATTCTCTTTGAAGCAATTGTGAATGGGAGTTCACTCATGATTTGGCTCTCTGTTTGTCTGTTGTTGGTGTATAAGAATGCTCGTGATTTTTGTACATTGATTTTGTATCCTGAGACTTTGCTGAAGTTGCTTATCAGCTTAAGGAGATTTTGGGCTGAGATGATGGGGTTTTCTAGATAAACAATCATGTCGTCTGCAAACAGGGACAATTTGACTTCCTCTTTTCCTAATTGAATACCCTTCATTTCCTTCTCCTGCCTGATTGCCCTGGCCAGAACTTCCAACACTATGTTGAATAGGAGTGGTGAGAGAGGGCATCCCTGTCTTGTGCCAGTTTTCAAAGGGAATGCTTCCAGTTTTTGCCCATTCAGTATGATATTGGCTGTGGGTTTGTCATAGATAGCTCTTATTATTTTGAGATACGTCCCATCAATACCTAATTTATTGAGAGTTTTTAGCATGAAGGGTTGTTGAATTTTGTCAAAGGCTTTTTCTGCATCTATTGAGATAATCATGTGGTTTTCGTCTTTGGCTCTGTTTATATGCTGGATTACATTTATTGATTTGCATATATTGAACCAGCCTTGCATCCCAGGGATGAAGCCCACTTGATCATGGTGGATAAGCTTTTTGATGTGCTGCTGGATTCGGTTTGCCAGTATTTTATTAAGGATTTTTGCATCAATGTTCATCAAGGATATTGGTCTAAAATTCTCTTTTTTGGTTGTGTCTCTGCCCAGCTTTGGTATCAGAATGATGCTGGCCTCATAAAATGAGTTAGGGAGGATTCCCTCTTTTTCTATTGATTGGAATAGTTTCAGAAGGAATGGTACCAGTTCCTCCTTATACCTCTGGTAGAATTCGGCTGTGAATCCATCTGGTCCTGGACTCTTTTTGGTTGGTAAACTATTGATTATTGCCACAATTTCAGCTCCTGTTATTGGTCTATTCAGAGATTCAACTTCTTCCTGGTTTAGTCTTGGGAGAGTGTAGGTGTCGAGGAATGTATCCATTTCTTCTAGATTTTCTAGTTTATTTGCATAGAGGTGTTTGTAGTATTCTCTGATGGTAGTTTGTATTTCTGTGGGATCGGTGGTGATATCCCCTTTATCATTTTTTATTGTGTCTATTTGATTCTTCTTTTTTCTTTATTAGTCTTGCTAGTGGTCTATCAATTTTATTGATCCTTTCAAAAAACCAGCTCCTGGATTCATTGATTTTTTGAAGGGTTTTTTGTGTCTCTATTTCCTTCAGTTCTGCTCTGATTTTAGTTATTTCTTGCCTTCTGCTAGCTTTTGAATGTGTTTGCTCTTGCTTTTCTAGTTCTTTTAATTGTGATGTTAGGGTGTCAATTTTGGATCTTTCCTGCTTTCTCTTGTGGGCATTTAGTGCTATAAATTTCCCTCTACACACTGCTTTGAATGTGTCCCAGAGATTCTGGTATGTTCTGTCTTTGTTCTCATTGGTTTCAAAGAACATCTTTATTTCTGCCTTCATTTCGTTATGTACCCAGTAGTCATTCAGGAGCAGGTTGTTCAGTTTCCATGTAGTTGAGCAGCTTTGAGTGAGATTCTTAATCCTGAGTTCTAGTTTGATTGCACTGTGGTCTGAGAGATAGTTTGTTATAGTTTCTGTCCTTTCACATTTGCTGAGGAGAGCTTTACTTCCAACTATGTGGTCAATTTTGGAATAGGTGTGGTGTGGTGCTGAAAAAATGTATATTCTGTTGATTTGTGGTGGAGAGTTCTGTAGATGTCTATTAGGTCTGCTTGGTGCAGAGCTGAGTTCAATTCCTGGTTATCCTTGTTGACTTTCTGTCTCGTTGATCTGTCTAATGTTGACAGTGGGGTGTTAAAGTCTCCCATTATTAATGTGTGGGAGTCTAAGTCTCTTTGTAGGTCACTCAGGACTTGCTTTATGAATCTGGGTGCTTCTGTATTGGGTGCATATATATTTAGGATAGTTAGCTCCTCTTGTTGAATTGATCCCTTTACCATTATGTAATGGCCTTCTTTGTCTCTTTTGATCTTTGTTGGTTTAAAGTCTGTTTTATCAGAGACTAGGATTGCAACCCCTGCCTTTTTTTGTTTTCCATTTGCTTGGTAGATCTTCCTCCATCCTTTTATTTTGAGCCTATGTGTGTCTCTGCACGTGAGATGGGTTTCCTGAATACAGCACACTGATGGGTCTTGACTCTTTATCCAATTTGCCAGTCTGTGTCTTTTAATTGGAGCATTTAGTCCATTTACATTTAAAGTTAATACTGTTATGTGTGAATCTGATCCTGTCATTATTATGTTAGCTGGTTATTTTGCTCATTAGTTGATGCAGTTTCTTCCTAGTCTCAATGGTCTTTACATTTTGGCATGATTTTGCAGCGGCTGGTACTGGTTGTTCCTTTCCATGTTTAGCACTTCCTTCAGGAGCTCTTTTAGGGCAGGCCTGCTGGTCACAAAATCTCTCAGCATTTGCTTGTCTGTAAAGTATTTTATTTCTCCTTCACTTATGAAGCTTAGTTTGGCTGGATATGAAATTCTGGGTTGAAAATTCTTTTCTTTAAGAATGTTGAATATTGGCCCCCACTCTCTTCTGGCTTGTAGGGTTTCTGCCGAGAGATCCACTGTTAGTCTGATGGGCTTCCCTTTGAGGGTAACCTGACCTTTCTCTCTGGCTGCCCTTAACATTTTTTCCTTCATTTCAACTTTGGTGAATCTGACAATTATGTGTCTTGGAGTTGCTCTTCTCGAGGAGTATCTTTGTGGCGTTCTCTGTATTTCCTGAATCTGAACGTTGGCCTGCCTTGCTAGATTGGGGAAGTTCTCCTGGATAATATCCTGCAGAGTGTTTTCCAACTTGGTTCCATTCTCCCCATCACTTTCAGGTACACCAATCAGACGTAGATTTGGTCTTTTCACATAGTCCCATATTTCTTGGAGGCTTTGCTCATTTCTTTTTATTCTTTTTTCTCTAAACTTCCCTTCTCGCTTCATTTCATTCATTTCATCTTCCATTGCTGATACCCTTTCTTCCAGTTGATCGCATTGGCTCCTGAGGCTTCTGCATTCTTCACATAGTTCTCGAGCCTTGGTTTTCAGCTCCATCAGCTCCTTTAAGCACTTCTCTGTATTGGTTATTCTAGTTATACATTCTTCTAAATTTTTTTCAAAGTTTTCAACTTCTTTGCCTTTGGTTTGAATGTCCTCCCGTAGCTCAGAGTAATTTGATCGTCTGAAGACTTCTTCTCTCAGCTCGTCAAAATCATTCTCCATCCAGCTTTGTTCCGTTGCTGGTGAGGAACTGCGTTCCTTTGGAGGAGAGGCGCTCTGCGTTTTAGAGTTTCCAGTTTTTCTGTTCTGTTTTTTCCCCATCTTTGTGGTTTTATCTACTTTTGGTCTTTGATGATGGTGATGTACAGATGGGTTTTCGGTGTGGATGTCCTTTCTGTCTGTTAGTTTTCCTTCTAACAGACAGGACCCTCAGCTGCAGGTCTGTTGGAATACCCTGCCGTGTGAGGTGTCAGTGTGCCCCTGCTGGGGGGTGCCTCCCAGTTAGGCTGCTCGGGGGTCAGGGATCAGGGACACACTTGAGGATGCAGTCTGCCCATTCTCAGATCTCCAGCTGCGTGCTGGGAGAACCACTGCTCTCTTCAAAGCTGTCAGACAGGGACATTTAAGTCTGCAGAGGTTACTGCTGTCTTTTTGTTTGTCTGTGCCCTGCCCCCCAGAGGTGGAGCCTACAGAGGCAGGCAGGCCTCCTTAAGCTGTGGTGGGCTCCACCCAGTTAGAGCTTCCCAGCTGCTTTGTTTACCTAAGCAAGCCTGGGCTATTGTGGGCGCCCCTCCCCCAGCCTCACTGCCACCTTGCAGTTTGATCTCAGACTGCTGTGCTAGCAATCAGCCAGACTCCGTGGGCGTAGGACCCTCCGAGCCAGGTGCGGGATATAATCTCGTGATGCGCCGTTTTTTAAGCCGGTCTGAAAAGCGCAGTATTCGGGTGGGAGTGACCCGATTTTCCAGGTGCGTCCGTCACCCCTTTCTTTGACTCGGAAAGGGAACTCCCTGAACCCTTGCGCTTCCCAGGTGAGGCAATGCCTCGCCCTGCTTCGGCTCACGCAGGGTGCGCGCACCCACTGGCCTGCGCCCACTGTCTGGCACTCCCTACTGAGATGAACCCGGTACCTAAGATGGAAATGCAGAAATCACCCGTCTTCTGCGTCACTCACGCTGGGAGCTGTAGACCGGAGCTGTTCCTATTTGGCCATCTTGGCTCCTCCCTTCTCTAGTTCTTTTAATTGTGATGTTAGGGTGTCGATTTTAGATCTTTCCCACTTTCTCCTGTGGGCTTTTAGTGCTATAAATTTTCCTCTAAACACTGCTTTAGCTTTGTCCCAGAGATTGTGGTATGTTGTGTCTTTGTTCTCATTGGTTTCAAAGAACTTATTTATTTCTGCCTTAATTTCATTATTTACCCAGTAGTCATTCAGGAGCAGGTTGTTCAGTTTCCATGTAGTTGTGCAGTTTTGAGTGACTTTCTTAAATCTGAGTTCTAATTTGACTGCACTGTGGTCTGAGAGACAGTTTGTTATGATTTCCATTCTTTTGCATTTGCTGAGGAGTGTTTTACTTCCAATTATGTGGTCAATTTTAGAATAAGTGCAATGTGGTGTTGAGAAGAATGTATATTCTGTTGATTTGGGGTGGAGAGTTCTGTTGATGTCTATTAGGTCCACTTGGTTCAGAGCTGAGTTCAAGTCCTGAATATCCTTATTAATATTTGGTCCCATTGACCTGTCCAATGTTAACAGTGGGGTGTTTAAGTCTCCCACTTTTATTGTGTGGAAGTCTAAGTCTCTTTGTAGGTCGCTAAGAACTTGCTTTGTGAATCTGTGTTACTATATTGGGTGCATATATATTTAGGATAGTTAGCTCTTCTTATTACATTGATCCCTTTACCATTATGTAATGCCTTTCTTTGTCTTTTTTGATCTTTGTTAGTTTAAAGTTGGTTTAATGTTGGTTTGTTTTATCAGAGACAAGGATTGCAACCCCCTGCTTTTTTTTTCTTTCCATTTGCTTGGTAAATCTTCCTCCATCCCTTTATTTTGAGCCTATGTGTGTTTTGCATATGAGATGGGTCTCCTGAATACAGCTCATCAATGGGTCTTGACTCTTTATCCAATTTACCAGTCCATGTCTTTTAACTGGGGCATTTAGCTGGTTTACATTTAAGGTTAATATATTATGTGTGAATTTGATCCTGTCATTACGATGCTAGCTGGTTATTTTGCCTGTTAGTTGACACAGTTTCTTCATAGTGTCGATAGTCTTTACAATTTGGTATGTTTTTGCAGTGGCTGGTACCAGTTGTTCCTTTCCATATTTAGTGCTTCTTTCAGGAGCTCTTTTAAGACAGGCCTGGTGGTGACAAAATCTCTCAGCATTTGCTTGTCTGTAAAGGATTTTATTTCTCCTTTGCTTATGAAGCTTAGTTTGACTGGATATGAAATTCTGGGTTGAAAATTATTTTTGTTACAATTGTTGAATATTGGCCACCACTCTATTCTGGCTTGTAGGGTTTCTGCAGAGACATCTGTTGTTACTTTAATGGGCTTCTCTTTATGGGTAAACCAACCTTTCTCTCTAGCTGCCCTTATCAATATTTTCCTTCTTTTCAACCTTAGTGAATCTGACAATTATGTGTCTTGGGGTTGCTCTTCTCCAGGAGTATCTTCATGGTGTTCATTGTATTCCCTGAATTTGAATTTTGGCCTGTCTTGCTAGGTTGTGGAATTTCTCCTGGATAATATCCTGAAGAGTGTTTTCCTACTTGGTTCCATTCTCCCCATCACTTTCAGGTACATCAATCAAATGTAGATTTGGTCTTTTCATATAGTCCCATGTTTCCTGGAGGCTTTGTTCATTCCTTTTCATTCTTTTTTCTCTAGTCTTGTCTTCATGCTTTATTTCATTAAGTTAATCTTCAATCTCTGATATCCTTTCTTCCACCTGATTTATTCAGCTGTTGATACTTGTGCATGCTTCACGAAGTTCTTGTGCTGTGCTTTTCAGCTCCATCAGGACATTTATGTTCTTCTCTACACTGATTATTCCAGTTAGCAATTCCTCTAATCTTTTTTCAAGGTTCTTAGCTTCCTTGCATTGGCTTAGAACATGCTCCTTTAGCTCAGAGGAGTTTGTTATTACCCACCTTCTGAAGCCTACTTCTGAAAATTCATCAAACCAATTCTCTGTCCAGTTTTGTTCCCTTGCTGGCAAGGAGTTTTGATCCTTTGGAGGAGAAGAAGTGTTCTGGTTTTTGGAATTTTCAGCCTTTTTGCACTGGTTTTTCCTCATCTTCATGGATTTATCTACCTTTGATCTTTGATGTTGGTGACCTTCAGATGGGTTTCTGTGTGCACATCTTTTTTGTTGATGTTGATTCTATGGCTTTCTGTTTGTTAGTTTTCCTTCTCACAGTCAGGACCCTCTACTGCAGGTCTGCTGGAGTTCGCTGGAGGACCACTCCAGATCCTGTTGCCGGGTATCACCGGCGGAGGCTGCAGAACAGCAAAGATTGTTGCCTGTTCCTTCCTCTGGAAGATTTGTCCCAGAGGGGCACCCACCTAATGCCAGCTGGAGCTCTCCTGTATGAGGTGTCTGTTGACCCCTGCTGAGAGGTGTCTCCTCATCAGGAGCCAGGGGGGTCAGGGACCCCCTTGAGGAAGCAGTCTGTCCCTCAGCAGAGCTCAAGTACTGTGCTGGGAGATCTGCTGCTCTCTTCAGACCTGGCAGGCAGGAATGTTTAAGTCTGCTGAAGCTGCACCCATAGCCGCCCCTTCCCCCAGGTGCTCTGTCCCAGGGAGATGAGAGTTTTATCTATAAGCACCTGACTGGGGCTGCCTTTCTTTCAGAGATGCCCTACCCAGAGAGGAGAAATCTAGAGAGGCACTCTGGCTACAGCGGCTTTACCAAGCTGTGGTGGGCTCCTCTTAGTTCAAACTTCCTGGTGGCTTTGTTTACACTGTGAGGGGAAAACTGCCTACTCAAGCCTCAGTAATGGCAGACACCCCTCCCCCCACCAAGCTCAAGCATCCCAGGTTGACTTCAGACTGCTGTGCTGGCAGTGAGAATTTCAAGCCAGTGTATCTTAGCTTGCTGGGCTCCATGGGGTGGGATCCACTGAGCTAGACAACTTGGCTCCCTGGCTTCATCCCCCTTTCCAGGGGAGTGAATGGTTCTGTCTCACTGACATTACAGGTGCCACTGGGGGGGGGAAATAACCTCCTGCAGCTAACTCAGTGTCTGCCCAAATGGCTGCCCAGTTTTGTGGTTGAAACCCTGGGCCCTGGTGGCATAGGCACCCAAGGGAATCTCCCAGTCTGCAGGTTGCAAAGACCATGGGAAAAGCATAGTGTCTGGGCTGGAGAGCACCATTCCTCATGGCACAGTCCCTCACATCTTCCCTTGGCTGAAGGAGGGAGCTCCCCAACCCCTTGCACTTCCCAGGTGAGGTGACACCCCACCCTGGTTCGGCTCACCCTCCTTGGGTTGCACCCACTCTCTAACCTGTCCCAGTGAGATTAGCCAGGTACCTCAGTTGGGAATGCAGAAACCACCCGCCTTCTGCCTTGATCTCGCTGGGAGCTGCAGACTGGAGCTGTTCCTATTCGGCCATCCTGCCAGCCACTCCAACTCATATTTTTAACAAAGGTGCCAAGAACATACAATGAGGAAACGACAGTGTCTTTAATAAATGGTGTTGGGAAAACTGGATAACTAGATGAAGAAAATTAAACTATACTCCTATCTCCCATCATATACAAAAATCAAATTGAAATGGGTTAAGAACTTACATCTAAGACCTGAAGCCATGAAAGTACTAGCAAAACACATCAGGGAAATGCTGCAGGACATTGGTCTGGGCAAATATTTTTGTTCAATCTCAAAAGCACAGGTAACCAAAGCAAAAATAGACAAATAGGATTACTTCAAAGATTCTGCACAGCAAAGGAAACAATCAACAAAATTAAGAGACAGCCCGCCAAATGGGAGAAAATATTTGCAAACTACACATATGACAAAGGATTAATAAGCAAAATATATAAGGAGCTTAAATATCTCAATAGCAAAAAACAAATTATCCAATTTAAAAATGGGCAAAAGGTTTGAATAGACATTTCTCACTAGAAGATATACAAATGGCCACCAGGTATATGAAAAAATGCTCAACATCACTAATCATCAGAATGATGCAAATCAAAAGTACAATGAGATATGATCTCAATGAATGGCTTTTATCAAAAAGACAGGCAGTAATGGATGCTTTCAAGGATGTGGAGAAAGGGGAACCTTCATGCACTGTTGGCAGGAGTGTAAGTTAGTATAGCTACTATAGAGAACAGTATTGAGGTTCCTCAAAAAACTAAAAATAGTACTACCATATGATCCAGCAATCCCACTGCTGGGTATATATCCAAAGTAAAGGAAATCAATATATTGAAAAGACACCTGAAATCTTATGTTTATTGCAGCACTATTTATAAAAGCCAACATATGGAATCAACCTAGGTGTCCATCAAAAGATCAATGGATAAAGAAAATGTGGTATATATATATACAGTGGAATATTATCCAGCCATTAAAAAATGTAATCTTATCATTTGCAGCAACATGATGGAATTGGAGGTCATTATGTTAAGTGAAATAAGCCAAACACAAGAAGACAAATATCACATATTCTCACTTCTATGTGGGAGCTAAAAACAAAAAGTAGATCTCGTGAAGATAGAGAGTAGGCTGGTGGTTACCAGAGGCCAAGAAGGGTAGTGGAGAGGGGATATTGGGTAGAAATATACAGTTGGATAGAAGAAATAAAACCTAGGGTTAGATAGATCTGTAGGGTAACTATAGTTTATAATAATCTATTGTATAATTCAAAATAGCTACAAGAAAAGAATTTGAATGGTTCTGTCATAAAGAAAAGACCAATATTTAAGGTTATGAATATCCCAAGTATACTGATTTGATCTTTACAAATTGTATGAATGTATTAAATTATCTCATATTCCCTGAAAATATGTATATCTATTACGCATCAATTTAAGTAAATAATAATATGCATAAAAAATTTAAAACTTAGAGTTGAAATTTCAATACAAAATTATTGAATCAAGTGAAATATCACAACTCTTCTCTTAAACTTGTTGCATTTAAACATCTGGTTGGCCGGGCGCGGTGGCTCACGCCTGTAATCCCAGCACTTTGTGTGGCCGAGGCGGGCAGATCATGAGGTCAGGAGATCGAGACCATCCTGGCTAACACGGTGAAACCCCGTCTCTACTAAAAATACAAAAAAAAAAAATTAGCCGGGCGCCGTGGCGGGCGCCTATAGTCCCAGCTACTTGGGAGGCTGAGGCAGGAAAATGGCGTGAACCCGGGAGGCGGAGCTTGCAGTGAGCCAAGATAGCGCCACTGCACTCCAGCCTGGGCGAAAGAGCGAGACTCTGTCTCAAAAAAAAAAAAAAAAAAAATACGTCTGGTAATCGTGAGTCTGTTGTTACTACTTTTAAGTATTTCAGTCCTAAAACACTAGGTGAGCTTTTTTCCATAGATTCTCTATTTAAATGAACATTTTAGTGGTGGTATGCACAAATCATTAAGAAAGTGAAAAATAATTGATGTTTATATAAGGATCCTGTATTAATTTGCTAGGGCTGCCATAACAAACATATTATCAACAACAGAAATGTATTTTCTCACTCTTTTGGAGGCTAAAAGTCCAAGATCAAGGTGCTGGCAGGATTGCCATCTCATGAGACCTCTCTCTTCGGTTTGCAGATGGCTGCCTTCTTACCATGTCCTTATAGGACCTTTTCTCTGTGTGTGCACATCCCTGGTATCTGTTTCTCTTCCTATAAGACTCCCAGTCTGATGGGATTATGGTCCCACTTTTATGACCTTATTTAACTTTAATTACCTTTATAAAGTTCATATCTCCAAATACAGTTACATTGGGGGTTAAGGCTTCAAGATATTAATTTTGAGGAAATACATTTTGGTTCATAATATATCCATTTCCAGTATTACCTGTTGGGTGCATTTATGGGATCCAACATCAATAAACATTTACCATCAATTTCATCATCATCATCAACATAACCATCAAGTATTTTGAAAATACCTAGAAAATCACTTAAAAATCACTTAAAAATTCCATTTGTATGTGGCTATTACAGTTTATGAGGGACCATTAGGTACATCTTCTCATTCAATTCTCACAACTATTCTAACGTTAAAAAGTCAAGATTATTATCCTAGTCTTAAAGGTGCAAAAGAGACACAGAAAGGCCTCCTCAAGCTGCAGAAAATTCCCTCGCTGCAACTGCAGAGAACAAGAGCCTTGGAGGTTATCTGTCATGGAGAGGAAGTTCCATAAATTGAAGCAGGTCAATAGTCACCATCTAAGCCAATAAATAAAAAATCCACCCCCAGGACTTTCCAGATAGATACCAAAGCTTGGTGGTTACCAAGGTCAGGAATCCATATGCTGACCCAATTTCCATTCCCTTGTTTATGAATCTCCCTTCCCCTTTCTCCATTTGGTTTGGAAGTAAATGGAAGAAGAATTGAAGCAGACCAGACAAGAAGGGAAATAGTCACTTATTCACAATTTTACACCTGAAACCTAAATTTGCCATGATTTTTCATTGGAATTTGATTGCTACAAATTTCAAAGATATGCTGCCTTTTAAAATCTAAATAGGATTTCACTGAATAGAATACAAGGAAATTCAAGTGACTAAAATTCTTTCACATCATTATTAGAGTATAATTCTATTTAGAGAGATTTGTGATAATAAACTGCTACTTGATACAGAAGTTCTAAGGATTGGAGAGATATAGTTGCACAGAGCTGTGAATAGAATCATTTTCCAAAAAGCGACATTCATAACAATTCCAGCTGGGGAGAATAAATGGTACATTCATGCATCTACATGGTCATCACCATCATGATGTTTAAAAAAGAAAAGCTGTGGTGTTTGACTGCTATACATGCATTTATGCTAAGCGTCTCTTCTTTTACAGTATCTGCTAAATCAGTGGTTCTCAATTGGACAGGTAACAGAAGCTGATCAGTGAGAAAAGCCAAAAGAAGGAGATTTCATTTAGCTGGGGAAATTTTTAAACTACAACACCCACTCTCCATATGTGCCAGAATCAGAAGCAACAGAAGAGGAAAAGCATCTGTAATTTGATAGAGCTTTCTAGAGGATTCCACTATCCTCCAACTATTTTTATTCTTAACTCGCTGTTTTGAGTAATGGAGGACTACTACTTTTCTGACAGGTCAGGGGAGGAAAACACCCATTTTATAATTGAGGATTTTAGACCCAGAAAAAAATATTGAGATCACAGTACCCAGTTTCCTCATTTTATAGTTTAAGGCCCCACATTGCACTAGTTTTTATAGTTTAAGTATAGTTGCACAATTAAAACAGCTTTTTATAATCCTTTGTGTATATAGCCAGTAATGGGATTGCTGGGTCTGTTCACAACAGCAAAGACTTCGAACCAACCCAAATATCTATCAATGATAGACTGGATAAAGAAAATGTGGCACATATATACCATGAAATACTATGCAGCCATAAAAAAGGATGAGTTCATGCCTTTTGTAGAACATGGATGAGGTTGGAAACCATCATTCTCAGCAAACTAACACAGGAGCAGAAAACCAAACACCACACGTTCTCACTCATAAGTGGGAGTCAAACAATGAGAACACATGGACACAGAGAGGGGATCATCACACACCAGGACCTGTCAGCAGTAGGGGACTAGGGGAGGTACAGCATTAGGAGAAATACCTAATGTAGATGACAGGTTGATGGGTGCAGCAAACCACCATGGCACGTGTACACTTATGTAACGAACCTGCACATTCTGCACATGTATCCCAGAACTTAAAGTACAATAAATAAATTTAAAAAAAGAATTTTTATCACTTAAAAAGAGAGCTTTTTTCCATAGCAAACTAATCTACAATAGAAAGTTGAATCCATGAATGTTTATTTACTGCATCCTTTGGCAAAACATTACTGAGCAATTGGATATATTATTTCTAATTCTGACATCTACTCTGTACTCTGTGAGATAAATATTTTCCCTATTTTACAAATTGGGTTGTAAATTTTCCCAAGATCTCCTAAGTAGTATTGGTGGGGTTGGGATTTGAACTTAGGCCATATAACTCCGGAGCCTGCACTCTTAGCCAATATGCTTCTCTAGTTGCTGCTTGCCATGTACCTGGTTCTCTGTTATATTCTGCAAATATAATAATGGGAAAAATATCCTACTTTCATGAAGCTAGCATAAATTAAAAATATACCAATTATTAAGTATATACTTTCACATTTTGATAAGTACCACAAATAAAAAACACAAGATATTATAAGAGGGAACATCTTAATTTGTGAGGTCAGAAAAGAGAAGTGATACCTAAACTGAGGTTAAGAAGGGGCCATACACGTGAAAAGAATTTAAGGCATAGGAAATAACATATGCCAAGGCCCTGAGATGGAGGAGTTTAGCCTCCTCAAGAAACTGAAAGGCTGATATGAGTAGGATGTGGGTAGTATTCAGGAGAGTAATGCCAGAAAAGATGAAAAGGCAGGCAAGGAAGGAAAAACCATGCAGAACTTTGTATTCCTTGTTAAAGGGTCTGAATTTCTCTCTAGATAGGTGATGCCAATGTCTGGGGAGGAGGTGGGGCACATTTCCTGCTTCCTTGATGTGTAGGCCACTTGAATATTGCAACTAGTTTTTCTCCTGCTTATTGCCATCTACTAGGGTCTTTGTCATCCCCCTTTTTCTATGTATGGTCTTCCTTTCCATCTAGACTCTATCATCATTCATAATAGCTTCAACACTTACAAGATTATCCACTAGTGATTCTAATTTATTTTGTACCATTCCACCACAGTCACCCACACTATGGTTATATCCTATTCCTTATGTTTTATCACTGGAAATTGCTCCACCTTCAAAAATCTCAATTTCAAACATTACAGTTTTCAGTCACCACTTCCAAATCCTCTAGAACACTTGCTTAATACCCCCACTGCCAAAATTCTTGAACCTGATCAAACCCTCTGTCCCGTGGACTCCACCATTTTCTCACCATCAGCACATCTTCTTTTCTCCGCACTAAATGTAACAGTAGAAAATAAAAGCCCTGGTTGATGCCAATATTTAAGGTGGTCAACCAAACAGCTGAACATTGATGAAAGACATCACACAGGTAAATTAACCAACTTTGTATAACATTCATAACCACAAAGCCCGCTGGACCTTTAAAACACTTGCAATCTGACAATATTTCCCCACGGTTTTTGCTACATTGTGAGGTGACTATTTTACATCTTTTTCTCACTTTTCTATTTGTAATGATTTGTCTCATTTAGATTTCACTTTATGTATATGGAGTAAATAAAAGCCATTAAACAAGAGCTCTCTCATCTTCATGTCGCCAAATCTGTAAACCTTCCTGCACTAGCACCCACTTCTGCTCCTTCCCTCTTCTTAAAAGGGAGAATGTGTCTTTCCTTCTATCAGAGTTCACACCTTGTTTTTTTGAAGGCCATCTCTTTTGCCTTCTGAAGGGCTTCACTCTGGCACTATCCCCTCTGTTTCATATCATAAATATTCCATTTCTAGTGTTTGTTCTTCAGAGAAAAAAACACAAACCTCCATTGGCCCCACATTGCACTTGCACTTCATTTCCCTTCTTCTACTTCTCTTTTTAGTAGAACCTCTCAGTATTGTCCACTTCTTCAGCCCTGTTCACTCCTCTCTGAAGGTCTACCTTCTGGTTCTATAAGCCCGCTGCTGGAGTCTGTCAAAGTCATTGACACCACCTTGTTGCCAAATATAATCATCAATTATCTGTTCTTATATTAGTCCTCCTCTCAGTAGCATCTGATATAATTAACCACTCCTGACCTGAAATGCCTGTCTCCTTTGATTCTACAACAACATACCCCCTGATTTTCCTCTTACCTGATTGAGCTCCTCGTCAATCCTCTTTCCAGGTCCTCCTTCTCCATCTGATCTCTGATTCTTCCTCTTCTACATGTCTTACTCTAAATGTAATGGTTCTCCACTGCTTTGTCCAGGGTTTCCTTATCTTTTCTCTCTCTCTTTCTACTCTCTCCCAGGGTGAATTAAATAGCATTCATGTACTGATGACTTACAATTTTACATGTCTGGCCTCAACCTATCCTCTGACCTTTTGACCTGTATATTAACGTCCCACTTGATATCTATCAAAGAGAAATGAAGTAAGACAGATTTTATTCAGATTACTGCAGTAAAGAAGAGAGAATTGAGTGCAAACTGATCTGAACTCCACCAAAACAAGTCAGGAGACTTTTTAAATACTGGGATATGCTTTCTTAAGGGGTTGGAGGTCAGGAGTAGGAGGTGGTGAGGGGTTGGTGAATGTGATTAGGATATCTGAGTTTGCACATTGGTGAGTATAGGAGGAGAAACAAACTCTTCTTATCTATAGGACAGAAGGAAGTATTGCAAATTAAAGCAAGATGTCCATCAAAGTTAGGCTCTTTCCCTTCCACATGAACTGAGAGTCAGAAAAACTACCTCCCTAGATGTTTATATTTCCAAGAGATGGCTCTCAGGCTCTTAAGGAGAGCCTGAGATATAAACATTTATGGGTGAAAGAAGATTTACTTATCAAAGGGGCAGATAAAGGATCGACAATGGCAAGTTTTCTAAACTGCTCCAAGAAAAGGGAGACTAGGAGCCTATGGTCAGGTTTTGGCTGGAACAAATGATAAATTATTTTGGCAGTATTGAGCTTTCTCAAGAAGACTGGGGTTATCCTAGGGACACGGTCTTGGGCTGATAGAAGCCACTAGAGTTTGGTCAAGCCTTTTAGTGCAGGAAGTTGGACTAAATCATTCACACCAAGAATTTTGCAGCTGTCACCTGTTTACTTAATAGTTGATAGGCATCTCAGAACTAATCTGATCAGAATGCACCTCTTAATTTCTTCCCAGATATGACCCTATCCTAGTTTGCCCTACATTGTTGTATCTGTTGCCTCATATTTACAGCATATCTTTTCTTATCCCCACCCACAGCCCAGCAATCAATTAGCAAATTTGGGCCCTAATTGGTCTAGTTATTCTCTCCCTGTCTACTGCTGTCACTCTGATTCAAGACACCATCATTTATCCTCTAGGACTCTGGTCTGATATACATATATCCAGTGGAAATCACTGTTCATTAGGTCAAATGTCCATCCCAGGTGTGGCTGGGCAGTATCTACAGGGGTCTGTGATGGGCAGGCACAGTGACTTATATTTCTAAGGTAAAAGCTAGTTCATTTAGGTTCTAGGGCATGAACTGTAATTTCCCAATCTGTGACAACTCCCCTTCCTCTTACAGTCTCCCTGGGCAATATCTATTCTTTGGTCCTTCTTTCATGCAATACTTTAAAATGTAAATATAAAAGACAATGTTGTTTATCACAGTTTTTAATAGGAACTAAAACCCCACACAAAAATATAGATATGTGAACAAGTAAAATTCAGGTATCAACCAGTAAGGGGAACTCCAAGAGGCAGTTTCAGGGTGCACATTCCAACAGGCCCTTGTGTACTCACCAGGCCTACAAACAGCCCTACTGTGTACAAGACCTCAAAGGGATAAAGATATTCATGTACCTAGAATAAGCCTTAGTGACCCATATGCTAGCACTGCTAAGCATCACTCAAAGACTCTATCTGTGATAATTCAGCATTGCCTTCCAAGTATGGTCTGACTTCCTCTTCTATGACCCTGGAATCTGTTTTTGCAATTGCCAGTGATGATGAATAAGTGCATAGGCTACAGTGCATGTTTAAGGCATGCTTTAAAAAGCACATCATTATTTCAAAAATTTTAAAGATTCCTAAAAGAGCATCCTGTGTGAGTAAATCCCCATAACACCTTGATTGTTAAATGATAATAAAGCTAATTATCATTCACATAATCTTTGCATTTATGAATTCTAATTTCTACAGTGAATAACACTTCATCAAAATAGCTTCTGACAATTGGCTCAGTTGGAAGAATTCATCTAAACACTTAAGACAAAAAAAACAGCTTTTCATTGTGTTGACGGGGTTTTGAGCCTTAGTCAAAATAATTGAGATAGTACAGATAAAAAAAAAAACAAAAGGAAAGACAAATTGGAAATTGTGTTTGATTAAAATGTAAATTTCTTATTGTAGTGATGTTCTTATTTATGGTAACACATTGTAGCACTTCAGTTTGGCAGCATTTGTTGACCTATCTCTGTTCAGCAGCTAAAACTTAACATAATAGATGCAAAATTGCTTCTTTAATTTACATTTTCAAAAGAAATAATCTAGGTCACTTTTATGTTACTTGCATGTAAAATCAACTCCTTTAACAGAAAGCAGGCATCTTTGAAAATATTGCCAATTTTCTAACTCAGAGTATGAAGATTATAAAAGTAAGAACTCTGCATGATTTTTAAGCTAATAGCTAGTTCTTACTTCTTGAGACACTTATTTTCCAACTTATGGATCTACCAGATTTTCAGTTGCTTTTCTAACTTGTTTTCTACTGCCTTTGGGTGATTTCACTGTTTATTGGTAGCTAATTCATAGTAAACGAAGGCATTGAGGTAGAAGGCAAACTCAGTCAAATTCCTGAGTTTTCCAGTAATAATTTCATTGGAATTAATAGCTGATAGGTGGTTTGTTCATTTACATGTACCCAATTTCCTCCATATCTGCATTGATCCTTGGCAAAAATAACTGAGAAATGATTATAGTCAAGAAGAGCTTGCTCTTACGAAGTTAATACACATTCACCATATAAGCCAGCAATCTTCCTCCTAGACATTTAACCAAGAGAAATCCAGGCATATTTCTACACAAAAACCTGTATATAAATAGTTACATCAGCTTTAGTTATTACCACTAAAAACCAAAAAAAAAAAACTGCCCATCAACTGGTGAATGGATAAGTCAGTAGCATCTGTATGATTCAATTTAAATGACATTTTGGAAGAGACAAAACTGGATGAAAACAGATCAGTGGTTACCAAGGACTGTGAGCCTGGAAGGAGGATAACTGCAAAAGGCCATGCAGAACCCTTTGGTGGTGATGGAAAAGCTCTGTACTTTGACTTCAGTGGTGGTTACAGAACACAGCAAACATTTGTCAAAGTTCATTAGAACTCTATACACGACAGGGTGAACTCTACTCTACATAGATTATATCTGAGTAAACTTGCTTTCTTTTAAAAAGTACAGAACATTGTTTTTGATCTTAGGGAGCTTACGGATGGTAAAGAAGGCAAGATCAGAGAAAAATACGATTCACAATAACTGAATATGTATATATATGTGTGTGTGTATGTGTGTATATATATATATATATTTAAAGTAGAAGATCTTACGAGACATTTGCTGTTATAACATCCCCTTGTGTGATTTCTCTTGGGTTTAATTATGAGGTAAATGGAATGTAAAATTACCATGTATGAAGTCATATTTTCTGAGGCTTTGCTAATTGTGGCACTTCAACACTCAATTACTTTTGAAGCGTGTGAGAATGAAAAAGATTGAGTTTTCTAATTGTGGTTGGTGAAATCTAATCAAATTCTCAGGAGTGAAAATAGATTTTTGCATCAGTGAGACTTGCCTTGTGGAAAGAAAGGGTAATCTTTTCTAGGGTTAATCTTGTGGCTGTACATGATGTTACTTTATCACAGTTATGCAGTTGTCTTATCACTTATCACGGACCTTCAGTGAAATCACTGGCAAAAAGACCCAAAATTAGTATTTTGGATGGATGACTTCCAACTTTTAACTGGGTTATAGCAGATGCTCCATACTGAGCTATGCATTCAATTATATAGGTTTTTCTTTCATTTTCACAAAGTCTCCTGGAACCCTGGTGCATGCTGTCTTGATTCACCATCACATAGCAGTGTAGATCAGTAATCTCCATTTCTCCAAATGCATTTCAATACTTCTCTCTCCATTCCCATCTCTCTGGGCCCTAACTGATAATTGAACTCAGAATTGCAGCTCTCAAGGTGCTTGCAAAGGGATATAATCTGAGTTACTCCCAAGCAATACCTTCCCCAAAATCAGGCAAAGAAGATCATCTATGAAAATTGCCTCAGTGCAGCATGTTCCAAACCCTTTAAATAGACTCACACTGGGAGGTACATTTTGCATCATGACCCTGTACATACAATGGAAGTAAATATTAACATATTTCTCAAAACACTCTGATTTTTCAAACTATTCTTGTTTATTATATTTTTTTAAGTTGGTTGCAACGCTCTGAAATAATTTTACCCACTAACAGATGCAAACTGTAGTTTGAAGATCACTGCCATAAAAGATATAAAGTTTAGCATTCATCTAAATATTATCTAATCTAAATAATAGTTCACTAGGGGGCATTTCACCTTGGCCACTTTAAAAGTACCCCTCTAATCCCCCACCCCCATGGGTCTGAATTGCTTTTACTGAGTTGTACTTTGGCTTGATGCTATAAGGCAATATGAGAATAATTCCTATGTTAATTGCTGATAATGCTATTGAGAACTTTGTTCACTACACTACACAGTCTCCTCTCTCTAAGGACCAAGTGTAGAAATCTTTCTGTTGTCCCTGTAAGGAATAATGGTGATTAACCTAGGATACCAGATTATTTCTCCTTATGAAAAAACCTAGTGTTTCCTTACTCACATTGCCAGTTAGAAGCCCTAGTTTTGCATCCACTGCCTACCTCTAACAAGTACTTGGGGTTTTGTAGCTACAATTTGAGGATTTAATCTCACTCCTAATTTAGTTTTACTGTCCTTTATTTTTTCCTTTGTGTCACATGTCTTGCTGGTCTAACATTCATTTTAACTTGTTTTCTTTTTAATATCTTTTTGTGTCACTTTAAATCTTTGTGAAACAAAAGAGAAAAAGATAAAGAGGAAAGAGCAAAGGAAGAGAGAGAGAATAGTTTCCATGTATAGCAAGAAGACTCAAGGTTTTTAGGTCTTTATTCCTTACATTTTCAAACTAAAATTATATGAAGGTACAAATTCAGAACACTTTGTCCTACCTGTATCAGAAACAATAATTATAAGAGAAACCATTTTGTTGATATCTTAAAGTTAATATTAAATAATTTTACAGCTTTACTGAAGCTATTTCATATGCAATATAAACAATGCCTGGACCAGTAAGGAACAACTTCAGGCAAAATCTGTAATTGTATATGATTTGCCATAATGCCAAAGAGTGCAGTATTTTCTTCATGGCCAAGAAAAGTGTTGAAACACTATTTGGTGCCTAAACTGAAAAGAGAGTTTCTTCTGAAAGAAGCAAATAACAGGCATTTACCAGTGGCCAAGGTGACTGTGGCTTCAAATACATTTCTAAGTAACGAAATGTCAGGATATTAGAAGACAGATAAAATCAACCATGAAAATGTGTGTTTGGCTCTATTTTTAAAAAAACCTTCTTGACGTAGTTCAAAATGAAGGAAATTATTTGGTGACACCAACAATGAAGTAAAATTAATTTTTTGATGATGTTTTGGAAAATCACATTAAAGTTAGACTTTTTAAAGTAACACCCAAGCTGAAAAGCTGACTTATTAAGTCTATATTGATTGAGTAGGTCAAATATTAATATCCATCCCACTATTTTTGAGCAGATTTTATGCTCTTACTATACTGTGTTTGTTAATTTCAGGATACTAGTACATAAGTAATCAATGGCAACACCATTTTCTTTAATAGCCTGTCTCTAAGAGCTAAATGAACTATTCTGATGCTACTTTGACTTTACTGTTTCCCCTTCCTACCCTCGATCCAGTTTTTCATCACAACTACATGGTTATATCAAACAGTGACAAAAAGCAGACAGCAGGAACAAAAATAATCGTATGGAGCAGTTTAAAAACAGATATTTGTACATATTTGGCAAATAGGTACCTTTTCATTAGGTAAACAGTAGTAGGAAAAGAGATTGATAAAAGGACTGTAATTATGACATACAATATCAGATTAATTATTTGAATACTTTATCTCCATGTATAAGGAATAGTCTATGTATGACTAGGTTTTAGTTATGCCAAGAAATTAAGTAATAACGTGACAGTTAATAAATAACTTTGTTGAAGAAAGATCTAGTGAAAAGGGATTGCTTCCACCATCCTATAGCACTCTCTTTTTGGAATCATGCCTCTGTGCTCCCCTGGTTTACCTCCCAGATCTTCCAGTCTTCTTTGATTGTCACCCTTCAGTCTCTATTGGCTTTGGACCTCCCTCACTTCCTCAATCCAACCTCTAACTGGGAGTCTGTCAGCACTAAGTTTTGGCCCACTTCTACTCATAATACACACTCTCCCTGGATCATCCTAGCTATCACTGGAGCTTTACACACCATCTACTTGTATCCCAAATGTACATTCTAGTTGCAACCATTCCTATGCACTCTATCATAATCATTCATTCTGTTAATATTTATTCAATTATTGGGTGTCCACAATATACTAGGTATTATCTTGGGTACTGGAGATATAATGGAGAATTGACAAAGTCCTTGCCTTCATGGGGCTTATTTTTAAGTGGGCAATCAGATCATAAACAAAATAAAGTAAAATATTCATATATGTTGGAAGCATTCATTGCTGGGGGAAAAAATTAAGCAGGATATGGGGAGAGAGTGTTGAAGTTGAAGGTAGAAGCCATTCTAGTTGAGTGATCAGGGAGGAATTTCTGAGGAGGTAATATTTGATCAGAGACCTGCATGGAGTAAACCATAAGGGCCAAGCAAAGATCATGGAAAGAGGCTATCTAGCACAAGGAACAGTGAGCTCAAATGTTCTGGAACACGAATAGCATGGTGAGTTTCCATGATGAGTAAGAAGACAAATGTACCTGAAGCAGAGTGAATGAGGGAAAGAAAGCAGGCAGATGGAATCTGAGAGCAGAGGCCGAAACAAGACTTGTCAGCCATTATAAGAACTTTAGATTTTATTCTAACCAGGATACAAAACCAATAGAGGGTTTGAGCAAGTGAATGGTGTGTTTTGAACTAGTTGCCAACTTGCTATCTCTACTTGAATGTCTCACAGGTATTTCCAACTTAACATGCTCCACACAGAACTTTTAATCTTCCCTCACCAAAAAACAAAATATAATCATCCTACTCCTTCTTCAGTTTTCCCCCATTTTAGCAAATGATACCAAGAACTATCCAATTTTTCAAGCCAGAAGCTTGCAAAATCATTCTGAATTCATCTATCTCCTTTAGCTCTCATAGTCATCCCATGCTAGGAAAAAAAAAAGAAAAAGCCTATACTTTTTATCTTCAAAACAGATGACTCTTCTACTTGCTTCTCTGTGCATCTCACAGAGAATGTCACCAACCTAGTCCAAGCTGTGATCATCCCTAACTCATGTTTCTAAATCACATCACAGGGGACAGATCTTTTATAATTTTGACTTTCTATTAATAGCTTTCCCATGCTTAAAGGAAAAGCCATCCTCTTTGCCATGATCTACAAGGCCCTGCATGATTAGTTCCAGGGCCAGTCTTTTGCAGTTTCACACTACTCTTTCCAACCTTCCTGTGCTCCAGCCACACTGACCTTTATCATTTCCTCGTACACATCTTTCTGACCTTAGGGCATTTGGCTTACTACTCTAAATCACTCTCTCACGGCTGGCTGTTTCTTATTCCTTCCATCTTAACCAACATGTCTCCTCCTCAGGGAGGAGTTCCCTGTCCACCCAATCCAGAGTTGTACTTCCCTATCATTCTCTATCACAACATCCTGTCTTTTTACTTTATGTCACTTCTCATACTTCATAAGAGCAGAGACCATGTCTGTCTCATTCACCATTGTGTACACAGTCTCAGAATCATGCCTGGTGCATAGTAGGTACTTAATAAATATTGAATGAAGGACAAGTTAGTATTGATGTCTCCCTGTGTCATGAAAAAATGTTAGCAAACATCCAAGATCACGTATCTTTTTTAAAAAATAAACATTTTTCTAAAACAACAGCTGGAAAAAACAAAATTAAAGAATTAAATCTTATTACCTATTTTACTTTTATGTAAACTCGGTTACATATTTCCAAGGAGGAAAAAAAAGATTCTAAGAAATAATTAAAAGTAGAACTAAAATAGCAGCAATTTTTTGAAAACCACACATTTCATGCATCAAATATTTTTTGAATGAAAGGGATAACATTTGAGTCTCTTCTGTGTCCTAGATACCATCCTAGACATGTTCTCTATCTCATAACACTCATCCTCACAACCATCCTGTATCTTAGAAACCATTCTGCCTAATTAATAGATGAGAAAACTGAAGCTCAGAATTGTCCAGTGACCTGCCTAAGATTATACGACCAATTAGGACAGAAGCAGAATTCAAATTCAGCTGCCAATTATGTTGCAGATACCATCTGAAAAAATTCTATTTTTTTCTAATCATAATATTTTAAAAATCAATAAATGTCAATGCCATTTAATCAAAACTTAAAACATTGAATGAGAAAATGTTTTACTCTGACCTACAGCATGAAAAGAAAAAGTAAAATAAACTCTTTGGGCAAGCACAGTGCAGAACCCGTAACAGGTCAATGGCTGTTTATCATTTCAAAGATTTCTCAAATTTTGGTTATGGGTTTCTCTATCCTAAGGTAAACATTCTTTTCATTAAACCTGTAATTTTATTTTTTCCTTGTATGAATTCCCTTGCTTATTAGTTTCTTTAATAGTAACGTTCAGTGTTTTAATGACAGTTAGTACCTATTAGCATTTTTTGTAAGATTTTTTTCAATGGCAAATATACCACCTATATCTTTATAAGTTAGTCTTCCAGTAGCCATTGAATGTATGATAGAAATAATCTATTATTTTCCTGAAGCTGAGTTTCTATTTCCTATTCTTGTTCAGTGAGCTCAAATATGCATATAAAGTATACATATCTGACTGCCCAAGAAGGGTGCATCTTCCTGGCATTTCATTATTCTGAGGAAAAGATGTCATCAATAACCCATTATGAATTAAGAATTACATCTTTTTCTAATCTCCTCACAGTTCCTGAAACATGGTGGCACTTAAATATTATTTGTTGAATGAATGAATAAATGTATAAATGACTGACAGAATGCACATGAGCAGATGGAAGACATACGTGGATTTTTACTTTAAATATCAAACTCTCCTTTTCAGCCAGAGGCTATCGACTTTTTTAGAAAGTTGTTCCTTTTTTAAATTCTTAATATTTTATCATTTAATGCTTAAACCAATTTTTATCTTATAGCTTCATATCCACTATAAAAACACTTCTTATTTATTATAGAAAAAAAGAAAATATGTGTAAGAGACAGAACATAGAAATCATCAATAATGCCCTTCTTCTCCCACACATAGCCAAATAATCTACAAATTAAAAAATAGCACTCAGTACTAAAAAATAGTATTCAGCATTTAAAAAGAATGACAAATTATTTCTTATCTAAAAATACAATATTAAACATACAACAAACAATTAAAATGCTCCTCTTATTTTCCAATTTGGTATTTGTTAATCCCTTATTGGCAATAATATCTGCTGTGTTCTATTTACAACTTACTATGCATAATATACTGATATACTGAGATAGGTTTTTTGCAGACATGGCACTGTGTGCTCTTCATAAGGACCTTTAAAGGAAGTACCATTCTCCACCATTTTTAAAAATGAGGAAACAAAGGCTTAGGAAGGTTAAACAAAGGCTTAGAAAAGTTAAACAATATAGAAGTAATTCAATTCTGACATGAGGTGCAGCTGGGATTCTAGCTTAGGCTAGTCAGATGCTAAAATCTACACTATTTCCCCACAGTACTTGGCTATCTATATTAAGTAGAACTACATGATATTGCCAATATTCAACGATTTTAGACATTAAAAATGGAAATTGCATCTTATTCTATTTGACACAAATATAATTCCTTTCCATTATTACTCTAGAATCAAGTCCCATGACTTGCACAGGCATCAAAATGTCAGGTTAAAAGCAGGTCTGAGAGGATGGGGGGTTCAAATCCTGGCTTCCCCGGTGACTAGCTGTGAGACCCTGAGCAAATCATCTTCACTACAGGGTTATTTTTCTGTTGAAAAAAATAGCATTGCCCTTCCCTGCATACTTCATAGGAATTCACTAAGAGAAAAATAGAATATACAAAACTGTAAAGGATATAAAACTTAAAGTGATTATTATAAACAAACCTTCTAAATAAGGAAACCAACAAGCCACATTCCTAAGTTACAAATGTGAAAGAGGAGAATTAGAAACCAGTGTATAAGGCCCTAAAGAGCCCTCTACAGTGCTGTTTGCTCAGTTTTTGATAAGAGTGTCAAGGCCAAAGCCAATCCTTCAGAACTCTGTGGCTAGTGATTCTGATAGCAAGGATCAATAGCCTAAATGTCAACCAGATGATTCAAAGTGCTTACACAAAAATTTGGCTTTATATGCAAAACCTCATCCCCATTCCTGGAAAGAGCTCAAAGCTGTATAAGAAATTGTTATTGGTATACTATGTAAAAGCCCTAATTGAGATTTCAAGAAGCTCCCAGCTTTCTGAGCATCCTACATAAATCCAAAGAGAAAGAAATATTATTTCCGCTGGCAAAATATCAAATCCCAAGAACATGTGCCTAACCTGGAACAGGCTTCTTTAACAAGGACTTACAAGAACTCTGAGCTGCCCTTGAGGATTCATCTTTTCTTTTCTTTTCTTTTTTCTAAACAAGGTCTTACTCTGTCGCCCAGGCTGGAGTGCAGTGGCGTGATCTCGGCTCACTGCAACCTCCATCTCCCAGGTTCAAAAGATTCTCCTGCCTCAGCCTTCCTAGTAGCTGGGATTACAGGGACCTGCCACCATGCCTGGCTAACTTTTATATTTTTAATAGAGATGGGGTTTCACCATGTTGACCAGGCTGGTCTTGAACTCCTGACCTCAGGTGATCCACCCACCTCAGCCTCCCAAAGTGCTGAGATTACAGGCTTGAGCTACCACACCCGGCCCTCTTTTCTATGCTTTCTGGAAATGGCAGTTATACAGCATGAGAGACTCTTTCCCTTCTCTGAAAATATTTTTCCAGTGTGATTTATACTCAAGAAGATTTTTCTTCCTTCCAGGCCTTTTGGAATGTAAGATAACATGAGTTATCATATTTTCTAAACAATAAAGCCCGATACAAATGGAAGGAATCTTTATGATCACTTCCTGAGTTAGACATAGAAGCCACAGTTCTCTCTGTACCCTTCATCCAAGCAAGAATTTAAAGGAGAACTCAACACATAAGTTATATAAAGATTTATATTTTTTATTTCTGCTGCAATAGAAGAAGATGTCTTCAACTATTAGGTTTATATAACTAAAGAATTTGTATAGCATATTGATCCAATTTTAAATCTGGTTTGAAGTTGGCATATGAGCTTCTCTCGTTAAATAAGGTAAGCATCAAAACTCCTGCATATTTTTTTAAATTCCTAACTTGAGTCCATTTTCTCTACATGATTATTCAGAATATTTTCCACTCTATTAACATCTGTTTCATGCTTGCCTTCACTACCCTTACCAATGACCTCGCCTCCTACAGTTTCTTCTATGGTAATATCTCCCCTCCCCTACCTGTCTTCTCCTCAACTCTCCTCAGAAGAGAGTGGGAATTTCTTCTTTTCCAAAGTGGACTCTTCCACTGGGGGTTCCATTTATTTCTATATACCCTCTCTTCCTTTTCTCCTTTATCTTCACACATTCCCTTCCCATCAGATGGAAGTCTTCCTTATCCCTAAGAAAACAAAATAAACTAGAAGCAAACAAAAAAGCAAAATAAAAAATGTACCTCCATTTTATTCCCCCTTTGAGTTAACATTCCATGTTACATATTCCTTGATATCAAGCCCTTAAAAGAGTTATGGACACTCATTTCCTGAACTTCTTAGCCACGTGCTGTTAACCCTGTAATATGATTCCTATTTACCCCTTTCATGAATCTTCTAAAAGTCTTGTCTCAGAGATCTTTAATGCGCTCCTAATTACTATCTAATTAATTTTCTCAATCGACAACCTACAGGACCTCTTGGCAGCCTAACATTGTTGATCACATCCTCCTAGATATTATCCTTATGGTTAACTCTTTGAACTATCTTAACGCTAATTCTTCCTTGACATTCTGACTCTTTTTAAAGTTTTTCCTTTCCATTTCCTCACCCCCTAGTTACTGATTTTTCTTACAGTTGCATTTTTAGATTATGTGTATTTTCTCATTATACATAATCACACGGATTTGTACTTTAATTATCCTATTTGTACTGATCATTTCAAAATCTTTAGTTTGTCTTGGCTTCTCTCCTAAGCTCCAGATCCAAATTTCCATCTGTTTTGGACATGGTGACACATATACCACATATACTACTCCTCAGACTCAACACATGTGATTAAGACGTTGGGTTCACTAGCAGACAGAAGACACCTCAAAATCTGACCCTACTTTTTTATAAGCTGTATTACTTTAAAGAGGAATTAGCTTCTCTGAGCCATATTTTCTCATCTATAAGTTTGTATTTACAGATGAGAATGTGTATTTATAGATGAGAATTTATACTTACAGATGAGAATATATGGCTTGGAGAAGTTAATTCCTCTTTAAAGTAATACAGCTCATATATTATATCTATATATTATAGACAATAAAAAGGTTATGAGGATTAAATGAGATAATACATATAAAATGCTTAGTATAATGCTAAAGTCATACTCAGTGTTTAACAGATAAACTGCCACTATTATTATTATTATTATCATCACCATCATTTTCTAGTTTGAATTTATTACAGCCCAGCTGCCTCTCCTCCTCTATTCTTCTCTCTCTGAATAGTGCAACACTCTCCCAATCATACTTTCTATAATTCTCAGAGCCTCTAGAATTCTCTAGAATCTTTATCTCTTCCCTTTTCCTCTAACAAACCCTTATCTAATCAGTCAGTACATTGTGTCAATTATTTCTCTACACTGCCTCTCATACCCACAGCTTCCTATTTATTCCAACAGAAATCGTGCAGTCCCTATTTCAGTCCTTCACCCCTGCTGCCTTGCATTATTGCAATTGACTCCTAACTGGTCTTCCTAAACCCACCGCCAACCTAACCCACTATTACTGTCTAAACAGCAAGTGCTCTTGTTCCTCCATAATCAGACCCAAGTTCTCCTTTATCCTCCCCACCTCCTGAGCCCTCCTGTACCCACCTGAGTGTCTCTTTTCCTTCCTGGGCTTCCTGCCTTATGTTTTTGTTTACACCATACTCCTAACCTGCAAACTCCTTTCAAATCTGACTGTGGAAATGCACATGCATTTACTAGCCCACCTCCTCCACGAAGCCTTCTCCAAAGTGCTTGTGAGACACAGCAGAGACTTTCCTCTCAGTGGCCTGCAGGCCTCCCAAGCATGGAAATAAGGGAAAATATTGAGCTCTTTCAAGAGAAATTGCAGGTACCTAGCTAGCCTTGAGAAGTTAAGCAACTTGATAAGCATGAAGGTAAAATAGTAACCTAAAACAATAGCCAAGGAAGCTAGAATCACAAGATGTTTGGTTCCCCAATAGAGACTAAAGATAACATCTTCACATATGTCTCTGAGTTTTTTTTTCAGGAACCCAGATCCCCAACAAACAACTCGTCCCCACAGTAGACCTCAGATAAAAGGGAACTGGGGACTGAACTCTGACCGTCATTCTTTGTTCTCAGTTTCTTCCTGAGGAGCCTGAAGAAAGTCACATTCATGAACCAGAGCTAACATTCTTTTCTGCTGACCCCAAATTTTCAAGCAAAGCTTCTCTTCATTAACCAATGGCAAATCAGAAAATCTTTGAATATACCTATGACCTGTAAGCCCTCACTTCAAGATATCCCACGCTTTTAGGTCAAAACCAATGTGTAACCTCCTTATATTGATTTATGATTTTGCCTATAATTCCTCCTTTCCTGAAATTTACCCTTGCCTTTAAAAACCCTTACCTGCAAGCCATGGAGAGGAGTGGGGTCAGGATTTAAACACCAGCTGCCTGAACCTCTTTGCTTGGAGCCCTGCAAATAAACACCTTCCTTTCTACCGCTGCAAACCTCGGTATGGACATTTGGTCTTACTGTGCCAGGCAAGCAGACCCTGGTTCAGTTCTATAACACTCATAGCTAATATTACCTGAAAATAAATCAAAACCCTAAGATGTAATGACAGTATGATCTCAATTTATATGTGTACTTGTATATGATATGTAAACATACTGAATAGAAATAGGGCAAAATGTGAACAGTGGTCCTTTACAGGTACGATAATCTGGAGATGTGCTATGAATCGGAGAAATTCTTATTTTGTTTTGTATTTTCTAAATTATTCAAAAGAGCTAATATTTCTATGTACTAAAATCTTTATATGTATTAACTCATTTAATTTTAATCAAACCCGCTGACGTATTTGCATTATTGTCCTATTATTGAGGTATATGGGGGTGAAGCAACATGCCCAGAGCCATGCATCTATCAAGAGTAGTCTGGCTCCAGACCTGTGCTCTTAAGCACTCCACTGAATTGTACTAAGGGTTTTAATAATTGGAAAAAAAAATATTTTTAATTACCTTTTCTTCTGTCTCTGACCTCCACCTACTCCTAACCCTGACACCACCAAGTTCCAAATTTTCCTTCCATTTCCTTCCTAGAGACCAATCTCAGCTAGGTGTTAAGAAGAAAAGCTATCTGATTAAGAAAATTTGCATGAATTGTTAATTAGTAATTGCCATCCTAAATCCTAATTGCATCTTAAAAAGGGTGCTTGTTAACATAAGTGAATCCCTAATTAGTGGAATTTCTGTTGCTATGACTAAGCAATTATGTCTACTACTGACAGTGTGTGGAGGCGAGGAAAGTATCTTGGAAAAGAGGATTTTCTTCTTACTCCTTAAAGTTTAAGGCTGCCTCATGTACAAGGTCTCCCTCAGTCTCTCAAATTCATCCATCTTCCCACACAAGTTTGGTTTAAAGCACCAATAAGCCCTACCCTTAGGCCTATGTAAAAGCCTATCATTCTGATGCTGCAGAAGCCACCAAGAACCAGGCTAAGAACCAAAGGTCACCGTTTGTGACACAGGAGTCTTCATAGGAAATGAAGACCCAAAGAAACACTTAAACCCATATGTTTTTTTATAGTAGGTTTGATGAAGAGTGTACAGTTGCAGAGAAATATAATAGGGCAAAGAACATGAGGTAAGTGTAATAAACAGGAGGTAATTTAGCAAGGTCTGTTTGTTCAGATTCCTCACTGTATCCCTTCATCTTCCAAGATAAAGATGCTGTTTTCCTCCAGGTATAGGGTGGGCATCTCTCACATGAGGGTCTTTTGACCTGCTTTAGAGGAAAATGGAAGAGGGAAGTCAGAGAGCTCTTCCTTCTTCTGTAAATCCCTTCGGCTTAAAATAATTCATATGCCCAGGTGCTATATTTTTATAACTGGCAAAAGAGTCTGGCTGCTCGCTGCTTGTAGAAAGAAGCCAAAATAATAACAAGATGTGATAGAAAGGAAGCAAAACTTTATTTTGCTAGCAAGGGGAAGAGTAGGCAAAAAAAAATTCGCCTTTAACTTGGGGAAGGAACGCAGGAGTTTTTAAAGAGAGGGTTTGGGGTGCAGAAGAGGCAGGGGTTGGGGGAGCGAGGAGGTCCCAGGTGGCATGATTTGCTCTGATGGCTCATCTTGAATGATTGTCCCCATCTGGTGAAGGGGCCCATCTGATGAAGGGGCCAACACCACCATGGGCCCAACCAGGTTACAAATTAATCTCAATTAATCTTACCTTGGATCTCTAGCTGGGAGTGTGTTCTGGCCTTGAAGTAATCTTTTGTTGGAGAGAGAATTCCAGAATATCTGGTCTGTATCAGGATCCAATACCTGAAGATTCTAAGGAAAAATATGACCAGATAAGTAAGAATGGTATATGCTTAATAAACATCTACATAAATAAATGCATATAAGGTATGGGAGCATAAAGTGCCAAAGGGAAGGGAGTGGAGAAAAGAAAACATTTTGAGGCTGTAAAACACATTTGTACTTTATCTCAGAGCTACGTCTTGAAACTGGGGGGAAAGGAGGAAAGGGGGAAAAAATTTAAAATATGATTTGAGGCTAAGCTGCTAAACTGCTCAGCTACATTTTGGGGTAGCATCTCCTGAACCCCACTGTGATGTCAACACACATAATCAAGAGGGAAATGCAATGAAAAAAATCATATTCCTTCTTCCTTCTGCCAGTTTGGAAGAGAGCTTTGTTGTATATATTCAGGAAATTTGACACAAAGGCAAGAACTTTGCTCTAATAGGCTTCTGCAGGCAGCACCAAATCTCAGTGGGAAGAGAAGGATGGCTGGATGGTGGCAAAGCTGAAAGGGAATCTCAGTCATTCTAAGATTTTACATATCCAGTGGAGTCCCAAAGGTGGGAGGGGAGAAAATCTAGAAGCAAGTATAACCCACAGACTTGCATACCACCCCTCCCCACCCCCAAGAAAAAGGAACACCACAACAGGGGGAGCAGATGAAGTGAAGAGGTTGGACAAGCTGAAGTCACCCAGAAATTCTGAATATCTAATGCACATTTTCTCCTGGCTTAATGTGTGACATTCATATTATCCAATAGCTTTCTGTTATTTAAAACTTTTAAGGAAGTTCATAGTGAGAACAGCTATGGCAGAGATACTTGCTGCTCATCAGGCATTCTTTGCTTCCCTACATTTCCCACCCCCTTGCAGTTAGGTGGAGCCACACGACTAGCTCTGGATGAGATGTTACAAGCAGAAGTGCTTTTGTCACTGCAGGAGGAGGCACTTAAAAACCAGCATGTGATTCTTGGCTCTCCTCTCCTAACACATAGACTGAGGAATCTACACGTTCCAGATGGTCAGCTACAACATGGCAGAGCCTCCATTACCCTGGGCCCCTGTAAGACCATGCAGAGAAGAGTCGCTTCCCCCAGTCTCCCATCCCCACATAGCTCTGACTGCCCACACTGATATGCAGAATGGACAAAAGAGTTTTGCATAAACTTACGTTGTGTTAAGCCATTGCAATTTGGGGGCTGTTTATTACTACTGCCATGGCCTATCTAATCTTGACTGATACAGTGGTTGCTTGTGGAAACTGGCATAGATGGTCTACACATACAAAGTATGCACAAATAAACACACACACACACACACAACATACACACGTATATCTCACAGAAAAAAAAGTTGACTGTTGACTGGAAATTTCACCATGGAGAACCCCTTAATGAAAAGTTGCAGGTTTAAAGAGAAGACAGCCATAAAACAGCAGTTCAGAAAACACGTGCTGGACAATATGGGTTCAGATGTCAATTCTTTCACATACTAGCTAAATGACGTTGGGCGTGTTGCTTAACATCTCTGGGTCTCAGTTTCCTCAACTGTAAAATGAGTACAAGAATAGCACCTACCTCAGAGATTTGTTTGGGGGGGGGCACAGAGTAAGCACTCAATAAATGCTATATATAACTAATAATCTTAAAGATAATAAGAAAGGCTGAATAATAAATGCATTCCTTTAACATCTCTCTCTTACAAAAATGGAGGTAAGGCTGAAGATTTTTTCAATAACTGATAATTATTATGATTTATCATTTATGCATCTTTTTCTTTGTTATGGCTTACATTTCCAAACTCAGAATCAACTCTCTGCTTCAAAAAAATCTAACATGACTATAGTCAATAACTTTATTATACATTTTGAAATAACTTAGAGTGTAATTGGATTGTTTGTAACTCTATGGCTAAATGCTTGAGGGGCTGGATACCCCATTCTCCATAATGTGCTTATTTCACATTACATGCCTATATTAAAACATCTCAGTCATCATATAAATATATACACCTACTATGTACCCACAAAATTAAAAAAAATTTTAAGTACTTTTAAAAATCTAACAGGACCACATTTTTGGATTACAAATATTTTAGCAGCTCTTATCTTTTCTTTTATAAAAGAAGTACATCTTTTCAGAAAAAATAAGAACAAGTGATAGTGATTTGCTATGCCACTTAATGATTATTTCCAGAAAAGATTACAGCGTGTAAAAGATTGCAATAAGAAGAAAGAAAGAGTGCAGTTTCAAATAAAGGTTTGACTCTGAAATGGGGGTACCAAACATTCATAAAAGTCAGTTCTCTGACTTACTGTCACACCTCAAACCTCATATTTATCAAAACCTTCAGCACTGATAAAGCAATCAAAATGAAAAGAATGCAACAGTGGTCCCAAAGTTGTGTCTTATCTAGGTGTTACCCTGAACATTATTTCAACTCTTCTTACCTTTGTGACTCTGTTTCCACATTGGAATGAGAGTGAAATGATTTTGCTTCTACCATTGTAGAAAGCTGAGAAATTGAATCAAGACTATGTTTCCTGACGAAACTCTAACTGTAAAATTACGTTGATTGATCTTTAGGCACCAATTAAGGTGGGTATAACCTCAAAGGCACTTGGCATTCCCTGTATCCAAAATGTCTCTCCTACTGGTAACCTCATCTTATACCATCGTAACTCACTCCTCTCCAAAGACTATTATTTTCCTCATTAATCCCCACTTATGCCCAGAAATAACTCATCATCCTTCCCACCATGCCCTCTCTAGAGCTGTACGGACTTCCAGTATCATCCTGTCATTACAGAACATCACAGAAATTGTTGTCCACATAGTTGAATACATAGACAAAGGATTAGACCGTATATACATGATGCTAATTCATTTTGCCTATACAGCTATTTCAACACAACAGCCAGGGTCTTTTGTTTTAATGAATTTTGTTTGAGTTCTGTTCTCTCATTAAATAGTGAGGTCCTAGAGGACAGACAGCAATTTTGTGCCATTTACCCTTGCAAGCCCTCACATTATCTAAAAAAAAGCTTTATTTGCTGAAATTAAATCATCAAGGCAGGCATAACAACTAAGTTACTCATTCAGTAACAAGTGAAGTTAGGTCCTCATTGTGTCATGTGATTTGAATATTTATTACTGATATAACCAGTATACTTATCATTAATTAGCCCAGTTCATCATTGCACTGTGATTCTGAGGCTAAGCACAGAGGTGTTCAATTAAGCCCAATAGATCATCAAAGTATCATCAAAACTGCAATAATCATTCTGGAGAGCCAGTTTTCTGTACTACTGTACTGCTGATCTATGGATTGTGTTAAAACTGTAAATTTCCAAATTCCCATTAAAATCCTAGTTTTCATAATTGAAGTGTCAGCATCAATTTCTTAGCATCAACATTTCCACAAACCCAAAAACTTGATATCTATCTCTTTAGAAACCTAAAATATTAAAATCCCCCACAATTTTTATACGATTTTTGCCCCCTCTATCATATATAATAATTCTGCCCCTTGCACACACACACTGAGATACTTTCTGAAATACTGAGAAGTCACCTATGATTTGCCCTCTGTATAATCTGATATGAAAGTAATGTACAAGCAGCAATCTGGTTCTGTCTCCAGAGATTCTAAAATAATATCCAAACACCATTCACTCACAGAAACGTAATGTGCTCAGAGTTTTCTTTTTCTTTTGTTTCTTTCATGTCCTCTCAGTATTAAATGAGGAGAGACAACCCCACAAAGCCTGATTTAACCTCTCATGATACAGCTGAGTAAAGCTGCTCATTAGACTCAAAAAACAGAATATTATCACCACTAATCAGCCACAAGACCTTGGGTAACTCCTATCACATCACTGAGCCTCAGTTTCTCACCTGTAAAATCAACTGAATACCTTCCTTCTTTACTACACAAAGGGTTTTTTTGAAGTAGACAATATTTTTGAAACACACCTCAAAAAATAAATGGCATTAAGTGTGCAGAGAGGCAAAAAATATACCAAATTTTTTTATTCATTAGAAGTTTAGAATTTCTTTTTTTTTCTTTTTTTATTATTATTATACTTTAAGTTTTAGGATACATGTGCACAATGTGCAGGTTAGTTACATATGTATACATGTGCCACACTGGTGTGCTGCACCCATTAACTCGTCATTTAGCATTAGGTATATCTCCTAATGCTATCCCTCCCCCCTCCCCCCACCCGACAACAGGCCCCAGAGTGTGACGTTCCCCTTCCTGTGTCCATGTGTTCTCATTGTTCAATTCCCATCTATGAGTGAGAACATGCGGTGTTTGGTTTTTTGTCCTTGCAATAGTTTACTGAGAATGATGATTTCCAATTTCATCCACGTCCCTACAAAGGACATGAACTCATCATTTTTTATGGCTGCATAGTATTCCATGGTGTATATGTGCCACATTTTCTTAATCCAGTCTATCATTGTTGGACATTTGGGTTGGTTCCAAGTCTTCGCTATTGTCAATAGTGCCACAATAAACATACGTGTGCATGTGTCTTTATAGCAGCATGATTTATAGTCCTTTGGGTATATACCCAGTTATGGGATGGCTGGGTCAAATGGTATTTCTAGTTCTAGATCCCTGAGGTATCACCACACCGACTTCCACAATGGTTGAACGAGTTTACAGTCCCACCAACAGTGTAAAAGTGTTCCTATTTCTCCACATCCTCTCCAGCACCTGTTGTTTCCTGACTTTTTAATGATTGCCATTCTAACTGGTGTGAGATGGTATCTCATTGTGGTTTTGATTTGCATTTCTCTGATGGCCAGTGATGGTGAGCATTTTTTCATGTGTCTTTTGGCTGCATAGATGTCTTCTTTCGAGAAGTGTCTGGTCATATCCTTTGCCCACTTTTTGATGGGGTTGTTTGTTTTTTTCTTGTAAATTTGTTTGAGTTCATTGTAGATTCTGGATATTAGCCCTTTGTCAGATGAGTAGCTTGTGAAAATTTTTTCCCATTTTGTAGGTTGCCTGTTCACTCTGATGGTAGTTTCTTTTGCTGTGCAGAAGCTCTTTAGTTTAATGAGATCCCATTTGTCAATTTTGTCTTTTGTTGCCATTGCTTTTGGAGTTTTAGACATGAAGTCCTTGCCTATGCCTATGTCCTGAATGGTAATGCCTAGGTTTTCTTCTAGGGTTTTTATGGTTTTAGGTCTAATGTTTAAGTCTTTAATCCATCTTGAATTAATTTTTGTATAAGGTGTAAGGAAGGGATCCAGTTTCAGCTTTCTACTTATGGCTAGCCAGTTTTCCCAGCACCATTTATTAAATAGGGAATTCTTTCCCCATTGGTTGTTTTTCTCAGGTTTGTCAAAGATCAAATAGTTGTAGATATGTGGCGTTATTTCTGAGGGCTCTGTTCTGTTCCATTGATCTATATCTCTGTTTTGGTACCAGTACCATGCTGTTTTGGTTACTGTAGCCTTGTAGTATAGTTTGAAGTCAGGTAGTGTGATGCCTCCAGCTTTGTTCTTTTGGCTTAGGATTGACTTGGTGATGCAGGCTCTTTTTTGGTTCCACATGAACTTGAAAGTAGTTTTTTCCAATTCTGTGAAGAAAGTCATTGGTAGCTTGATGGGGATGGCATTGAATCTATAAATTACCTTGGGCAGTATGGCCATTTACACGATATTGATTCTTCCTACCCATGAGCATGGAATGTTCTTCCATTTCTTTGTATCCTCTTTTATTTCATTGAGCAGTGGTTTGTAGTTCTCCTTGAAGAGGTCCTTCCCGTCCCTTGTAAGTTGGATTCCTAGGTATTTTATTCTCTTTGAAGCAATTGTGAATGGGAGTTCACTCATGATTTGGCTCTCTGTTTGTCTGTTATTGGTGTATAAGAATGCTTGTGATTTTTGTACATTGATTTTGTATGCTGAGACTTTGCTGAGGTTGCTTATCGGCTTAAGGAGATTTTGGGCTGAGACAATGGGGTTTTCTAGATATACAATCATGTCGTCTGCAAACAGGGACAATTTGACTTCCTCTTTTCCTAATTGAATATCCTTTATTTCCTTCTCCTGCCTAATTGCCCGGGCCAAAACTTCCAACACTATGTTGAATAGGAGTGGTGAGAGAGGGCATCCCTGTCTTGTGCCAGTTTTCAAAGGGAATGCTTCCAGTTTTTGCCCATTCAGTATGATATTGGCTGTGGGTTTGTCATACATAGGTCTTATTATTTTGAGATACATCCCATCAATACCTAATTCATTGAGAGTTTTTAGCATGAAGGGTTGTTGAATTTTGTCAAAGGCCTTTTCTGCATCTATTGAGATAATCATGTGGTTTTTGTCTTTGGTTCTCTTTATATGCTGGATTACATTTATTGATTTGCGCATATTGAACCAGCCTTGCATCCCAGGGATGAAGCCCACTTGATCATGGTGGATAAGCTTTTTGATGTGCTGCCGGATTCGGTGTGCCAGTATTTTATTAAGGGTTTTTGCATCAATGTTCATCAAGGATATTGGTCTAAAATTCTCTTTTTTGGTTGTTTCTCTGCCCGGCTTTGGTATCAGGATGATGCTGGCCTCATAAAATGAGTTAGGGAGGATTCCCTCTTTTTCTATTGATTGGAATAGTTTCAGAAGGAATGGTACCAGTTCCTCCTTATACCTCTGGTAGAATTTGGCTGTGAATCCATCTGGTCCTGGACTCTTTTTTGTTGGTAAGCTATTGATTATTGCCACAATTTCAGAGCCTGTTATTGGTCTAATCAGAGATTCAACTTCTTCCTGGTTTAGTCTTGGGAGACTATATGTGTCGAGGAATTCATCCATTTCCTCTAGATTTTCTAGTTTATTTGCGTAGAGGTGTTTGTAGTATTCTCTGATGGTAGTTTGTATTTCTGTGGGATTGGTGGTGATATCCCCTTTATCATTTTTTATTGAGTGTGTTTGATTCTTCTCTCTTTTTTTCTTTATTAGTCTCGCTAGTAGTCTATCAATTTTGTTGATCCTTTCAAGAAACCAGCTCCTGGATTCATTAATTTTTTGAAGGGTTTTTTGTGTCTCTATTTCCTTCAGTTCTGCTCTGATTTTAGTTATTTCTTGCCTTCTGCTAGATTTTGAATGTGTTTGCTCTTGCTTTCCTAATTCTTTTAATTGTGATGTTAGGGTGTCAATTTTGGAACTTTCCTGCTTTCTCTTGTGGGCATTTAGTGTTATAAATTTCCCTCTACACACTGCTTTGAATGTGTCCCAGAGATTCTGGTATGTTGTGTCTTTGTTCTTGTTGGTTTCAAAGAACATGTTTATTTCTGCCTTCATTTCGTTATGTACCCAGTAGTTATTCAGGAGCAGGTTGTTCAGTTTCCATGTAGTTGAGTGGTTTTGAGTGAGTTTCTTAATCCTGAGATCTAGTTTGATTGCACTGTGGTCTGAGAGACAGTTTGTTATAATTTCTGTTCTTTTACATTTGCTGAGGAGAGCTTTACTTCCAACTATGTGGTCAATTTTGGAATAGGTGTGATGCTGAAAAAATGTATATTCTGTTGATTTGTGGTGGAGAGTTCTGTAGATGTCTATTAGGTCTACTTGGTGCAGAGCTGAGTTCAATTCCTGGGTATCCTTATTAACTTTCTGTCTCGTTGATCTGTCTGAAGTTTAGAATTTCTAAATGGTGTAAACAACAATGTCTAAGATTGCTGTATTAATGAATGAATTACTCTATGAGAAGCAGGATAGCACAATATGAACCTAGAGTAGATAAATTGTCTTCGATAATTGCTTAAAGGCCAGGGTGAGTCAGGGATGGGAGGATTGTTGACAATTAAATTTCAAAGCAGAGAGGAGATCTTGAGCTATGATTTTAAACAGAGGAGTGTCGTTTGGTAATGAATGATTGTCTCATACTTAGAGAAGATACTGGCTTTTTTTAAGCCAAGAACCACATGGTTCAGTCTCAGCAGTATAATGAGAAAATATAGTGCAACAGTAAAATGTCATTTTAAAATTAACTCAAGTTCTTTATATACATTTCTTGAACACTGTGAAGGGTATGTGTAGACCAAAGCAAAACTTTGTTAAAACTCTTTCTTCCTTTCTGTTTACCCCCCGCTTCTGACACTACCCTCACATACCATAACAGTCCTTGATTTAAACACTCTGGAGAACATTTTTTGTTCATCTGGGAATCATCTACCCTGGCTAGATATCACCATAAGAATATCACTCCTCCCTCCTGTCATGAAGCTGGAGGTCCAAGCACCTGCATGCACAGCCCCCATGCTGCCACCACCAATACCACCCTCCTGCAAGTATCATTGGTCTTCAACTCCTAATAATTTGTTATGATAATTGTGATAAACATCTCCCTTGCTCTCTCCATTTCTGCAAGAGTGGGAAAAGGTTGTAGGCACTTTTATCCCATCATATTTATTTAAGGTTAGATTTAGTATAGTGGGTTTGAAGTTCTAAATATAGGGGGGAATGGAAAGGCAGAGAAAGCTAGCTTGACATTCAATGGGAAAATGTGAGCAAGCAGCCAAGGCAGGGTTGATACAAACCCAGGAGCCATGATGAAGACAGAGACCAGGGGCTCTCTAGTTTATCTGGCCACAAATGTTTGAATGGGAAGGTTACTGAAAAGTAGCCAAACCCAGTATCAGACTTCAAAATTAGGAATGAAAAAGAAATGTGTATGTGAGTTATGTTTCCTACGTCTCTTGAGCATGGGTCTTAAGAGCTTCTTCAGGAGTTCCAGCAGGGGAACCACAGACATTCAAATATTTTTAAACAAAGTATTGTGCTTCTCTCTCTCTCTCTCTGTTTGTGTGTGTGTGTCTGTTTGTGTGTCTGTTTGTGTGTCTGTGTATGTAAGACTTACAAAACATTTACCATTTGCCAGGCATTATTCTTAGTACTGCAACACTATGAGAGAGTACTAGTAAGATCCCCTTTTTTCAGATGACAAAACTGAGCCACTGAAAAATTAAGTAACTGACCCAAGTGGTACAGCTGGAGGGCTCAAGCACAGGCAATCTGGCTCCAGTACCTAAGCATTTAGACACTACATTATCCTGGCTCCTAATCAATGGCACTGTCTTGGGAAGGATGCAGGTAGCACAGAAACATACTTAAGGAGTAGAAAGATGAGGATATATTCAGTCTTGTTACAAAAGCCAAAGGAGTAGTAATTTCAAGGAGGAAATTACAAAATATGTCAATGTGCAGAAAGTCAAGTCAAAAAAGGCCTGGAAAAGTGTCTGTTGGATTTGACAGTCAAAGAGTAACTGTTGGCCTGTGCCGGTCCAGTTTACATGGAATAGAAGGAAATAAGCTAGAGTGTCCACAGTGCTGGAGTGTGGAGAGGTTTTACTCAGATGGGAAGAAACAGAGGAAGGAGAAATGCATTCCCTCAAGATGGAGAGTTGTAATGAGACAGAATTTCTTCCCTTCTTTTTCTTCTCTTCTCCATTCTTAACACACTTCTAAAGAAGGAAAGACAGAATAAAATAATGGTGCAGATCATAATGAGGCTTTTAGTGGTGAGGACATGGGTACATGGAAGGCTTAAGAAAAATGCTCTGTTTGTAAGACTTTTCATTAAGGATAGACTGAAGATCGGCCTGTATCTGTAACAGAGAAGAGACTGTGAAAGTTGATCATACAAATGGGGTCATTCTTGTCCTATACAACTAAAACAGAGTTGAGATGCCAGGGGCCAGGCCGCAGGGAAGCACTCAGGGCACAGAACATTACTCCAAGAATGTATTTCTCCACAAGCCTGGCTGCTGAAACTGCCTGCTGCAACCTCAAATCAGTTTTATCTAATGGCTACTGAAACAACTGCTACAACTCTAAGACTAGTTTTACCCACAGCTGTCACTCACCAGTCAGAGCTTACTAGCCCCCAAAACTTTATTCGTGTTCATGAACTTTCTTACAAAACAATACATAACATTCTCTTTTTTATAAAACCTCCAACCTTCTATTTCTTCTTCAGACATACCAAAGACAACCTGGTCTGTGTGTATGTATGCCCCAAATTGCAATTCTGTCTTCCCAAATAAAATGTTTTACATTTAGAGATTTGTCTCTATATTTTCTTTGACTTCAACAAGATGGAAGAGGGGAGGGAGGAATGAGCCTACTACATAGAGATGGTATACCACAAAAACCAGGAGGGAGAACAGGGCCTGAACTTCCTAGGTAATACAACCAGATTTTGACCCATGCACTGATCAAATCTTTCATTAACTGCTGAGATGAGGTAAACAACCATTAGCAGGCTGCAGTAGAAGCTCAGTTTAACCTCCAGGAATCAGTTTCCACAAACTAAAAAACATAAGAGATTTAATCATCTCTGAAACCCTCTGCATTTTTTAAATTCTATGACCTTATGAGTATTATCCGAGAATGGCCATGGTCAAAGATATCTGAATTACTCCATAACTGTAACTCCCCTTCACCTACATTGGTTTCCATAGTTACAGGGATATAAAATAAAGTCACTGTTGAAGCCAAGGCAGGACCTGACACTAAACTTGTCAAAGGAGAGAAAACATCAAGTTCAACATCTGTGGCATTCTTTCTAGCTCATCCTGACACATTTTGGCAGAAAACTTGAACTGCCACAGTTCAATTATTCAGAATGTCAGCCTATAAAAATCCAAACCTAAAAGTTTTATTAAAGCCATGATCTGCTACAAATAATAATAGAAACTTCATTTAAAAAAACTTTATTTGCTGCCTAGTTCATTTAATGATGTGACATAAGAAAGCATTGTATATTGCAGGACTTCTGACACTGACACTTAAAATGTCTGTTAAAAAAAACACAACAACTTGCCTCAGACACAGGCCATGTGTTTCACCAAAAGTTGCCAGGAATTAGAGAAAATAATCAAAGTAGGGAAGAGAAGTTTTTGTTCACTGTTTTTACAGGAGCACTAAGAATACTTGAATGCCAATGATGGAAAAAAAATGGAAAGAACCTCTTCTACTCACTGTTGAAATGACCTTTCTAAATTTCAGGGCATTAAAATAAATAAGATATATGCTACATAGCACAGGAAAATGTTTAAAGCAAAAGTTCACTTTTTGTGCCTTCATATTACTTTGAAAAATGCCAGGGAAGAGCCGTAAGCAAAGTGATAAATGCCTACTAGGTTTGATTAACTAGATTTTTTTTTTTTTTTTTGAGATGGACTTTTGCTCTGTCGCCCAGGCTGGAGCGCAGTGGTGCCATATAAGCTCACTGCAGCCTCCACCTCCTGGGTTCAAGCAATTCTTGTGCCTCAACCTCCCATGTAGCTGAGATTACAGGCATGTGCCACCACGCCCAGCTAATTTTTGTATTTTTAGTAGAGACAGGGTTTCACCATGTTGGCCAGGCTGGTCTTGAGCTCCTGACCTCAGGTGATCCACCCACTTCGGCCTCCCAAAGTGCTGGGATTGCAGCCATGAGCCACTGTGCCCAGCCTAGATTTTTACACATAAAAAAATATGTGTCAGATTTGAATATATAGTAATTAGTTAGTTCCTGAGCTGATATGCTAACTCAGTGCATTAGAGCCTGGTATTTCTAAATTTAACACTAAAAGCTCAAACTGCCATCTTGTAAATATGTGCCACTCACTACCAGAGAAAGTGTCACTCACTATCACAGAAAGAGAGAAGGCGAGCTAGACAGGGCAATACAATCCAGTGCGATTACTTCCCACAGCAATTCAGCAGGCATTCTTTGCGACTACTCAGACACAATCATGATCTCTTTATTTAAAGAGCAGAACGTGGTAGTATTTTAAATAGCATGGCCCCATAACCAATCTGTGAAGGTCTCTTATTGATTATAATTCTAAATCCAAGCTCTTGGAGATCAGTTATCCAGGTTAGAAAAGTTTGTTGACACCAAGGAAAATATCTTCATTTTGATATCTCTAAAATTCCACTTTTGTTGAAATTTCTCCATAGGCATATATAATTATTGGCCTGTTCCAAAAGCATCTTGAAGTGCCAACTTCAGAATATCTTTCTAGGTTCAGTCTTACAATATTAGTAATCCATTTCTTATGGCATCTATGTAGACTGCCTACCTCCATATAGTCTTGGGAATGTTGATGTGTTCATGAATATAAAATACGTACCTCTCCCAACCACTCACCATACTTATAACAGTAAGTTTCCTTATGGGTGTGACATAAAACACCTCAAATCAGTTCATAATTAATAACCACACTACAAATTAGATCACCACACTTTAGGCTAAGTTAAAATGGCAGGTTGTGATATGACTCTCCTGAGTCTCTCTCTCATAGGAATGTGACAGTGGGTCATCTTATAGGTGGACAAGTGAGCTCAGTTCTATTTTCAGCTTCAGTAGCATAAAACAGAAATTTATTTTAAGAATGACATTAACTGTGTACATATGATATTATTATTGTACCATTATTATTGGGGAATATCCACAGCACTCATTAACTGGTGAATCTCATTCCATATTTTTGTTCATTAAAGGTCCTCTTGTACTAATTTTTTAATTCAAATTCAACCTGTTACAGTGAGGTTCTCCAAGAATGCCAGGGATTGGTCTAATTATATAAATGCATACTGAGATTGCACAGAATGTCCTCCAGCCCCGTAGAAGAATATAATAAGATATATAAGCACATTTAATGAAAGTCTGACCAGTAAAAAAAGGTTATCAAGTTAATAATAGCCAGATTCAGGAAAAAAAAAGGCACTTTTTATCTAACACTGTTCAAGACAGACACAAGCAACCCCATCACCAGTGAGATTTTCTCCACTGGGGTCTGGTAATATGTTATTATACTTCCTCAGCATTTAGTAGAAACATCTCAGTAAGCCATTCTGTTGTTATTACCAAGAACACACCTGGGTTATCTGAGTAATATGAGAAGAAAGAAGTTAGTCTATTCTAACAAAGCACCTCAAAGCAACACAAAAATATAGTAGCTTGAATGAAATAGAGGTCTCTTACTCTCTCCCCACACAGTCTAGATGTAAATAATCTTGGCTTGGCACAGCCAACTCTACTGTCCCCTACACATGCCTCTCAAAGTTGCTCCAATTCTCACCATTCCCCAGTGAGTGACAGGAAAACAAAAAGTTGAGTAGGACAGTTTTATCTTCAAAATTTTGCTACAGAAGAGTTGACTTTTGTAACCCAGTGAATCCCCAAATTTAACCTGCAGGTTATAGGCAGAGGGACTTTCCTTTAGCAGATCTGTATTTCTTTCCATCTCTGCTTCCAAACCTAACTTGGCTGCCTTCACCTCTCTTTTGCAAAAAGCAACGATAAAGAGTTTATAAACATCAAACTTTTGAGTTTTTCCATGCAGTTATGCTAGACCAACAGACTCAGTGAGCATGTGCTCTGCTTTCCAAGTTATTGTAGACAAAATTGTATCAAATATTTTTCAACAGTTTAAGTCAACATCACCAGAGTCTACAATATTTATTGCTTTGCAACCCACTAGCAGACTGCTAAGCATAGTTCTGGTTATTGTTATGGGTATGACCCCACTTCCGGGTACCATTTTCTGTATTAATTAGATGCTATAATTTTGGAAAACCCCAAAACACAGTGACATATATATGCATACATATATATATAACATATATATGCATACATATATATATAACATATATATGCATACATATATATATAACATATATATGCATACATATATATATAACATATATATGCATACATATATATATAACATATATATGCATACATATATATATAACATATATATAAGATAACCTAGAAATTACACGCATTTCTGCTCAAATTCAATTGGATTAAACTTATTTGCATGGCTACACCTAGAAACAAGTATGTTCTTAGGTGGTGACCACCTGCTCTGCTAAAACCGGCCAGAGAGGGATTATATTATTCAAAAGGAAAAGGAGAATGGTTAATGAAGAGCAATAAGTAGTCTCTGTCAGACAGGGATTTCAGAATCCTCGCCTACTGTTATTCCATTGTTCTGGTTCTTTGTGTAAGCAGGTCTCTTAAGAGTCTGAAAAGCAGGGCATACAATATGAAATAACAAATCCAAACCCTAAGACTCGCCTTTGATGAGTTTACATAGATCACGGCCCTTGCACATCTCCAATTTAGCTTCCTCACCATAACATTTCAAATCTAATAAGGAGGAGGAAAGAAGGAAGCCTGCTAGCATATAAATATATTGCCTCCATTTTAGAATGTTTGTACTTAAAGAGTTCCTGCATTATCTTTTCTTCATATTGAATTTCTTAGAATTCTGTGTCACTCAGCACCCATTAGCCACAGCACAGTTTCCAGATGGATCTAGGCCTTGCCAACCTTTTTAGCTCAGAATACTATCCTCCCCAAGTTCCACAAACACCAAAGCTGATGATTCACAGGAATGTGGCTTAATCATAATACAGCCACACAAATATGCTATACAGCATTCTACGTTAAAATGGAAGACAAGCCCCCCCACTGATTATAGTACACTGCCCATTAAGCCAGTACTGAGCCATTTAATCTTTTTGAAGGCTACTTCAACCCATTCTATTTCCAGAACCATAATCCACACTCATCTTCTCACCAGTAATAAACTCACTTCTCAAGTATCATGATACCAGGAAGTGTGTATCTTGCATAAGGGACTCATAAAAGGTCTATCACCCATTATTAATTAAGTATAATGCTATTATGCATCAGGCATATGTGAAATTAATAGCAGTGAGACTGTCATCAAGGGACAATAACCTCTGGTTCAACTAAGCAAATCTTGCTCCTAGACCTGCAACAGAATGGTGACTATTCTCTTGTAGGAAATGATGACTTAATCAAGATGTTCTCAAGACTCAATCTGAGTGGTTCTACCTACAACAGAATTGTCCCCCCAATGACAGCTTCATTGGCCTTCCCTCAAACTCTCATAAGTGCATTTCCAATTCTCCAGTAGGTCCCTTGTGAACTATAAATCTAGGGGAATAGCGAGGTGTTCTTGGCAGTTATTTTTAAAAATTCACAAACGGCAGCCACCCCAACACTAATTAAAGGAATATGATTTATCTTGACTTCTTATTTTCTTTAATTAACCCCTGTTTAGGAGGAGAAAACACACACACCCTGTGCACCAGAACACCGAATACTGTCAACAAAATTCTTTGTATCATATGGATGATACAAATAGTTATGGTATGATATCTATATCATATGGGTTGATAAATATATAACACTCTCCATCTACACCCACAAGAAATATTCTCAACCAGTCAGTAACCTTTCTCATGAATGCCAGAAGTAGCCCTAGAATCATTCTTTATGCAAAACTCCAGGCAATTGTCATCAATTAGAGCTGCTCCTCAGAACAAAACCTATCTAACACTCTTACAATTTAACACACACAAATACACACCCACTGTGGTCCAAGGTCACACAGCAAATAAGTGGTACATCTGAGACTAATGTCCAGGACTCTTATTTCCTGAGACTGACGCTTTCTTCCACAAGGTATCGTGATGGCTATTTAGTAAATTAACAATATTTGCAACAGCTTTGAAAGCCTTCATTTGCCAAAGAGAAAATTATTGAAAGAAAAAGGAAAATCAATTCGTAGCTCCCTGGATAACATTTTAGAAGATCTGTACTTCAAAAATAACTGCTAAAAACTCTTCTAAATGTTAAGAAGTTAAAAAAAATAGTTCCCTGAATAACCTTTTTAAAGATCTGTACTTCAAAAATAATTGCTAAAAACCCTTCTAAATGTTAAGAAGTTAAGAAAAATTGCTATTAATTAAATGTTCAATTAATGTTTATTATGAATATCGTATTGTAATTAGGCAAGTTTGTGACACAGTAGAGTGTATGCATGTGTGCTTCATACACGTTATAGTACATTCATGCTCCCTTATATAATCAAAGTTTGTGGAATTCAATGCCAATTTTATAGACCTTTTACAGTGGGCATAATGAGCAATAGTCTGATAAATCAGGAGAAATAGATGGAATCTACCCTTATCTTAGAGTATGGGCTAGTCAGTAACCTCTCTGCACCTCAGTTTTCTCATCGTTCAGTTGAAGGTATCTCTATGGTCCCTGTGGTATGGAAAAACTTTCCTCTAAACCATGTTTTTCCTCTATTCTCACACCACAACAATCAACACAGAAGACTTTTGTGACCAAATGTATGGGTGGTTTTCCCCATACACCAAACAGCAGATAGCAGCTGGGAGTCCTCCAATTCAGTTCAGACACTATCTACCTGGAGATAGTGTCAGATCCCCCAAGTTGAAGGCTCCATCTCCAAGACTGCCCCTCTCCACACACACACACTGGTCCCAAGTCCCGGCCTGTGGAACTCTGACCAACTAGCTTTAAGCTGGGATTACCATAACACCCTCTTCAGGCTTGATTAATTTGCGAAGCAGCTCACAGAACTCAGGGAAATACCTACATACATTTGTAGGTTTATTATAAAGAATATTGTAAAGGATACAGATGAAGAGACACATAGGACGAGGTATGGGGAAGGGGCACAGAGCATCCATGCCCTCCCTGGGTGCATCACCCTCCAGGAAGCTCCACGGGTTCCACTATCTGAAAGCTCAATGAAACCTGTCCTCTTGCATTTTTATGGAAGTCTCATGACATCGCCATTCCTTCTCCCAGGTTTAGTGTGGGACCCACTCCTGGGAGAGTCTTAAGACCCACAGTCAGAAAGAGGGGGGAACGTCAGAGTGGAAAGAAGGCAGAGGAAGTTCAGAGGCCTGCCCCTGAGGCCTGACATACCCAACATTATAACGCAAAAGACTGTAACAGGGATATGGGTGTTATGGGCCAGGAACTGGGGATGAAAATCAATGTATATCATAACACCGCAGTCCCCTAAAGTACTCAAGAGCTCTATCATTCAAAGCATAATTTTGTTGTTTTAAACATATTATGGAATATTAAACTTGCTTTATAATGTACATAAAATGTCAACTTATTTGACACCACAATTTAAAGAAATTATACACTTCCTTATGTTTTTAAGTTGACATCTAAATTTATCTCAAACCTAATAGTTACAAAAGATGCAATTTCTAGTATATTGCATATCAGGTATAAGATCTAAATATATTAATATACTTGAAGTTGCAGATTTAGCCCATTCAACTTATGAAACATGTCTGCTGTATGTTTATGAGACATATTTCTGAAACAATTTGTGAAACATCTGCTGTATAAAACCTCACTGGAAAAGCCAGTTCTCGTGGTCAAGCATATTAGTCAAATCAGATTTATTGCCATACAAAGCCAAACTTACATTTTTCAATTCAAAAAAAAGTCAGTATGTACTCCATAACACACATTCTACTTCTGAATTCTAATTCTAATTTACATAAACAGAGAAAAGGTTAGCTAGAGCCTTTCCATGATTTTGTTACCTAAATAAAATCAGGCATTTCTCATATACACATGTATCTTTTGTATATAATTTTATTATATATACACAATACATATAATTTCATTGCAATTGCTTATGTAAATATGTTTTTAACCAAAGGCTCTTATTCAGGAGCTTTACATATTCAAACACTCCTCTTTTTAGCCCCTAACTTTTTTATACCCTGGGAAATGCATCATAAGATTCAGGATGGATGAGAGGTGCACATTTTTTTTTTTTGTAAAGTAGGAGGTGACCATTGTGAAAAGAGTGGTAGGAATGGAGAAATACTGACTGCAGGAGTGGTTTTCAGATAGATCAGCTTAAGGAAGAGACACAATGGAAGCTGAGCATCTTCAGAATGATTTCCTTAAAGCTGTCCAAGCCATATACCCCTGGAAAGTCTTCAAATATCCTCAAGGGTATGCATACTCTGTTTAAAGATATCTGAACTGGGATTCCTTTATGACTGAAAAAAATGTACAGCAAATTCTTATGTCCCTTATTATTGGAAAAAAATGAGACAGAAAATTCAAGAAAGCATTTACTTCTCCAGGCTCTTTTATCCTCAAGTCCTCAGGACAAAATTGCTTGCCATAACCACAAATAAAAACAGCAAAGAGGCTTCATAATAGAAGCCACTCCTACTGGCAGTGGCTTCCCAGTTTGCTTGTGATAAGGTTTATGAGGTTGAGTCTGTGCTTTTCATAAAAGAATGCCATGGCTAATTAGCAATATCTGGCAGGATGTGGAAATGACAGCCTAAGTGCTACATCAGTCCTCCCACCCTGTCAGCATAACCTAACAAAACAACTTTATTTGAATTTTATTCAGTTTCCTATTTAACCTTTGGTTCCTGCAATTCTGAGCATAGGTACATTCCAAAGAATACATGTTTTTAAAGTGGGTATGCACAGGTTTTTACTTTATCATATACATAATATACGTAATAGCATATGTAAATTTTCCCCAAATAAGAAGAAAATGCATTTATTAATCAATTGAGAAGACAATATTTATCCACTTATTTATTACTAGATAGTCTTGGAAGAGCATGAATATGCTTTATTCACTAATTAGAAACTGCTTTAGCTTTAGTATTCCTGGAAAATAAAGTGCAAGGGGATAATCAATGAAGAGATGCCTGAACTGATTAACAGGGACTATGTCATGAAGGACCTTGTGAGCCACGGGACTGATTATTTAAGCAATAGATGTTATCAAAGAGTTTTAATCTGCTCACATCATCAGATTTATACTGTGGAAGGCTCCCTCTGGTGGCAGTGTAGGGAATGGATCAACTAAAGTAGGTAAGACAGTAAAAGCTTTGGAGAGACTTGAGGTATTCTAGATGAAAGATAATATTGAGGAAAAATAGTAGTAATTGTAGCAGGAATAACGAAAAGTGGAAAGACTTAAGACTGTAACAGCATCTCCTAGATTTGATAATCTGTTGGAGGTAGGCAGTAGAATGGATGGTGATGTCACTAACTTGGGGAATTAAAAATAGAACAGGCTTGGAATAAAAGATGACTTCAGATTTGGACATATGGAATTAGAAATACTTGTCTATAGCTGAGAGCAGAGGTCAAAGTCAGAACTAAAAACAGAGGATCTGTGGCATAGAGACGATAATTGAAGCTGTGGGAGTCAGTGTGGTGAAAGTGGGGCACATGTGTGGTGTGGGGTAAAAAGGAGGGCTAACTGAGGAACAACAACATCACAGGGATGTTCAGAAAGATGCCTTGCAAAGGAGACAGCGGGGTGACTAGAGAGTCAACAAAAAACTAGAGCAGGGTGGGTCACAAACAGCAAGGGAAGCAAAGTCTTCAAAAAGAGAGTAATCACAGTATAAAATGTTGACGACTGGAAAGTTAAAAAGGACAAGGATATGTGGACTGGAAGCATGCCCAGGTTCATGTTGTTGCAAATGGAAGAGTATGTGTTAGTGAGAGGTTTTTCCCTGACTTGGTAACTTAAGAGAGGGTGCAACGGGTTGAGAAGCAATGAGAGGTGAAAGAGGAAAAATTTGGGTATGAAGAGGCAAAGAGAACTGCATTAGTTAGGGAGGAATACAGGGCTCAAGGAGAGGTTTTTTATGTACATAATGAACTGATTAACAATACTACAGTCAAGCAAATTAACATATTCATCTCCTCCCATAGTTAACCATTTTTAGTGTGTGTGATAAGAACACCTAAAATCTACTCTGTTTGCAAATTTCTAGTATGCAATACGGTATTATTAACTATAGTCCTCATGCTGCCCATTTGATTTCTAGATTTCTTCATCCTACATTAATTACATCCTTGTGCCTTTTGACAAGTATCTCTCCATTTCCCCCACCTCCCCACCTTCAGTAATCACCATTCTACTTTCTGCTTCTATGGAGAGTAGAAGTGAGTTTTTTTAGACCCCACATATAAGTGAGATCATGTGGTATTTGTCTCCCTGTATCTGGCTTGTTTCACTTAGCATAATGTCTTCCAAGTTCATCTATGTTATTGTAAATGGCAGAATCAAGGAAGATTTGTTGTTGTTGTTGTTTTACATATGAAGAATTTGGAAGACTTTCTAAAGGTGGCAACAGCAAGATGGTAGAATAGGAAGTCTATGGCTCCACTTTCACTACCCAGCCAAGAGAAGGATCCACTAGCAACTATCCACAGGCCAGAACATCTTTTCAAAAATCCTACTACTTAGATAGAACTCACATAGTCCCCCAAACTGAATGAAAACCAAATTAAAACGATAAGAAGAACAGTCTCACTTTGACTGCACTGCTCCTCTCCCTCCCCCAAGTTGCCACAATGCCAGACGGAGAGGAACTCCTTGACCCAAAGTTTCTACTGGGGGAAAAAAGAACTGGAGACAGTTATCCAGCTTCCCTAACAATCTCATATAATTCCCAGGAAGGCTACTCCAGTCTCACTTCATGAGGAACACTGTGGGTAGGTAATAGCACAGCTAGACTGCCCAGGATCAGGTAAAAACAAAGGAAGGAAGCAGAGGTCACAATGACCAGCATACAGATCTTGGTGGTACCTCTGCATTTCTGCCAGCCATGGAACCAGATGGAAGACACAAATCAACATGAAGCTGACCTCATGGTCTTCAGAAGCACAGTAGGAAGTTCAACCTAGCTTGATTCCCCAGAGGGTTAGTCTTCATGCCCAGTCTCAGAGCCCACCCCAGTGACCCCACTGAGGCAGGGAGACCCCCAACTCCACCCATTGCAGATAAGCACAGTGGCTAGGCCTGCATGACTGGAGAAGTCAAGCAGCAGTTCCACTCAGACCAAAAGCCCACTCAACCATCCTGCCAAGGCACGGAAACTCCTACCTCAGCACATTTTGGAGAAGCACAGGCGCCAGACCTACTTGATCCAGGAAGTCAAACAGCCACTCAACTCAGCCAAAAGCTTGTCACACAGCTCCACTGGGACAAGGAGGGAATCCTCAATCATGCATTTCAAAGAGCGTGGCCTCTGGTTCTGTCTATCCCAAGCAGTATCTACACCTAACCTCAGTGCCCAGCCTGGAGCCCTGCCCAACTGCAGATCCCAAATAGCAGAATTATCCAGCCAGGGAATACATCTTATTATCAGCCTGACCAGAAGCTTTGCAGTCCCTAGCCAGCAGCTCCCCCTTATACCAGTGCCCAACCAGTGATATTGCTGGGCAGTGGAACCTAGCCAGGAGCCCCAGCTAAAAACAGAATTAAGGCAGCAGCCCAGCCAACTAGAGAGCCCACAAAAAGCTCTGCCTGCCTAGGGTCATTAGCAGCTGGCCCTTTCAGAATCACAGTTAGACTAAACAGTGAAGGTCTATCCCTGCCAAAGAACACCTGTAAAGGCCAGCAGAGGAGGCTGTCTCCTCAAATATACAGACAACAATGCAAGGACACAAAAATTACAAAGAATCAGGAAATCATAACACTCTCAAAATAAACTAATAAAGCTCCAATAATCAACCCTAAAGATATACAGATCTATCAAATGACTGAAAAGAATTCAGAATAATCATCTTAAAGATGTTCAGTAAACTAAAAGAATACACATTAAAAATTAAATAAAATTTGGAAAACAATACATGAACAAAGTGAGAAGTTTGATAAAGAAATAGACACAATTGCAAAAATAGAAATTCTAGAGATAAAGGTTACAGGCATGACTTAGAGATACTGTGGGTTCAGTTATAGACCACCACAATTTTATCATGAGGCACAGTAATCCAGTCACATCTTCAGGCTTTACTTACATTTCTGGTTCTCGCTATTTCTACCACATCGGCAATTGCTTCTTCCACTGAAGTCTTGGACCCCTCAAAGTCATCCATGAGGGTTGAAATAAACTTCTTTCAAACTTCTATTAATGTTGTTATTTGTAACTCCTCTCATGAAACACAAATATTCTTAATGGCATCTAGAATGGTGAATCCTTTCCAGAAGGTTTTTAATTTACTTTGCCCATATATCTCAGAGAAATTACTATTTTTGGCAGCTATAGCCTTACAAAATGCCTTTCTTAAATAACAGGACTTGAAAGTTGAAATTACTCCTTGATCTATTGACTGCAGAATGGATGTTGTGCTAGCAAGCATGAAAACACTAATTTCCTTGTACATCTTCATCAGCACTCTCAGGTGACTGGGTGCACGGTCTATGAGCAGAAGTATTTTTAAAGAAATTGTGTTTTCTGAGCAATGGGTCTCAATGGGGAGTTATAAATATTCAGTAAATCATACTGTAAACAGATGTGCTACCATCCAGACTTTGTGTTTCTATTGATACAGACCAGGCAGAGTCCATTTAGCATAATTAAGGGCCCTAGGATTCTCAAAATGGTAAATGAGCTTTGGCTTAAACTTAAACTGACCAATTGCATTCACTCCTAAGGAGATAGTCAGTCTATCCTTTGAAATTTTGAAGCTAGACTTTGACTTCTCCTCTCTAGCTGTGAAAGTTCTACATGGCATCTTCTTCCAACATAAAGCTGTTTTTGTCTTCATTGAAAATCTCTTGCTTAATGTGGCCGTCTTCATCAATGATCTTTGCTAAGTCTAGATAACTTGCTGCAGCTTCTACATCAGCATTTGCTGCTTCACCTTGCACTTTTATGCTATGAAGATTACTTCTTTCCTTTAACCTCATGAACCAAGTTTTGCTAGCTTCCAACATTTTTCTGCAGCTTCCTTACCTCTCTCGGCCTTCATAGAATTGAAGAAAATGAAGGCCTTGTTCTGGCAAGGCTTTGGCTTAAAGGAATGTTGTGGCTGACTTGATCTTCTGTCAAAACCAGTAAAATTTTTTCCATAGCAGCTATATGGCTGTTTTACTTTGTTATTCATGTGTTCACTGGAGTAACACTTTTAATTTCCTTCTATAACTTTCCTTATGCATTCACAAATTTGGCAAAAGGAATCTAGCTTTCAGCCTATCTGAGCTTTTGAAATATGTTCCTCACTAAGCTTAACCATTTTTAAAAAATGCTTTTGATTTTCAATGAGAGATGTGTGACTCTTCCTTTCACTTGAACACTTAGAAGTCATTGTCGGGTTACTAATTGACCTAATTTCAATATTGTTGTGTTTCAGGGAATAGGAAAACTTCAGGAAAGAGAGAGAGATGAGGGAATGGCCAGTTGGTGGAGCAGTTAGAACACACCCAATATTTATTGATAACATTTACTGTCTTATATGGGTGTAGTTTGTGGCTCCCCAAACAATTATGATAGTGACATCAAAAATAACTGACCACAGGTCACCATAACAGATATAATAATAATAATAAATTGAAATATTGCAAGAATTACCAAATTTTGACACAGAGACATAAAATGAGCAAATGTCATTGAAAAAAAATAGCAGCAATAAATTTGCCCAATGCAGGGTACCACAAACTTTCAATTTGTTAAAAATGCAATATCTGAAAAAAAAGCAAAACGCAATAAAATGAGGTAATCTTATGCAATGAATGAACTTATAAAAATGCAGTAAAAATGCATCAACAGAAGACTCAACCAAGCAGAGGAAAGAATTAGTGAGCTCAAAGACAGGACATTTAAAATTATCCAGTCAGAGGGGAATAAAAGACAAAGGAATGAAGAAATCCTATGGGAATTATGGAACTCCATTAAGAGACCAAACCCTTGAATAACAAGAGTTGCAGAAGAAGGAAAATAGGGAAAGGTAGAATTTGGCTGTGAATCCATCTGGTCCTGGACTCTTTTTTGTTGGTAAGCTATTGATTATTGCCACAATTTCAGATCCTGTTATTGGTCTATTCAGAGATTCAACTTCTTCCTGGTTTAGTCTTGGGAGAGTGTATGTGTCAAGGAATTTATCCATTTCTTCTAGATTTTCCAGTTTATTTGTGTAGAGGTGTTTGTAGTATTCTCTGATGGTAGTTTGTATTTCTGTGGGATTGGTGGTGATATCCCCTTTATCATTTTTTATTGCATCTATTTGATTCTTCTCTCTTTTATTCTTTATTAGTCTTGCTAGCAGTCTATCAATTTTGTTGATCCTTTCAAAAAACCAGCTCCTGGATTCATTAATTTTTGAAGGGTTTTTTTTCTCTCTATTTCCTTCAGTTCTGCTCTGATTTTAGTTATTTCTTGCCTTCTGCTAGCTTGTGAATGTGTTTGCTGTTGCTTTTCTAGCTCTTTTAATTGTGATGTTAGGGTATCAATTTTGGAACTTTCCTGCTTTCTCTTGTGGGCATTTAGTGCTATAAATTTCCCTGTACACGCTGCTTTGAATGTGTCCCAGAGATTCTGGTATGTTGTGTCTTTGTTCTCATTGGTTTCAAAGAACATCTTTATTTCTGCCTTCATTTCGTTATGTACCCAGTAGTCATTAAGGAGCAGGTTGTTCATTTTCCACATACTTGAGCGGTTTTGAGTGAGTTTCTTAATCCTGAGTTCTAGTTTGATTGCACTGTGGTCTGAGACACAGTTTGTTATAATTTCTGTTCTTTTACATTTGCTAAGGAGAGCTTTACTTCCAACTATGTGGTCAATTTTGGAATAGGTGTGGTGTGGTGCTGAAAAAAAAAAGTAAGGAGGAACTGGTACCATTCCTTCTGAAACTATTCCAATCAATAGAAAAACAGGCAATCCTCCCTAACTCATTTTATGAGGCCAGCATCATCCTGATACCAAAGCTGGGCAGAGACACAACCAAAAAAGAGAATTTTAGACCAATATCCTTGATGAACATTGATGCAAAAATCCTCAATAAAATACGGCAAACCGAATTCAGCAGCACATCAAAAAGCTTATCCACCATGATCAAGTGGGCTTCATCCCTGGGATGCAAGGTTGGTTCAATATATGCAAATCAATAAATGTAATCCAGCATATAAACAGAACCAAAGACAAAAACCACATGATTATCTCAATAGATGCAGGAAAGGCCTTTGACAAAATTCAACAACCCTTCATGCTAAAAACTCTCAATAAATTAGGTATTGATGGGACGTATCTCAAAATAATAAGACCTATGTATGACAAACCTACAGCCAATATCATACTGAATGGGGAAAAACTGGAAGCATTCCCTTTGAAAACTGGCACAAGACAGGGATGCCCTCTCTCACCACTCCTATTCAACATAGTGTTGGAAGTTCTGGCCAGGGCAATTAGGCAGGAGAAGGAAATAAAGGGTATCCAATTAGGAAAAGAGGAAGTCAAATTGTCCCTGTTTGCAGATGACATGATTGTATATCTAGAAAACCCCATCATCTCAGCCCAAAATCTCCTTAAGCTGATAAGCAACTTCAGCAAAGTCTCAGGATACAAAATCAATGTACAAAAATCACAAGCATTCTTATACACCAATAACAGACAAACAGAGAGCCAAATCATGAGTGAACTCCCATTCACAATTGCTTCAAAGAGAATAAAATACCTGGGAATCCAACTTACAAGGGATGTGAAGGACCTCTTCAAAGAGAACTACAAACCACTGCTCAATGAAATAAAAGAGGATACAAACAAATGGAAGAACATTCCATGCTCATGGGTAGGAAGAATCAATATCGTGAAAATGGCCATACTGCCCAAGGTAATTTATAGATTCAATGCCATCCCCATCAAGCTACCAATGACTTTCTTCACAGAATTGGAAAAAACTACTTTAAAGTTCGCATGGAACCAAAAAAGAGCCCGCATCACCAAGTCAATCCTAAGCCAAAAGAACAAAGCCGGAGGCATCACGCTACCTGACTTCAAACTATACTACAAGGCTACAGTAACCAAAACAGCATGGTACTGGTACCAAAACAGAGATATAGATCAATGGAACAGAACAGAGCCCTCAGAAAAAACACCACATACCTACAACTATCTGATCTTTGACAAACCTGAGAAAAACAACCAATGGGGAAACGATTCCCTATTTAATAAATGGTGCTGGGAAAACTGGCTAGCCATATGTAGAAAGCTGAAACTGGAGCCCTTCCTTACACCTTATACAAAAATTAATTCAAGATGGATTAAAGACTTAAATGTTAGACCTAAAACCATAAAAACCCTAGAAGAAAACCTAGGCATTACCATTCAGGACATAGGCATAGGCAAGGACTTCATGTCTAAAACACCAAAAGCTATGGCAACAAAAGACAAAATTGACAAATGGGATCTAATTAAACTAAAGAGCTTCTGCACAGCAAAAGAAACTACCATCAGAGTGAACAGGCAACCTACAGAATGGGAGAAAATTTTTGCAACCTACTCATCTGACAAAGGGCTAATAGCCAGAATCTATAATGAACTCAAACAAATTTACAAGAAAAAAACAAACAACCCCATCAAAAAGTGGGCAAAGGATATGAACAGACACTTCTCAAAAGAAGACATTTATGCAGCCAAAAGACACATGAAAAAATGCTCATCATCACTGGCCATCAGAGAAATGCAAATCAAAACCACAATGAGATACCATCTCACACCAGTTAGAATGGCAATCATTAAAAAGTCAGGAAACAACAGGTGCTGGAGAGGATGTGGAGAAATAGGAACACTTTTACACTGTTGGTGGGACTGTAAACTATTTCAATCATTGTGGAAGTCAGTGTGGCAATTCCTCAGGGATCTAGAACTAGAAATACCATTTGACCCAGCCATCCTATTACTGGGTATATACCCAAAGGACTATAAATCATGCTGCTATAAAGACACATGCACACGTATGTTTATTGCAGCTGTATTCACAATAGCAAAGACTTGGAACCAACCGAAATGTCCAACAATGATAGACTGGATTAAGAAAATGTGGCACATATACACCATGGAATACTATGCAGCCATAAAAAATGATGAGTTCATGTCCTTTGTAGGGACATGGATGAAATTGGAAATCATCATTCTCAGTAAACTATTGCAAGGACAAAAAACCAAACACTGCATGTTCTCACTCATAGATGGGAATTGAGCAATGAGAACACATGGACACAGGAAGGGGAACATCACACTTTGGGGACTGTTGTGGGGTGAGGGGAGTGGGGAGGGATAGCATTAGGAGATATACCTAATGCTAAATGATGAGTTAATGGGTGCAGCACACCAGCATGGCGCATGTATACATATGTAACTAACATGCACATTGTGCACATGTACCCTAAAACTTAAAGTATAATAATAATTAAAAAAAGAAAAATAGGGAAAGGGAACCAGAAATCATATTTTTAAAAATAATGGCTGAAAACTTCCCTAATCTGGAAAAAAGTGTCAACATCCACATACTGGAGGTGTTGAAGTAATTCAACCCAAAGAGAAATTCAGCAATACACATAATAATCAAAGAAATCAAAAATCAAAGACAAAGACAAAATGTTGAGAGCAGCAAAAGATAAGAAACATATCACATGAAAAGGAGTCCCAATATGACTATCAGCAGAATTCTCAGCAAAAAACCCTCAAGCCAAGAAAGAGTGGGATGACATAGTCAAAATGGCAGAAGCAAAAACACTACCCACCAATAATACCCAGGAAATCCGTCTTTCAGAAATCAGGAAGAAATAAAAATTTTCCTAAACAAAAATCTAAGGGAGTTCATCACCACTAGACCTGCCTGACATAAATTGGTAAAGGGAGTTCCTTAAGCTGAAACAAAAAAGGCTACTAATTAACATCATAAAACATACAAAAGAACAAAAGTCAATGGTATAAGTAAAACAGAGTAATATTCATAATAGTCTAGGACATTAATGATGGTGTGTAAAGCAATTTTATTCCTAGCATGGGGGTTAAAATAAAAGCTGTTGATAATAACTATAATTAAAACAAATTGTCAAGGTGTACACTTTACAAAACTGATGTAAATATTGGCATCGAAAACATAAAATGGGAATGCATAGGGAGAAAAACTGTAAAGTTGCATATAATCAAAGTAAAGTTGTTATCAGCTTGAAATAGCCTGCTATAAGATGTTCTATGTTAGCCTCAGGATAACAAAGCAAACATCTGCAGTAGAAGCACAAAGTACAAATAGAAGGAATTCAAAACATATCACTACAGAAAACCATCAAACCACAAAGGAAAACAGCAAGAAAGAAAGACAAGAACTAATGATTAACAAAACACTCAGTAAACAATTAACAAAGTGGCATTATTAAATTCTCTGCTATCAATAATTACCCTGAATGTAAATGGATTAAATTCTCCAATAAAAAGACATAACATGACTATATATTAATAGACCAAAAAAAAAAAAAAAAAACAAGGCCCAATTATAGGCTGTCTATAAGAGACTGGCCTCACTTTTAAGGACACACATAGACTAACAGTAAAAAGATGGAAAAAGATATTTCACACAAATAGAAACAAAAAGAGAGCAGAGGTAGCTATATAATCATCCTTTATATCTGCAAGGGGTTGGTTCCAGGAACACTATGAATGCCAAAATTCACAAATGCTCAAGTCCCTTATATAAAATGCCATAGCATTTGCATATAACCTATGTGCATCCTTCTGCATACTTTAAATCATTTCTAGATTATACATAATACCCAATACAATGTAAATGCTACATAGGTAACTTTTATACTGTGTTGGTTTTTTATTTTTATTATGTTTTATTCTTGTATTATTTTTATTGTATTTTTAAATATTTTTGATTTGCAATTAGTAAAATCTATAATGCAAAACCCATGCCTACAGAGGGCCAACTGTACTTATGTAAGACAAAATAGGCTTTAGGGCTTTGTATAGTCTGAGCTGACTACGGGTAGAAGGGATCCCAAAGCACACCACAGCACAGCTGCTCTACCAAAATATGGCCAGACTGCTTCCTTAAGCAGGTTCCCAATCCCATTCCTCCTCACTTGGTGGGAACTCCCAAGTGGGCTTTCAGCCACCCCTGTTGGTGTTCTCTGGCCAAGAGAGATTTGTAATTTCCCTCAAACAGAGCACCCAGAGGGAGGGGTGGGACACCATCTTTGCTCTTTGAGTGACAGCCATTCCATCTTTCGGGCTTCAGGGTGTCTGAGGTGACTGGGGACTGAAGCAGACCCCTAACACAACACAGCTTCTCTACTGAAACACGGCAAGAGTGCTTTTTTAAGCAGGTCTCCAATCCTATTCCTCCTCATTGGGCAGGGCTTCCCAACTGGGGTCTCCAGCCACTTCCTAGGGTGCCTTTGGGCTGGCAACAGGCCCATATCTCCCTAGGACAAAGCGTCCAGATGGAGGAACAGGTTGCCACCTTTGCTGTTTTGCAGCATTCACTGGTGAAACCTCCAGGTACTGAAATATCTGAGGCAACTAGGGACCAGAGTGCACCCCAAGCACACTGCAGCAGCCCTATGGAAAAGTGGCAAGACAGTTACATGGGTGTCCATTCCTATATCTTCTCACCAGGCAGGTCCTCCAGGCCTGGGCCTCCAGCCACCCCCCACCAGAGTTATTGAGCTGGTAGCAACTCTAGGGGCAACTGAAAGCCTCTCTGCCACTGCCTCTGCCTTGCCACCCTCAGACTAACAATGGAACAAAGACCCTAAGTGTTTTATTCACACCTCCAACAAACTGCAGTCAACCCAAGAAGAGGAGAATAGTCCATCTCCCATGGGTCTCACACACCCCCCACTGCTCATCACAAGACAGGGAACCTCTGGCTTGGGCCCACAGCATAGACCCTCCATCCTGGGCTGATTGCACTGGGCAAATGCTGACCTGCATCTCTGTGGCATAGAGGCCCCAGGAGACAAGCAAATGACCCTCAGCCACAACTAGTACTAAGATCCCTTCCTCTGCTGCCTCCAAGTTGGGGAGAAAACAACACTGAGATTGCCCCAGAGCTGCAATGAACAGCCCAGGAGTGCCAAATCATGATCTACAGCCAGCACTCAAGGGGAGAGGATCCCACACTTTCAGAGTATTGAGCAGGAACATGGCTGCCACTGTGAGGAAACATAGGGGAGCAACACAACCGAACAAAAGTCTACCAACTGACAAATAAGCCTAAGTACTACCTGCTGGATCACACTCTAAAGCTTCAAAATGAAAAATACCCCCCTAATATACCCCCTCTGAAACCAGAGACAAGAAGGCAGCTTCAAAGAAAAACCCTGCACAAAGCCTTGGCCTGGTGAAAACATCCAGAAAAGAAGTCTATTGACTGTACTCAATCTACACTGCAGTTAAAGGAACAGCCACATGCAGAGATGAGGAAGAATCAACACAAGAACTCTGGTAACTCTAATGGCCAGAGTGTCTGATGTCCTCCAAACAACCACACCAGTTCTCCAACAAGAGCTCTCAATCAGGCCAAACTGGCTGGGATGACAGAGATAGAATTCAGAACCAATGGATAGGAAGAAAGATTATCAAGATTCAGAGAATGGCAAAACACAATCCAGGGAAAATAGGAATCACAATAAAGTAGGAGCTGAAAGACAAAACAGCCACTACAAAAAAGAACCTAATGGGTCTGACAGAGCTGAACAACACAGTACAAGAGTTTCACAATGCAATCACAAGTATTAACAGCAGAATAAACCAAGCTGAGGAAAAAAAATCTCAGAACTTGAAGACTGGTTCTCTAAGGCAGTCAGACAAAAATAAAGAAAAAAGAATAAAAAGGAATAAACAAAGCCTCTGCAAAGTATGGGATTATGTGATGAGGCCAAATCTATGAATCATTGGCATTCCTGAAAGGGAGGAGGAAAAAGCAAACAACTTGGAAAACATATTTCAGGATATAATCCATGAAAACTTCCTCAACCTTGCTAGAGAAGCTAATGATCAAATTCAGGAAATACAGAGAATTCCTACAAGATTCTACACAAAAAGACCATCCCAAAGACATATAATCATCAAATTTTCTACCATCAAAATGTCAAAATAAATGCTAAATGCAGCTAGAGAGAAAGGGCAGGTTACCTACAAAGGGAATCCCACTAGGCTAACAGCAAGCCTCTCAGGTGATACCCTGAAAGCCAAAAGAGATTGGAGACCTCTATTCAACCATCATAGGGAAAAAAATCTTCAATCAAGGGTTTCATATTTGGCCAAACTAGGCTTCCTAAGTGAAGAAGAAATACAATCCTTTTCAGATTAGCAAATGTTGACGGAATTCATTACCACCAGACCTGCCTTACAAGAGCTCTTCAAAGGAGTGTTAAATGCAGAAAGACTGCTACCTTCTAATACAAAAACACACTTAAACACACAGAGCAGTGTCATTGTGAAGCAATTACAAAAACAAACTAACATAATAACCAGCTAACAGCACAACGACATAATCAAATCCACACATATCAATATTAATATTCAATGTAAATGGGCTAAATGCCTCACTTAAAAGGCACAAAGTGGAAAGCTGGATGAAAATGCAAGACCCAGTGATATGCTGTCTTCAAGAGACACATCTCACAAGTAATGACAATCCTAGGCTCAAAATAAAGGGATGGAGGGAAATCTACCAAGCAAATGGAAAACAGAAAAAAGCAGGGTTTGCAATCCTAATTTCAGATAAAACAGATTTCAAACCAACAAAGAAAAAAAAAAAGACAAAGCAGGGCATTACATAATGGTAAAGGGTTCAATTCAACAGAAGACCTAACTATCCTAAATACATAGGCACCCATCACAGAAGCACCCAGATTCATAAAGCCAGTTCTTAGAGACCTACAAAGAGATATAGACTCCCACACAATAATGGTGGGAGACTTCAAAATGCCACTGATAGTATTAGACAGATCTTCAAGGCAGAAAATTAACAAAGATATTCAAGACCTAAACTCATCACTGGACATGGATCTAATGGACCTTTACAGAATTCTCCACCGAAAAACAACAAACTATACATTCTGCTCATTGTCACAGGGCACGTACTCTAAAATCAACCACATAATTGGACCTAAAACAATCCTCAACTTATGTAAAAGAACCAAAATCTTATGAACACACTCTTGGACTAGAGCTCAATAAAAACAGAAGTCAAGACTAGGAAAATCATGCAAAACCATGCAATGACATGGAAATTAAACATGCTCCATAATGACTTTAAGGGTACATAATGAAATTACAGCAGAAATAAAGAAGTTATTTGAAAATAATAAGAAAAAAGATCCATAACAGAATCTCTGGGACACACCTAAGGCAATGTTAAGAGGTAAATCCATAGCACTAAATCCCTACATCAAAAAGTTAGAAAGATCTCAAATTAATGACCTAACTTCACACCTGAAGGAATTAGAGAAGCAAGGACAAATCAACCCAAAGCAAGCAGAAGACAAGAAATAACAAAAAATCAGAGCTGAACTGAAGGAAATCAAGACATGAAAAACTATTCAAAAGATCAAGGAACTAGGAGTTGGTTTTCTGAAAAAAATTAATAAAATAGGCCACTAGCTACACTAATAATGAAGAAAAGAGAAAAGACTCAAATAAAAACAATTAGAAATGATGAAGAGAATGTTACTACTGACATCACAGAAATAAAAACAGCCATCAGAAGCTACTACAAACCCCTCAATGCACAGAAACTAGAAAACCAAGAAGAGATGAATAAACTTGTGGACATATACAACCTCCCAAGACTGAGCCAGGAAGAAAATGAATCCCTTCACAGACCAATAATGAGCTCCAAAAGTGAATTATTAGTAAGTAACCTATCAACCAAAAAAAGTCTGGAACCTGATGAATTCACAGACAAATTCTACCAGATGTACAAAGAACAGCTGGTACCATTCCTACTAAAACTATTCAAAAAAACTGAGGAGGGACTCCTCCCCAACTCATTCAATGAAGCCAAGATCATCTTGATACCAAAACTTGGCAGAGACACAACAAAAAAAGAAAACTTCAGGCCAATATCTGTGATGAACATCCACACAAAAATCATCAACAAAATACTTACAAAACAAAATCACTAACACATCAAAAAGCTAATCCACCATGATCAAGTAGCCTTCATCCTCACGATGCAAGTTTGGTTCAGCATACAAAAATTAATAAATGTGATTCATCACATAAACAGAACTAAAGACAAAAACCACGTGATTATCTCAATAAATGCAGAAAAGGCTTTTAATAAAATTCAACATCCCTTCATGTTAAAAATTCTCAATAAACTAGGTATTGAAGGAACATACTTCAAAATGATGAGAGCTATCTCTGACAAACCCACAGCCAACATTTTACTGAATGGGTAAAAGCTGGAAGCATATCCATTAAAAACCAGCACAAGACAAGGATGCACTATCTCATCATTCCTATTCAACATAATATCAGAAGTCCCAGCCAGGGCAGTCAGGCAAGACAAAGAAATAAAGTGCATCCAAATAGGAAGAGAGAAAGTTAAACTACCTCTGTTTGCAGATGACATGATTTTATTTCTAGAAAACCCCATAGTCTCAGCCCAAAAGCTCCTCCAGCTGATAAACACGTCAGCAAAGTTCCAGGATACAAAATCAATGTACAAAAATCATTAGCATTACTATACACCAACAACAGCCAAACCTAGAGCCAAATCAGAAAGGCTATTTTATTCACAATTGCTACAAAAAGAATAAAATAACTAGAAATACAGCTAACCATGGAGGTGAAAGAGTTCTGCAATGAGAATTACAAAACATTCCTCAAAGAAATTAGAAAGACACAAACAAATGGAAACACCTCCCATATTCATGAATAGCAAGAAACAATATCATTAAAATGGCTATATTACCCAAAGCAATTTACAAATTCAATGCTGTTTCTATCAAACTACCAATGACATTCTTCACAGAACTAGAAAAAAACTATTCTAAAATTTATATGAAACCAAAAAAACAAAAGAGCCTCAATAGGCAAGGCAGTACCAGGCAAAAAGAACAAAGCTGGAAGCCTCATGTTATTCAACTTCAAACTATACTACAAGACTACAGTAACCAAAACAGCATGGTTCTGATACAAAAACAAGCACATAGACCAATGGAAGATAATAGAGAACCCAGAAATAAGACTATATATCTACAATCATCTGATCTTTGACAAACCTGACAAAAACTAGTAATTGACAGAATCACTATTCAATAAATGGTGTTGGGATAACTGGATAGCCATATGCAGAAGATTGAAGCTGGACCCCTTCCTTACACCATATACAAAAATTAACTCAGGATGGATTAAAGTCTTAAATTTAAAACCCAAAACTATGAAAACCCTGGAAGATAACTTAGGCAATACTATTCTGGATATAGGAATGGGCAAAAATTTCATGACAGAGACACCAAAAGCAATCATAACAAAAGCAAATATTGACAAATGGAATCTAATTAGATTTAAGAGCTTCTGCACAGCCAAAAAAACTATCAACAGGGTCAACAGACAACCTACAGAATGGGAAAAAATATTAGGAAACTATCCATCTCACAAAGATCTAATATCCAGCATTTGTAAGAAATTTAAAGAAATTTAAACATGAAAAAACAACCCCATTAAAACGTGAGCAAAGGGCACATGCACAAGGGCTGGAGCCAAGATGACTGAATAGGAAAACCTCTGCTTTACAGCTCCCAGCGTGAGCGACGCAGAAGAAGAGTGATTTCTGCATTTCCATCGGAGTTACCGGGTTCATCTCACTAGGGAATGCCAGACAGTGGGCGCAGGACAGTGGGTGTAGTGCACCGTGCATGAGCTGAAGCTGGGTGAGGCATTGCATCACTCAGGAAGTGCAAGGGGTCAGGGAGTTCCCTTTCCTAGTCAAAGAAAGGGGTGACACACGGCACCTGGAAAATCGGGTCACTCCCACCCCAATACTGCGCTTTTCCCACAGGCTTAGAAAACCGCACACGACGAGATTATATCCCGCACCTGGCTCGGAGGGTCCTACGCCCATGGAGTCTCACTGATTGCTAGTACAGCAGTCTGAGATCAAACTGCAAGGCTGCAGTGAGGCTGAGGGAGGGGCGCCCACAATTGCCCAGGCTTGCTTAGGTAAACAAAGCAGCTGGGAAGCTCCAACTGGGTGGAGCCCACCACAGCTCAAGGAGGCCTGCCTGCCTCTGTAGGCTCCACCTCTGGGGTCAGGGCACAGACAAACAAAAAGACAGCAGTAACCTCTGCAGAATTAAATGTCCCTGTCTGACAGCTTTGAAGAGAGCAGTGGTTCTCCCAGCACACAGCTGGAGATCTGAGAACACGCAGACTGCCTCCTCAAGTGGGTTGCTGACCCCTGACCCCCGAGCAGCCTAACTGGGAGGCACCCCCCAGTAGGGGCAGACTGACACTTCACAAGGCCGGGTACTCCTCTGAGACAAAATTTCCAGAGGAACAATCAGACAGCAGCATTCGTGGTTCACAAAAATCCGCTGTTCTGCAGCCACCGCTGCTGGTACCCAGGCAAACAGGGTCTGGAGTGGATCTCTAGCAAATTCCAACAGACCTGCAGCTAAGGGTCCTGTCTGTTAGAAGGAAAACTAACAAACAGAAAGGAAATCCACACCAAAAACCATCTGTACATCACCATCATCAAAGACCAAAAGTAGATAAAACCACAAAGATGAGGAAAAAACAGAACAGAAAAACTGGAAACTCTAAAAAGCAGAGCTCCTCTCCTCCTCCAAAGGAACGCAGCTCCTCATCAGCAACAGAACAAAGCTGGATGGAGAATGACTTTGACGAGTTGAGAGAAGAAGGCTTCAGATGATCAAACTACTCCGAGCTACAGGAGGAAATTCAAACCAAAGGCAAAGAAGTTGAAAACTTTGAAAAAAATTTAGAGGAATGTATAACTAGAATAACCAATACAGAGAAGTGCTTAAAGGAGCTGTTGGAGATGAAAGCCAAGGCACAAGAACTACGTGAAGAATGCAGAAGCCTCAGGAGCTGATGCGATCAACTGGAAGAAAGGCTATCAGTGATGAAAGATGAAATGAATGAAATGAAGCAAGAAGGGAAGTTTAGAGAAAAAAGAATAAAAAGAAATGAACAAAGCCTCCAAGAAATATGGGACTATTTGAAAAGACCAAATCTAAGCCTGATTGGTGTACCTGAAAGTGACGGGAAGAATAGAAACAACTTGGAAAACTCTCTTCAGGATGTTATCCAGGAGAACTTCCCCAATCTAGCAAGGCACGCCAACATTCAGATTCAGGAAATACAGAGAACGCCACAAAGATACTCCTCGAGAAGAGCAACTCCAAGACACATAATTGTCACATTCACCAAAGTTGAAATGAAGGAAAGAATGTTAAGGGCAGCCAGAGAGAAAGGTCGGGTTATCCACAAAGGGAAGCCCATCAGACTAACAGCAGATCTCTCGGCAGAAACTCTACAAGCCAGAAGAGAGTGGGGGCCAATATTCAACATTCTTAAAGAAAAGAATTTTCAACCCAGAATTTCATATCCAGCCAAACTAAGCTTCATAAGTGAAGGAGAAATAAAATACTTTACAGACAAGCAAATGCTGAGAGATTTTGTCACCACCAGGCCTGCCCTAAAAGAGCTCCTGAAGGAAGCACTAAACATGGAAAGAACAACCGGTACCAGCCACTGCAAAATCATGCCAAATTGTAAAGACCATTGAGGCTAGGAAGAAACTGCATCAACTAACGAGCAAAATAACCAGCTAACATCATCATGACAGGATCAAATTCACACATAACAATATTAACTTTAAATGTAAATGGACTAAATGCTCCAATTAAAAGGCACAGACTGGCAAACTGGATAAAGAGTCAAGACCCATCAGTGTGCTGTATTCAGGAAACCCATCTCACGTGCGGAGACACATAAAGGCTCAAAATAAAAGGATGGAGGAAGATCTACCAAGCAAATGGAAAACAAAAAAAGGCAGGGGTTGCAATCCTAGTCTCTGATAAAACAGACTTTAAACCAACAAAGATCAAAAGAGACAAAGAAGGCCATTACATAATGGTAAAGGGATCAATTCAACAAGAAGAGCTAACTATCCTAAATATATATGCACCCAATACAGAAGCACCCAGATTCATAAAGCAAGTCCTGAGTGACCTACAAAGAGACTTAGACTCCCACACAATAATAATGGGAGACTTTAACACCCCACTGTCAACATTAGATAGATCAACGAGACAGAAAGTTAACAAGGATACCCAAGAATTCAACTCAGCTCTGCACCAAGTGGACCTAATAGACATCTACAGAACTCTCCACCACAAATCAACAGAATATACATTTTTCTCAGCACCATACCACACCTATTCCAAAATTGACCACATAGTTGGAAGTAAAGCTCTCCTCAGTAAATGTAAAAGATCAGAAATTATAACAAACTCTCTCTTAGACCACAGTGCAATCAAACTAGAACTCAGGATTAAGAAACTCACTCAAAACTGCTCAACTACATCGAAACTGAACAACCTGCTCCTGAATGACTACTGGGTACATAACGAAATGAAGGCAGAAATAAAGATGTTCTTTGAAACCAATGAGAACAAAGGCACAACATACCAGAATCTCTGGGACACATTCAAAGCAGTGTGTAGAGGGAAATTTATAGCACTGAATGCCCATAAGAGAAAGCAGGAAAGATTAAAAATTGACACCCTAACATCACAATTAAAAGAACTAGAAAAGCAAGAGCAAACACATTCAAAAGCTAGCAGAAGGCAAGAAATAACTAAAATCAGAGCACAACTGAAGGAAATAGACACACGAAAAACCCTTTAAAAATTAATGAATCCAGGAGCTGGTTTTTTGAAAGGATCAACAAAATTGACAGACCACTAGCAAGACTAATAAAGAAGTAAACTATCACAAGAACAAAAAACCAAGCACCGCATATTCTCACTCATAGGTGGGAATTGAACAATGAGAACACATGGACACAGGAAGGGGAACATCACGCTTTGGGGACTGTTGTGGGGTGGGAGGAGTGGGGAGGGATAGCTTTAGGAGATATACCTAATGCTACATGACAAGTTAATGGGTGCAGCACATCAACATGGCACATGTATACATATGTAACTAACCTGCACATTGTGCACATGTACCCTAAAACTTAAAGAATAATAATAATAAAATAAAATAAATTAAAAAAAAGAAAAAACATCTGGCAAATTGTAAACAAGCAGCAAATAACTATTTCCATTATTATTAGTAGTAATATTATTAGATAAATATATTGCTCAACTGAAGATTGCTAATTAGTGAGTATTGTAGCAATTACCAAACAAGGAAACAAATTTTAAGTCGTTCATTTAAATTCTAGAATAATTAAAAGTTTCAGCTTAATTTCAAATGTATATTATTAGAAGTATTTAAATAAACTAAATTGTGTTGGTATGGAGTAATAAAAAAAAAGAGAAAACAGAGAACAATCAAATAGATGCAATAAAAAATGATAAAGGGTATATCAACACCGATCCCACAGAAATACAAACTACCATCAGAGGATACTACAAACACCTCTACACAAATAAACTAGAAAATCTAGAAGAAATGGATAAATTCCTCGACACATACACCCTCCCAAGACTAAACCAGGAAGAAGTTGAATCTCTGAATACACCAATAACAGGCTCTGAAATTGTGGCAATAATCAATAGCTTACCAACAAAAAAGAGTCCAGGACCAGATGGATTCAAAGCCGAATTCTACCAGAGGTACAAGGAGGAACTGGTACTATTCCTTCTGAAACTATTCCAATCAATAGAAAAAGAGGGAATCCTCCCTAACTCATTTTACGAGGTCAGCATCATCCTGATACCAAAGCCGGGCAGAGACACAACCAAAAAAGAGAATTTTAGACCAATATCCTTGATGAACATTGATGCAAAAATCCTCAATAAAATATTGGCAAACTGAATCCAGCAGCACATCAAAAAGCTTATCCACCATGATCAAGTGGGCTTCATCCTTGGGATCCAAGGTTGGTTCAATATACACAAATCAATAAATGTAATCCAGCATATAAACAGAACCAAAGACAAAAACCACATGATTATCTCAATAGATGCAGAAAAGGCCTTTGACAAAATTCAACAACCTTCATGTTAAAAACTCTCAATAAATTAGGTATTGATGGGACATATCTCAAAATAATAAGAGCTATCTATGACAAACCCACAGCCAATATCATACTGAATGGGCAAAAACTGGAAGCATTCCCTTTGAATACTGGCACAAGACAGGGATGCTCTCTCTCACCGCTCCTATTCAACATAGTGTTGGAAGTTCTGGCCAGGGCAATTAGGCAGGAGAAGGAAATAAAGGGTATTCAATTAGGAAAAGAGGAAGTCAAATTGTCCCTGTTTGCAGATGACATGATTGTATGTCTAGAAAACCCCATTGTCTCAGCCCAAAATCTCCTTAAGCTGATAAGCAACTTCAGCAAAGTCTCAGGATACAAAATCAATGTACAAAAATCACAAGCATTCTTATACACCAATAACAGACAAACAGAGAGCCAAATCATGAGTGAATTCCCATTCGCAATTGCTTCAAAGATAATAAAATACCTGGGAATCCAATTTACAAGGGACATGAAGGACCTCTTCAAGGAGAACTAGAAACCACTGCTCAATGAAATAAAAGAGGATACAAAGAAATGGAAGAACATTCCATGCTCATGGGTAGGAAGAATCAATATTATGAAAATGGCCAACTGCCCAAGGTAATTTACAGATTCAATGCCATCCCCATCAAGCTACCAATGACTTTCTTCACAGAATTGGAAAAAACTACTTTAAAGTTCACATGGAACCAAAAAAGAGCCTGCATCACCAAGTCAATCCTAAGCCAAAAGAACAAAGCCAGAGGCATCACGCTACCTGACTTCAAACTATACTACAAGGCTACAGTAACCAAAACAGCATGGTACTGGTACCAAAACAGAGATATAGATCAATGGAACAGAATGGAGCCCTCAGAAATAATGCCACATATCTACAACTATCTGATCTTTGACAAACCTGAGAAAAACAAGCAATGTGGAAAGGATTCCCTATTTAATAAATGGTGCTGGGAAAACTGGCTAGCCATATGTAGAAAGCTGAAACTGGAGCCCTTCCTTACACCTTATACCAGAATTAATTCAAGATGGAATAAAGACTTAAACATTAGACCTAAAACCATAAAAACCCTAGAAGAAAACCTAGGCATTACCATTCAGGACATAGGCATGGGCAAGGACTTCATGTCTAAAACACCAAAAGCTATGGCAACAAAAGACAAAATTGACAAATGGGATCTAATTAAACTAAAGAGCTTCTGCACAGCAAAAGAAACTACCATCAGAGTGAACAGGCAACCTACAAAATGGGAGAAAATTTTCGCAACCTACTCATCTGACAAAGGGCTAATAGCCAGAATCTATAATGAACTCAAACAAATTTACAAGAAAAAAACAAACAACCCCATCAAAAAGTGGGTGAAGGATATGACCAGACACTTCTCAAAAGAAGACATTTATGCAGCCAAAAAACACGTGAAAAAATGCTCACCATCACTGGCCATCAGAGAAATGCAAATCAAAACCACAATGAGATACCATCTCACACCAGTTAGAATGGCAATCATTAAAAAGTCAGGAAACAACAGGTGCTGGAGAGGATGTGGAGAAATAGGAACACTTTTACACTGTTGGTGGGAATGTAAACTAGTTCAACCATTGTGGAAGTCAGTGTGGCGATTCCTCAGGGATCTAGAACTAGAAATACCATTTGACCCAGCCATCCTATTACTGGGTATATACCCAAAGGACTATAAATCATGCTGCTATAAAGACACATGCACACGTATGTTTATTGCAGCTGTATTCACAATAGCAAAGACTTGGAACCAACCCAAATGTTCAACAATGATAGACTGGATTAAGAAAATGTGGCACATATACACCATGGAATACTATGCAGCCATAAAAAATGATGAGTTCATATCCTTTGTAGGGACATGGATGAAATTGGAAATCATCATTCTCAGTAAACTATTGCAAGGACAAAAAACCAAACACTGCATGTTCTCACTCATAGATGGGAATTGAACAATGAGAACACATGGACACAGGAAGGGGAACATCACATTCTGGGGACTGTTGTGGGGTGTGGGCATGGGGGAGGGATAGCATTAGGATATATACCTAAGGCTAAATGATGAGTTAATGGGTGCAGCACACCAGCATGGCGCATGTATACATATGTAACTAACCTGCACATTATGCACATGTACCCTAAAACTTAAAGTATAATAATAATAAAATAAAATAAAATAAATAAGAATGAGATCATGTCTTTTGTGGGAACACAGATGGAGCTGGAGGCTATTATTCTTAGCAAACTAATGCAGGAACAGAAAACCAAATACTGCATGCTCTTCTTATAAGTGGGGTTAAATGATAAGAATTTAGGAACACAAAGAAGGAAACAACAGACAAAAGGGTCTGCTTGCTAGGAAAGGTTGGGAAGAGGGAGAGGAGCAGAAAGGACAACCACTGGGTACTGGGATTAATACCTGGATGATGAAATAATATGCACAGGAAACCCCCATGACATGTGTTTACCTATGTAACAAACATTCACATGTACCCCCAAATCTAAAATAAGAATGAAAAAAAATTAAAACATAGACCTTAAGTCAAAAACTATAAAAAGAGATAAAGAAAGACATTATATAATGATAAAGGGGTCAATTCCTCCAAAGCATACAACAATTATATGCAGCCAATATCAGAGCACCTAAATGTATAAAACAAATATTAAAGAACCTAAAGGGAGAGATAGATTGCAATACAATATTTGTATGGGAATTTAATACCTCACTTTCAACAATGGACAAATCATCCAGGCAGAAAATTAATAGCAACACATTGGACTTGAACAACACTTTATACCAAATGAACCTAACAGACACACATAGAACATTCCATCTAACAACAAGAGAACGTACATTCTCCTCAGTGAACAAGGAATTCTCCAGAGTAGATCACATGTTAGAAAACAAAATGATCCTTAGCAAATTTAAGAAGATTGAAATCATATCAAGTATCTTTTCAGATTACAATGGTATAAAACTAGGAATCAATAATAGGAGAAACTTCACAAAATTCACAAATATAGGAAATTAAACAACATGCTCCTGCAAAATCAATGATCCAATGAAGAAATTGAAAGGGAAATCAAAACTATCCTGAGAAAAGCAAAAATGGAAACCCAACATACCATAACTTATGGGATATAGCAAAAGCAGTTCTAAGAGAAAAGCTTATAACAATAAATGCCTACATGAAAAAGAAAAAAAGATCTAAAATAAACAACTTGATGTTACTCCTCAAGGAGCTAGGAAAAGAAGGACAAACTAAGCCCAGGGTTAACAGAAAGAAGAAAACAGTAATAGAGCAGAAATAACTAATATAGAGACAAGAAATCAATACAAAAGATCAACAAAACTGAAAGTTGGATTTTTGAAAAGAAAAGCAAAATCAACAAACCTTTAGCTAGACCAAGAAAAAAGAGAGAAGACTCAAATAAAATCACAAATGAAAACAGAAACATTACAATGGATACCACAGAAATACAAAAGATTATAAAAGCCTACTATTAAAAATTATATGCCAACAAATTAGATAACATGGAAATAATAAATTCTTTTTTTATTATACTTCAAGTGCTGGGATACATGTGCAGAATATGAACATTTGTTACATAGGTATACATGTGCCATGGTGGTTTGCTGCACCCATCAACCCATCATCTAGGTTTTAAGCCCTGCATGCATTAGGTGTTTATCTAATGCTCTCCCCCTCCTTGCTCCCCATACCCCAACAGGCCCTGGCATGTGATGTTTCCCTCCCTGTGTTCATGTATTCCATGGGTCAACTCCCACTTATAAGTGAGAACATGCGGTGTTTGCTTTTCTGTTTCTGTGTTAGTTTGCTGAGAATGATGGCTTCCAGCTTTATCCACGTCCCTGCAAAGGACATTAACTCATCTGATTTATGGCTGCATAGTATTCCATGTTGTATATGTGCCACATTTTCTGTATCCAATCTGTTGTTGATGGGCATTTGGGTTGGTTCCAAGTCCTTGCTACTGTGAATAGTCCTGGAATAAACATATGTGTGCATGTGTCTTTATAGTAGAATGATTTATAATCCTTTGGGTATATACCCAGTAATGGGATTGCTGGGTCAAATGGTATTTCTGGTTCTAGATCCTTGAGGAATCACCACACTGTCTTCCACAATGGTTGAAATAATTTATACTCCCACCAACAGTGCAAAAGCATTCCTATTTCTCCACATTCTCTCCAACATCTGTTGTTTCCTGACTTTTTAACAATCTCCATTCTAACTGGCATGAAATAGTATCTCATTGTGGTTTTGATTTGTATTTCTCTAATGACAAGTGATAATGAGCTTTTTTTCAAATGTTTGTTGGCCACATAAATGTCTTCTTTTGAGAAGTGTCTGTTCATATCCTTTGCCCACTTTTTCATGGGGTTGTTTTTTTTTTCTTATAAATTTGTTAAGTTCCTTGTAGATTCTGGATATTAGACCTTTGTCAGATGAATAGACTGCAAAAATTTTCTCCCATTTTTTAGGTTGCCTGTTCACTCTGATGATAGTTTATTTTGCTGTGCAGAAGCTCTTTAGTTTAATTAGATCCCATTTGTCAATTATGGGGGGTTTTGCAATTAGTTTTGGTGTTTTAGTCATGAAGTCTTTGCCCATGCTTAGGTCCTGACTGGTACTGCCTAGGTTTTCTTCTAGGGTTTTTAGGGGTTTAGGTTTTATGTTTAAGTATTTAATCCATCTTGAGTTAATTTTTGTATAAGGAGTAAGGAAGGGGTCCAGTTTCCGTTTTCTGCATATGGCTAGCCAGTTTTCCCAACGCCATTTATTAAATAGGGAATCCTTTCCCCATTGCTTGTTTTTGTCAGGTTTGTCAAAGATCAGATGGTTGTAGATGTGATGGGTTATTTCTGAGGCCTCTGTTCTGTTCCATTCATCAATATATCTGTTTTGGTACCAGTACCATGCTGTTTGGGTTACTGTAGTCTTGTAGCATAGTTTGAAGTCAAGTACAATGATGTCTCCGGGTTTGCTCTTTTTGCTTAGGATTGTCTTGGCTATACGAACTCTTTTTTGGTTCCATATGAAATTTAAAGTACCTTTTTCTAGCTCTGTAAAGAAAGTCAATGGTAGCTTGATGGGAATAGCATTGAATCTATAAATTACTTGGGCAGTATGGCCATTTTCATGATACTGATTCTTCCTATCCATGAGCATGGAATGTTTTTCCATTTGTTTGTGCCCTCTCTTATTTCCTTGAGCAGGTTTGTAGTTCTCCTTGAAGAGGTTCTGCATATCCCTTGTTAAGTTGGATTCCTGGGTATTTTATTTTCTTTGTAGCAATTGTGAATGGTAGTTCATTCATGATTTGGCTCTCTTTTTTACTATTATTGGTATGTAGGAATGCTTGTGATTTTTGCACATTGATTTTGTATCCAGACTTTGCTGAAGTTGCTTATCAGCTTAAGGAGTTTTGGGGCTGAGACATTGGAGTTTTCTAAATGTACAATCATGTCATCTGCAAACAGAGACAATTTGACTGCCTCTCTTCCTATTTGAATACCCTTTACTTCTTTCTCTTGACAGATTGTCCTTGCTGCACTTCCAATACTATGTTGAATAAGAGTGGTGAGAAAGGGCATCCTTGTTTTGTGATGGTTTTCAAAGGGAATGTTTCCAGCATTTGTCCATTCAGTATGATATTGACTATGGGTTTGTCATAAATAGCTCTTATTATTTTGAGATATGTTCAATCAGTACCTAGTTTGTTGAGTGTTTTTAGGATGAAAGGGTGTTAAATTTTATCAAAGAATTTTTATGCATCTATTGAGATAATCGTGGTTTTTGTCATTGGTTCAGTTTATGTGATGGATTACATCTATCAATTTGCAAATGTTGAACCAGCCTTGCGTCCCAGGGATGAAGCCAACTTGATCGTGGTGGATCATCTTTTGATGTGCTGCTAGATTTGGTTTGCCAGTATTTTACTGAGGATTTTCACATCAATGTTCATCAGGGATATTGAACTGAAATTTTGTTTTTTGCTGTGTCTCTGTCAGGTTTGGGTATCAGGATGATGCTGGCCTCATAAAATGAGGTAGGGAGGAGTCCCTCTTTTTCTATTGTTTGGAATAGTTTCAGGAAGAATGGTACCAGCTCTTCTTTGTACATCTAGTGGAATTCAGCTGTGAATTTGTCTGGTCCTGGGCTTTTTTTGGTTGGTAGGCTTTTAATTATTACATCAATTTCAGAACTTGTTACTGGTCTATTCAGGGATTCAACTTCTTCCTGGTTTAGTCTTGGTAAGGTGTATGTGTCCAGGAATTTATCCATTTGTTCTAGCTTTTCTAGTTTATTTGTGTAGAAATGTTTATAGTATTCTCTGATGCTAGTTTTATTTATATAGGATCAGTGGTGAATCCCCTTTATCATTTTTTATTGTATCTATTTGATTCTTCTCTCTTTTCATCTTTATTAGTCTGGCTAGCAGTCTATCTATTTTGTTAATCTTTTTGAAAAACCAGCTCATGGATTTATTGATTTTTTGAAGGGTTTTTCATGTTTCTCTCCTTCAGTTCTGCTCTGATCTTAGTTATTTCTTGTCTTCTGCTAGCTTTTGAATTTGTTTGCTCTTGCTTCTCTAGTTCTTTTACTTTTGATGCTAGGGTGTCAATTTTAGATCATTCCTGCTTTCCAATGTGGGCATTTAGTGCTATAAATTTCCCTCTTAACACTGCTTTAGCTGTGTCCCAGAGATTCCAATATGTTCTGTCTTTTTTCTCAATGGTTTCAAAGAACTTATTTATTTAATTTTGTTATTTAGCCAGTAGTCATTCAGGAGCAGGTTGTTCAGTTTCCAAGTAGATATGCAGCTTTGAGTGAGTTTCTTAATCCTGAGTTCTAATTTGATTGCACTGTCGTGTGAGAGACTGTTTGTTACGATTTCCATTTTTTGCATTTGCTGAGGAGTGTTTTACTTCCAATTATGTGGTCAATTTTAGAATAAGTGTGATGTGGTGCTGAGAAGAATGAATATTCTATTAATTTTGGGTGGAAAGTTCTGTAGATGTCCATTAGGTCTGCTTGGTCCAGAGCTGAGCTCAAGTCCTCAATATCCTTGTTAATTTTCTGTTTTGTTGATTTGTCTAATATTGACAGTGGGGTGTTAAAGTCTCCCACTATTATTGTGTGGGAGTCTAAGTCTCTTTGTAAGTCTCTAAGAACTTGTTTTATGAATCTGGGTGCTCCTGTATTAGGTGCATATATATTTAGGATAGTTAGCTCTTCTTGTTGAATTGAGCCCTTTACCATTATGTAATGCCATTCTTTATCTTTTTAAATTTTTGTTGGTTTAAAGTTGGTTTGTTTTATCAGAGACTAGGATTGCAAGCCCTGCTCTTTTTTGCTTTTCATTTGCTTGGTAAATATTCCTCTATTCCTTTATTTTGAGACTATGTGTGTCTTTGCATGTGAGGTGGGTCTCCTGAATACAGCACACAGATAGGTCTTGACTCTTTATCCAATTTGCCAGTCTGTGTCTTTTAATTGGGGCATTTAGCCCTTTTTCATTCAAGGTTAATATTGTTATGTGTGAATTTGATCATGTCATCCTGATTCTAGCTGGTTATTTTTCACATTAGTTGATACAGTTTCTTCATAGTGTCATTGGTCTTTATATTTTGGTATGTTTTTGTGGTGGCTGATACCAGTTTTTCCTTTCCATATTTAGTGCTTCCTTCAGGAGCTCTTGCAAGGCAGGCCTGGTGGTGACAAAATCCCTCAGCATTTGCTTGTCTTGGAAGTATTTTATTTCTTCTTCACTAATGAAGCTTAGTTTGGCTGGATATGAAATTCTGGGTTGAAAATTATTTTATTTAAGAATGTCAAATATTGGCCCACACTCTCTTCTGACTTGTAAGGTTTCTGCAGAGAGATCCACTATTAGTCTAGTGGCCTTCCCTTTGTAGGTAACTTGACCCTTCTCTCTGGCTGTCCTTAAGTTTTTCTTTTGTTTCAACCTTGGAGAATATGACAATTATGTGTCTTGGGGTTGTTCTTCTTGAGGAGTATCTCAGTGGTGTTCTCTGTATTTCCTGAATTTGCATTCATTTTGCTTTGGATTGCTTTGGTTATTCAGGCTCTTTTTTGGCTCTAAGTGAATTTTAGAATAGCTTTTTGCTAGTTCTGTGAAAAATAACATTAGTAGTTTTATAGGAATGGCATTGAATCTGTAGATTGCTTTGAGCAGTATGGCCATTTCAATGATATTGAATTTTCCAATCCATGAGCATGGAATATTTTTCCATTTGTTTTTGTCATTCATGATGTCTTTTAGCCATGTTTTGTAGTTCTTCTTACAGAGACCTTTCACCTCCTTGGTTAGACGTCTTCCTAAGTATTTTATTTTTTGTGTGACTATTATAAATGAGATTGCATTCTTGATTTGGCTCTCAGCTTGAATGTTATTGGTGTATAGAAAGGTCACTGATCTTTGTACATTGATTTCATATCCTGAAACTTCATTGAAGCCATTTATCAGTTCCAGGAGCTTTTTGGCAGTCATTAGGGTTTTCTAAATAGAGAATCATGTTGTACACAAAAAGAGATAGCTTGACTTCTTCTTTTCCTATTTGGATGCCTTTTATTTCTTTCTCTTGCCTAATTGCTCTGGCTAGGACTTTTTGGTGGTGGTGTTGTTGTTTGCTTTCATTTTTGTTTCTGTTTTGAGACAGGGTCTCATTTTGTCATCCAGGCTGGAGTGCAGTGGTACGATCATGCCTTACTGCAGCCTCAACCTCAAGTGATCCTCCCACCAAATCTTGAGTACAGGCATATGCCAACATACAGAGCTAATTTTTAAAAAAATTTTGTAGAGATAGGGTCTCCCTATGTTGCCCAGGCTGGTCTTGAATTCCTGGGCTCAAGAAATTTTCCCTTCTGGGCCTCCCAAAGCACTGGAATTACAGACATGAACCACCATGTCCAGTCTATTTCTGTCATACATCTAATTTAGCCATGCAGTTAGCCCATTTAACTTTTGTCTCTTTAAGATAATACTTAAATTTTCACTCAGTGTGTTTCAAGTATATGTCCTTATTTTACATGTGCTATTATCTATAAGTATAATTGATAATTAAAGAATTTCTACATAATTATTCTAGTGCAACTGAGATATATATATCTTCAAATTTCAAAAATATTCAGTTATGTTATTTCACTGGAAAATGTAACATATTCTTTAAAGCTGTGGGCTACTTGGTACACTAAACACTGCTCCAAAGTATAGTGTCAGTTCAAATTCAGAAGTGAGTATTTTTTAAGTTTATATTTATATGCCTCTAAACTGTCTAATGATAATTCAGGTCATGCTTTTTCATTGGTTGGCATTAAAAATCTATTATTTTATCTCTATTGAACTTAATTAAATGCTAGTTTGCTCAAAGTACCATGACCAGTAATAAATTAAATATATTCCTGGCAAGTCTATTCAAAAATAATATATCTCTCATTCCCATTAAATGACACTCATATTATAATTATAATTCCAAAGGTAAAGAGGGACATTTTCTAAATATATTTTGATGATCAATTTTTTTATATTCACATATCACATCTCCAGCACAAATACCTAATTAGAAATTTTCCTTATCTTAATCTTTGATAATCATCACTTTTCTCACGAAGTAAAAATATACAACTACAGTCTTTAGCCACATGATAGTTTATTGTGATTAGAGCCCTTGTCACCAAGTAACCCTGCCTATAGTTAGAATAATTCTTCACTTACAGACTTATTTTCAGGCCACCTAACTAGCTATGTGGACATATAATGACATATATCGACCACATAAGACATTAAATTTTAAGAAAAGAACACAAAAATGCTCAAGAACCATTACACTACAAGGAAAACAGCATTATGTACTAGAAGAAAACACAGACCTAAAGCAAATAAATACTCTCAGGTAATATCATTGTTGTCATAGTAAGCGTGTAGGAGGCACAGAACTTCACAGAGGATGAAAAAAGATACTGAGCTTGTGTGTCTCATGGCTTCCTAGAGAAGTCATCCTATCCAGAGTTTCATAGGCTGTATAGGGAATTGCTACATAGATGAGGGGGCATTGTGAGCCTGTGCTGGGCTCAGGGGCCAGACACATCATGGTGGTCTTGGGAAACCACAAGTAGTCTGGTACTGTTGCTTCCAAAAGTGTGAAAGCCTGGGGGAGGTAAACAGGGGCCAGACCACACATGGCCTCACAGATCATGCTAAGAAGCTTGAATTTAATTATGTGGGAAAGGGGAATTACTAAAAGGTTTTCACAAAGGAGGCCAGTCAGGAGCTCTTTGTTTAGTCCAGGTAAGAAACGACAGAATTTTATCAAATGACACCAGCAAAACAAATGGAAAGATGGAATTCATACAGGTGTAGGGTATAAAATGGACAGATCTTGGTGTCTGGTTAGAAGTTCAACCTGAGGTGTGGCAGGAAAGGGAGAGACAAGCAGAGCAGGAGTCCCAGGTAGAACCTGACTCAGTAAGAACCCAGTCCAACCTCTGCCATGCATTGTGCACCTCAGTGTCCCCACCTCTCAGAGAAGGAGTGAGACAAGATTATCTCTAAGGTCCCTTCCAATACAAACATGTTGTAATCCTACCTTATGAATCTAGCCTTTCTGTAGCACAGAGACAGGACCAGCTCCAGTGTTAGGCAGAAGGCTGGAGGGACAAATATCACTCAAAAAAAAAAAAAAAAAGCTCAGGCTTGCCATTAAAGGCATTGAATGCAAATAGACACAAATTATTAAACATCTTTAAATGTGAACCTATTTGATAAGTGTGAGGTCTTATCATCTAACCATCTCATGTCTGAAAGGAAATAAGATTGTAAGTTCTTTAAGAAAGACATCAATTTCTTGTGGTATTCATTATCTAATACACTGTGCCTGCTTCACCCTAAAAAAAAAAAAAAAAAAATCAAATGTGATTGCTTGATTATAATGTTCCGGGCATTTGGAATATTGTTCTACATTGGAAACGAATTTTATTTATATCATCATCTGAGAGACCATGTAGTAATACATAACATATTCAAATTGCCTGCCATACAGACTGCAAAAGCCTGAGTTTTCTCTCTCCCTCTACAAAAGGCAAACAACAAATCCTCAAGGGTCTTGTAAATGTTACAGGAAGTTTGTAAGCTAAGTAGATTTTTGCAATGCTAACGATTTTTCTTTCTTGCCGAGACTCATTTACTTACTCAAAATAGCAACATTCCTTTTCCTTATATATATTTCATTTTCCTTCTCCAAAGCCAGAGTTTAAGTACACAATTCTGAAAATTGTCAATCAGCCTGATTCTCCCTGTGGCTAAGCTACTCCATAATTATAAGCTAGACATCCTCTTAGGTCACTAGGGTCTCAAGTCTGTGAATATTTATAAAATAGTCTCCCCAGTGAGCAAATAAATGTTAATGCTTCTACCAAACGTGATTAACAAAAAAACTTATTCTCATGAAGAAGTGCATAATTGTAATAAGATCAGAAATTAACTCAAACTCCAATAACAATTAACTTAGAATTGTTTTTAGTGTAGGAAATATTATTGCAAGCTTTAATCTGTAAGTTATAGTGTTTCTAAGACAAAAACCTCAAAAAGCATTAACACGCGGTTCTCGAAGGTTTCTGCCGGAACTCCATTTATGCATACAACTAATTCACTTATCCTACCACATGTATTCATTCAAAACACATGTTGAATTCCTTTTATAAGCAAAGAATCCAGTATACAGAAGTAAATACCACTGGCATGGTCCCTAGCCTCATAGAAATTAAAGTCACCAAGTCGCCTCCTGGCAGAGACAGATAGTCAACAAGAAGTATTACAAATATTGTTTCTCCCCAAGGCTGAGCCCCAGCCTCACTCCCAGCAGCTTCCGCCTGCTGAGTTGAAGGTACCCATGTTGTCTGAGCAGCTATTCAACTTTTTATTACACTGATGGAGGTACTGGGCAAGGTAGTAGAAAGAAAAAGAAAAGCCAGAAAATCTAGAAATGTTAATGATATTTAGAGTAGAAATAACAGAGCTACTTCTGGGAGGAAAAGAGCTGCTACTATAAGACAGGAAACAGCTCTATATACTCTGGGTTTTGACCAATGTTGCTGACCACGATGGAAAAACAAGGACTACTGAATTTATCCCCCTGCCATGAACAACTAGAAAAATGGAAAAAACATGAAACAATGGCTTTGTGTTTTCTCAAGGGCAGGCAGTCAAAATTTTGGGGTTTTTTTGAATAAAATGCCAGATTTCCTCGAATGTGAGCTTTAATGGTTGGCCTTGTTTGTGTTATAGTTGGACAGCTACTAGCCATCAGAGATTTAGAGCCAAAGTGCAATACTCACCTTGCCTCAGACAAAATATTCACTGCATATTTGTGCAAAAGGAACACCTTTACTCTGGCAGAAGGAATATTGCAATTACAGGGTACAGAGATACAAAGTGGCCATTCTTAGACATTTACACAGAGCCAGAGAGAAATAATGAATACTACTCTAAGAATTCTTGATGGGTTCACTAAACTGAAGAAGCTGAAGAAATGAAGCCTTCTAGCAACTCAGCTTCCATGGATATCATATTTCTTAAGAAATTAGGATCTCTGGATGAAGAAGGTGATCAATGGCAGACAAGTTGGGACTACTTCAAGGCCTTTGGTGCATTTCAACATCTGAGATCAGACTGCTGAAGATTCAGCTGCCACCATGAGTCAATTGGGTAAGCACACATAGGAAAAAGAATGCTACTTGAAATTTGGGAAAGGTAGGTAAGTTTCCTAGCAGGCATTGGGACTGAGAAAACAAGAGGCTGAGTCATTTTTAGAGCATGCCACAGAAATGATGCCCATGTGAATGACAAACATAAGAGAGAAATGCTGCTCTCTAAGCAGGAGGGACTGGGCTGTACTAGGTATTATGCATGTCATCAAAATGCTCAGGATCTCTGTATCTGTGGCAGACAACTTCACAGTTCCACAAAGAGTATACAGCAGAGTAGAGAACACCTGGGATTCACAGTCTGATCTCATAAACCTGAGCCTAAGTGACCTAAATCAAAGGTCACGACCTGGTTGTACTTGACAGGTAGAATATTTTATTTGATCTGCACAATGTTTTAGAAATCGGAAAATTTCTCACAGAAATCTATACTGTTGCATTCTCTGAAAAGATTAGAAAAACTAGAACACTAAATAATGGCAGCCAGACTTTTCTAAATGGAGCATGGACCCACCAGTCCCCTCAGTCTCTCTCTTCTCTATGCTGGTTCATCCAATATGGCAGACATTACTTCTCTGCTTCTTCCTTGGAAATAGCTGGCTTTCTTTAAGGCAGCAATGATGCCAGCATCCAGAAAAATACTTACTTTGGAAAACATCCTTTTGCAGCAAATGGTGGCCATGTGACAATGTTCTGGCCAGTAAAACATCAGGAAGTTATAGGAAGGCCTTACTTTTCCTTCTTAAAAGATGTGCCGTGTGTGTGTGTGTGTGTGCGTGTGTGTGTGTGTGTGTGCGCGCAAAGTGGCAGATGGAGGCATTGCAAGCATACTTCTCCCACTTGGAAGGACAAAGTAGCATGTAGAGATTCACACTGTGAACTGTTTTTTTCAAGAAGCAATGCAGGAACTAAACAGGAAAACCAAAGGAATCCACAGATCCTTTGAAGGAAACGATAGGCTACAGCCTATACTGTAATTCAAGTGAAGGATTGTGAGTCCCCAGAGTGTGAAAGGGGGAGAGACTGCCTCCAGACTATACACCCCTATGGGGGAGCCTGAAAGTCCAAGCCATGGGGGAAGACCTTAACCCTATAGAGCACAGAAACTGACTTAAGGAGAGTCCTGGAATATAAAAGTAAGAGAACCAGTGGGAAGAACCTTGAGGGTACTCTCAATCTCCAGCACAGACCAAGGGAAGCCATTCCTAATTGGTCATCATAGGAGACCCTTCAGAAGTCAGCCAAATATTTCAGGTAGTGGTCACAGGTTGAAAGAAGCCCCCACCTGGGTTTCATGATATAACCTCAGGTGGGGACAAACTCCTTTGGCCAGGGATGGGTGGGGGCTGGGGGAAGAGGGGACACAAGTGAAAAGTGGACTGCAGCTGTGAGTGCAGAAGCTGGGCACCAGTCTTTGCAGGTGGATTGGGAAGTATGTGGCCTGAAATCTGTGGTTGCTGTCTTTACAGGGAGAGGTTTTGACCTGGGGCAGTTGCGAGTTCTGTGTGCAGGCTGCCTAGAACGTAGCTCACTGCTGCCAGTGGAACACTGAAGGAGATGATCTGCCTTGCCAAGTGTATGGGATCCGTGTGGGGCTGACTGCCACCTGCTACTCCCCACTCTCTGTGTGAGCTTGTCTGTGCAGGAGAGGCAGCAACACTCCCCTCTAGAACATCAACCCAGTGGCCTGAGAACCACCCCTATCCCCCAAAACCCACAGAGGCTGCTGCTTGCCCTGCACATGGAGACTCAGAAAGCAAACCCACCTGACCCAGCCCCTACCTGGCTTTGCCCTGCCACCCACCCTTGTAGCTTAACACAAAGGACAGAAACTTTTGGGAGCTCTATGGCCTTACCCACTGCCTGAGGAAATAAAGTACCCACCCAGGGCAACGCAGGCAAGCAAAAATCCCACTGCTACTACCCCAGCTGGTGCTCTTTAGCAAGTGCCACCTACTGGCTGGATGACAACCAACAAAGACCATTATAGCATCTCCTAGTAGAATAACACTGTGCCCAGGAAGGAGAAAACAGCTGCATGACCTCAGCTATCACCACTGCCTGTACCACTTGGACTAACCAGGAGGTCCTGAGTCTGTCCACATGACCAGTTCATTACTACTATAACCAGCACTTGAGAAAGCCAACACACTAAGATTATCAATGAGACTTGAGGAGAAGTCACATCAGTGGATCCCTTGCAACACCAACCTGGAGTGTGGCAACTTCACTGGGTGGCTAGATCCAGAGGAGCAACAACACTCACAGTAGTCTGGCTCCCAGGGACTCCCACTCCTATGGAAGGGGGAGTACACCACATCATGAAAACACCCTGTAGGACAAAAGAATCTACAGAGCAGGCCTTCAGCACCAGTTCTTTCTGCTTGTGGGAAGTTTCAGCAGAAGCACAATTGCAGTGCTGTGTTCAGCAGGGAAACTTTGCAGCTCTAATCCAACAGTCAGACAGCCCTAGCACACATGAAGGGACTTGGAGAAGTGGATGTCTTTCCTCCCTGGTGCGCAACCACAAGCACAGTTGGGGCTTCTATCACAGGAGCTTAGTGTGGGTGCAACTATAGACAGCCTTTCTGGAACATATCAGGGTGACCGCATACCTACAGGAGGAGCATCCTCCAGGTTCAGGCTTGCACGAGAAATAGAGTCACAATTGCTCTCTACTTGAAACATCAACATTCCTACAGACAAAAAGAGGTGCCTGTCTGATATGAATAGCCAGAGCACTGGGACAGGAGTGTGCCTGAGAGGTAGATAGCTTTCCTGCTGATCTGGCAGTGGAACTGAGTTGGAGTTGGATCCAACCCTTCCCCCTGATAAGACCAGGTCAGCAAGAAAGCTCTCTGCCTCTCAGGCACAAATGGGTTTAACAGATGTTTACAGAAAATTCTACCTAACACCTGCAGAATATACATGCTCATCAGCATATGGAACATTCTCCAAGATAGACCATATGATAGACCACAAAACAAATCTCAATAAATTTTTAAAAATTGAAGTCATATCAAGTATTTTCTCAGACCACAGCAGAATAAAATTAAAAATCAACTCCAAAAGTAACCCTTAGAACTATACAAATAATCTGCTCCTGAATTATTTTGGGGTTAACAATGAAATCAAGATGGACATTTAAAAATTCTTTGAATTAATAATAATGATGACACAAGTTATCAAAACCTCTGGGATACAGCAAAAAGCAGTGCTAAGATGAAAGTTTATAGTGCTAAATGCCTACCTCAAAAAGTCAAGTCTGAAAGAGCACAAGGTGACAACTCCTAAAAGAGCTCCTGAAGGAAGCACTAAACATGGAAAGGAACAACTGGTACCAGCCACTGCAAAATCATGCCAAAATGTAAAGACCATCGAGACTAGGAAGAAACTGCATCAACTAACGAGCAAAATAACCAGCTAACATCATCATGACAGGATCAAATTCACACATAACAATATTAACTTTAAATGTAAATGGACTAAATGCTCCAATTAAAAGACACAGACTGGCAAATTGGATAAACAGTCAAGACCCATCAGTGTGCTGTATTCAGGAAACCCATCTCACATGCAGAGACACACATAGGCTCAAAATAAAAGGATGGAGGAAGATCTACCAAGCAAATGGAAAACAAATAAGGCAGGGGTTGCAATCCTAGTCTCTGATAAAACAGACTTTAAACCAACAAAGATCAAAAGAGACAAAGAAGGCCATTACATAATGGTAAAGGGATCAATTCAACAACAAGAGCTAACTATCCTAAATATATATGCACCCAATAGAGGAGCAACAAGATTCATAAAGCAAGTCCTGAGTGACCTACAAAGAGACTTAGACTCCCACACATTAATAATGGGAGACTTTAACACCCCACTGTCAACATTAGATAGATCAACGAGACAGAAAGTCAACAAGGACACCCAGGAATTGAACTCAGCTCTGCACCAAGCGGACCTAATAGACATCTACAGAACTCTCCACCCCAAATCAACAGAATATACATTTTTTTCAGCACCACACCACACCTATTCCAAAACTGACCACATACATGGACACTCTTATAGACATGCAAAATGCTCTGGAAAGTCTCAGCAATAGAATTGAACAAGCGGAAGAAAGAAATTCAGAGCTCTAAGACAAGGTCTTTGAATTAACCCAATCCAACACAGACAAAGAAAAAAGAATAAGAAAATATGAACAAAGCTTCCAAGAAGTCTGGGATTATGTTAAACAACCAAACCTAAGAATAATTGGTGTTCCTGAGGAAGAAGAGAAATCTAAAAGTCTGGGAAACATATTTGGGGAAATAATCAAGGAAAACTTCCCCAGCTTTGCTAGAGACCTAGACACTGAAATACAGGAAGCACAAAGAACACCTGGGAAGTTCAACGCAAAAAGATCATCACCTAGGCACATTATTGTCAGGTTATCTAAAGTTAAGACAAAGGAAATCATCTTAAGAGCTTTGAGACAAAAGCACCAGGTAACCTAAAGAAGAAAACCTATCAGATTAACAGCAGATTTCTCAGCAGAAATCCTACAAGCTAGAAGGGATTGGGGCCCTATCTTCAGCCTCCTCAAACAAAAGAATTTTGTATCCAGCAAAACTAAGCTTCATATATGAGGGAAAGATACAGTCTTTTTCAGACAAACAAATGCTGAGAGAATTCACCACTACCAAGCCACCAGTATAAAAACTGCTAAAAGTAGCTCTAAATCTTGAAACAAATACTGAAAACACATCAAAACAGAACCTCTTTAAAGTATAAATCGTACAGGACCTATAAAACAAAAATACAAGTTAAAAAACAAAAACAAAAAATCAAGGTACACAGGCAACAAATAGCACAATGAATGGAATGTTACCTCACATCTCAATACTAACATTGAATGTGAATGGCCTAAATGATCCACTTAAAAGATACAGAATTGGAGAATGGAAAAGAATTCACCCACCAACTATCTGCTGCCTACAAGTGACTCACCTAACACATAAGGACTCACAGAAACTTAAGGTAAAGGGATGGAAAAAGACATTTTATGCAAATGGATACCAAAAGTAAGCAGGAGTGGCTCTTATATCAGACAAAATAAAATTTAAAGCAACAGCAGTTAAAAAGGCAAAGAGGGACACTATATAATAATAAAAGGCCTTGTACAACAGGAAAATACCACAATCCTAAACATATATGCACCTAACACTAGAGGTCCCAAATTTATAAAACAATTACTAATAGATCTAAGAAATCAGACAGCAACACAATAATAATGGCGGATTTCAACACTCCACTGACAGCACTGAACAGGTCATCAGGACAGAAAGTCAACAAAAAAAAACAATGGATTTAAACTATGTCTGGGAACAAATGGACTTAACAGATATATACAGAACATTCCATCCAACAACTGCAGAACACACATTCTATTCAACAGCATGTGGAACTTTCTCCAAGACAGACCATATGATAGGCCACAAAACAAGCCTCAATAAATTTAAGAAAATTGAAATTATGGCAAGCACTCTCTCAGACCACAGTGGAATAAAACTGGAAATCAACTCCAAAAGGAGTCTTCAAAACCATGCAAATATGTGGAAATTAAATAACCTGCTCCTGAATGATCACTGGGTCAAAAACCAAATCAAGATGGAAATTTAAAAAATTCTTCAAACTGAATGACAATAGTGACACAACCTATCAAAACCTCTGGGACACAGCAAAGGTGGTACTAAGAGGAAAGTTCATATCCCTAAATGCCTACATCAAAAAGTCTGAAAGAGTGCAAACAATCTAAGGTCACACCTCAAGGAACTAGAGAAATAAGAACAAACCAAACCCAAACCCAGCAGAAGAAAGGAAATAACCAAGACCAGAGCAGATCCAAATGAAATTGAAACAAAAAAAAATACCAAAAGATAAATGAAACAAAAAGCTGGTTCTTTGACAAGATAAATAAAATTGATAAAATTATGAAGATTAACCAAGAAAAGAAAAGACAAAATCCAAATAAGCTCAATAAGAAACAAAGTGGGAGATATTACAACTGACACCACAGAAACACAAAAGATCATTCACGGCTACTAAACATCTTTATGCATAAAAACTAGAAAATCTAGAAGAGACGGATAAATTCCTGAAAAAAAATACAACTCTCCTAGCTTAAATCAGGAAGAATTAGATACCCTGAACAGACCAATAACAAGCAGAGAGATTGAAATGGTAATTTAAAAATTACGAACATAAAAAGTCCAGGACCAGATGGATTCACAGCAGAATTCTACCAGATGTTCAAAGAATTGGTACCAATCCTTTTGACACTATTCCACAAGATAGAGAAAGAGTGATCCCTCCCTAATTCATTCTATGAAGCCAGCATCACCCTAATACCAAAACCAGGAAAGGACATAACCAAAAAAGAAAACTACAGACCAAAATCCCTGATAAACATAGATGCTAAAATCCTTAACAAAATACTAGCTAACCGAATCCAACAACATATCAAAAAGATAATCCGCCATGATCAAGTGGGTTTCGTACTAGGGATGCAGGGATGGTTTAACATATGCAAGTCAATAAACGTGATACGCCACGTAAACAGAACTTTTTAAAAATCACATGATCATCTCAATAAATACAGAAAAAGCATTCAACAAAATCCAGCATCCCTTATGATTAAAACTCTCAGCAAAATCGGCATACAAGAAACACCTCAACATAATAAAAGCCATCTATGACAAACCCACAGCCAACATTATACTGAATGGGGAAAAGTTGAAAGCATTTCCTCTGATACCTGGAACAAGATAAGGATGCCTACTCTCACCACTCCTCTTCAACCTAGTACTAGAAGCCCTAGCCAGAGCAATCAGACAACAGAAAGAAACAAAGGGCATCCAGAGCTGCCCCCTTCTGCGCGGTCACGCTGAGCCAGCACCTGGGCCTGGAACCAGGCCACAGCCCCCCAGCTTTGCCCACCACCTCCCTACCATGGACGCCCGCAAAGTGAACGAGCTTCGGGCCTTTGTGAAAATGTGTAAGCAGGATCCGAGCATTCTGCACACCGAGGAAATGCACTTCCTGAGGGAGTGGGTGGAGAGCATGGGAGGTAAAGTACCACCTGCTACTCAGAAAGCTAAATCAGAAGAAAATACCAAGGAAGAAAAACCTGACAGTAAGAAGGTGGAGGAAGACTTAAAGGCAGACGAACCATCAAGTGAGGAAAGTGATCTAGAAATTGATAAAGAAGGTGTGATTGAACCAGACACTGATGCTCCTCAAGAAATGGGAGATGGGCGCAAGGCTCCGGACTCCACGGTGCAGACTGCACCTCGCAGTCTCCCCAGGTCCGCGCAGCAGCCACGCTTCAGCCAGAATACTGGGATCTTCAGTGGCAGGAGGAGTAATCAGAAGATGGAGATGAATTTTAACATTATTTTGGAAGAGATTCTTATTAAAAGGTCACAGCAGAAAAAGAAGACATCACCCTTAAACTACAAAGAGAGACTTTTTGTACTTACAAAGCCCATGCTAACCTACTATGAGGGTCGAGCAGAGCAATTTTTAGTGATATCAAAAAGTCTAGTTTTGAAGATGGCCGAATAGGAACAGCTCTGGTCTACAGCTCCCAGCGTGAGCGACGCAGAAGAAGGGTGATTTCTGCATTTCCATCTGAGGTACCGGGTTCATCTCACTAGGGAGTGCCAGACAGTGGGCGCAGGTCAGTGGGTGTGGGCACTGTGCGTGAGCCAAAGCAGGGCAAGGCATTGCCTCACTTGGGAAGTGCAAGGGGTCAGGGAGTTCCCTTTCCGAGTGAAAGAAAGGGGTGACTGACGCACCTGGAAAATCGGGTCACTCCCACCCGAATACTGCGCTTTTCAGACCGGCTTAAAAAACGGCGCATCACGAGATTATATCCCGCACCTGGCTCGGAGTGTCCTACGCCCACGGAGTCTGGCTGATTGCTAGCACAGCAGTCTGAGATCAAACTGCAAGGTGGCAGTGAGGCTGGGGGAGGGGCGCCCACAATAGCCCAGGCTTGCTTAGGTAAACAAAGCAGCTGGGAAGCTCTAACTGGGTGGAGCCCACCACAGCTCAAGGAGGCCTGCCTGCCTCTGTAGGCTCCACCTCTGGAGGCAGGGCGCAGACAAACAAAAAGAAAGCAGTAACCTCTGCAGACTTAAATGTCCCTGTCTGACAGCTTTGAAGAGAGCAGTGGTTCTCCCAGCACGCAGCTGGAGATCTGAGAACGGGCAGACTGCCTCCTCAAGTGGGTCTCTGACCCCTGACCCCCTAGCAGCCTAACTGGGAGGCACCCCCCAGCAGGGGCACACTGACCCCTCACACGGCAGGGTATTCCAACAGACCTGCAGCTGACGGTCCTGTCTGTTAGAAGGAAAACTAACTAACGGAAAGGACATCCACACCAAAAACCCATCTGTACATCACCATCATCAAAGACCAAAAGTAGATAAAACCACAAAGATGGGGAAAAAACAGAACAGAAAAACTGGAAACTCTAAAAAGCAGAGTGCCTCTCCTCCTCTAAAAGAACGCAGTTCCTCACCAGCAACACAACAAAGCTGGATGGAGAATGACTTTGACGAGCTGAGAGGAGAAGGCTTCAGACGATCAAATTACTCTGAGCTATGGGAGGACATTCAGACCAAAGGCAAAGAAGTTGAAAACTTTGAAAAAAATTTAGAAGAATGTATAACTAGAATAACCAATACAGAGAAGTGCTTAAAGGAGCTGATGGAGCTGAAAACCAAGGCTCGAAAACTACATGAAGAATGCAGAAGCCTCAGGAGCTGATGCGATCAACTGGAGGAAACTGTATCAGCAACGGAAGATGAAATGAATGAAATGAAGCAAGAAGGGAAGTTTAGAGAAAAAAGGATAAAAAGAAATGAGCAAAGCCTCCAAGAAATATGGGACTATGTGAAAAGACCAAATCTACGTCTGATTGGTGTACCTGAAAGTGATGGGGAGAATGGAACCAAGATGGAAAACACTCTGCAGGATATTATCCAGGAGAACTTCCCCAATCTAGCAAGGCAGGCCAACGTTCAGATTCAGGAAATACAGAGAACGTCACAAAGATACTCCTCAAGAAGAGCAACTCCAAGACACATAACTGTCAGATTCACCAAAGTTGAAATGAAGGAAAAAATGTTAAGGGCAGCCAGAGAGAAAGGTCAGGTTACCCTCAAAGGGAAGCCCATCAGACTAACAGCGGATCTCTTGGCAGAAACCCTACAAGCCAGAAGAGAGTGGGGGCCAATATTCAACATTCTTAAAGAAAAGAATTTTCAACCCAGAATTTCATATCCAGCCAAACTAAGCTTCATAAGTGAAGGAGAAATAAAATACTCTACAGACAAGCAAATGCTGAGAGATTTTGTCACCACCAGGCCTGCCCTAAAAGAGCTCCTGAAGGAAGTGCTAAACATGGAAAGGAACAACCAGTACCAGCCGCTGCAAAATCATGCCAAAATGTAAAGACCATCGAGACTAGGAAGAAACTGCATCAACTAACGAGCAAAATAACCGGCTAACATCATCGTGACAGGATCAGATTCACACATAACAGTATTAACTTTAAATGTAAATGGACTAAATGCTCCAATTAAAAGACACAGACTGGCAAATTGGATAAACAGTCAAGACCCATCAGTGTGCTGTATTCAGGAAACCCATCTCACATACAGAGACACACATAGGCTCAAAATGAAAGGATGGAGGAAGATCTACCAAGCAAATGGAAAACAAAAAAAGGCAGGGGTCGCAATCCTAGTCTCTGATAAAACAGACTTTAAACCAACAAAGATCAAAAGAGACAAAGAAGGCCATTACATAATGGTAAAGGGATCAATTCAACAACAAGCGCTAACTATCCTAAATATATATGTACCCAATACAGGAGCACCCAGATTCATAAAGCAAGTCCTGAGTGACCTACAAAGAGACTTAGACTCCCACACATTAATAATGGGAGACTTTAACACCCCACTGTCAACATTAGACAGATCAACGAGACAGAAAGTCAACAAGGATACCCAGGAATTGAACTCAGCTCTGCACCAAGTGGACCTAATAGACATCTACAGAACTCTCCACCCCAAATCAACAGAATATACATTTTTTTCAGCACCACACCACACCTATTCCAAAATTGACCACATACTTGGAATTAAAGCTCTCCTCAGCAAATGTAAAAGAACAGAGATTATAACAAACTATCTCTCAGACCACAGTGCAATCAAACTAGAACTCAGGATTAAGAAACTCACTCAAAACCGCTCAACTACATGGAAACTGAACAACCTGCTCCTGAATGACTACTGAGTACATAACGAAATGAAGGCAGAAATAAAGATGTTCTTTGAAACCAACGAGAACAAAGACACAACATACCAGAATCTCTGGGATGCATTCAAAGCAGTGTGTAGAGGGAAATTTATAGCACTAAATGCCCACAAGAGAAAGCAGGAAAGATCCAAAATTTACACCCTAACATCACAATTAAGAGAACTAGAAAAGCAAGAGCAAACACATTCAAAAGCTAGCAGAAGGCAAGAAATAACTAAAATCAGAGCAGAACTGAAGGAAATAGAGACACAAAAAAACCTTCAAAAAATTAATGAATCCAGGAGCTGGTTTTTTGAAAGGATCAACAAAATTGATAGACCGCTAGCAAGACTAATAAAGAAAAAAAGAGAGAAGAATCAAATAGACACAGTAAAAAATGATAAAGGGGATATCACCACCGATCCCACAGAAATACAAACTACCATCAGAGAATACTACAAACACCTCTACGCAAATAAACTAGAAAATCTAGCAGAAATGGATAAATTCCTCGACACGTATGTGTCTCTCCCAAGACTAAACCAGGAAGAAGTTGAATCTTTGAATAGACCAATAACAGGATCTGAAATTGTGGCAATAATCAATAGTTTACCAACCAAAAAGGGTCCAGGACCAGATGGATTCACAGCCGAATTCTGCCAGAGGTACAAGGAGGAACTGGTACCATTCCTTCTGAAACTATTCCAATCAATAGAAAAAGAAGGAATCCTCCCTAACTCATTTTATGAGGCCAGCATCATTCTGATAACAAAGCCGGGCAGAGAAACAACCAAAAAAGAGAATTTTAGACCAATATCCTTGATGAACATTGATGCAAAAATCCTCAATAAAATACTGGCAAACCGAATCCAGCAGCACATCAAAAAGCTTATCCACCATGATCAAGTGGGCTTCATCCCTGGGATGCAAGGCTGGTTCAATAAACGCAAATCAATAAATGTAATCCAGCATATAAACAGAGCCAAAGACAAAAAACACATGATTATCTCAATAGATGCAGAAAAAGCCTTTGACAAAATTCAACAATGCTTCATGCTAAAAACTCTCAATAAATTAGGTATTGATGGGACCTATTTCAAAGTAATAAGAGCTATCTATGACAACCCCACAGCCAATATCATACTGAATGGGCAAAAACTGGAAGCATTCCCTTTGAAAACTGGCACAAGACAGGGGTGTCCTCTCTCACCACTCCTATTCAACATAGTGTTGGAAGTTCTGGCCAGGGCAATTAGGCAGGAGAAGGAAATAAAGGGTATTCAATTAGGAAAAGAGGAAGTCAAATTGTCCCTGTTTGCAGATGACATGATTGTATATCTAGAAAACCCCATCGTCTCAGCCCAAAATCTCCTTAAGCTGATAAGCAACTTCAGCAAAGTCTCAGGATACAAAATCAAGTACAAAAATCACAAGCATTCTTATACACCAACAACAGACAAACAGAGAGCCAAATCATGAGTGAACTCCCATTCACAATTGCTTCAAAGAGAATAAAATACCTAGGAATCCAACTTACAAGGGATGTGAAGGACCCCTTCAAGGAGAACTACAAACCACTGCTCAAGGAAATAAAAGAGGATACAAACAAATGGAAGAACATTCCATGCTCATGGGTAGGAAGAATCAATATCATGAAAATGGCCATACTGCCCAAGGTAATTTACAGATTCAATGCCATCCCCATCAAGCTACCAAGGCCTTTCTTCACAGAATTGGAAAAAACTACTTAAAAGTTCATATGGAACCGAAAAAGAGCCCGCATCGCCAAGTCAATCCTAAGCCAAAAGAACAAAGCTGGAGGCATCACACTACCTGACTTCAAACTATACTACAAGGCTACAGTAACCAAAACAGCATGGTACTGGTACCAAAACAGAGATATAGATCAATGGAACAGAACAGAGCCCTCAGAAATAATGCCGCATATCTACAATTATCTGATCTTTGACAAACCTGACAAAAACAAGAAATGGGGAAAGGATTCCCTATTTAATAAATGGTGCTGGGAAAACTGGCTAGCCATATGTAGAAAGCTGAAACTGGATCCCTTCCTTACACCTTATACAAAAATCAATTCAAGATGGATTAAAGACTTAAACGTTAGACCTAAAACCATAAAAACCCTAGAAGAAAACCTAGGCATTACCATTCAGGACATAGGCATGGGCAAGGACTTCATGTCTAAAACTCCAAAAGCAATGGCAACAAAAGACAAAATTGACAAATGGGATCTAATTAAACTAAAGAGCTTCTGCACAGCAAAAGAAACCACCATCAGAGTGAACAGGCAACCTACAAAATGGGAGAAAATTTTCGCAACCTACTCATCTGACAAAGGGCTAATATCCAGAATCTACAATGAACTCAAACAGATTTACAAGAAAAAAACAAACAACCCCATCAAAAAGTGGGCGAAGGATATGAACAGACACTTCTCAAAAGAAGACATTTATGCAGCTAAAAGACACATGAAAAAATGCTCATCATCACTGGCCATCAGAGAAATGCAAATCAAAACCACAATGAGATACCATCTCACACCAGTTAGAATGGCAATCATTAAAAAGTCAGGAAACAACAGGTGCTGGAGAGGATGTGGAGAAATAGAAACACTTTTACACTGTTGGTGTGACTGTAAACTAGTTCAACCATTGTGGAAGTCAGTGTGGTGATTCCTCAGGGATCTAGAACTAGAAATACCATTTGACCCAGCCATCCCATTACTGGGTATATACCCAAAGGACTATAAATCATGCTGCTATAAAGACACATGAACTCGTATGTTTATTGCGGCATTATTCACAATAGCAAAGACTTGGAACCAACCCAAATGCCCAACAATGATAGACTGGGTTAAGAAAATGTGGCACATATACAGCATGGAATACTATGCAGCCATAAAAAATGATGAGTTCATGTCCTTTGTAGGGACATGGATGAAATTGGAAAGCATCATTCTCAGTAAACTATCGCAAGAACAAAAAACCAAACACCGCATATTCTCACTCATAGGTGGGAATTGAACAATGAGATCACATGGACACAGGAAGGGGAATATCACACTCTGGGGACTGTTGTGGGGTGGGGGGAGGGGGGAGGGATAGCATTGGGAGATATACCTAATGCTAGATGACGAGTTAGTGGGTGCAGCGCACCAGCATGGCACATGTATACATATGTAACTAACCTGCACAATGTCACATGTACCCTAAAACTTAAAGTATAATAAAAAAAAAAAAACAGAACTTTACCATTGTTATGATAGCGTAGGAATCACAATGAAGTATTCTTATGTGAGAAATTTGTTTATGACAATCTGTATTACACATTATATCATGTATCACTATTTTATTTAATTAAAATTTATTTTAAAAAAAGATAGTAATATCTAGGACCATATAGAAAACCAACAGATTTCTTTATATGGTCCTTAGCACATGAAGCTAGTAAAAATGAAATTATTTGTAATGGGTATATGTAGTCACTCATTTATTCTTATTAGCTATATAATAGTACATATATACATACATACATACTATTCTCTAATAACAATGTAGAAGACAGTCTGTATATATAATGTATATAGCATAATGTATATTGTATGATATAGAAATATATTTGAGTGTATTAGAATGATTGTAAGTACACCAAATATCTCACTAAATGAGAATAATTGAGTCAGCCTGCTTTATTATAGATTTGAATAATATATCTTAAAGAAATTTCAAATGAATTAATTAGAACTACCTGAATTATGACAAAGATCATATTGTAAGACCCAGAAGTTGCACAAATCATTGCTGCTCTCATCCTGTTGTCCAGAATATAGTTGCTCTGCCACAGCTATCTGCAAGAGAGTCTGTGAAATATGTGAAATGTTATATCTAACTGAGCAGCCATGTGCCCAACTAAGACTCAAGAGGTCTGTTATTAAAATATTATTAAAAGTAAGAGAGGGGGACCAGGTAGAGTGGACCCTCCATCTCTGACATATCTAGTCAATATATTAGACAGATGTCAAATGAATAAGGCAAATAACATTTACTGCAGAAAATTAGATACTGAGCATATACAGCATCTGTCATATAAATTCATAAATGATTATTAATTGAAAGTTTTTTTGTCCTTAATCTACTGTTATTTCAAGAAAGTTAGAGATTTTGTCCTGTAACACTGTTTATCTATATCTGGAAAATACCCAAATTTGGTTGCTAAGTTACCAGTTGATTTTACAGTTGAAACCTAATTGAATTAAGTAATCTTTAATAATAGAAGAGAAACTGCATAAGTAAATTTAAAGGACCCTAAGTTAATTCCAATTAATGATTGTGCATAGTTCTAAACAAACCAGTTAATTATACAGTACATAAGAACTAAAAATTAATAAAAGAATAAATATAAATCAGCATTTTTCCTGAATACATTTTATTTCCTTTTTCTGCTCATTCTCATAAACGTAGTCATCTTTTTTGACACACCTCATATTAAGATCTATGTGTAACAAGTATGGATTCATCAGCATTTTCATGTTGAATAACAACTAAAAAAGAAAACATAATAGAATTAGAAGATCAGATATGTAGACTCCCAGTGATCAGAAAGCAGAGAAATGTCCTTCCTAGCCTTATGTTCTCCAGTTACTCAACAAACATCTGGCCGGGCATGGTGGCTCACACCTGTAGTCCCAGCACTTTGGGAGGCTGAGGCGGGCAGATCACTTGAGGTCAGGATTCTGAGACCCATAGGAGGCTGGGACTACAGATGTGCACCACCACACCTGGCCAATTTTTGTATTTTTGTATAGATGAGTTTTTACTACAGCTCACCAGCACTCTCAGGCACAGTGCCATCCTCATATACTTCTGGAGAGGAGAAGGGGTCACTGTTCCCACATTTAATTCCTTCAGCTTTTTCCTACACCCATTTTTTTCCTCCACATTCCTAGGAGATACAATCATTTCACCATGAAAGAGTTTCCTTATTACTGTGTCTAAGATGGATGCAAATCAGTGGTTTTTAAAATTAAAATATAATTTGAAATGATTTGAATATACAATATATTGATATTTGCCATTTTTGCAGTGATATGATCGTGGAAAAGACATTTATTAAACAAGCTCAAAAAGTAAGTTGTAATCTCAGAAACAAGATAATAATAGGTGTTCAGTGTCTGTCAAGGAATTAGCATTAAATCAATCACATATATGACTAAATGCCTATAATTAAGGGACAGGGCTGATGCAAGATATTGCCTGCCCCATTTTCTTTCTGCATTGCGTGATTGAGCTTCTCAAGCCAGCCTTTTCTTTATTAATGTTTACTAATAGAATTCCAGCACTTTGCCTTGAAACTATAGGTCATTTGAATTCCTAATAAAAATAATTCAAATGATAATAAGAAAATAACATTTCCTCTCCACTACAGTTGCAGAAAAGCAGATTTAGTTTTGTGACATAAAATTTAACATAGAAACATAATTACTAACAAATAAATCTTGTAAAACACTTAGGCTTCAAAGATAATTGCTATGCCCTGTAAAAGTAACTTCTAGCAACTAAACAATCTATCGTAATTGATTGCCTTAAAAAGTTGTTTTCCTAGTTAATATTTGTACAAACTCTTCCCTATTTGCCCAGGACCTTTCTAGTTTTAGCACTGAAAGTCCCACAACCCAGGAAAACCCTTACTCCTAGATAAGCTCAAAGGGTTGGTTACCCTGACACCATTATGTTCTAGAAGGTACAAATGCATGTAAATTTTCTTTGTAAAGTCAGAACAGAATTATTGCTACTTAGCTCTTTTCCCTTAAGCAGGAAGGTAGTAAAACCTACAACTGCAATATTCCTTGCTTAAACAAAGAGATTAAGGATCTGTGCCTCACTTAAATTAACAATGCAAACAACTGTAAACTACAAATTTTCATAATAATTTTAAATAAGTCAAAGTGCCCTGAGTCCCATAAAATAGACATACATTTTTGGTTTGTTAAGTACTCAAAATAAAAAGAAACATGTTAAATAGTTCTAACATGTAATAAAATAGATTTATAATTAATTTCAAACTGACAACAATAATTTTGGTGTTCTCTTAAAACTTAGAGAGGCTTTGAGTAGAATGGTTTAATGAGCTCAGCACTATTTAAAAACTGCCCTGACTAGAATGAATCTTGCAGTGCTGGATTAGAATTAGTGATATCAGTATGAACTCATTTTTAGCTTAATATAAAAACAGATGGATAGACATAATAACAATTATAAATATGTGTACATACATCTATATAGATACGAGGGTTAGTGCCTATGTGTGTTACCTAGCTCTGTCCTCAGAGAAGGCCTAGAAGCAAAGACAACCTAGTAGCAATTAGCACACCCAATGACTGATCTTGGACATAGGAGCCAACATGAAAGAGTTTCCAATGGCCACAGCTGAAAAAAGTTAAACAACAAAATAAGTAACATAACATAGAATTACAACTCAAAATATAATATATGTATAAGATTCCACTAAATTTGTAATAAAGAAAAAAATAAGGGCAATAAAAACAAGAAATGAAAGGTTATAAGAGACAAGAAAGTGGATATTGGCAAAAAATATATTTCAGAATACATTTGGAAGAAGGAAAGGAGTTGGAAGGTTCTGGAAACTGATTAATCAAAATGGAGAAAAACATGAACAAAACTGCTTACAGAGGGACAATTTTCCTCATCAAATCTTGTGAATGCTCAGCCAGATTCAAAGTAAGGTAGAGTTGAGGCACAGGGCTGGAGCAGGGGCTTTGGTTAAAAGTTCATATGTGAAACATTCGTGTTCCCCCTTACCTTCTACACGCTAGGTATAAAATCCTGGGAGCCAGGTGTCCATTCTCAAGAGGGCACCTTCTCAAGGAAAATTGAGAGGCTCAAGAGAAAAGATGCTCTCTGATACCATAGATTAAATCTTCGGAGGTAGTCAATATATGGCATCTATGAAACAAGGATGGAATGTTGATTCTTTCAGCTAAAAGGGGTATCAGAAGCAAAAAAACAATTGGAAGAGGCAAATTATCAGAGAAATAATACTAGAGAAATTCTCAGAGATAGAAAAGTCACTAGACTGAAAATTCCCACTGAGTCTCCAAAATACTGATTTAAAAAAACTGAGTTAAAAAGAAAGACCTGAGGCACATTATTAGAAATTTTATAATGTATATAATGCCAGATTTGAATACAACAAATGAGAAAATATAGGTTACTTGACAAAGAATGAGAATGACCTGGGGTTTCTCATTAGTAACACTGGATGTTGCTAGAGGACAGGCAAGCAGAACCTTCAGAAATATGAGAGAAAATTATTTTCAGCAATTAATCTTCTACTCTGCAAAATTATCAGTCAAATGTAAGATAAAATAAATATATATTTGTAAATGTACAAATTTAAATAAATTCTGCTTAGGTTAATTTAAGAATTTCTAAACAACATACTTCAAGAAAATAATAGAGCTAACCATAAAGAGAAAAGTAAGGAAACTTGAAATGGTTCAATCTAACAAAATGGCTAAGGGAAGTCCCCATATGCAGCTGAACAACAAATCTAGAGAACAATCAGGCCAACAGTCAAGAGCAAAAGAAAACAGGCCTTCAGGGAAAAAAGGAGAGGAGGTCAAATAAGTTTTCATACAAAATGTAGAAAATTTAGAAAAATGTAAAGGTACATGGATGGAAATTGGACAAAACAAGAAGGAACACTTAGAAACATTAGGAAAAATTTTAAACTATATAATAAATGAATGTATTTAAGAAAATATTGATTTTTGATAACTTAAAGTAGATGTATCTTGAAGTAGCTATATCTATACCTACTTTAAGTGACATATATACATATATGTATATATACATTTATGTGTGTATATATATCTACATATATGTACACATATATGTATATATATGTGGAAGGCTATGGGAGGGGAGGGAGGTGTCCCTAAACAGATAAATCTTTACCAGTGAAAACAGGAAGTCAATAAGTCATCTCTCTCAATTTGAAAAATAAGAATATAATAGCATAAGCATATCATTGTAAATAAGAACATAACCACTGAAAATAAAGCAAATAAAGGAGTTAAAAATTATTGCTTCTTCATGGAGGTGGCAATGGATAGTGGATTGCTGCCTTTACATGTTCTATCACTAAGTAATGTTTTTAATATGTATATTTTTATGTTAAATTTTTATATTTAAAAGTAAAATATTAAAGACCTTACATTTTAAAAATCAGAGAAATAATACCAGAGAAGTACTCAAAATAAGGGGTAGAAGTGTTTAGCGCATGGCCCAATTATATTATTTTGAATTATTAAAGATTAAAGAAAAGATTCAGAGATAGAAAGAACCTTGTGTTAATTCCAGTTTATTTTCTTGCCTGTATTTTCTTTCTTTTTATTTTACTCAATAGATATTTTTCTTGAGCATCTAACAGTGCCAGGTACCATTCAAGGAACTGGGGGATATTAGTAGCTGAAAATCAAAATTATTGCTCCACAGAGCTCATTCCTAGCTGGGGGAACAGATAATTTAACAATAAAACATAGCGGATATTAAGACATGATCAATTCTTAGGGAAAAAAGAGCAGCAGTTAAACATAGTCATTTCACAGAAAATTCTGAGTGAATTAAGCATTTTTAATAGTTTCCTGCTTTCTGTCAACCTGCTAATATTTCCTAAATCTTAGATTACAGCTATTTTTCAAAGGTACTTAAAAGTTGAAAGAATAAGCCAATAATCAACCACATACCCTTCACCTAAATTAATCAATTCTTAACAATTTGCTACATTGGCTTCCTCTTATTCTCAGAAAGATAGATAGCAGATAGATAGAAAGACAGACTATTTTATAGATTGATAGATGATAGACCAATAGATAAATAGATGACCATGTTACAGTATTTAACTTTTTACTCAGCTGCTTCAAGATAAATTATAAGCATCATTACTTTACCTCTACTTCACTGTGCATCTCCTAAAAATAAGAGTATTTTCTCAAAAACTACAGGCCAATGTCCCCAGTAAACACTGACACAAAAATCCTCAACAAAATACTGGCAAACAGAATTTAACAGCACATCAAAAAATTAATTTACCACAATCAAGTAGACTTTTTACCTGGGATACAAGGTTAGTTCAACATATGCAAGCCAATCAATTAGACACAAACAAATGGAAAAATATTCCATGCTCATGGACTAGAAGAATCAATAGCATTAAAATGGTCATACAGCCCAAAGCAATCTACAGATTCAATGCTATTTCTATCAAACTGCCAACATCATTTTTCACAGAACTAGGAAAACTTAATATAAAATCAAAATAAAGCATGAATAGACAAAGCAATTCAAAGCAAAAAGAATAAAGCTGGAGACACCACATTAACTGACTTCAAACTATGCTATAAGTCTACAGTAACCAAAACAGCATGGTACTGGTAGAAAAGCAGGCATATAGATCAATGAAACAGAATAAAGAATCCAGAAATAAAACCACATACCTACAGCCATCTGACCTTCAAGAAAGTCAACAAAAATAATAGCTATTCAACAAATGGTGCTGGGATAGCTGGTTAGCCATATGCAGAAGAAAAAAAAACTAGACCCCATCCTTTCACCATATACAAAAATTAACTCAAGATGAATTAAAGCTCTAAATGTAAGACCTCAAACTATAAGAATTCTAGAAAAAAAGCTTTGAAAACACCATCTGGACATTATCCTTGGAAAAGAATTTATGAGTAAGTCCTCAAAAGCAATTACAACAAAAACAAAAATTGACAAGTGGGACCTAATTCAATTAAACGGTTTCTGCACAGCAAAAGAAACTACCAACAGAATAAGTAGACGACCTACAGAATGGGAGAAAATATTAGCAAACTATGCATCCAACAAAGGTCTAATATCCAGAATCTATAAGGAACTTAAACTGAATGAGAAAAAAAAAAAAAAAAAAACAGAAAAAGGTCTGGCGCAGTGGCTCACGCCTATAATCCCAGCACTTTGGGAGGCCAAGGCGGGCGGATCACGAGGTCAGGAGATCGAGACCATCCTGGCTAACACGGTGAAACCCCGTCTCTACTAAAAATACAACAACAAAAAAATTAGCCAGGCGTGGTGGTGGGCGCCTGTAGTCCCAGCTACTCAGGAGGCTGAGGCAGGAGAATGGCGCGAACCCAGGAGGCGGAGCTTGCAGTGAGCCAAGATCGCACCACTGCACTCCAGCCTGGGCGACAGAGCGAGACTCCATCTCAAAAAAAACAAACAGGAAAAAAAATTAAAAAACAGGCAAAAGACATGAACAGGTGCTTCTCAAAAGAAGACATGCAAGTGGGCAACAAACGTACAAAAAGATGTTCCACATCACTAATCATCAGAGAAATGCAAATCAAAACCACAGTGAGATACTATCTCACACTAGACAGAATGGCTATTATTAAAAAGTCAACAAATAACAGATGTTGGTGAGGTTGCAGAGAAAAGGGGATGCCTGTACATTGCTGGTGGGACTGTAAATTAGTTCACCCATTGTGGAAATCAGTTGGGCAATTTCTCATAGAAATCAAAGCTGAATTACCACTCAACCTAGCAATCTCATTAGTGGGTCTATAGCCACAGGAAAATAAGTCATTCTACTGTAAAGACACATGCACATGTATGTTCATTATAGCACTATCCGCAATAGCAAAGACATAGAATCAACCTAAATGTCCATCAGTGGTAGGCTGGATAAAGAAAATTTGGTACATATGCCACATGGAATACTGCACAGCTATAAAAAAAGAATGAAATCATGTCTTTTGCAGCAACATTAGAGCTGGAGGCCATTATCCTAAGTAAAGTAACATAGGAACAGAAAACCAAATACCACGTGTCCTCACTTATAAGTAGGAGCTAAATATTGTGTACATGTGGGAGGAAGGGAACCGCAGACACCAGAGTCTGCCTTAGGGTGAAGGGAGGGAGGAGAGTGAGGATCGAAAACCTACCTATCAGGTGCTATGCTTATTACCTGGGTGGTGAAATAATCTGTACACAAAACCACCATAACACATAATTTACCTATATAACAAATCTGCATGTGTACCCCTGAACCTAAAAAAAAAAACTGTTTTTTTAAAAAAGTTTAAAAAAAAACAGTTGCTAGCAAGGCTGTGAAGAAAAGGGAATATTTATACACTGTCAGTGGGGACGTAAATTAGTTCTGCCACAGAGGAAAGCAGTTTGGAGATTTCTCAAAGAACTTAGAACTGCCATTTTACCCAGAAATCCCGTTACTAAGTATATATCCAAAAAAAAGTAAATCATTCTACCAAAAGGACATATGCATTCACATGTTCATCATAGCACTATGCACAATAGCAAATAAATGGAATCAACCCAGGTACCCATCGGTGGTGGAATGAATAAAGAAAATGTACATACACACCATGGAATACTATGAAGCCATAAAAAAAGAATGAAATTGTGTCCTTTGCAGGAACATGAATGCAGCTGAGGGCCTTTATGTTAAGCAAATTTACACAAGAACAGAAAACTGAAACCACAGGTTCTCACCTATAAGTGGGAGCTAAACATAAAGATCAACATAGTAGTCATGGACATAAATATGGCAACAATAGAAATTGGGACTATTAGAATGGGGAGGTGGTGAGAGGGGCAAGGATTGAAAAACTATTGTGCACTATGCTCAGTAACTGAGCAATGGGATCATTCATACCCCAAACCTCAACATCATGCAATATACCCAAATAATAATACTACACATGTACCCCCTGAATCTAAAATAAAAGTTGAAAAGAAAAAGCATCACAGCTAGGCAGAGGCAAACAAGCTCAAAAGCTGGTGACCTTTATAATGGAATAGCACAATACTGGGTCAATACTGCCTCTGCTTTTTGGAAGAATGTCCATGTACTACGAATAGAGGCTCTAGTGTCAGGGAAAATAGCATATTAATAATGGTCAATTTCTTGGCTCTTTCTTGTCACTTTTAGCAAAATCTGTGAGGGAGAAATAAACTTAATAATTATCAAGTCTGCAAACTGAAATTAAAGAGAACACAGCTTTAAATCTGTTCTCTGCCTGTGGGCTGCAATCAAAGTTGAAAGAGAGAACCATTTTGAAGCCTCCAAATTACAACAGCAACCATTGTTTTCATACTTTGGACAAAAGCAGTAATAAGAGGTGTCTGTAAAACGACCAGATCGAGATTATGACTTCCCACTGGAACCATTATTTCAAGTGTCCTCAAGAGATCAGCCTTGAAGCTGAATTAAACCATTGGAGAGAACACCAAAGCCAAAACTTTTTTAAAAATGAGACTTTTCAGGCTTTAGAATTATGTATCTATAGAAAAGCCAGAGTACTATCATCGTTTTTGAAATGCATATAAAGCTACTGCAGCAGCCCAAGACTACAACCTTGAAAAATGTCCCTGCCCCCTTGACTTCTATCTTAGAGAGAAAAAACCAGCTGCTCACTAGCACTCAATAGTCTACCCTAAAGCAGTTATATCAGAAGTGCTGAAAGGGAGGAAATCTGTTGTTGGTTTTCTTTCTCCTTAGGAGGTCTAGCTGCTGTTGGCTAGACTAATGACAAGTTAATTCAATCAGAAGCAGTCTTCTGGGTTACCCTTCTGACCAACATAATGTTACCTCATAACCTTTAATACTTTCTGAGTCAAAATATTTTAATGCTGGTCTTTGATACTTGTCAAGGGAAGAAAAAAATGTAAAATACGTCTATGTCTTTTCAAATAAATTACTTAGGTTAGATAATCACAAAGCTAGAATTCAGAGATAGCTCTTACATACCTCATGAAGGAGGTGAAGCTTGAGGGATAGGTAGAATTTAAATTAACTGAAGATTATTTCAAGCAGTATAAACAGCATACACAAAAGGCTGTGAGAAGTCCTGTGGCCTGTGCATAGAAAGCTGGACTGGTTTCACTGAAGCTTCAGGCATAAATGAAGGGACATGTTGGGTAGGGACTTGAGTACAAAGTAAAAACATTCTAACTTTGTCCTATAAGTAACAAGGGTTCTTAGAGAACAATGGGTGATGTTTGAAAACACTGTTTTAGTAAGAGTTATATAGCAATGCCCCAAACTAAACCAGGGAGTCAGCCAGGACTCAAGAAACAGCACAAGTTCAACTAAGGAGAGTGAATAAGCAAAATGCAGTAAGTTGATGACTAAACTAGCAAGCCCCTTTAGTGCTCACCAGCAGTCAGGGATGGCAGGGGTAAAACGGAGTCAACTCTGCTTGTTTGGAAAAACTCTTCTATTTGTATTTCTACAGAATTAGACTAATACCAATTTGAAGACTTAGGTCACATATGATGGATTATCCTTGCCACTTGAGAACTTTTTAAACCTTTCCTTTTTCCTTTCCCTAATTGTTTCATGGTAGATCATGAATGCATCAAGGAGCAACAAGAGTCAGATCTGTGACTCATCCATCGAGATTAAAATCTGCCCAAATACATAATTAAGTGACTATGAATGTGTTGAAAATGCCAAAATAAACACAGACAGAGGCTCTTCTAAGCTTCCTAAGCAACTTTGAATTTTTTTCATCAATTTGTATAATATACTCTCTGCAAGCTTTAATAGAGACAGGACACAAAACATTGTCTTTACTCATTCTCATTTATGTCCATCAGATTGCGTTACCTTGCCTGGTAATGTACTAGAATTTCCTCTGAATTTTAGACAAGGTGATCGTGAAATGTGGTACAGTCTCAGGTGGTTTAGCAAACAACCTTCCACATCAGTGCAGTTATCTCAGCCTTTAAACCATCAGCTCTGGATTATAAATTTGATCTGCCAGCTTATGAACTTGAGTCAAAGACAAAGAACATTATGCCTTGCTTTGAAAGGGGATTAGAAGCAAAAATGAACTCAAGTGTTAAAAAAAGTACTAAAAAATAATGAAACAAAAAATATATTATCAGTACCTCTCTAAGCAACAGGATATACTAACATGAATACAACAGCAATGTTACTATTTGCTAGGATTTCTCTCTCTCTCTCTCTCTCTCTCTCTCTCTCTCTCTCTCATTCTCTCTGTTTATCTCTTACCTTTCTTTTCTTTGGTACACTATATCCTTTTAAACTATGTTTGCCCAAAGGCAAAGATAGTTTTTGCTGGTATTTTTCTACCTCTGAAGAGAAAACAAGGGTGAGTGTCATTTGAAGATGGACAGTATCTTATTTGTTCTGTTGGAACTCCTGCACACTGCAGAGACTTGGTAAAAGCTTAAAAATAAGGAGGAAACCTTTCAGTGGTACCATCAAGATCAATGTCCAAGGTTATACTAAGAACAAGAATTTTAACTCCACAATTCCTGCATTTGTATTCTCATAGATATAGAAAAACCCTTCTGAACTCAGGCACTTAACCAACCTGGTCCTAGCTTATAAAGAAGATGATAATTCTGATTATCATTTTTCCTCCTTTTTCCTACTCCTAAAAAAAAAAAGCATAGCCCTCAAGCAGAAATTAACTGGACATTTTCTTTTTTAGTTTAAAGATTTATTTGACTAATAACGTTGTCTAAATTATGGGACCGTTTTCTTAGCAGGTTACCATGCTGTGTTAACAAGGAGACAAAGACGATTGTCTGGTGCAGAACCCTAGGAGCTCTTCCTGGGTTGCCAAGTGTTATTGATTGAATTGTGTCCCCTACAAAGATATGTTAAAGTCACAGTGTCTAGCGCCTGTGAGTGTGATCTCATTCAGAAATAAGTTATTTGCTCATGTAATCAAATTAAGATGAGGTCATTAGAGTGGTCCCTAATCCAATATGACTAGTGATCCTACAAGATGAGAAAAATGCCGTGTGAAGACAGAGATACATAGGGAGAATGTCATGTGACAACAGAGGCAGAGATTGGAATGACACAGCTGCAAATCAAAGAATGTCAAGGATTTTTGGCCACCCTACAAGCTAGGAAAAGGCAAGGAAGCTTCTGCCCAAAGTCTCGGAGGAAGCATCATATGAAAATGCCTTGATTTGAACTTCTGGCCTTCAGAACTGTGAGAGAATGAATTTCTGTTGTTTTAAGCCACCCATTGTGTTGCTTTGTTATAGCACCCTGGGAAACTAATACAGTCAGCAATGAGCTAGTTGAAACCAATAGCTTTCCCTTTTTCCAGTCAGAGGAACTGCACCAGAACTTGACTTCTCATGGGACAGATACCCCCAATAGTCTCTAGGTTCTGGGCAGCTGACAATTCCCAACATGCCTTAAACAGCCATTTTTCTCCTATTTTACCAGGCATCTCATACTCTGTCCCCATTAAAACGTAGAGCAATGGGAAGTAGAGATCCCCTGCAGAAGCATAGGCCAAGCACAGAATACTAGAAAAATAAGAGGAGTGTCACAACTGCTGACTTGCCACTCATTAGTGCCACCTGCACCGAGTGACACACTGGAACTTGCCCCATGCCCTTTGCAGCACATATAATGCACTCAATAAAATCTGACATTCCATTTACATATTAAATGACATTTGGAATATGCATAGAGCTCGTATTCTAGAGTCATGATGTCTGGCTTTGAAAGCTGTCTCCTGCACTTACTAGCAATATGACCTTGAGCAATGTATTACCCTTTTTGGCCTTGGTTTCCTTATCATAAAATGAAGTTAATAAAAGATAACAAGAATTTCCTCTGGGTGTCCTTGGAAAAGTTAAATGGAAAAAAAATCCATGTGAAGTGGTGCACACACTTAGAATACAAGTTCTATATAAGTTGCTTTGGTTGGTACTTCTTTTGCCTGCTGTAAGCCTAAAGTAACAGAAAATTTATTTCTCATGACTGATGAAGCATTACCAGTCTCCTAGAGTGCCAGGCCTCTATCTTCTTACAACTATCACACTGACAAATTTCACTGGCTCATCATTTTCTCTTTCATGAAGTCATTCTTGGGTTTCACGTCCTTAAAGACAGCTATGATTCCTGTTTCGATTATTACTTTCCCTAAATCAATAAGCAAAACAACTACTTAAATTTTTGTACTTAAGAACAGATCTGTCTGAAGGCCTCCAGGCCCTATCAGATGCATACAAATGGTGATTGATGAATGTCAGGTATGACCATCACAGTCATTCTGTTGCTTTCTTACTGAACTGAAAACAACTAGCCACCATATCCCAAGAGAGTTTTAAATTGTCTTTAAGTTTTTTCAGATGCATAGTTTGCACTCATCTAGCCATCAAAATGTCTATAATGTAGCAAAAGCTAATGTTTGAACAAGAAAATATTGTGATATTAAATTCATTTTGATCCCTCACTTATTGGGAATAACCACTCTCACAGCATTGAGTTATTTGCAGAGAAAAGCGTTGCACATAACAGCCTAAACCTTTCTTTCTATCTCATTATTAAGATGCAAAACGCCCCCGTCCACACACACACACACACACACACACACACACACACACACACATGCATGCACAAAAATATAAGGGAGTTTTTTTTTAATACAAATGCAAGAATTCCAACATCAATCATGAAAGCCTTTGGGATCCATTTTTAGGTCACAACATATAGTTAAATTTTAGTCAATATTTTAAACCAAGCATAACATAATATGTCATTATAAAATCCATTTCAACAAATCATGCTTTCTTTACATAATTAACTTAAAGAATTAAGTGGTGACTCACTAGCTAAAAGAAAACAAGTCACAACTTGTCCTTATAATGTAAACCTATGTTACGCATTTAATAGCGAAAGAGAGTGGAGGTCTCATTCAATAACCTAAATAAATACATACATGCATAATAAACAATAAATAAAGCAAAAGAAGTCCAGAAGAACAGTCCTTTACTTTTGTGTTCCCACTCGAGGTCCCAGGGAGTATTTGGGAGGCATGCCTCCAAATTACTCAACTTCTCCATTGGAAGCTTCTCCATAGACCTGGTAGGAAGAGGGAGCTTTCAGTTTAGAGCCTCTAAGCCACTTCAAATAGCCAACTTCTTCTCCTCAGTAAGACAACCCATCTGTTTTTGAACTTCTCATTCTTTTCCTCTCCTTTAAATCTCAAAGTCCATTTACCCCCTTTTGCTTACCAACTGTACCAGGTCAAGCCTATTTATACTCTTCTTAGTTTTCAAAGCAGTTTTGCCCATCTCTTTTCTCATCTGCATCTCCAGATATGAGAGAGGTGGGGTGGGATAGGGTGGGAAGAGCTCCATTTAGGGTCTGGCCCAGACTGGGTTATCTATGAGATAAGATGAACCTTCAAACTATTCAAGCAGACCTTCTCTTGACATATCCCATTTATAATTATGCTTCAAAACAAAAGGAAGCCTCTGTCTCTTTTTTTAGCACCTTTTAAATTGCTTTTAAAAGGCCTCCTTAGTTACCCATAATTTGGTATATTTTAAGCTCCTGAAATTGGGTGAGGCACGAGAAGGAGGAACCCAACCCTATGACATGTATATTACGGTTATTATTAAAAAGAAATTCATAAAATAATCTTTAATTATATGCTAATTTTAAAACATTTTACTTGAATTACAAAATGACAACTTTAATTACTAAACAAATTATAAAAGTATATAGGTCTGTGAAACTGTCCAAGAGTCAAAAGGCAGTCGATCTACTCCATTATTCTAGACTACTAGGACTTCTCTGATATGTCCTGCTCAACAATTGATTGTATCACTTTGACACTTTTTAAAGACCACTGATTCTTGATGTTATTGATTTTTAAATTTTCCCTTTGAAAACTTTAAAACAATACTAAGAAAAGAACAAAGTAATGAAGAAAACAGTAATGAAAAAAAGCTAGAAAACACTCTATGTGTATGTGTGTGTCTTATTGTTATTGTTGTCGACAATCTCATTTGTTGACAGCAAGATTGGCTTTGGAGACCACCGTTATAGACTGAATTGTGCATGCCCCCCACCCCAAAATTCATATGGTGAAGCCCTAAGCTCCATGTGACTATATTGGAGATAAGGCCTTTAAGGAGGTGACTAAGGTTAAATGAGGCCATAAAAGTGGATCCCTGTTCCAATAAAACTAGCATCCTTATAACAGAGGAAGAGATACCAGTGAGCTCACTCTCTGCCATGTGAGGACACAGTGAAATGGCAGCTATCTAAAAGCTAGGAAGAGAAGCCCTCACCAGAAACTAAAGCCTCCTGGAACCTTAATCTTGGACTTCCCAGCCTCCAGAATTGTGAGAAAATAAATTTCTTTTGTTGAAGCCACTCATTCAATGATATTTTGCTATGGCAGCCCGAGCACATTAACACAACCACTGAATGTTTGACAGAGTAAAGGAAGGGCTGCATAATATGAACGGTTTGAGAAAACCTGTCCTAAGACAAAATCACCATTTTGAAAACACATTGCATGTGAGTCTTCAGCAATCTTTTGATTTTCTTTTTAACAGATTAAGGAATTATTTGGGCGAGCTTCAAAAACTACAAATTCCTGGGCCACAGTCTCAGGAATTTTGATTCAGTAAGTTTAGGGTGGGCTCTGATTCTGTTTTGTCTCATTTCATTGTTTCATATTCCCCAGATGATTCTGATGCCTAGCCAGGTTTAGAAACCACTGCTCCAGGGTATCCAGAAATAATAGAGGGTAGTAAATGAAATCCCCTCCTCAAGTGTTTTCTCCTCCTCCTCCCAAAGCTGCCTGTTCCCTATCCACCCTTTTTCTTACAAGTAAAATAAATTTAAAGTAGTCAGGCTGTTGAATTGAAATCAGTGTGTGGAAATTTTCTGTTGAAGAACAAGAAACTCCCCCCCACCACCCTCCAGTCAATCAGGTGATATGCACGAGAGCAAGACAAAACCCTTGGTAAGTCACTGCATCCATTCTCAACAGGTCTGTTATAGATCTTCAGGTATTTGTATTCAAACTTTCTTTCTGGATTAATCTATTTACTTTTTTTTTACCTTCACATTTGAAACCCATAGTTTTCATGAGTAACCCAAGTCTCTGAATAGGCCTTTCCTTCATAAGAAAAGAATATGGGAAGGTCACAGCAATCCCATTACTGGGTATATACCCAAAGGATTATAAATCATTCTACTATAAAGACACATGTACGTGTATGTTTATTGCAGCACTATTTACAATAGCAAAGACTTGGAACCAACCCAAATGCCCATCAATGATAGACTGGATAAAGAAAATGTGGCCACAGAATACTATGTAGCCATAAAAAAGAATAAGATCATGTCCTTTGCAGGGACATGGATGAAGCTGTAAGCCATCATCCTCAGCAAACTAACACAGGAACAGAAAACCAAACACTGCACGTTCTCACTCATAATTGAGAGTTGAACAATGAGAACACATGGACACAGGCAGGGGAACATCACACACTGGAGCCTGTCGGGGGTGGGGGCAAGGAGGGGAGAGCATTAGGACAAATACCTAATCCATGCAGGGCTTAAAACCTAGATGATGGGTTGACGGGTGCAGCAAACCACCATGGCACATGTATACCTATGTAACAAACCTGTGCATTCTGCATGTGTATCCTGGAACTTAAAGTATAATTTTTAAAAAATATTTTTAAAATGGAATATGAGAAGGTCAAAACCAAGCCTTGAATTTATGTCTCTGGAGCCTGGGATGTCAAGCAATCGGCTGAAGCTGGGGTGTATGTGGAGCCTGGAGTTTGGGGAGAGGCAGCTCTGCAGCCTTTGTTCCCTACCAGCAATCTCTCCCAATCCTGGGTGGTGTACACACCTCCCTCCATATGCAACACAGCCCTGAGGCTTAAACCATATCCCAAGGCTGGGACCATTTCAGCTATAACACCAGGGACCCTTCTTCACAAGGTGAGGAGAGAGGAAGGAGTCATTAATTCAAAGAGAAAGGTAAAATACTGCAGGATTCCACAAACAGCACTGCAATTATGATCACTGAAGTTCCTAGAGCTAAAATTTTGAGAGAAGCTCTCATGGGAAACTCACTTGATCCATTTTCCTTCCAGAGACTCACTTGAGGAAGTACTTGTTGATAATCGTTTTCAAAAGCTGAAACAGCTAAATTTAAAAACCTCTTTTTTTTTTTTTCAATGCCAAGCCTTTTTGGAAAGATTGTGGCCAATTCCCTCTGTACAGACACAGAATCTATGTGGAATTCTCATACTGGCCCAGTCACCTGTGAATCCAAGGATTTGTTGCAACAGAAGAAAGTTTGGGCCCTGTCACACATGCATTTTTTGCACACCAAGCTCAGAAAAAGCAAGTATATGTCTTTCATGCTTCTTCCCATTTCAGTGCCCTCCCCTCAATACAGGCTCATCCCTTTTCTCTCTCCCAGGATCCTAAATATGCCCATTATATTTGGTATAAATCTTTGTACAAGGTTTTGCATAAATCTTTAAGAAGCAAGCTAATGACAAAAGTACTAACTTTGGAGACAGCAGAACTGGATTCTAATCCAGGCCCTATCAATGACCAGGCATGTGACTCTGGACCATGCTTTTCTCAGTCCATATCTGTTCATAAAGAAGTACACTGTACATTAACCCTCATCTGTACATAAAAAAGCTCTCATCCTTCATCTGTACATAAAGAAGTACATTGTACACTAATGTCTATGGTGTCTAATTTCTCTAAAATTTTCTGGGATCTGATGAATAAATTTAGAAATTTCATTTAGGGAGGGAGCCAAGATGGCCAAATAGGAAGAGCTCCGGTCTACAGCTCCCAGGGTGAGCGACACAGAAGACGGGTGATTTCTGCATTTCCATCTGAGGTACCGGGTTCATCTCACTAGGGAGTGCCAGACAGTGGGTGCAGAACAGTGGGTGCAGCGCACCATACACAAGCCAAAGCAGGGCGAGGCATTGCCTCACTCGGGAACTGCAAGGGGTCAGGGAGTTCCCTTTCCTAGTCAAAGAAAGGGGTGACACACGGCACCTGGAAAATTGGGCCACTCCCACCCCAATACTGCGCTTTTCCAATGGGCTTAAAAAACGGCGCACCACGAGATTATATCCCACACCTGGCTCGGAGGGTCCTACGCCCATGGAGTCTCGCTGATTGCTAGCAGAGCAGTCTGAGATCAAACTGCAAGGCGGCAGCCAGGCTGGGGGAGGGGGGCCCGCCATTGCCCAGGCTTGCTTAGGTTAACAAAGCAGCCGGGAAGCTCCAACTGGGTGGAGCCCACCACAGCTCAAGGAGGCCTGCCTGCCTCTGTAGGCTCCACCTCTGGGGGCAGGGCACAGACAAACAAAAAGACAGCAGTAACCTCTGCAGACTTAAATGTCTCTGTCTAACAGCTTTGAAGAGAGCAGTGGTTCTCCCAGTACGCAGCTGGAGATCTGAGAACGGGCAGACTGCATCCTCAAGTGGGTCCCTGACCCCTGACCCCGGAGCAGCCTAACTGGGAGGCACCCCCCAGTAGGGGCAGACTGACACCTCACACGGCCGGGTACTCCTCTGAGACAAATATTCCAGAGGAACGATCAGACAGCAGCATTCGTGGTTCACAAAAATCCGCTGTCCTGCAGCCACTGCTGCTGGTACCCAGGCAAACAGGGTCTGGAGTGGACCTCTAGCAAACTCCAACAGACCTGCAGCTGAGGGTCCTGTCTGTTAGAAGGAAAACAAACAAACAGAAAGGACATCCACACCAAGAACCCATCTGTACATCACCATCATCAAAGACCAAAAGTAGATAAAACCACAAAGATGAGGAAAAAACAGAACAGAAAAACTGGAAACTCTAAAAAGCAGAGCGCCTCTCCTCCTCCAAAGATACGCAGCTCCTCTCCAGCAACGGAACAAAGCTGGACGGAGAATGACTTTGACGAGTTGAGAGAAGAAGGCTTCAGAAGATCAAACTACTCCAAGCTACAGGAGGAAATTCAAACCAAAGGCAAAGAAGTTGAAAACTTTGAAAAAAATTTAGACGAAGGTATAACTAGAATAACCAATACAGAGAAGTGCCTAAAGGAGCTGATGGAGCTGAAAGCCAAGGCTCGAGAGCTACGTGAAGAATGCAGAAGACTCAGGAGCCGATGAGATCAACTGGAAGAAAGGGTATCAGTGATGAAAGATGAAATGAATGAAATGAAGCAAGAAGGGAAGTTTAGAGAAAAAAGAATAAAAAGAAACGAACAAAGCCTCCAAGAAATATGGGACTATGTGAAAAGATCAAATCTAAGTCTGATTGGTGTACATGAAAGTGACGGGGAGACCGGAACCAAGTTGGAAAACACTCTGCAGGATATTATCCAGGAGAACTTCCCCAATCTAGCAAGGTAGGCCAACGTTCAGATTCAGGAAATACAGAGAACACCACAAAGATACTCCTCAAGAAGAGCAACTCCAAGACACATAATTGTCAGATTCACCAAAGTTGAAATGAAGGAAAAAATGTTAAGGGCAGCCAGAGAGAAAGGTCGGGTTACCCTCAAAGGGAAGCACATCAGACTAACAGCAGATCTCTTGGCAGAAACTCTACAAGCCAGAAGAGAGTGGGGGTCAATATTCAACATTCTTAAAGAAAAGAATTTTCAACCCAGAATTTCATATCCAGCCAAACTAAGCTTCATAAGTGAAGGAGAAATAAAATACTTTACAGACAAGCAAATGCTGAGAGATTTTGTCACCACCAGGCCTGCCCTAAAAGAGCTCCTGAAGGAAGCACTAAACATGGAAAGGAAAAACCGGTACCAGCCACTGCAAAATCATGTCAAATTGTAAAGACCATCAAGGCTAGGAAGAAACTGCATCAACTAATGAGCAAAATAACCAGCTAACATCATAATGACAGGATCAAATTCACACATAACAATATTAACTTTAATGTAAGTGGACTACACACTCCAATTAAAAGACACAGACTGGCAAATTGGATAAACAGTCAAGACCCATCAATGTGCTGTATTCAGGAAACCCATCTTACATGCAGAGACAAACATAGGCTCAAAATAAAAGGATGGAGGAAGATCTACCAAGCAAATGGAAAACAAAAAAGGCAGGGGTTGCAATCCTAGTCTCTGATAAAACAGACTTTAAACCAACAAAGATCAAAAGAGACAAAGAAGGCCATTACATAATGGTAAAGGGATCAATTCACCAAGAAGAGCTAACTATCCTGAATATATATGCACCCAATACAGGAGCACCCAGATTCATTAAGCAAGTCCTGAGTGACCTACAAAGAGACTTAGACTCCCACACCATAATAATGGGAGACTTTAACACCCCACTGTCAACATTAGACAGATCAATGAGACAGAAAGTTAACAAGGATACCCAAGAATTCAACTCAGCTCTGCACCAAGCGGACCTAATAGACATCTACAGAACTCTCCACCCCAAATCAACAGAATATACATTTTTTTCAGCACCATACCACACCTATTCCAAAATTGACCACATAGTTCAAAGTAAAGCTCTCCTCAGCAAATGTAAAAGATCAGAAATTATAACAAACTGTCTCTCAGACCACAGTGCAATCAAACTAGACCTCAGGATTAAGAAACTCACTCAAAACCACTCAACTACGTGGAAACTGAACAACCTGCTCCTGAATAACTACTGGGTACATAACGAAATGAAGGCAGAAATAAAGATGTTCTTTGAAACCAACGAGAACAAAGACACAACATACCAGAATCTCTGGGACACATTCAAAGCAGTGTGTAGAGGGATATTTATAGCACTAAATGCCCACAAGAGAAAGCAGGAGACATCCAAAATTGACACCCTAACATCACAATTAAAAGAACTAGAAAAGCAAGAGCAAACACATTCAAAAGCTAGCAGAAGGCAAGAAATAACTAAAATCAGAGCAGAACTGAAGGAAATAGAGACACAAAAAACCCTTCAAAACATTAATGAATCCAGGAGCTGGTTTTTTGAAAGGATCAACAAAATTGACAGACCGCTAGCAAGACTAATAAAGAAGAAAAGAGAAAAGAAGCAAATAGACACAATAAAAAATGATAAAGGGGATATCACCACTGATCCCACAGAAATACAAACTACCATCAGAGAATACTACAAACACCTCTACACAAATAAACTAAAAAATCTAGAAGAAATGGATAAATTCCTCGACACATACACCCTCCCAAGACTAAACCAGGAAGAAGTTGAATCTCTGAATACACCAATAACAGGCTCTGAAATTGTGGCAATAATCAATAGCTTACCAACAAAAAAGAGTCCAGGACCAGATGGATTCACAGCCGAATTCTACCAGAGGTACAAGGAGGAACTGGTACCATTCCTTCTGAAACTATTCTAATCAATAGAAAAAGAGTAAATCCTCCCTAACTCATTTTATGAGGCCAGCATCATCCTGATATCAAAGCCAGGCAGAGACACAACCAAAAAAGAGAATTTTAGACCAATATCCTTGATGAACATTGATGCAAAAATCCTCAATAAAATACTGGCAAACCAAATCCGGCAGCACATCAAAAAGCTTATCCACCATGATCAAGTGGGCTTCATCCCTGGGATGCAAGGCTGGTTGAATATACACAAATCAATAAATGTAATCCAGCATATAAACAGAACCAAAGACAAAAACCACATGATTATCTCAATAGATGCAGAAAAGGCCTTTGACAAAATTCAACAACCCTTCATGCTAAAAACTCTCAATAAATTAGGTATTGATGGGACATATCTCAAAATAATAAGAGCTATCTATGACAAACCCACAGCCAATATCATACTGAATGGGCAAAAACTGGAAGCATTCCCTTTGAAGACTGGCACAAGACAGGGATGCCCTCTCTCACCACTCCTATTCAACATAGTGTTGGAAGTTCTGGCCAGGGCAATTAGGCAGGAGAAGGAAATAAAGGGTATTCAATTAGGAAAAGAGGAAGTCAAATTGTCCCTGTTTGCAGATGACATGATTGTATATCTAGAAAACCCCATTGTCTCAGCCCAAAATCTCAAGCTGATAAGCAACTTCAGCAAAGTCTCAGGATACAAAATCAATGTACAAAAATCACAAGCATTCTTATACACCAATAACAGACAAACAGAGAGCCAAATCATGAGTGAACTGCCATTCACAATTGCTTCAAAAAGAATAAAATACCTAGGAATCCAACTTACAAGGGACGGGAAGGACCTCTTCAAGGAGAACTACAAACCACTGCTCAATGAAATAAAAGAGGATACAAACAAATGGAAGAACATTCCATGCTCATGGGTAGGAAGAATCAATATCATGAAAATGGCCATACTGCCCAAGGTAATTTACAGATTCAATGCCATCCCCATCAAGCTACCAATGACTTTCTTCACAGAATTGGAAAAAACTACTTTCAAGTTCATATGGAACCAAAAAAGAGCCCACATTGCCAAGTCAATCCTAAGCCAAAAGAACAAAGCTGGAGGCATCACACTACCTGACTTCAAACTATACTACAAGGCTACAGTAACCAAAACAGCATGGTACTGGTACCAAAACAGAGATATAGATCAATGGAACAGAACAGAGCCCTCAGAAATAACGCCACGTACCTACAACTATCTGATCTTTGACAAACCTGAGAAAAACAAGCAATGGGGAAAGGATTCCCTATTTAATAAATGGTGCTGGGAAAACTGGCTAGCCATATGTAGAAAGCTGAAACTGGAGCCCTTCCTTACACCTTATAAAAAATTAATTCAAAATGGATTAAAGACTTAAACGTTAGACCTAAAACCATAAAAATCCTAGAAGAAAACCTAGGTATTACCATTCAGGACATAGGCATGGGCAAGGACTTCATGTCTAAAACACCAAAAGCAATGGCAACAAAAGACAAAATTGACAAATGGGATCTAATTAAACTAAAGAGCTTCTGCACAGCAAAAGAAACTACCATCAGAGTGAACAGGCAACCTACAGAATGGGAGAAAATTTTCGCAACCTACTCATCCGACAAAGGGCTAATATCCAGAATCTACAATGAACTCCAACAAATTTACAAGAAAAAAACAAACAACCCCATCAAAAAGTGGGCGAAGGATATGAACAGACACTTCTCAAAAGAAGACATTTATGCAGCCAAAAAACACATGAAAAAATGCTCACCATCACTGGCCATCAGAGAAATGCAAATCAAAACCACAATGAGATACCATCTCACACCAGTTAGAATGGCAATCATTAAAAAGTCAGGAAACAACAGGTGCTGGAGAGGATGTGGAGAAATAGGAACACTTTTACACTGTTGGTGGGACTGTAAACTAGTTCAAACTTTGTGGAAGTCAGTGTGGAGATTCCTCAGGGATCTAGACCTAGAAATACCATTTGACCCAGCCATCCCATTACTGGGTATATACCCAAAGGACTATAAATCATGCTGCTATAAAGACACATGCACACGTATGTTTATTGCGGCACTATTCACAATAGCAAAGACTTGGAACCAACCCAAATGTCCAACAATGGTAGACTGGATTAAGAAAACGTGGCACATATACACCATGGAATACTATGCAGCCATAAAAAATGATGAGTTCATGTCCTTTGTAGGGACATGGATGAAATTGGAAATCATCATTCTCAGTAAACTATCGCAAGAACAAAAAACCAAACACCGCATATTCTTACTCATAGGTGGGAATTGAACAATGAGAACACATGGACACAGGAGGGGGAACATTACACTCTGGGGACTGTTGTGGGGTAGAGGGAGTGGGGAGGGATAGCTTTAGGAGATATACCTAATGCTACATGACGAGTTAATGGGTGCAGCACACCAGCATGGCACATGTATACATATGTAACTAACCTGCACATTGTGCACATGTACCCTAAAACTTAAAGTATAATAATAATAAAATAAAAATAAAAATAAATAAAATAAAAATAAAAAAATAAAATAAATTAAAAAATAAATTTCATTTACTTATGTATGAAGAGAAAAAGAAAATAAAACCACTTAAAAGGGCTTCAACATGTCATCTTCTAACTTCTCTAGGCCTCGATGCTGGTTCCAGATTGCCTGGTTTCAAACCCCAGTTTGCCACATACTGGCTGCAGATTTGGGAAAGTTACTTAACCTCTTCATAACAGCCTACCAATATAAAAGATGATGACAATAATAGCCTTTTCCCCACAAGGATGATGCAGGGACTAAATGAGCCAATACATGAAACATGTTTATAGCAGTGCTGCAAATAGAAAGAGTTCAATAAATGCCAGGCTCTATTATCATCCTATTGTCATAACGTGAGAATAACAACCTGTCTTCACTTCTTCCCATGGTTCGTGAGGATCAACTAATATAATGAATGTCAAAGTGATATGTAAATTACAAAGTACTATTTAAAGGGAAAGAATTATACAAATGTTCACAAGCAGATGAATGATTTTTAAAAGTATGGCATATCCATAAATGGAAAACATTTTGGCAATTGAAAAAAAGGAACTACTGATACATGGTTCATATGGATGAATCCAAAGACATTTCACTGAGTAAAAGAAGCTAGACGCAAAGACTGAATATTTATATGAAATGCCTAGAAAAGGCAAATTTATAAAACAGAAAACAGGTGGGGCGCGGTGGCTCACACCTATAATCCCAGCACTATGGGAAGCCAAGACAGGCGGATCACCTGAGGTCGGGAGTCTGAGACCAGCCTGACCAACACAGAGAAACCCCATCTCTACTAAAAACACAAAATTAGCCGAGCGTGGTGGTACATGCCTGTAATCCCAGCTACTCGGGAGGCTGAGACGGGAGAATCGCTTGAACCCGGGAGGCAGAGGTTGTGGTGAGCTGAGATCGTGCCATTACACTCCAGCCTGGGCAACAAGAGCAAAATTCTGTCTCAAAATAAATAAACAAACAAACAAATAAATAAATAAAACATACCAGTGGTTGCCTAGGATGGTTTTGGGAGTAGAGAGTCACCAAAAATGGGCATGAGGAAACTTTTTAGAGTGATAGAGACATTCTACAACTAGACTGTGGTGATGGCTGCACAATTCTAGAAATGTACTAAAATCATTGAATTGTACATGCATAATGAGTGAATTTTATGTTATATAAATTATCCCTCAATAAATTATTAAAATAAATAATAAATAACTATAAAGTAACAGTGTTATCATCACCTGATATGTTATTTCATAAACAGTATGTTTCTTAGAAAATGATTTGGAATTGCCAGATTTTATGAAGATAGGGAAAGTGCTTTGAAAATTCTAAGTTTCTATACAAACTAACAATATTATTAATAAAAACAAATAATAAACCCATTTTAAAGAACTCTGTGATTTGTCTACCCCACATGTACTCACCCTGCCAAATACTCCCAGGTCAGGAAGCTGCTCCTTTAGTGACCCTGAGTTCTTCCTTCCTCCCACGTGCAGTCCACTCACTCCCATAACCCAGCTTTCCCTGGAGCTCTATTAGCCCATCCTGGAACACACTGCAATGGGATGGAAAAGAACAGGCCTTAGTACAGACACAGGTTCAAGCCTCAGCTAAGCCACATTCTACCTGTGTGACATCAGGCGAAGTATTTACACCTGCACTCCTCCTTTCCTCTGTCTGTAAAATGGAAATGATAATGTCCATCTCCTAAACTTGTTTTGATTGTGATGATTAAATATAACATATGTAAAGTACCTAGTATTTGCTCAACATGTTTTTTTCTCCTGTAGGAAAAAAAAACTCTACCATGTTTTGTTAATTCTTCAATATTTATTGTGTACCAAATGTGTTGGGGAAGTTTAAAAGAAACAAAGGTTTAAATAATTCTCCAGCAGAAGCCAAGTCTGACAGATAGCAGATGTTTTTCTGGGGCTTTGGTAAGAAAGTGCACTGCACATGGTCATTACAGCTGCTAAATGACAAGGCCTAAAGAGCCAGGCCAGTGGGAGCAGTGTCTTGGCAATACCGAAGTCTCCTTTTTCATACAAGAGGGAAAACTTCCAAGGCCAAGAAAAAGAGTGGAGCATCTTTTTCCCTCATACAGGTCAGCTAGAAAAAGCCACAAGGGATTAAAGATCAAAGGAACATTTTTCTTTCTCTGAGTTGTGAATAGCTTTGGGTGAGTAATAAATTGAAAAGATTTAAGGGCAAACAAGGCCCAAAAAGAAAAATTAAAAATATGTTAAAGAACAACAAAACTCAGAGAGATGAATAAAAGAATATCCTGGGGATAATCATGCTGATATGCAGCTTGAGGAGCTAGACCACAAAATGCACATAAGGGCCAATTCCTAGGGACCCCCCCCCCCGCCAAAAAAAGTTATCTCTAGCTCCAGCTGCTGACCAGATACTATGCTGGGTGGCCTGCAGCATCCTCAAATTTAAGAGGTTCAAAATTTAACTCTAGTACTTCTTCTATCTAGTTGTCTAAATCAGGAATTATACTTAACCTTTTTCATGATCTCTGCTACCATTACTTTAATGCAGCTCTCCATTACTTCATGAATAAAAGAATGAACAAAAGAATAGCTAAAGAATAATACTTGAAAGCCCATTTTTTGGCAGGTGGTTAATTTTATTTTTTAATCAACAAATAATACTTGTACATATTTATGGGGTACATAATGATGTTTTGATACAAACAATGCATAGTGGTCATATCAGGGTAATTAGTATATCCATCATCTCAAATATTTATCATTTATTTGTGGTTGGAAATATTCAGTATCCTCTTTCTAGCTATTTAAAACGATATAATATATTATTGTTACCTCTACTCAAAGGCCAATTTTTTAAAAAATGATTTTAAAATATGGTTGGAAAATTCTCATTCAATAAGTATTTATTGAGCACCTCCTGTATACCAAGCACACTGCCAAACAGTAAAGTGTATAATATAGTGCAGCCTATTGTAGCATATGAATGGAGGGAAAAGTTAGAGGTGACAATGAATAGGTATTTTAGGGCTGAAAGTAATCAGAGAAGAGAAATCTCCAGAATAAGAATCAAGAAAAGGGAAGTGATGTGGCTAGCAGAAGAGAAACAGCATTTTCTACTTTGCCATCCTAGAGAGACAAGGGAAACAAATACAAGCTACACTGGAGCTTTGGAGGAAGAACTTGAGACTAGTATAAAATAACAAAGTATTCTCGTGTGTTTTGCCTTGAGATTATGATGAATATGATTAAAATTCTATAATTCTGGATGCTAAAGGAGAAAGAATTACTGATCCAAATGTCCTTAAATACCAAGCCTAGTGCTTAAAAGTTCTTCCTTATCAAAATATTGGAGAATATATACCCAAATGTTTCTCTATTGTTGTCCTGAATTATTTACATTTAACTATTTCACCCTTTGGATTTTGTTGTAATTTACATATGATGTGAGGATTTTGAATTGTTTTCTTTTTTGTTAATTTCTTTTTTTTATTATTGAAGTTCTGGGGTACATGTGTACAACGTGCAGGTTTGTTACATAGGTATACATGTGCCATGGTGGTTTGCTGCACCCATCAACCCGTCATCTACGTTAGGTATTTCTCCTAATGCTATCCCTCCCCTAGCCCTCCATCCCCCAACAAACCCCAGTGTGTGATGTTCCCCTCCCTGTGTCCATGTGTTCTCATTGTTCAACTCCCACTCATGAGTGAGAACATGCAGTGTTTGGTCTTCTCTTCCTGTGTTAGTTTGCTGAGAATGATGGTTTCCAGCTTCATCCATGTCCCTGCAAAGGACATGAACTCATCCTTTTTATGGCTGCATAGTATTCCATGGTGTATATGTGCCACATTTTCTTTATCCAGTCTATCATTGATGAGCATTTGGGTTGGTTCCAAGTCTTTGCTATTGTGAACAGTGCCACACAATTTATTATTCTTTTCACTGCTTTGTGTTACCTTACTATCCTGGGTTAAGTTTGTCTATATTCAAGACCTCTCTTTGTGCTATCTTTTCTATGCTTTTTAGATGTCTTTTTATGGTAATTTTTTTTTTTTGAGATGGAGTCCCGCTCTGTCGCCCAGGCTGGGGTGCAGTGGTGCGATCTCGGCTCACCACAACCTCTGCCTTCCGGGTTCAAGTGATTCTCATGCCTCAGCCTCCCAAGTGGCTGAGACTATAGGTACACACCACCATGCCTGGCTCATTTTTGTATTTTTTTTTCTTTTAATAGAGATGGGGTTTCACCATGTTGGCCAGGCTGCTCTCAAACTCCTGACCTCAAGTGATCTGCCTGCCTCAGCCTCCCAAAGTGCTGGGATTGCAGGCGTGAGCCACCAAGTCCAGCCAGTATTCCCTTTTAAAAATTACTTTATTCTTATAATAGATTATACTACTTCACCTAAGATAATTATCCTCCAGTTAATTCCTTTTTCAAAGTTTTCTTTACATTTCTACTACATTTATAATGTCAGATAAACATTAGAACCTTCTGTCCAATTCTCTCCACTAAAAAAAAAGGAAGAAGAATGCTTCAGTCTTCTTATCCAGGCACTTACCTCCATTTACTCGTTTGCTTTTTACTCATTATTAGTATTGGCTGGGTCTGCTGAATTTTTGACATTAGAGGTTCTAGGTATAAGCAGCAATACCTAAATTAAACTCAAAGAAAGAAAAGTCAGGAAAGGCAATTGAAACATAATGGTACAAGAGATAGAAATACCAGCAGAGGTGCATTCTACAAAGGTAGAGAGAGTTTAAGAAAGACTTGTGGTAAGCAATGCTAAAACTGATGAAGGGGACAATAACTGAAAATCAACCTCTGAATTTGGGAGTTATTATACAAAGTCACTGATGATTTTCCCAAGAAAAATTTGGTAGCATGACTAAGTCAGAAGCTATATTCAGTTTATTGAGGAACGAGTGAGAGGTAAGGAAGAAGAAATGCTGACCAAGAATTCTTTTTCTTTTCATGACATTAAATGGTAATGGTAAATAGAGGCAAAGATAATATAGATGAGAGAGAGATTCAAGGAAAAGCGGGGAGTAGAGAGGGGTACAGGGAATATTTAGGCTAGAAAAGCTCTATATGCAGGCTGGAAGAAAAGAGCCAGAAACCAGAGGCACAGACATTAAAAATAATCTGAGAAATGAATCTACTTCTTACACAGTAAATAAAAAGGAAAAGATCATAGTAATAGCTAACACCCATTACTTACTGTGTGCCAGCCACTGTGCCATGAACTTTAATGCACTGTCTCATGTGAGAAACCCTCGTACAAGACTTATCATCCCCATTCTAGAGATGTTGCAAACTGAGACAAATGTACAATAAGTTGGCCTAAGGTCACTCTGCTGTAAGTAGTGGAGCTGGTATCTGAACCCTGAAGTTTCACTCTAGAGTCAGAATGCTTGATGAACAGCCTACATATTGTCAAGCAGAACGGTGAAAGCAGGGCGCTGCCCTAACATCGACGAATCACCTCCCAAATCACCAAATGCCACCTATGAACACATAACAAGGACTGACAGCTTTGACTAGGACTCAAGAGTGGCAGAAACAAAGGAGTTCTCCATTACAAGAATGCCTATGCATGAATAGATGTGTCACTTTCAAAAGCAGCCACCCCTGTCCTTCACACCAGTTACCAAACCTTGATCTACACACTGCTTGTTTTTTGTGTCTTCATGGTTTCCACTTGTAAGTTATTTATTTAATAATACAGGAACTTGGGTACAAAAAAACAGAAAGAGTGAATAAGACCTACTATTTGATAGAACAACAGGGTTACTATAGTCAATAATACTTAATTGTACATTTTAAAATAAAGAGTATAATTTAATTGTTTGTAATTCAAAGGATAAATGCTTGAGGGGATGGATACCCCATTCTCCATGATTTGCTTATTTCACATGGCATGCTTGTAGTACTCATGTACTCCAAAAATATATATACCTCCTATATACCCACAAAAATAAAAAATTCATAAAACTGAAAAATAAAAAAGAACACAGGGGCAAAGGGACATAATTGTTTAGCCCACATGGTCATAACACAGGGCTTCTGGCCTGTCCATTTGAGAAAAGGGTTAGGCTGGTGAGTCCCCAGATGCACATGCATGGCACATAGTGATAGCTCCCTGGAGCAAAGAGAAGCATGCACTGGAGGGCAGGAAGACAGAAAAATTAGCCCTACACCAAGAGGGCCTACTCAGACTCTACACATCTTTCCAAAGCCCCAATTCCTCCGTAGAGGCTTCTCTGCTCCTTCAGCTCTTTCATGTAGTCATTCATGTAAATGCCTTCTCCTACCTTGGGTTTTTAGTTCCTTTAGAGAAGGGACCAAGTCCTATATCTCTTTCAAACTTCCAGGTTGGAGGTGTTCAAGAAATAGTTATCGAAAATGTATCAACTATTTCTACTCATGAGTAAGTGAGCTGCTTCTCATGATTACTTTTGATGAAAAAAAATGTGTTGATCATGAACCACTGTCAAGACCACTAGAGCTTGAGGTTTTATTCTACCAAGTCTGCCTTAATTATTTCCTCCTGGGAACAAATATTAGCACATGCCAACAAGGAGTACGAGCCAGTTTTCGGCCAGAGAGTAGAGCTTTTTCTCAGTGCAAGGCCACCTTGCCAACTGTTCCCTGAACAGTTTAGATCTAGATGATGTATTCTAACCAATTAAGCTATATTCTAGTTGATTAAGCTAATAAACCTAAATTCATTATTTTGCTCCCTGTATCGTGAGGTCGGTGAACACAGCGAATAGTATCAACAAATAAAACATTTTATAGTGAAAATGCCTTCATTCAAAAGCATTGCTGGAGATTGTTGTCAATTTAATAATTTATTCACAAAATATTGTGACTCCCAGGCCCATCTTTACAGAAGCCCTCCCTGGAATCCTTCCTAGTGGAGGAAACCTGCTTTTTATTCAGTTGACATCTGGCTTAGCCATATGATTTGGGTTAGCCAATGGAATGTAAGCATAAGTGATTTATCTTATAATTCAGCTGAAGCTTTAAGAACCATTGTGATGTTCCCCCGTTACTCTTCCCTCTACCATAAAAATGGCCTGGCTTCATCAGTCTGGATCCCCAAATGGAGCTGCAGACAATCCACAGCTAATACTTTTATTAGCAAGCCACTAACTTCTACCATAGCAAGCCACTGAGATTTGGGGGTTATGCTTGGTTACTATAGCATAACTTCCTGAAAGCTGACAAATGTTGAAACCTACCTATAAACATTTCATTCTCTCCCTCTAGCCTCTGTCACACCACAGACATAAAATGCAATTTGAAGCTCAGTCTTTGAAATCAACAGTAAAATGAGAGAACCATGTCACAGGGTTGTTGAAATTGTTTAGTGGAATCATGTATGGAGAGCACCTAGGATGGTGTGAGCTCAGAAATGTGAGCTCCCTCGCCACCATAATGCCTTCCCTTCATGTTTCATTCCCACTTCCGTGGTGGAGGTAGGAAATGACAGACAATGTCAACCAGAATCTTGATTCTTCTCTGTAATCGTGTGATGAACAAGTTATAAACAGCTCCTGCCTCACAAAACTTGTAGTCTTACTTCTAGCAGAAAAATGTACCATGTGCATGCTTGCTTCCTCATCTATTAATGTGAAGTTCCAGCATCCAAGTGAAAAATTAACAAATGTAATTAGGATTGTCTTGGAGATAGAGGGAATCCATTGTTCATGATTTTTCCCTCTCCCAACCACTATCAACCACCCCACCATCTATACACATCACCACTGTCAGTACCACTTCCAGAAATTACTCCCTGGTCCTAAAACCTGGATTAGATTGCCCTCCTCTGTGCTCCCATAACATCCTGTACTTACCCCTTCTCCAAACTGTTACTCTGGAATGGATTTACTAGTTTGGGAATTAGTCTTCCCACTGAGAGAATAAACTGTTCCTTCATTATTTTAGTCCTAGAAGTTGCCCCATGCCTCAAACGTGGTAGATATTTACCAACATTTTTTGAATTAATGAATGAGTGGATTTGATAAGTTAATTTCTTCATAGTGACTTTTGAGTTCCCGCTGCAAGTTGATGACTTTTTTATGCCAGATGCCCAGGGCTCCAGGCAATCCTTATAGTTTTTCTAACTGACAAGGAATTCTCTATTATGAAATGGGGATGTGATTTACATATACCTGCAATCTTAAAGCACTCATAGAGGCCACTGGAAACTCAAATGGGTAATACAAATTGAATTAGCAGCTCTTGATTAAGAGAGCATTGATTTTATTAAAACTGGTAGAATATATGCCAGAAGTTAATTAATAGCTTGAAAATAATCAGACACTTCATAAAGCTGAACATCTGCCAAAAAGCGGGTATTCTGAGGTATGTTCAGGAAAGTTTCCAAGTGTATAATATTTGTTTCCATAGTTCCTTATGTTGTAATAACCAAAAAATAGGTAAATCAATTTTAAATAAAGCAATTTAACAAACTCATATTTCCTTTATATTTTGGAGGAACTCCAAACTTGCAAGAGTAGAACAATGTCCTTACTTACTCTCTTGGGATATCTAAAATATCTTCAGTCCTATAAGATTCTTTTTTAAAATGAGGAATGATTCTTGTTCTGCTTATTTTTACATAACACCTTTATCATCAAACAAACTTCAAGATGTGTCATCTTTAGTAGGAAAACATATTTCCACCTCATCCTCCTGTTAGACTTCAGTCTACTTAAGCCTATTCTCAGTTTAATGGGATTAACAGAAGCAAATCACAATTTAAGACTATAGTTTACCAACCTTCCTTTCTCTTGTTCAGTGAAATTCCCCTGATAATCCATCAGTCAACCCCTGCTGGCCTTGAGAGGCGCTCTAGAAGGCAGGAGAAGGGCACACAGGCTCGCTTTTTGAACTGAAGAAGGGTTTCATTTGGTTTAGAATTGTCAAACTTCAAAAAATAAATAAATAACTTAAAGTGTTTTTCAAATCAGCCATAAGGCTACAAACCAGAAAGAAAAGTGTGAGGCAGGTGTTTGGGGCAGCTACCCAAGTTGCCTACATGGTTTCCAAGGTCCTTTCAACTCTAAGGTTTGTGTATCAGGCTGTCTACAGATCATACTGTCTCCATAAGATTGTCTAGTTCATTTTATGGCTAGTTTGAACAATCTGATTTTCTTTTTTACAATGGCAGGGGCTCAATCCATGTTAGGCTTCAATGTTGAGTCACCCAAGTTCTCCACAGAGAATAACCAACCAGCCGTAAGGAAGCTTCTTTTAGCAATGCCAGGATTCTGCAAAGTCCCTCCCAGCTTAACTTTTCTGACCTTGCGGCAGCAGAACAACAAAAAGAACAGCCCCTGGCACCCTCAGAAGAGCACAAAGCCCTCTGACAACCTGAGATGGCGCCCAGGTAGACTTCCCTCAAAAAAAAAAAAAATGGCAAGGCTGCTTCAGCAGGTCTTTCAGCCCCAACCACTCCACTCTCCGTCTCCTTTTCTTCACTGCTTTCCCCACCTCTCTTCCCCCCTTCCACTTTGACCCACCCCAATTTTCGTCCACTTCTCCCTCACCCCTTCCTTGTAATCTCTCTCCTTGAGGCATCCTGTGGATGTTGACTGTAATCTCCCCTGGAGGAGGGCTAAGAAATGCACCTCCAGAGGGTCTGTTTGCCATTGGAACCGCGTAGAGAAAGCGTGCAAACCCGTCAACTGCTCCCGCCGTTCCTCTCCCTCCTCAACCCAGGCTCGCTACAGAAGAAGGGAGTAGGGTCTGCCCCCTTGTTGTATCTATTTTCCCCTTCTCCGCCAGGGCTGTGGCCGGCAAGGGGCTCAGGAGGTGAGTCCCTTGCCCACACCTCCAACCCCGCTGGCCCGGTTTATAACATGGACAGCCCTGCCCTCTAGTGTCTGCAACCGGGAGCCCTAAGGCGCCATCAGCTCCAGAATTTCTCTTTTATAACCTAAGCAAGACCTGGAGTACCTCGGAGCTGCGACCTCCAGTTCACAATACCACCTGCCTCACACCCGGGCTCATCTTTTCATCCCACACCCACCACCCCCCTCTCCGTTCACGGTGTCCCGGGAGGCTGCGACCTGCGTAGATGATTTAGCAGACTGCCCCTGCCCATGCTCCTGCTCCTGCTCCTCCTCCTCCTCTTCCCCGCTCTCTCCCTCTCGCCTCCTCTTCCAGTCCAGGCGCCCAGACTCGGCGAAGCGCAGCGCCTGCCACCAGCGGTGCCTCGGGCTGCCCGGCGCGCCGCGCTCCCAGGTTCTGTCTCGCCGCACCCCGGCGGGCACTGGCGCGGGCAAGGACGCTGGCGGGGAGAACGCCCTGGGCTCAACGTACTCCAGAATCGAATGTTGAGAGAAGCAGTGCTCTGATCCAGCTCAGGAGAAAAAGGAGCGGGTTCCGAGTGAGACTTCTGGAGCCAGCTGGACGTGCCGGTTTGCCCAGTGCGGCGCGGCTGCACGCACCGTCCACAAGGTGAGGGGCGCACACCTTCCGGGACGACCTTGGCTTCCCTTCTTACCCCCACCCACTCCAGGTACTCCAGCTCTGGCTTGGGGATGTTTGCCAGCTTTGAGGCGCAAAGGCGGCGGGAGTTGGGATGCGGGGTGTCGGAGGGAGACTGAGGGTCGCCCGGGCACCGTGCCTGCACCCTGGATTATAGTACAGAGAGCATTTCTTGTTCAAACAATTCCTCAAATGTGTGAACCTGAGAATCAACATTGTGTATAACTGTGGTTTGAGCATTTCATCCTGCTTCCTTGCAAAAGGATTAGAGGCAGCTTAAAGATTAAATAGGTATGGAACGGGTGCTGGGGGGGGCCAGGGAAAACTTGAGTAGAAATCACAGGGAGGTGGTGTGCTCCAGGGACCCCGGAAGAACTGTGTGATTTCAAAGCCAGCTGATTAAAAAACCTTTGATTAGAAAGGACTGCACTGTTGCTCCAGCCCTCAGAAAATAATACTGTGCTCAGTCCTGATAAACAAAATGCCCAGGTGTGGAGGTAATGAGGCAGGCTCATTTTTTTTAAAATACAAAATAAATCTTGGAAGTAAGAGTTAAGATGAGAAGTTTGGTCTTAAGCCATCTCCACCCAATACTGCAAGGTGAGAGGCTGACCCCCTACCTAACGAAAAGGAAAGGAAATTGAGTCTAAAGGGAAGTGATTCCAGCTCCTATCACAGGATCATAGTGGTTTTGCATCTATATGTATATTTCTGCCTGTGCCCAGTTTTGGAAGAAAGGACCTTGTATTCAACCCAACGCTGCTTGTCCTTGAGTTAGAAGGATAAGGCAGATGGTGTCAGCATCCCAAGGTGTTTCTTCCTAACCTTTCTTATTGTCCTTCCTTGCCTCCTGCACCAAATCTCTTGGGGAGGGAGCAGCCCAGGAGGAAATAATAGATCGTCAAATGGGTTGGGGGAGCAGTGTTTTTTCCAAAATAATTTAGGCTCATTTTATCATTCTTATGTTTTCCCTCAAAGCTCTAAGCAGTACATCGTCCTAAGCTGAATTTAACATTGCTCCAGAATATATATTTATCATAGTTGTACATTCAGACACAATATGCATAACCTTAAACAGCCAGGATGCACTTGTGAATCAGGGGCTTCCCTTACTTAATCCTGCGCAAGAGAGGCAAAGCAGGCACGTGGGTCTGATTCCCTGTGCGGTCTCCTTCATGAGGAGCATATGTGAAATACCTTTGAAATACAGAGAAGATTGAGACAGCTTTTCTCTTTCTGGTACAGTTGCTTTCCTGCTGAATTAAATGAGATGACCCTGTCTTCAACAAATAAATGAATGGAGGCATTTGAGGCCCATTTAACAAATGCACAAAATATGCCTGCCTCTGTTTTTCCTCCCTTCAGAGCTTTAGCCTCCAGCCCACGGAGTTGTGATGATGAAGCCCACCTCCTAAGTGGGACTCAGCTCAGTTTCTGTATCATATTTAAAACAGAGTATGTTGCTTATTTCTAAAATTGCATAGCACCTCACCACTAACTATTTTGCTGCATAGAGGTATTTCATCACTAAGAGAGCTATATAGAGAAACTCACTCAAATCCTGATTCATCATTGTTGATAGAACTTAACTATTGTGTCATCATCACCTGACATGGGCTGCAGAAGCTCCAAGGATTGCTATAGATCTCAATTGAGACTTCTAGTAACAGAGCTAGAAAGGAGCCTTTTAAAGTGTAGCCATGACTCTGGTCATTAGGTATATGCATGTTCAAATATTCCCTTACGTGCTTGTTTTCGCTTTCATAACAATTTCCAGGGATGAAAACTTAGCAGATTATTTTTATAATGAAGAGTATTCAAATTAACAATGTGTATCCACCAGCTAACAAGTTTTAAATTCCACAGAAATCAGCATCACAAGCATAGTAAAATCAAGTTTTCATTCTTTCCTCTTCTGCCATAATGACTTCATTCAAGGCCTAGTCCCAGACCAAGTGCATGGAAACGATGGCTCATGTCTCTCAACATTTGCCCAAGGGAATGGTGCCTACCTTGCAACTCAGCGTGATGTCACCTTTATTAGCCATTCTGGTGTCTATACAAAATATTTGCTCCCCATTTCTTCTTATCGATGCCTGGTCAGCAACAATCATGTAAATAAGTTTCCATTCTTTTGAGGAAGATAACGAAGTCAGCGTTTTTCAGAAGTGGTGCCTAGGAAGAGACAAAATCCAGGACACACCTCTAGTTCAGGTAACACTGCAATATATTTCAATTTCCTGCTGCGTGATGGGGTTATTATTGAAGAGGGAAGTAAGGTATATCATTCACAGCACATTGTCCCCACCTGGCTCAAGCACCACCCATTCCCCAGGTGGGCTCAATATGCTACCCCCACCACCACCAAGATACCAAGGCTGCAAATGAAAAGTAGATCTCAGCCAGGCATGATGGGTCACACCTGTAATTCCAACACTTTAGGAGGCCAAGGCAGGAGGATCACATGAGCCCATGAGTTCGAGACCAGCCTGAGCAAAATAATGAGAACTCATCTCTACAAAAAAATTTAAAATGAGCCAAGTATAGTGGTGTGTACCTGTAGTCCCAGCTACTTGGGAGGTTGAAGTGAGAGGATCGCTTGAGCCCAGAAAGCCAAAGTTGCAGTGAGCCAAGTTTGTGCCACGGCACTACAGCCTAGGTGACAGAGCAAGGCCTTGTCTCAAAAAAAGAAAAGAAAAGAAAGAAAAAGAAAGTAGGTCTCTTTGCAGAAAGCCTCAGGCCCTGAACTTTTGTGTCATCTTCTCATTACTCAAGTCTAATTCCCTACATCTCACTTTTACACACAGATCATTTTTTTCATGTTTGTTTTGATTGCCCACCCTGGAATTCTATTTCTGCACTACCCTTTAAAAGTGAAAGATCAAATCTAACGCTCTAATGTGGGAAAGCATTCCCTCTATTTCTACAAGCTTATTTACACAAAAAAATAAGCTTGAGACTGATCAAAAGCTGAATTTCTACCAAATAGGAACTTACTTTTTATGCCGTAAATTATCAAGGCCATCTCAAGGCAGAGGTGAGTTTAGCATCTCATGCTTTATGCTCCTTTCTTCTGCACCTACCAGATTTTTATTACATGTGAAATTATATGAACATAAACCCCAGGGAAACATTGAAGATGAGTGTGCCGTCACAAGTGACGAGGGGACAGATGAACAGGGAAGAGAAATGGGGCAGCAGCACTTTAGAGTGACTTACTTCTCTCTTGTTTTCTCCTCCCTGAATCATTTTCTAGAACCAGTATTGTGGCCCCTAAAATTTGGGGCTTAGGTCAGTCAACTTACCAAAGTTCATCTTCCTGGTGATGAAAGGACTTTCATCAAAATCCCAGCTACTTTTTATTCGTTCCCACATTTTGTGGATTAAGAAACTGAGAACCAGAATTTATAGAGATCACTCAATCAATTGGCATATTCCCGGATCACAACAAATTGATAAAATTCTTGAGAACCCTCTTTCTAATACAGATTGACTATAATTTTGTCTTTCATTTTTAGTTCTCTTATTTTGTCTCATGCACTGTGGATTATCTGGTTTACTGCAGTCCTTACCTGAATAGATGTCAGTGTTTTGATCCCATTGTTGTATTCCCCTAAAACACGTCAAATGAAAAACTGGACACTTTAATAGGTTTATTGTTAGCACTCTCTCATGCTGATCAATTCTCAACACATGCAGTTGTAGGATTAGGAAGACAAAATCCTTTAGAAGAAGCTATGAAACCTAATCCTTCTGCATCTGGATCATTTTAAACTACAAGTTGTAAGAGGAATGAGCATCTCTGGATTCTAGTTATCAGTGCAGACCAGATGGAAGGTCTTTATGAAATCTGGTATGAGAAGGAAAGCATTTTATAGCAAGAAGAAAATATTTTGAGAAATAGCTACCAGCAGCAGCAGCTAGCAGTTCTAAAACTCTCAGATCCTCCTAATGACCCCATTAGGGAGGGAGGAAGGGAGCAAGGAAGGAAGGAATGAAGGAAGGAAAGAAGAAAGGAAGGAAGGAAGGAAGGAAGGGAAGGAGGGAAGGAGGGAAGTGTTATAAATATTGGTCAGGGAAAAGTTTTATTATTAATGACAGATTAAATAATTAGCTACTAGGAAAATTCAAGGGGATACATAAAAATGCCATTAGAAAGAATAAGAGAACCCAGTAAGGTGGCTAGCTACAATAGCTTGCCTGGTTAGCGACAATATAATCATAGGGATTTATATTACGCTTGTACACTGTTGGGCAGAAAACATGCCTGAGAGGTATAAAAGATGCTGTTAGCATCCAAGAAAAATGGGAAAGGAAAGCCCACCTCATCTGAGGAAGATGGAGGAAGAAGAACCTACAGAAAAGGATTCCACATTCCAAACTCATCCCTCTGAATTCAGTAATATTTATCCTTATATGATTTCTGACAGTGTAGTTTGTCATTGTAATTAATTCTTTCCTGTAAGTAAACAAGAATTGTATACTTACTTAAGTACCTTACATTTTAAACTTTATTACATAGTCCTAATTTTAATGTTGAACTCTGCCCTAGTCAAGGAAGTATTTGTTACCTAACACAAGAATTTGATATACAGTCATCCATAAACACTATCCTACCATATAGTTCATCATAATTTAACATTCAAAGAAAGAAGCATGATTTCCTCTTTTATTATGCTTTCATTTGAGCCATTTTAACTTTCTTACCATTCTTTCCTTCTGAACCTAATTCAATTCCTTACACAATGCTCTAAAAAATCAAGGATTAAATATGTAACTTAATTTATAATTAGCAAATACATCATTTACAAGATGCATTCATATTGGCAAGCATATTTTATTTCATAGATTGTAAACTGGTAAAACAATGTAATCTCCTCACCCTCTCTGCAATACAGTAAGCCTGTTTCTAAGACCATCAAGGTTTTACTTTATGTCCGAGGCATTGGAGAACCAGACTGTACTGACCCCAGGGTTTGGTGACTTACATATAAATGAAGCATCTTACCAAGAAGGGATGAAAAATGACTTTAGAGGAAGCAAAAGTCTCAAAGCTCACAAGACTTGATTACTTTCAGCTTGGTGACAGAGGCAATGCTCTTGTGATGCAGATGGAGTAATTTCTCCAGCACAAAAGATGTCCAGCCGGGTCCCATTGGCTTTGAGATAATCTCTCACATTGCATTAAGTGTACTGAGTACCCTTTCTCAGACTTATGTACCATTAGCATGCATTTAATTAACAGTTAATGATTACATAGTATTGTTACTATTACCACATAGTCCTGTTATATTAAAATACATGAAATTTGTAGCTATGTTTTGCCTGTTTAGTAAAATGAGTCTGAATCTAAGGGTGAGAGGGTCTACACACAGCCAAGAGGATGGGGTATTAACCCAGGCCTGTGTGAAGATATTTGCATCTCATGGAATGCTCTCCAGAGAACAAACTGACCTACCCTGTGCATGTCAGCTAAGCTCCCGCCAGCTTCCTCAGGGCTTGCTGAATGTACAGTGAGTGCCACAGTGCCAGCGTGGCAGTGAAGCACAGGCCCAACTCTACGGACCTGGGGTCAGAAGGCCTGGGTTAATACCCCATTCTCTTGGCTGTATGAGCTGCATGGTCTGTCATCGTTACAATGGGGACAATAATACATGCCCTGTCTACCTCAGCCTCCTTTCAGGGAAGTTTCTCAAAACAGAATATGCTATTGTGATTCATTGTCACCTGTGATGTCAAACTGCACCTTGTGTTATACTACTAGGGGGTAACACAGCATGGGGCTCAAGCCCAAGCTCTCGAGTCCAGAAAGCCAGGTTCATATCCCAGCTCTGCCATTCATTAACTGCTTTCACATCTCTAAACCTCAGTTTCCTCATTTGTTGGGGCTCACATAACAGTACTATGTCATAGGGCTATTTATGAGGATTAAATGTGTGTATTCATTATTGCTAAATAATAAATTACCCCAAAACCTAATGGCTTAAAGCAACAGATTTTTATTATCTCTATGATCATAGTTCCATGGGTTGGGAATCTGGGTATGGCTTAGCTAGGTCCTCTGGCTCAGGTCTGTCACTCACAGGCTGCAAAGTTTCAGCCGAGACTGCAGACATCTCAAGGCTCAACTGGGGAAAGGTAACGCTTCCAAGCTCGCTCACGTGGCTGTTGACAAGCCTCAGGTCCCAGCTGGCTGCTGGCTGGAGACGTTCTTTTGCTACCACATGGACCTCTCTATAGGGCTACTAACAAAACAGAGTGCTTCATGCAGATGTTGCAGCTTGCTGTCCTTGGAGCAAGGGCTAAGATTGAAAGATAGCAAAATAGAAGCCAAGGTCTTTTTGTAACCTGATATCAGAAGTGATATCCCATGGCTTCTGCTGTGTTCCTCATTAGAGACAAGTCACTAGTTTCAGCCTAATTCAAGGGGAAGGGATTACACAGTGGGAGGAATACCTACAGGAACCAAATCATTGAGAGCCACCTGAGATACTGCCTGCCACAATATAAGACATCAGAAGCTGTTTGATAAAGACTCAATTCAGTATCACCTCGTGGTTTTATCTCATAGTAATGTTCTCAGACTGAAATTAGATAATCTGTCAAAGAATTTGTAAAATATAAAGCTCTATACAATATCAAGATTTTATTAGTTTTATTAATGCTGAGAATCCAGTTCCACTTTATAGATAGTGATATAAGAACAGCAAATCAATGATTAAGAGATGTGAATTTTACACCTTGCTGTGTGTGTGACCTTGGAAAAGCCATTTATTTGTTTCATACCTTAGTTCTCTCATGAAAGTGATGATAATAACAGACTTACCAGGATAAAATAGATAATAGACAGCCATGCAGCACATTGACAATATTTTGGTCACCCACAAACCACATATATGACAGTGGTCCCACAAATTATAATGGAGCTGAAAAATTCCTACAGCCTAGTGACATCATCGCTATTGCAATGTTGTTGTAGCACAATGTATCGCTCATGTGCTTGTGATGAGGCTGGTGTAAGCAAACCTGTGCTGCCAGTTGTATAAAAGTATAGCACATACAATTATGTATAGTATATAATACTTGATAATAAACAACTGTTACTGGTTTATACATTTACTGTACTATACTTTTTATCATTATTTTGGGGTGTGTTCCTACTTAATTAAAAAAAAAAAGTGAAAAGAAGTTTAACTGTAAAACAGCCTCAGGCAGGTCCTTCAGAAGGTATCCCAGAAAACAGCATTGTTATTACAGGAGATGACAGCTCCATGCATGTTATTGCCCCGAAGGACCTTCCAACGGACAGGATGTGTAAATAGATACAGTGATACTGATAATCCTGAGCCTGTGTAGGCTAAGGCTAATGTGTCTGTATCTTAGTTTTGTTTGTTTGTTTGTTTGTTTGTTTGAGACAGAGTCTCAGTCGCCCAGGCTGGAGTGCAGCAGCACAATCTCACCTCATTGCAACCTCCGCCTCCCAGGTTCAAGCAATTCTCCCACCTCAGCTTCCTAGTAGCTGGGATTACAGGCACTCACCACCATGCCCAGCTAATTTTTTGAATTTTTAGTAGAGACGGGATTTCACCATATTGGCCATGCTGGTCTTGAACCCCCGACCTCAAATGATTCGCCCGCCTCAGCCTCCCAAAGTGCTGGGATTACAGGCGTGAGTATCTTAGTTTTTAACAAAAAAGTGTGAAAAGGAAAGAAAAAATTTAAAGTTTTAAAAATAGAAAAAAGTTTATAAAATAATGTTATAAATAATGAGAATATTTTTGTATAGCTATACAATGTGTTTTAAGCTAAGTGCTATTACAAAAAGAGTCAAAAAGGTTTTTTTAATTTAAAAGTTTGGGGGTTTTTTGTTTTGTTTTTGTTTTTGTTTTTGTTTTTTTGAGATGACGTTTCTTTCTTGCCTCCCAGACTGGAGTGCAGTGGCGTGGTGATCCCAGTTCACTGCAACGTCCGCCTCCCCAGTTTCAAGCAATTCTCCTGCCTCAGCCTCCCAAGTAACTGGGATTACAGGCATGTGCCACCATGCCCAGCTAAATTTTGTATTTTTAGTAGAGATGGGGATTCACTATGTTGGCCAGGCTGGTCTCAATCTCCTGACCTCAGGTGGTTTACCTGCCTCGGCCTCCCAAAGTGCTGGTATTACAGGCATGAGCCACCACACCCGGCCTAATTAAAAAGTTTATAAAGTAAAAAAGTTATAGTAAGATAAGGTTAACTTATTATTGGAGAGAGAAAAAATGGTTTTTACAAATTAGGTATAGCTTAAGTGTACAGTGTTTTTAAAGTCTACAGTAGTGTACAGTAATGTACTAGGCCTTCATATTCGCTCAACACTGACTCACTGACTCACCCAGAGCAGCTTCTAATCCTGCAAACTCCATTCATGATAAGTTCCCTACACAAGTATCCCATTTTTTATCTTTATACCATATTTTCACTGTACCCTTTCTACGTTTAGATACACAAATACTATTGTGTTACATTTGCCTACAGTATTCAATACAGTAACATGCTGTCTGGCTTTGTAGCCTAGAAGCAATAGGCTATGCCACATAGCCTAGGTGTGCAGTAGGCTACACCATCTAGGTTTGTGGAAGTACACATCTTGATGTTCACACAATGATGAAATGGCCTAACAATGCATTTCTCAGAATGTATGATGCATGGCTATATATAAAATTATGCTGAAATCTAAAAAAATGAGATGATGGTCATAATGACAATGATGAAGATGACTATATGTTTCAGCTTCTACTCCATGGTCCTTTGAGGACAACTGAAGTAACTAGATATGATTTTTGTCAGTTGTGTTTTAAGTGTATGTATCAAATCCAGCTACCCCAAGTTTTACAATAACTTTATATGGTTTAATCTTATCTTGCTGAACACATTAGATATGCTGCCCTGAAAAGTGGCTTGCAAACAGAATTTTTAGAAACTGAACCATAATTAAAATGCACAGAGGCCGGGCACGGTGGCTCACACCTGTAATCCCAGTACTTTGGGAAGCCAAGACAGGCGGATCACCTGAGGTCAGGAGTTTGAGACCAGCCTGACCAACATGAAGAAACCCTGTCTCTACTAAAAATACAAAATTAGCCATGCGTGGTGGCACATGGCTGTAATCCCAGCTACTCAGGAAGCTGAGGCAGGAGAATCGCTTGAACCCAGGAGGCGGAGGTTGTGGTGAGCCGAGATCGCGCCATTGCACTCCAGCCTGGGCAACAAGAGCGAAACTCTGTCTCAAAAAAAAAATGCACAGAGAAGGTTTCCATGTATCTAGTGGAATTGTACAATGCTTATGTGATCTTGTGATATCATTAATATTTTGTAATATAAATAATTATCCTCATTATTTTAATTTTCTGGCATTGTAGCAACACCTGTATAAATATTTATAGTTACTTAAGAACTCACAAAACAACCTTTTGAAGTAGGCAAATAAAACCAACTCTTGGTTATCTCAAAGAGTTCTTTTTGTTTGATTCTTGTGTTATCTACATTTCTTCTCTCACTGTAAATTGGCATAAATTTGGCAGATACAAAACAAGTAAAGTTCAAACTCCTCCACTCAACCACTTTAAGGGATTTTTTTTCCTGCTTATAAGTATATCACATGTTCATTGTAGAAAATTTGGAAATGCAGAAAAGTATAAAAAATGTAGTTAAAGTTACTCTTATTGCCACCACCAAGAGGCAGCCACTATTGATACTTTGATGAATTTCTGCCTTAGTGCTTTCCCTCTCTATAGGGAGAAAAGAGTGGTTTCTTTTTCAATGAAATCAGGAGTATGTTATATACTTTTCTTGTGTTCTGCTTTCTCTAATTAACATTATTTTTTAAATGATATTTCCATTTATTGATTCAACAACATAAATTAGTAAATATTGACTATATCCAAAGTGGAATTTGGATGAACTGTAAGAAATATAGTTAATAATTGAATTCAGATTTTTTAAATCAATTCCAACAATTGTGAAGTAGTTTCTTTTCCTTTTTTTAAAAAATTTTACTTTAAGTTTGGTGATACATACGCAGAATGTGCAGGTTTGTTACATAGGTGTACATGTGCCACGGTGGTTCACTGCACCTATCAACCTGTCATCTAGGTTTTAAGCCCTGCATGCGTTAGGTATTTGTCCTAATGCTCACCCTCCCTTTACCCTCCACCCCGCGACAGGCCCCAGTGTGTGATGTTCCCCTCCTTGTGTTCATGTGTTCTCATTGTTCAACTCCCACTTATGAGTGAGAACACGTGGTGTTTGGTTTTCTGTTCCTGTGTTAGTTTGCCGAGAATGATGGCTTCCAGCTTCATCCATGTCCCTGCAAAGGACATGAACTCATTCTTTTTTATGGCTGCAAACATTATCTATTTAATAAGTTTCACATGTAATTATTATTTGAAAACATCATTTCTAATAAGTATATAATATTGTTGTATGGATATACTATATCTTATTTAACCAGTCATTACTATTGGACTTTTAGGTGGTTGTCAGTTTTTATACTGTAAAATTATAGCATGAAAAGAAAATTTTTACATAAGTCTTTGTCATTCATTATTCTAGTTATCTTAGTAAAAGTAGCAAAGGAGTCCTTGAAGTCACTAGGGGGAAATGAGGTTTGGTAATCCAAGTATAAATATATACACCACAGTCTTCTCTTCCCTCTTCCCTACCACTTCCTCTCACCTCCCACTGGCAGAAATTTGCAGGCTTTTAATGCTGGAAATTGCTGAAGTAACAATCTAATTGGGGTGGCCATCTGTCGTTTTTGGCCCATATCGTTCAGGTCACACTGAATGCACCCTTGGCTCCAAGAGTGACATGGGACCCAGGCCCATCCAAACATCTTGTTCTCCAGGGCACTGTGATTGGTTCAGGGATAGGCCGTGATCCAAGCAGACCAATTGGAATCAATGAGGCTCAGTTGAGAGGTGTTCAGGTGCCATCACCTACATTGGATTTGGAGATTTAAGGATACATGCCAGGAACTGCAGGGACCCAACATAAGGGGAGTGCCTCCTGAGGATAAAACTTTACATGGAGGAAGGAAGAGCCCAGAGATGGAGAAAGATTCTTGGGTATATTATTTAAGTTTCTGGATCCACCTGTGCCTGATCTACACTTGACACTGAAGTTTCATGAGCAAGTAAAGTCTCCTTCTCACTTATGCCAATTTAAGAAGATTTCTGTCATTTGTCTTTTAAAAGGTCTTTAATAATCCAGAGATTTTTACCCTCTCAATTGATGAAAATGAGTTGTAGTTAAGACAGATTCTGGAACTGAATCCTAGTTCCATCACTGACAGTGTAACGAGGGAAGGTTATATGACCTTTCCCCAGTCAGCTTCCCTACCTATAAAATGAAAATAATGCTAATACTTATCACCTCAGAGAGGTTTTTGCAGGGTTAAGTAAGTTAATATGTGAAAAAGTGCTTAAAACAGTATCTGGTATATTTTAATTACTACGTAAGTGTGTCCCTGCTGCTGCTGCTGCTGTTGTTATTTTGAAGGCAGAAAGAAAATGCAGGAGAGTAAATGACCTATTTCACTCATGCAGAGATTTAGCAGCCAAGCTAAAATTCAAATTTAGGTCTTCTCTTTTCTCTGCTTGTTGTTCTTTCTCAAGAGCTAAGCCTATCGTCATCTTTATGATATATTTGAGTATTAAGCTTTCAGAAGTTTCCATCCACATAATTGAACATTTCTATCAAAAGTTTTGAGGTAGACCAGGAGGCCAGAAAATAGATTTAAGTTACTAGCAATAACCAGATGCTACTGTAGGATTATAGGTTATCACAACTTGTAACTAAAAATTATGATTTTTATTATAATAAGTTTAATTACATTTATTTAATTTTAATTAAAATTAAAATACATTTTATTATTATAATTTCTACTTTAACAAGTAACTATACCTTTCACTGTGTTTTATTTAGCACCTTTCACAGTGTTGTTGTCTTTTTTAATATACCTTCCTATTAAACCAGTTGCTCTTTGCAGAATGCTTGAATCATTTGGCTCTTGGTTAGTAGGCTCCCGTTACCTAACCAAGCACTGAGTGAACGTATTTACTGGGGAGGCAGCTGGTCTCTCCCAAATGTAAATCAGATTTCATCATGTCTGGCTTGGAGAGAACGTGGCATATGGCAAATGAAGACACAGCTGCATAGTGAAATTTTCCATCACAAGTTAGTCTAATACCTGAATGCAGAGTGAATAAAACATTTTCTAAACAAGAATATTATGTTCAAATTCATAATCATTGTTAAATATTAAGAGTCAGGTTATTTCCCTTGAATTATACAAAATTTCACTATTCTTGAAAAAGTACATGTTATCTTATATTTAATGTCATACTATTCACATCCAGGCTGCCTTTCAACTTCTATTATTTAAAAATATTTTCAGATATCTACATTGCCTGTTATTAAAATGCAAACTGTTCTTTGAGTAGAGAACCTTTGTGTAAGGCCTTACAAAGTTCTGATAGAGATGAAGTGCACGGAAGGAATGACAGTGTGGTGGGAAGGTCCATGGCCTTAGGGGAATGGGTGGGAGCCTAAGCTTTGGAGCAGTTAGGTTGGAATTCAGACAAAGCCCTGCCACTTCTAGGCTGCAAAGGTATTGAACAAGGTACTTAACTACCCTCTGCCTCAGTTTCCTTATCTGTGATAAGAATAATATCATGTAATGATAATACAAACATCATAGGATTGTCAGAATCAAAATGAGAAAATGTATGCAATATTCTTAGCATAGTACCTGCCACATAATAAGCACTCAAAAATAATAAGACCTGCTTCATCACTGGCTCTAAAGTTGTGTCCAATTGGTTTCATAACCCTAAGAAGGCTATCAAATCTTCCTGGGCCTCAGTTTTGTCATTAGATGAGTAAATTGGACCAAATTCTATAAAAAGTGCCTTTGGGGGTTAAAATGCTATGACAATGCCCATACACATTGGGGTAAACCAAAAATCTATAACAGGGGCAAACTTGGGAAGATTTTTTCAAATCTGTTTTTCTACACTGAAATTGAGCTGCATCCCTTCTCCAAAGGTGATCATCTTCTCTAATAATAAAGCAAGGTTTGTCTATTTTTAACTTTTTATTGATCCAGTGCTCAGATTTTTCAGCACCATTTGGGGAGGAGTGTTCAATGCCTCATTGCAGAACCTTCCTTGTCATGATGATTTTGATAATATTATTGACATTCTTTCAGATTCCATAGTGAGTCTTTGTCATGATCAAAGGGCTCATGATGCTGATAACACAAACAAGAGTAACCAGTTCAAGAATTAATTTGGTTAATGAGGATCACTAATACGGATAATTTCTTCCTAACTGTTTTGGCGGGATGCATTATTTGGTTGAGTGTATTATCTTGTCTACACTGATCAAGCTAGCTTGAAACTCTTCTTATCAGCCTTTAACTACGTACTTTACCAACACAGCCTTTGAAATATTTGTTTTCTTTTCATGAAGAGCTTTTAAATTTTTTGCCTAGATTCCAAAGTAAGAAATCAATTTAAATGGCATAACTTTCAAACTAGACTTCTGAAAGACTTTATGCATCATCAGTAAATCTAAATTGATATTTTTCTTTAAAAGATGCAACTTTTCTATTTCCTATGTAAATAACTGTGACTCTATTGATTTATAAACTCCAAGAACAATTACCACTAGGGAAAAAGACAGGATAAAGGAGCATTTGTTGTCAAGCAGATATAATATTTTGAACTGATGATAATGTTTCCCTTACAAAACATGCTTGTATTAACTGATATTTATACTCATTTTTGAAAACTGAATTACAGATTTATGAAGGATATATTCGAAACTTAATTCACTAAAAGAAAAAAATATATATGTCTATTGAAATATCCCCTAAGAAGCAGAAAAATATTTTTGTTCTAGTAGTATAAATGAATAATGCAAATAAGAATGTCACCTGAATTTTAAGTAACACACAGTATATTTGGACCCCAGATTGACAATTGGCAACAGTACCAGAAAATAAACTAGAAGCTAGATGCAGCCAGGCCTTGGCAAATATATTTTTATACTGTTGTTAAGAAACTCATAATAACTGCTTCCTCACTGATGTGAACTTTCCTTAGTTGACACTCTCTTGATTACAAGTACACGATGCCTACTTTAAATTATCCTTAATCATGAAGGGAATTTGTTAGAAGATGCCAGGATATTTGGTGAAACTCAAGAGCTAGAGTTAGCTACTAGGAAATTATCAGGAATCTAGAACCTTATTTTTCTCTTCCCTTTTTTCTCTCCAAGACTGGCTTTGAATATTTCTACACACATGTGGCTAAATGTGGGTGTCCCATAGCTCCTTAGTTTCAATTTCGAGATTCAAACAACTCACAGAGAAAACCAACAAGCATCTCTCACTCACAGTTCAAATTCCTAGAAAAAAAGGGAGTTTGGCCCAGCTATAGTTAGCTGTCTATCCCTAGCCCATCAACAATGGTGCAAACATAGGTGCTGGGAATCTAGTCTTAGCAGGAGGGGAACAGTATGCAGAAAAAGGGGGATCTGTGTTGTACAGACACCCCAAAAAAGTTGTCTTTTCTTCCTTTTGGCTTACACATACACACACACAGACACACACACACACACACACACACCCCTACCATTCTTCCCATTTATTAAAAGGTCTCCCTGCCATATATGACTTAACCATCTTACACTGAACTACACTCTCATTCACCCCCTTCCTAAAGGGGATAATCCAATCAATCATATCTAGCAACTGAATCCTAAAATGTCATCAATGGGCCCCTCTTCTCAAAGTGAATGATCCCCAGAATAGTCCATCTTTTCTGTAGATTAGGCTTCATTTTGTTCAGAAAAATAGCTTTCTCTTTTTATTCTGCAACATAATGATTGAATGGTAAAATTAGAAAGTTATCAGTAAAACCACAAACATTCCCACTCAAAAAATGATTACAAGAAGCAAAAATCTTCACAGCAACATCATACATTGGTTACCAGACCAGAGAATATATTGCATCCTGCAAGACAAGGATTGCAAGAAAGGTGAAGAGTAGGATAAATAGGTTTTATGGGCTTCCATTATTGTTGGGATGGGTTCCTTCCTAAATCAAGTACTTCACTACAATATAATGCAAATAAAGTGAACCTCTCTGCATGCTGCCTTGACTGACTCAGCCAACCAGTTTCATATTCTTTACATAGCTTTGTTAACTGTAGCTCTCTCTATTGATGCAATTTCTCTCTTAGTCGAGATCCTTTTGGTTGTGAGTAAAAACATACACAGATACAAAACCACAGACTTTAAGTTAGCTTAAGGAAAAAATATGTTGGGAGGAGTTTACTGGAAGGGTTCCAGGATACATTAATTCATAACAAATGACCCCAAAACTTAATGGCATAAAATGGCACTCTTTATTTAAGTCAGTTTTGGAGATTATCTGGGTAGTTTTCTCTTTATTTAAGTCAATTTTGGAGATTGTCTGGGTAGTTTTCTCTGCTGAGATTTTTCCTGCCTCTGCATGAGCTGGCAGGTCAGTTACAAGCCAGATGATCTACTGTGTTCTCACATTTCTAAGGGTCGGCAGGCTGTCAGCTAGTGCAAAGGAATCAGTGGTTAGAAGGGACTAGGCCATGTGGCTCTCAACATCCGGGATGCTACACTAGGCATCTTCACAGGGTTCCTAAAAGTACAGTGAAGAAAGCAGCAAAGTCCTTGAGACTCAAACTCAAAACTCACATGATTCCATTTCTGTCACATTCTATTAGTCAAAATAATTCATAAGGTCAGCCCAGACTCAAGGAACAGAAAACAGATTGTATTAGTCTGTTCTCACATTGCTATAAAGAACTACCTGAGACTGGGTAATATATAAAGAAAAGATGCTTGATTGACTCACAGTTCCATAGTCTGTACAGAAAGATTGGCTGGGGAGTCCTCAGGAAACTTGCAATTATAGCAGAAGCAAAGGGGAAACAGGCACATCTTACATGGCTGGAGAAAAAGCAAGAAAGTGAAGGGGGAGGTGCTGCACACTTAAACAACCAGATCTCGTGAGAACTCACTCACTACCATGAGAACAGCAGAGGGAAATCCACCCCCATGATTCAATTACCTCCAACAAAGCCCCTCCTCCAACATTGGGAATTACAATTCAATATGAGATTTGGGTGGGGACACAAATACAAACCATATCATAGATTCACCTCTTGATGGCAGGAGCTGTAGTAGGGACATTTTTGCAGTCTACAACAAGGGATATTATGAAGAAGTCAAAGATAATTTGTATAGCCAGACACCACAAGGGGCTAGAACTGTGAACTGTAAAGCTGGCAGAGCCTGAGATATTTCCATTTTTATTCAGGCTGTCTGTCTGCCTCTCATCATATGGCCTCTTACTCTGCTTCTCTCACTAAGACATCTTACTTTATTCAATTACTTTATTCAACTTACTTTATTCAAGGTATGTATATAAGACCCTAGAGGCCTGCCCCACAAATCCCCAGTGTGCATGTCTTCAGTTCAAGTGATCTGCTCAGACAGCTGAATAGTATCTCTTAGCACCAATTTCAATTCCCAAAACAGAGGATTTGATTGTCCCAGATTTGGGGCAGTGATTCATCCCAATTCATCCACTATTTCTGGATGGGGAGCCACAGAATAGATACGTGGTTACTGTGAGGCCCCTCTGCAGAAGAGAGCGGTGTGGGACCCTTCTCAGAGGATGAGAGACTCAGGAGATGCTTTCTATCACAGAATGTAATGGCAAAGCCCGTATGCCCTGAAAAATTCAACTCTCCAAATGAAGTCAGTATTCTGTTACCAAGTCAGTGCCAGGAAAATGCAAGAAAAATTGAAAACAAGCTTGTCATTTTCTTCTATTTTTTTCTGAGTCTGAAGTGCCCGTAGATACTCTTAATTCTTCTAGAAAGCTTGAAAGCAATATTTAATGGAAGTCAAATTTGGTCTGCAGCAGATTTCTTTCTCATTTGATTTTCTCCTTCTTATCTTGGAAACAACCTCTAATGAGAGAAATATTCCAGAGCACCATCTCAAGATGTATCTGGGAAAAGAACCCATTGTACCCCAGAGCAAATCGACCCTCTGCTCCCTGACAATATGCTTGGTTTTCAACAGCTTCCCTGATCCCAGTTCTTATGACTTTACCACACTTTTCTACACTTCCCAGAGGTTCAGCAAGGCTTCCGTCTCCCTGCCGGTCTTGTCAGGGCAATCTCTTCACTGGCACCATGGCTTATTTTCTACAGAACCATTGAAAGCAGACATGGTTCCCATGCAGATTATCTTCCCATTTGCACTTACCAATCATGTGAACTCAGGCAGGTCCACCTCCCTGTCAGCTTGTCTCCTGCAAAATTTAGACTTCATGTATTTTCTGTCACTGCTATTCTGTATGTTTGTTATCAGATCAAATGAGACGCCTGCATGCGGTAGCACCTTAAAAACGTTAGAATGCTCTGTACATGTAGAGAAATGGAACTTCTCTCACAGATACTTGATAGTGAGATAAAGTGGCACGGGTCATTTCATGTCCAGTGTCATCATACAGATGTAAAATCCCACCTTGGAAATGTAGGTGACCACATGTAGAATTTTACCTCTGCCTGCTCATGAGACCCTGTGCAAAGGACTCAGCTAAGTCATGCTCAGGCTTCTGATCCACAGAAGCTGTGAGATAATAAATTTATGTTGTTTAAAGCTGCTAAATTTGTGGTAATTTGTTACACAGCAATAGACAACTAATACAGTGTTCAATCTCAAATGTAAAATAACATTTTACATAACAGAATGCTATGTGTAGGCTTGAGTGAGTGAGAGAGAGTGTGTGTGTGTGTATGTATGTGTGTTCCAAAGGAAACGTATTTTAAAATGAAATACATTTTAACATATGGTTTTCAAAAAGCTGAGAAACTGATGATAAATTTACACTTGTTGCTGCAACATCTCAATATTGTAAACCAAAAATAAAATTCTAAGACCCCCCCAACCAATTGACTGAAACCCCCTCTCAGTCAAGGGCATTCCAAAGTAAACCTGAAAAACTAGTTCAGGCCATGATGGGAATGGGGGATTAGACACACCTCATTATACCCTTCTCTCTTTGGAATTGGGGCACAATGGACCAGCATTAACACTACAACAGAGATCTCAAGACTGACCAAAGAGATTCTTTGTGGCAATAAGGTATATCACAAAATCATAGATAGCAGGCCCTAAAAGAAATAGAAAGTATTTTACCCTGAAATATATTTCTTTGATGTATTTTAAAATGGCCCTGCAAAGCTGTCTCTTGTGGGAGAAATCTACATTCTATAAAGAATCCTCTTCCCTTTCCAGGTCTTTTTCTGATCCCAGAAAGACTAACTAAAAGTCTGGAACCTTTAAAAGTCTGATAAGAAATATTTACCATCTAATCTCTCTGAAGCCTGCTACTTGGAGGATTCATCTGCATAATAAGAACCCTGGTCTCCACAACCCCTTATCTTCATTCAGACATTCCTTTCTATATTGATTCCAGTTCTTTAGATAATAACTTAACACTTTCAACCAATTGCCAATCAGAAAATCTTTAAATCCACCTATAACTGGAAGCTGCCCTGCCACCATCACTGCTTTGAGTTGTTCTGCCTTTCTGGACCAAACCAATGTACACCTTATATGTATCAATTGATGTCTGCTTGTAACTTCTGACCCCCTAAAATGTATAAGACCAAGCTGTAACCCAACCATCTGCGTACATGTTCTCCGACCCTCCTGAAGCTGTGTCATTGGCATGCCCTTATTCTTGACAAAATAAACTTCTAAATTGATTGAGAAAAAAAATTTAAAAAAATAAAAACCTGATTTTCTTGGTCAGAGCTGGGCTACTACTTGCTTGCCATATGATCTTGCACACATTATTTATGGAGTTTTTTATGTTTCACTTTCTGTTTTTTAAATAAGAACAACTCCACTAACTTCAGAGTCTTATGAGAATAAAATGATAAAAGGTATGTGAATATGCTTAGCATACTATTTGGCCATGCTAGAAGACTATAAGGTTAGGTTTTGTTTATTTGTTTGTTTGCTCCTTTCTTGGTGTTCACTGGGTTCAATGGCTAAGTTCTATTACATGTTAACCTTGTCGTTTAGTATAGAAAACAATGTGAGATTTAGCATGATTATTGAAACAGCAAATCTTCAGAAATCCAACAAACCTATGGCACTCAAACAGCTTAGTAAAACCTACCCAACAAAATTTAAGAAGTCTTGGAAGCAGATGGTTTGGGGCATCTAGGCTCCAGCCCAGGGGCATTTTTGCTGGCATTTGTGAGACTTTTCAAAAACAATAAGCAGTCAACATTGTTCAAGGCTCATTTTTTCCCTGCCTTCTGAGGTGACTACTTGAGCAACATCTTTCAGATAATTCTAATCTAAGAAGAATTTTTTATTTTAACCTTTTAAAAAGGCAATAAAATAAGACATCTATTTTTTCTCCAAATAGCTTTGTACGATAACCTCTATTTATTAGGACATTTGAAAGTTTCTTACCATATATTCTAGCCAAGGCCATCTTTTTTTTATGAAACATTGTTAGAATTAAATCCCAGAATTTCAGATGAGCTTTCCCTTACACTGTCATATTTCACCTTACCTCTTAACTTTTAAGGGACTGTCCATGAATACCTGAGCCCCAACATCTCAGTCACTTGGCACTGGAGAAAAATCATAGTGCCACCCACCTATCTTCTGAATCAATGTATCTGAATGTTTAATATTTTCCATTTGTTTTACAATTTCTTACAAAATAAATTATTTTCCCATTGAGGAAAAGAAAGATTTTTATGCATTTGCATGAAAAGGTTTCAAAGATATTGTTAAATGGAAAAAAAGGGCACAGTAAAGTAAAAAATAGCTTGCATATCGAGATCTCATGTGCATGGAAATGCATGGGCAAAAGCCTACAGGAGCACAGTGGTGGATGCTGGTAACCTATGGAAGGTGAGTGGAGTGTGAGCAGAGAGGGGGCCTGTCACCTTTAGTCATATATACTTCCATAATAGTAAAATTTTTTAAACTCAGGCTATATCCCCACACTATTTAATTTTTAAAATTGTTTTTAACTGGGCGTGGGCAGGAGGCATGCATTCCTTGACCAATAGAGGCATTTTTTTTTTTTTTTTTTTGAGACAGAGTCTCGCTCTGTCGCCCAGGCTGGAGTGCAATGGTGCGATCTCGGCTCACTGCCAGCTCCGCCTCCTGGGTTGACACCATTCTCCTGCCTCAGCCTCCCAAGTAACTGGGACTACAGGTGCCCGCCACCATGCCCAGCTAATTTTTTGTATTTTTAGTAGAGACGAGGTTTCACTGTGTTAGCCAGGATGGTCTCGATATCCTGACCTCGTGATCTGCCCACCTTGGCCTCAATAGAGGCATTTTTAATTTACGAGCCCATGGGAGAAGCCCATGTGCCTATACTCAAATGCCAGCTCCTCACAATGACCCCAAACATTCTGTCTAAAGTGCCCTCTCATCTTCCAGTCTGTTCCTGTTTCTGTTTTTTCCCTCATGATACTTGCTACGATCCAAAATTAATAAGTATCTGTTGGCCTCTGTTTTCTCCCAGCTAGAATACAGGCATTATGAGGGCAGGAGTCTCATCAATCTTGTTCAGTTTTCATCTCCAGTGTCTAGAGGAGAATCGAGCATTGAGTAGATGCTCAACAAATATTTGAATAAATATAAGAATGAATGAGACAAATGCCCTTGTGCCATTATTGTCTGCTATAAAACTCTGAAGGAGCAGGGGCTGCAAGCAAAAATGGCAGTGGGCCCAAGTTTTACATCTGCTTCCAAAGTACTATTTCTTATTTGTTAGAGAAGACATTTGTTTCAAGAGATCTAAGAGAAAATTTGCCTGGTGGAAGATCCTAGCAGCCCCAGACTCTGAACAGGAAGTGTCTACCAACCAGATATTGGCCCAGCTCCCACACAGCATAAGACAATGTATTAATCAGGGCTCTCCAGAGAAACAGAACCAATTGCACGTGTGTGTGTGTGTGTGTGTGTGTGTGTGTGTGTGTGTGTGTGTGTACAGAAAGAGAGAGATTGATGTTAAGAAATTGGCTCACACAGTTGTGGAGCCTGGCAAGTTCAAAATCTGCAGGGTAGGCAGGTAGGCTGGAGACCCAGGGCAGAGCTGATATTGCAACTCAAGTCTGAAGACGGTCTAGAGGCAGAATTCCCTCTTCCTTGGGGAAACTCAGTCTTTTTTCTCTTGAGGCCTTCAACTGATTGGATGAGGCCTACCACATTGTGGAGGATAATCTGCTTTACCTGAAGTCCACTTTGAATTTAAGTGTTAATCTCATCTTAAAAAAAGAAAAAAAGAAGAAGAAAAAACACTCAGCTGAGCACTGTGACTCACACCTGTAACTGCAGCACTCTGGGAGGCCAAGGCAGGTGGATCACCTGAGCTCAGAGTTCGAGACCAGCCTGGGCAACATGATGAAACCCTGTCTCTACAAAAAAAAATGCAAACGTTAGCCAGGCGCCATGGCACCTGTATGTAATCCCCAGCTATTCAGGAGGCAGAGGCATGAGAAATGCTTGAACCCAGATGGTCAAGGCTACAGTGAGTGGAGATCCTGCCACTGCACTCCAGCGACTAGTGTTTTGACTAATCTGGGTACCATTGCCTAGCCAGGTTGAAACACAAAATTCATCATCATGGGCAGGATGACGGAACCTCAGCTGGAGCCTTAGCTGTGTAGGTAACACAGAGAGTATCCTGTGGTGAAAAAATTAGAAACAGACATTGTGTGAGAAAGAAGGGGCAAGTTTTGTGTAACATCCTGACAAATTTTGAATCTCTGTTAATCCTCTTTTATGCAAGTATCAGAAGATCACTTCATGTTCAGCCATAGGAGCCCTTTCCTCATAGCCCCATATCAGCCAAGCGCATATAGATAAAGCTGCAGGCAAAGATAAGGCGTCTCTGAATCCCCAGCTGTGTCTGTAGGGACACTCTTCCTTAGTGCCACTATATTCCTCATACTAGTAAGGAAGTCAGCCAATTCTACTCAATGTACAAGTAAGTACATTGAAATGCAGACTATCTAAATAAGCAAACTGAAGAGGCACACTGGGAAAGTTATCCAGATAATTCAGGATAAAATTCAGCAGGTGTCTTGGTCTGTTTTGTGCTGCTTTAACAGAATAGTGAAGACTGGATGATTTATAAAGAATAGAAATGTATGTCCCACAGTTCTAGAAGCTGGGTAACCAAGATCAAGGTGCCAGCATGTAGTGACTAGTGAGGGCCTTCTTGCTGCACCATCCCAAGGCAAAAAGTGGAAGGACAGAAGGGGGATGAATGCTGTGTCCTCACTTGGCGGAAGTGCAGAAAAGAGCAAACCCACTCCCATAACCCTTTTTATACTGACATTAATCCATTCATAAAGGCAGACCCCTCCTGACCTAAACACCTCTCCAAGGCCCTACCACCCAACACTGTTGCATTGGGGATTAAATTTCCAACATATGAATTTTGGGGACACATTCAAACCAGGCAAGTTTGAAAAGCTTATATTTGGGGTTTACATTATTCCACCTGGTGAACTTCACCAGTTAGACTCCATTTATGACACAGCTCAGGTGAATGTTCTGTTATCCCGGTTGTTCAATCAAGATCCATTGAGCTGTAGTGGGTGGGGGAAGTGAATCAGGAGCAAACACTTCAGGAAAGTGAGGTTAAATGAAAGAAAGGCTGAGCTAGGCACGGAGAACCTGAATTCTAGATTTTAACACCTCTCTTGATCATTTGGGACAAGTCACGTAACCCTAAGCCTCAGTTTCCTCTCTGATTCTCCTTTAGCCCTATAGTTTCATGGGATGTCTAATCTCAGACACTCTGCTGGCCATGTGGCCTCAGATCCCTCTCCTAATGCCTAATATGTGTTAGCACCCTTGTGCTTTCAAATATCTGCTACTACTGCTAGTTTTATTTCTACCACTTAAAGAATGGAAAACCCATATTTAAAAAAAATTGATTTCCCCCACAATAGTGTGTCTGAATACAGATTCTGAATTGCTTTACACATATACTGTATGTTTATCTAATTATAAGTAGAAAATAATATTGTGCCAGTGATAAAAATGAAGCTAGGAACTATCAAGAGAGCCTGGTCCTATTTCCAAATACCATTATATGCTTTAGTATTTTGGTTTCAAATCAGCTTCCAATATTTGGGGAGTCAGTTTTTCTTTTTTGATATTTTTTCTGCTCAACTGTTTCAGAAAATCTCTTGTTGCTATGGAAGTCAAATGGGATTTTTCATCTGTTTTAAAATCATCTCCTCATGCCTTTACAATTAAAAGTCATAGCTAATTATAATGCTTACCTACTGAATGTGGATCCCATATTAAACAAAAGAAAATATATGTTCATAATGTCAGGTTCGTAAGAAAAAGAATTTTTTTAATTTAATTATTTTACCAGACTTTAAGTCTTTCCCATTCTTACACATCCCATTTGAATGACACTAAAATGTATAAAATCAATTATATGAGTTTAATTTGCCCAAGCTTGGTATAAAATTTTATTATTCCCTTCCTGAGTATCCGGCTATTCTAATTAATTTTCTCCTCCTTATCAGCGGATTTAATGATTCACTTCCATGCCCCTCTTTTGCCAAGTGCGTCAGCGTGTATTGTTAGCCAGAGGTGTCTCCATGGCTGTTAAGAAGCTCTGACTCGGTGAAGAAACAGAAGCAGTGTGCTGAGCAGGAGAAGAGGGATGAGGTCATGCCTTTGAGCACCGACTATAACCTTTATGTTGCTCTTGGTTTTTGTAATGCACACATATGCACATGCAAATATACATGTGCACACAAAAATGCATGCCTAGCTATATGAATTCTCATGTCAGAAATGAGTGGCGAGTGAAGATCAGAACAGATTTCACATTTTTAACCTAGTCTAAATTCAGCTCCTTTGCAGAACTTCATCTGAGTAATCCCTTTTAAATCTGAGCCCTCCAGTTACTCCAGATTTTCTTAGCACTTAGTTAGTTACGTGCATGCCTCTGCTGTCATAGCAAAGTCACAGGCTGACATCCACAGCAGGGAAGATAAGTAACAAATGCATGAACTTGTGGCACAAGATCAAGCACTGGGTGTACAGCTCATGACTGGCATTGAGGAACATGGTAAAAAAGGAAGGGAAATAAAGCAAGTAAGATTTTTGTTTGAACATTAAGGAGAATTTTTTGGTTAGGTACAGTGGAACAGTTTATAAAATGTGGTAGTATGATCCCCAATCCTGGAGCACATAAAGAAGAAAATAAAAAAACATTTTCCTGGAGTTGCTTGGGTCAGAAATGTCAGAGATGCAGTGCAAATCATCTTATCAGCTATTTGAGAATGGTCAGATGTAGACATGAAGAGATTAACATAATTATTCATTCTATAAATACAGTCATACACCACATAATAATGTTTTGGTCAACAACAGACCACATATACAATGGTGGTCCCATAAGATGGAGCTGGAAAATTCCTATTACCTAGTGCCATCCTAACATCATGGCACAATGCATTACTCATGTGTTTGTGGTGATTTGGTGTAAACCTACTGGGCTGCCAGTCATATGAAAGCATATCACAGGCTGGGTGCTGTGGCTCACACCTGTAGTCCCAACACTTTGGGAGGCTGAGGTGGGCAGATCACTTGAGGCCAGGAGTCTGAGACCAACCTGCCCAACATGGTGAAATCCTGTCCCTACTAAAAATACAAAAGTTAGCCGGGTGTAGTGGTGCATGCCTATAGTCCCAGCTTCTCAGGAGGCTGAGGTGGGAGAATCACTTGAACCTGGAAGGCAGAGATTGCAGTGAACCAAGATTGTGCCACTGCACTCCAGCCTGGGTGACAGAGCGAGACCCTGTCTCCAAAAATAAGATAAAAAATAAAATAAAAATAAAAGCATACCACATACAATTATGTATAGTACATAATACGTGATCTCTGTTACTGGTTTATGTATTTACTACACTATACTTTTATTGTTATTTTAGTGTGCTCCTTCTACTCATTAAAAAAATGTTAACTGACAAACAGCGTTAGGCAGGTCCTTCGAGAGGTATTCCAGAAGAAGGCATTACTATTATAGGAGATGACAGCACCATGCATGTTACTGCCCCAAAGACCTTCCTGTGGGACAAGATGTGGAGGTAGAAGACAGTGATATTGATCATTCTGACCTTGTGTAGTCCAAGGCTAATGTGTATATTTTTGTCTTAATTTTTAACAGAAAAATTTAAAAAATAAACAAAAAAATTTACATAGGAAAAAGCTTATAAAATAAGGATATAAAAAAAGAAAATATTTTTGTACAGCTGTACAATGTACACCACTGCACCTGGCTAACTTTTGTATTTTTAGTAGGGACAGGATTTCACCATGTTGGTGTTTTTTTATCAAGAAGTTAAAAAAATTTAAATACTTATAAAGTAAAAATGTTACAATGAGCTAAGTTTAATTTATAATTGAAGAAAAGAAAATATTGTTTATAAATTTAATGTAGCCTTAGTGTACAGTGTTTAGAAAGTCTACAGTAGTGTACAGTAATGTTCTAGGCCTTCATACTCATCCACCACTCACTCGCTGACTCACCCAGAGTAACTTTCAGTCCCACAAGCTCCATTCATGGTAAATGCCCTATACAGATGTACCATTTTTTTATCTTGCATACTGTATTTTTACTGTACTTTTTTATGTTTAAATACACAAATATCATTGTGTTACAATTGCCTACATTATTTGGTACAGTAACATGCTATACAGGTTTGTAGCGTAGGAGCAATAGGCTATATCACATGGTCTAGGTATGTAGTAGGCTATACCATCTAGATCTGTAAGTACACTGTGATGTTCACACAGGGACAAAATTGCCTAACGACACATTTCTTAGAATATGTCCCTGATGTTAAGCAATGCAGGACTATACTTATTAAGCACCTATTATATGCCCAACTCTCTGTTAGGCCCTGGAGACACAATAAACAGACTCTATTTTCAAAGCCCCCATGGTCTTAGGGGTAGGACAAACAGACAAGCAAAAATTACTCTACAGTTCAGGACATCATTCTAGAAAACCCTAGAAGAGAAGTTGCACTGGGTGCTATGGAGAAGAAGAGAGGCACCTTCCCTGGAGCAACGGTATGCTAGGGAAGTCTTCCTGACAATATCCAGTCTTCTAGTTTGAAAAACAAAATCATCATGTGACCGTGAAGAAAGCTCATATAGCCATTTGCATGACTGAAAAAATATGCGTTGGAATCGTATCTGGGGGCATGGGGCAGATTGCATTACTAACACATAAGACAAATCAGGAATATTTACAATTATCCTTAAAAATCCTACATATTGCTCATAAAGTACTAAGTGCATGAATATGTGCATAGTTTTATGTTGTGGCTATATTTAGTAAGTAATATATATGCCTAAATATGCCATCCATGCAATAAATGTAAGAATCACACTCTGTGGCAAGATGCTCTCAGTGTGAGACACAAGGAAAATGTGATAGCAGGTGATATACTCATTTAGTGATATAGCAGAACTGTCTGCAGTACTTAAATTCTTTCTCTCTTTCTCTGCCTTTATATTTTCTTTCAAGCATGGGTGGTTACATTTGTCTAAGTTAAACCTCTCTTTATAACAGTAAAGTTGTAAACTTTGTCTAAGCTGTAAACTTCTCCTTACAACAGAAATAAGTTACAGTTTGAACAAAGTTTTTGAAAATTTTTTAAATCATCTTAAAATAATGATCCACAGTACTGAAGAACTCAATGAAAGAGTAATTACAAATTGCTAATGTTTATTAATTCTTAAGGTTCCTTATATTTTAATGCCTTGCAATAATGAATTATTTAAATCATAGGAATTATAACTTGCACATAAAATTATAGTCAATAATTTTAAATTAATAAATGAAACAACATAGTACTAGTAAAAGAAAGAAAAAGGAACATATTTAGAGATATATTCTTCAAATTTATTGAACTTCATTCACCCACAGATTTTGTTGTTCGAGCTGTTGCTTCAGAACCAAATCTGCTCAATGAATATCACCTTCTGCCTCATTTCCCTCATCTTTATAGGTCAAATTCCCTATCACTGCCTCCACTCCATGCCATATGTGGGCTTCCAGACCAAATCTGACTTGAGGGACTCAGCATCCCGGGGCTTTCCACCTCCTTCACTGAAGCCACCTGAGGGGCTCCTCCGTCCATCCTGGGCATGCTCACTGCTCCTCTGACAGAGCAAGCCATTGACTTGAAGCAGTTCTCAGAGTCTCACCGTCTCTGCAGGAGTGTTCCTACCTGATAATGAGGCTCTCACTCCTGGCATGGAATCTATCCCACTCCCCCGACTTTCTATGAGTTCCAGTTCAGAGGTTCTCAATGATTCTCAACTGAGAACACTAGAACTTCTTAGTACAGTGGTTCTCAAATTTGGTTTCACGTTTTATTCATCTGGGAAGTTCTGTATTTTTTTTTAATACCGGTGCCTAGCCATCACCCACATAAATTCTGATTTAATCGTTCTGGAATAGGTTTGAGTCATCAAGAGTTTGTAGAAATTTCCCAGGTGGTTCTAATGTGCAGTCAGGGCTGAAGACCACTATCTTTGCAGGCTTCTTGCAGGCCTCACCTTCCCAGTCAATGCCAAGAGCCAAACCAGTCCATCCAGGGGTCTACATACACACACACAGACACACACCAAACTTGCTATAAGTAAATAGCTCAAGGAATGATAGCAAATATATGGTCTTCCTTATTCTAAGTGAAGTAACTCAGGAATGTAAAACCAAACACTGTACGTCCTCACTCATAAGTGGAAGCTAAGCTATAAGGATGCAAAGGCATAAGAATGATACAATGGACTCTGGGGACTCGGGGGAAAGGGTAGGAGGGGGCTGAGGGATAAAAGAATGCAAATTGGTTATAGTGTATACTTCTCAGGTGATGGATGCATCAAAATGTCAGAAATCACTACTAAAGAACTTATTCATATAACCAAACACCACCTGTTCCCCAAAAACCTATGGAAATAAAAAAGAAATAGGAATTCTCTAACACCCACAAAAAAAAATAGATGGTCTTCCCCTATATCTAAGTTGTTCTAGTTGATCCAGTCTTTCTTGGAGGGTGGTATAAAATGAAAGGATGGGTGGTTTCAAATTTTTCAGACTCCGAAAAAAAAATGAATACAGGATCTGGGTGGGAAATAATATTACTAAGAAGAGGGAAGAAGGAAAACAGCTGAAAATAAAGTCAGGTTAAGTGATTGAGTCCAAGGTAAAATGTTATAACATAAGAAGAAAGAGAAAAGTAAGAAGGAAATAATTGAGATATTTTAGGAAAGTTAATGTTATTTAAATGAACAGACTTACAAATAAGGAAACTCTCCATCCAGTTATTAGCATCATCCAATGACTGAGGCACTGTGGATAATGCAAAGTATACAGGTCCTGAGCCAAAGTGGACAGATGGAATCTCATCTCTACCTCTTTCCAGCTCTGGAATCTTGGGCAATTGTGGGAGACTTTCCAAGATTCCCACAGCAAGATCTTTTCTCACACATTATCTTCTTACAATATGAGATTGAATCTCCTCCTGTTTTGAGGTAGGATCTGTCCTTCCCATCCCTTGAGTCTAGGAGGTAAGTACAGGGGTGTGTAAGACGGTGTGGGAGCTGAGAAGGAACTTGCTGACATGTGTTTGTTGGGGACTGATTCAGAAAAGAGGTGATGCTCAGTCTGAGTATGGAATGCTGAGATGGAGTTTGCCAGGCAGAGAAAAGGTATTTCAAGTAAGGATAACCAACATATCTGAAGGCTTGAAGATACAAATGTGCGTTTTCATTACACCAGGGCTTCTGAAACTCAGCTGCATGGACATATTCTTAAAAGATTTAAAGAATTTTTATTATTTTAAAGGGTTAATATTTTATTCAAGTTTATTGAACAGATATAATTCTTCATAACCAGAGACAATACAAGGCACATAAAATGCACATATTTTCTAGAGAAACACAGAGCTTCTGAATTGAAGGGGACCTCGGGATCTTTTATCTCAGCCCCCATGTACCCATGTGCCATGGCTGAGTGATATAGTATAATAAGCAGAAAGACTGTGAAACCAGACACATAGCTAAAGAGCAAGTGCAATTAAAGGTTAAAATTAGATTATTATTCCTTTTGATGCCCTTCCCCCATGGCATATCACAAAACATAAAAGCAAAGGCAAGGGAAAAAAACAGCAACTGGGAAGACTATACCCTCTAGCCAACCTATCACAATTATAATGTGGTATTTGAAAGAAGAAAAGACATTTCAAAAGGGCACCATTATTAATGCCACCAAGAAGGGATTGGAAAGTTGCAGTTTAAATCATTGATTTTGTGCCAGTTCTCTTGTTTATATAAATATCAATTCTCACTGTGAATTATTGCACCTTTATTTAGTTAGGAATACATTTTTAAAATGCCTTGCTAAAAGGTGTGATTCAATGGAGAGAAAGTATTATCAAGTAGTGCAATGATCCATAAATAGCTATTATTATTATTATTTAACATTCGTTAAACACCCACAGTGAGCTAAGCACTGTACCAAACTTTGGGAGGATGTGTTTCTTACTCTGACGAGGACAGATTAAATATGCGAAAGAGAGGAAAGCTTAGGATCAGGGAAATTTATTTTTCTACTCCAACATTTCCATGTCAAATTTCCACTTGTCAAATTAACAAAATTCAAGATATTATAATAGTATTAATAATAGTTATTTCTTGTGTTCAGTGTTTTTTACATTACGAAGTGTTTTATAAACCTATCTCATTATATAACTTGGCATATAGTCTCTGGAAGATGTGAGAATAAGAGAGGTAATTTTATTTCAAGAGAAGCATCAGCTGATTTGTTGGAGCATGAAAGGGCAGTCATACTGAAGGAGAGGGGAGAGTTTTTTTGGATAGGTAGTATATGCAAAAAAGAATTGTTCCTCTCACCTGGCTTTCAGCTATCAGTTTCCCTCCCTGAAAGCAGTCACTGTAATCATGTTTTTGCATATCAATCGAGATAATAAATGAGTTTACTAACATACAGTTTACACATGTGGTATCACACTATGTTCACTGTTCTGCACCCTATTTTCTCTTACATTTTGGAGATTATTTCATGCTACATTATTATTTTTAATGGTTGCATCCTATTCCATATATAAGTGTACCACAATTTATTTAACTGGTCTGTTATTAAAGCATATTTATAGAAATTTTGTCACAATTTTTGTTTCTGAAAAATTCTGCTATTACAAACAATAATTAAATAAGTAGCTTTGTAGAAACACCTCTGCAAGTATATATGTAAGATAATTTCCTATAAGTGGAATTGCTGAGCCAAAGTGTATGTGCCTTGGTAATTTGGTAGTTGCTGCTAAATTCCCTCTGGAAAATGTATACTGGCTGCAATTCCTAGCAGCAATGTATGAGTGCCTGTTTCCCCACACTGTCACCAACACAATGTGTTATCAAAATTTGAGATATTTCATAATCTGATGAGTGAATAGCAGAATCTCATGGTAGTTTCATTTGCATTCCTTCTAAGTATAAGATTGCTTAAGCATTAGTTCATAGTTTAACAAAAACATTAGTGGTTCCTTTTCTGTGAACTCTATTTATATTTTCAGTTCTTTTATAGGTGGGTGTTCTTTTTTGAATTGGTTTTTGGCAACTCCTTTAATATTGATGAAATTAGTCCTTAATACATAATCTGAATTGCAAATATTTTTCCTAGTGTGGCATTCGTTTTCATTAATGGTATTTTTACGTTACAGAGTTATCTAGTTTTAATAACTTAGTGTATTAATCAATCTTTTGTGGCCTCTAAGTTTTGTTTCATGTTCATAAACATCTCTATTAACACAAGATTATTTTTTAAAAAGAAACTTCCTAGTTTTCACTTATGATTTTTTATGTAAATTGTTAATACCTTTGGTATTTATTTTATTATGAGGTAGGGATCTAACTTTATTTTTTTAATAGATGACTATTAAGTGGTCCCAACTCTATTCATGAATAATTCAACTTTCTTCCATGAGTTTGAAATACTTCTGTCATATACTAAATTCCCTTGTAGGGGAAGTGCTTTGTAAATGCCATCATTATTCAGTTTAGAAACGCAGACATTCCCCTAGGTTAATTCACTAGAGTTGATGGTTGATAATAACCTACTGAATCCAAGCAGATGTGTGGGGCAAGAAACACAGAAACAGCAATATGCAGGAAGCAGGAGGGGTGCCTAGTTGGAATTAAGAGAGCAAATAGGAACAGAGGAAAAATAAGATTAAAATGTCAGAGAAAAAGTAGGGACAACTCCAAAACAAATACTTTCATGATATAAAAGGTAATGAGAGGACACCTACTCCAACTGCCCTCCTGATAAAGTTCAAGCTGCATCACATGAACTCCAGGACTTTTCTGGTCTGGTCTCTACCTACCTCTCTAGCCCAGCGTAGATTTCTCACTAATTATCTTTCAGGTTTCAGCTTGAACATTATTTTCCGCCATGTACTTCCAAGACTTGGCAAAGAATGAATCAAGTGTTCCTTTTTTGGTCCCTGCAGCATTCTGTGCATTGTATTGTCTGGTCTCTTTCACCTCTGTTGTGGACATTTTTCTTCACTCCCAGCTTTTAGTCATCTCTGTCAGTTACCAAGTTTCTCTCTGGATGACTTCTTCTCTTACACTAAGCCCACGTGCTTCTGATGGCACTGACTTGACCCCATCCCTGAGGTCCCACACGTGACCTAGGCAAAGCTGCTTGATACGAGTCACTCTCCACACCCCAGCCACACCCCAGTGAGTGGTTCAGGGATTGGCATGTGCCCAAGGAGAGCTAATGTGACACAGTGGAACTTGGCCTGGGGAGCCTGAATGAAAACTCAAACCAGAAGTCATCTTACAACAACGGGGGTCTACAGAGTGGACCAAAAATGAAGTAGAACCAAGAAATGGAGGGACAGGGAAAGCCATCTGAAGCCCTGGATCAAACTGGAAACCAATATCATCCCTGGATTATTTCATTACTAATAAATTCCTTGGTTTTCTTCACATTGTTTTAAGCTCAATTTTCTGTCACTTCTAGAAAACGACTGCAACTTCTTAACAGCTCCTGAAGGTTGTTTCTTAAGGGAAGAAACTGTGTCTTAATGCTATTGTATTCCCAGGGCTCCATTCCTGGAGCACAGCAACATTCAATAAATATACAGGGAAGAAAAAGGAATAAATAATACGACAAAGTTCTTTTAAATCCTAAAGTAACAACTGCTTCCAGGTATGGATATTCTACTTATGGAAGATCACTGAGTTGACTGATGGCAGAATCTGGATTCAAATCTAGGCTGACCCGGGCCCAAATCCTTGGTTTGCTCACCTGTAAAATGGCAACGCTTTGTGGTTTGATATTAAAATGGTGATGATACCCTCTTTTATTGCCGGAACCAAGGAGTGTGCCAAAGAGAAGAAGGTTCCTGCTTTGCCAAAAACCCTCAAGAAAAAGCAAAGAAGTTTTGCAGAGCTGAAGATCAAGCACCTGAGAAAGAAGTTTGCCCAAAAGGTGCTTGTAAAGGCAAGGAGAAAGCTTATCTGTGAAAAACTGAAGCACTTTCACAAGAAATATACACAGATGGACAGAATGGAGATTCGAATGGCCAGAATGGCAAGAAAAGCTGGCAACCTCTATATACCTGCAGAATCCAAACTGGCATTTGTCATCAGGATCAGAAGTTCCAATGGTGTGCACACAAAGGTGTTCTGAAAGGTATTATTGCAGCTTCTTCACCTTTGTCGGATCTTCAGTGGAACCTTTGTGAAGCTCAACAAGCCTTCAGTTAACATACTGAGGCTTGTAGAGCCACATATTGCATCAGGGTACCCAAACCTGAAGTCAGTAAATGAGCTAATCTACAACAGTGGTTATGGCAAAGTCAATAAATTAATCGCCTTGACAGATAACACTTTGCTCAATCTCTTGGCAAATATGGCATCATCTGCTTGGAGGATCTGATTCATGAGATCTATACTGTTGGAAAACACTTCAAAGAAGCAAATAACTTCCTGTGGCCCTCCAAATTATCCTCTCCATGAGGAGGAATGAAGAAAAGACCACTCATTTTGTAGAAGGTGGAGATGCTGGCAACAGAGAAGACCAGATCAACAGGCCTATTATGGGAATGAACTAAGGTGTCTACCATGATTATTTTTATAATCTAATCCATTAGTAAACAGTAACTGTTTTCAAATTGAAAAAAGTAAAATGATAATAATATAACAGCACATATCAAATACTTATTCTCTGTTAGAACTGATTATTTCACACCTTTTCTCCTGTAGCCTCACTGTTCTTCAGAAACTTTATGGATTATAAAAACCATGAACTCTCTAAACTCTAAAAGAAAGGCATCATGGATATGAGCAATTACTCTGATTTCCGCAAATAAAATTGTTTCATTTAGCTTCCAATTGCCTCTGCTAATGAGAGAACGTAAAATTGTGGATAATCAAAAGTCATTGATATGTGTTTGGAGACCTTGTTGTATGATGAGTTCAGCAGTAAATTTTCCTTGCTAATTTCATTTTGCCTCCAGTGGCAAAAAAAAAAAAAAATGAGTTTGGATTGTCTGAGCATATGTTAACTGGGTGATGAAAAAGATAATTATTGTGCTGGACATGAACAGAAATCATTTTATTTTTTAATTTTATTTTATTTTAGATTCAGAGGGGATGTGCAGGTTTTGACATGGGAATATTGCATGATGCTGAGATTTAGACTCTAGAGATTCCATCGCCCAAGTAGCGAACACAGGTAGTCTTTTGGAATCCCCAGTGTCTATTACTTCCATCTTTGTATCCATGTATACCCAATGTTTAGCTCCCACTTATAAGTAAGAACATACAGTATCTGGTTTTCTAGAAACCATTTTTAAATGTCCTTAAAATTTACTTAGTGTAATCTACAAGGCAGATAACCCACAAGCAGATAATTGAGGGGTGAATGTCAACTGAATATAAGAAAATGTTTGTTCTATTGCATTATTATGATTTTAAACAGAGCATTATAATTTTTTATTTTGCAATAATTAAAAGCAATCTTACCTACTTTAGTTGGTGGGATTTTCATTAAGTGTAAAATTTTATATCACTTGAATATTCTCATGTTTCAATTGCCATCTTAAAATAGCACAAATAATGGCTGAAACATTATTCATTCTATTCATAAGTTAATGCTGCTTAAATTCTGTCAGTAAAATGTATTAAAAATTCTTTATGCATTTTTTCATCCCTTACATTCTTAGCTATGCAGGGGTTAAAGGTCATGCAGAATACTTCAAGGTATTGTTTGGGTATTTTCAGGGGAAAAAAAAGGTTACCTAAACTGAGTGAAGTAACCAACTTTTACAAGGCTCTTCTCATCTCATTACAACTGGTGGTTGTACACATTGAAATATTGTTGTATGGGGCAGTTTTCCAAGTTGTATGAAAAGCCTTGAAATATTTAGCATTTTACTCTATTACAATTTGAGAAATTATATTAAAAAATAAAGAAACAAAACGATATATGTCATTGCAGCACTATTTATTACAGGTGGAAAAATTCTAAATTTCTAATAATAATGGCATATCTGTGACTTTAAAAATAATATTTCAAAGATTATTTCATAGCCAAACAAGCTAATTATAATATAATTGTTTTTAAGTCTTAAAAAAGGCAGGGAATTATCCCAGATATCTGTATGAGTGTGTATGCGAGTTGGGGGAACTCTGGAAGAAAATCTGCCAGTGATTACTGGGGTTATGCCATATAGATGATTTTTACTTCTCATTTTCAACCTGCCAAATCATAATGAGTTTCTGTAATAAATCTGTATAACTTTTATCAGAACAAATTCTGTTTTCATAACTAGATCCTAGTTCCCAGAGCAGGCAGATTAGGTAAACAGCCCTCTTTACAAGATGGTTTCTAAAAAGAGGCTTGAACACAGAAGCACGTTCTACCACTGCTGTTTCTAGTTAGCTAGTTCTTTATTACAGTTGTATTTCACAGCTTAGTCTATAATATAGAAATTCTCTAGCAAGGTTGGATACCTCCTTACTATTTAGTAGGAGGATTTACTTTCCTGGGGGGTAAAAACTGTATCTTCATTCTACCCTCCACCTTCTCCTTTTAAATCCTTGGCTTTTAACTCCACTGTAGGTTCTATGCTCCTTGTCTGGAAGCTGGAAGACCTATTAGGAGGCTGTTGCAATAGTCTGAGCAAGAAATAATGAGCCAGAACAAAGGCAGTGGCTGTGTGTGTGTGTGTGTGTGTGTGTGTGTGTGTCTGTGTGTGTGTCTGTGTGTGTAGCTGAGTGGGAAATTCAGTAAGTCTGAGGCTGACAGGGAACGCAGGAGAGGGGATCTCTCCCCACTGCTGTGCTGATTACAGCTATACCCCGCTCCATAACCTTGCAGCCACCAACTCTCATAAAATCTACCAATCAGACCTAAAAGAGATAGAGCACTGTAACCACAAATGTCCTGGCCATCAGCATAGAGACTTTCCAAAAGACCCGCCCCAAATACATATGTTCTGTAGGGTCTTAGCTCACCCTAACTTAACATTTGCTTCATTTTAATAGTAAAAATCACAGCCCAGGAAGGAGATTTAAGATACTAATGAGACATAGGACATATAAAGAAGCATGACAAGAGACCGCACAGGTGCAGCCAACAGACCACTGCAAACATGCAATAATGTTACCTGGAAGAGAGCTTAGAAAGAATACAAGTTCAAGCTAACCCACTTTCAGGCAGCCAACAGCAGATCTCTTTCTGCTGTAGTTTCCCTTTCTGCTCCAGGTGAAAGCCGCAATAAACTGCCTTGCTGAAGCCCATCTTAGACTCTCCATCAGTTTCTATTTTCTGAGGGTAGAGAACCGACTGGCCAGTCACAAGTCCACACGGCCCATGTGTATTCTCTGCCTAGAATAAGTCTCCTTCACCTCTGGTTGACCAGATCCTTCTATCCTTCAAGTTCCCATTCAAACATCTCCTTCTCCACAAAACCCTTCTATACCCACAGCTGGAAGTAATTTTCCCTCCTTTGATTTTTATGTTTTTACCTTTTTCATGTATGTATATATTTTTTTATTTTGAAACAATCAAAATTGCAATACAGAGAACTTTTTTAAACCACTTGAGAGTAAATTGCCAGCCTAATGCTCCATCACAGCTGAATACTTTTGTGTGTATTTCCTGCAAGAAATGAGACATTCTTTACATAACTACAGTACAAACTTCAAAATCAGAAAATTAATATTGAAATATTAATGCCATCTGTTCCTCAGTCCAGTAATGTTCTTTATAGCAAAAGAATCCTGTTCAGAATCAAGTGTTGCATTTAATTATCATCTCTTTAATCTCATTCAATCTGGAATGGGGTCTCAGTCTTAAATTTCATGACCTTGACAATTTAGAAAATACAGACTAACAGAGTACTCATCAATTTGGGTTTTCTAGTGTCTCCTCATGACTAGATCCAGTTTATGCACCTTCAGTAGAAATATCACAGAAGTGATGATTTGTTCTTATTAAATGGTGCATGATTGCAATTTGTTCTATTATTAGTTATGCTCACTTTGATTGCTTGATTAAGATGATTTCTTCCAGTCTTCTCAACTTTGAAGTTATTCTTTTCCCCTGGGTAATTAATGATATTTTGTAGAGATATATTTTGAAACTTTTAACTTATTCATTCACTTATCTTTTGTCAGTATGGACTCACTGTTTATTTTATTCTATAAGCTCTAATCCATTACTATCATTATTTATTTTTAACCTGAAATTGACAAGATTTGGCCAGCAGAAACCCCTTCAAAGTGGTTCCTGTGTACTTTGATACATCCTCACCATTCTTTGAGCATTTCTTTGCTTTATGTTACAAGATGTTCCAAGATCATTCGCATTTTCTCTTCCCCCAACCTGGACTCATCCATAGTTCTACAAGGACTCCTGGTTCCCTGAAGAATGGTATTTAGAAACCAAGGTCTGAGTCCTAGGAGTTTTTATTGCATTTGGGGTGGTACTGCTCCGAAGACTGCTCAGTGCACAAAACTTAAAATCATGGGAATGTATGGAAGTGCACACATGTATAAATCCACACGTTTACATCAATAGTTATTATCTACCTGTAGATACTGAAAATCATGAGTTCACACTCAAAGGTTCCAACTCCATTGAGTTTATTCCAGCTTTCTCCCTTTCCATATATGCAATTCCTATTTCCAATAGTGAAAAACCTGGCTCCCATTATCCTTAACATAGTTACTTACTTAAACACTTCCATATATGTCTCCCATCTTTGGAACTATCAACTTCTCACATAAATATCCTCCTTATTCCACTCAGGTCATGATTGCACATGGACATCCTCTCCTGTATGTTCAGTCTCTGAAACCCATGTTCAAGTCACTCTCCCCTACCGCTCCATCTATATATTCTCCTAAGCCTGTGCATTCCCTGAAAATTCCATGCCAGGCCACCCACCCCCTGTGATATCCTTGTCACCCTGCTTGGGCTCTGTTACCCACTTTGGACTATCCTATATGTGTACCCTCCTCACTCTACCAGGATGCCCGTACATGGACATCCTCTCACTCTGATTACAAATAATAAAATTTTTTAGTTAAAGAAAAAAGAGATACTGGTAGGATTTTTAGTCTAGGAACATCCTAATACCTTAAGGTCCTTGGCCAAACCTTAATTTATTAGCATACGTGAAACACACTCATGGAAAAGTGATTCCTTTCCTTCTTTTCTGCCTGTGAGACCAGACCAGTCATCAATATAATCATTGTTTAAGGGAAAAAGTGTATTAGTTTTTTTATTAAATCTCACCTTCTCTCTTTCTCTCTCTCTCTCTCTCTGAGACACACACACACACACACACACACACACACTCTCTCTCTCTCTCCCATTCCTTTACCATGAAAGCTTATTTCACTGTTGCTCAATCCTCTGTGGATCAAAATCGGCAAAGGATACTAAAAGTACTAATATTTTTCATGGAAAACACCGCCTATTGTATTCTGTTGCTGGAAAGATTCTTCCACAAGACTGATGACAGAAACAAAGGAAATACAAGGAAGAGGTTATGGAAAACAGGAGGGAGAGGGATGAGTAAATAAGAAAAAGAAAAGGTGGGAATGAGGAAAGTAGCAAGAAGGGAAATGGAAAGAGGTGATCTGGGAGAGAAAAACCACAGGTGGGATGCTAAATGGGAGAAATGTGAAAAGAAAGTAGTGGGAGTGGCATTCAGGAGAGTCTGACTTAGCCACCAAATCCCATGGCAAAGAGTGCCAACTTTATTATCAGCCCCAAAGCAGTGCTACTGTCAAAATAAAAAATAAAGTTACCTACTCCAAAATCACTGACATGTCTAAGCAAGTAATGGAGAAACTGTTGGTTCATACACTTTTTGAGAACCAAACTTCTGAATTTTTGTCTACATACTTGTTTCCTGACATCTTTAAAGAATTGCTGTTTGGAGCATCAGTTTTGGACACCACACATCAACATCTCCAAGATGGTGAAAGAGTTCTTGGTTGACCAAAACTTTGTTGAAGAAAAATATTGATATGTGTATAAATGGAACGCCTGCACTATTAGCATCACATCTGATTTTGCTGCTTTTATAAAGAAAGAAACTACACATTTCATCACGTCAATGTGTCTGACTCAATCCCCTACCAACGATCCAGAAAAATGTCTTGTCTAATGCTAGGATCTTGTCAAATCCAGGTTATGAAATCATTGCCTTTTTATCACTTTGAATTCAAAAACATACTTTAATATGAAGTTATTCTCTTCGTATTCTTCATTATAGACCTAAGTTTGCTGGATTTCCAAAAAGTAGTTTTTGAAACACAATAAAACTTAAGGGAAAATTTTGCTCCTTTTACAGAAAAAGAATATCACTTCTTAGAACAATTTTTTTAAGATGCTCTATTAACTACCTTTATTGTGACACTTTTTAATACTGTATGAAAACCTCGGTATGGTGCCAATTTCTTTTTTTCCCTCTTAACTTTTATTATAGGTGTGGGGTATACATCTGCAGGTTTGTTACATGGGTATGTTACACTCAGGGAGTAAGCTTAGTACCCAACAGGTAGTTTTTCAGCCCATGCCCCCTTCCCCCTCTCCCTCCTCTGGTAGTTCACAGTGTCTGTTGTTCCCACGTTTGTGTCCGTGGGTACTCAGTGTTTAGCTTCCACTTATAAGTGAGAACATATGGATTTGGTTTTATGTTCCTGCATTAATTTGCTTAGGATTATGGCCCCCAGCTCCATCCATGTTGCTACAAAGGATATTATTTCATTCTTTTTATGGTTGCATAGTATTCCCTGTATATGTAACACATTTTCTTTACCCAATCCACAATTGATGGGCACCTAAGGATGATTCCATGTCTTTGTTATTGTGAATAGTGAGGAAATGAACATATGAGTGCATGCATCTTTTTGGTATAGTGATCTATTTTCCTTTGGTTTTATACCTAATAATGGGATTGCTGGGTCTAATGGTAGCTCTAAGTTCTCTGAGAAATCTCCAAACTGCCTTCCACAGTGGCTGAACTAATTTACATTCCCACCAACAGTGTGTAAGCGTTCCCTTTTCTCCACAGCCTCACCAGCATATGTTGTTTTTTGACTTTTTAATATAATAGCCATTCTGAATGAATGGCTGAAATGGTGTCTCAGAATGGTGAGATGGTATCATATTGTGATTATCATTTCGATTTGCATTTCTCTGATGATTAGTGATGTGGAGCATTTTTCCCTATGTTTGTTGGCTGCTTGTATCACTCCCTTTAAGAAGTGTCTGTTAATATCCTTTGCCCATTTTTTAATGGGGTTATTTGTTTTTTGCTTCTTGATTTGCTTAAATTCCTTTATCAGATGCGTAATTTACAAATATTTTTTCCCATTCTGTAGGTTGACTGTTTACTCTGTTGATAGTGTCTTTTACTCACAGAACAATTTGATGAAGATTTATTCCATGATTAGTTTAATTAGCAGATCTTTTTTGCTGAAGTAAATCATTCTATATGCTTCCTACAGATGTTATTATAGATACTACTGAAAATATCAGTAGGGCACATTAGTTACTTTCCCAACATTCATTTCACTTTATTCCTTCCTAATGAAATCCTGATTTTAGTTTGTACATTATTTCCCCCACTCACCAAATGACTGAGGAAAACAAATCTCATTGCCAAATTGTCCCTCCTTAGTTGAAACCAGTCAGCACATGACACTGTTCTGGCTACTGTTATATAGGTAGAGGAGAAATTACATGGCCTGCATCGGTCCAATCATAGTTAGGGGAAGAACTCTCTTTTACAATGTTAAGAACATACGTTACATCAGATTCTCCTGGTAGGTGACTTGTAACCATAGGAGAACCAGTCTGAATTCCAGGCTGTCTAATGGAGCAGAAATATGGAAAGCATTTATGTCTTGATAACATTATGGATCACTGAGTCACCACCCTGACCAAAGCTGACTCTACTTCTGGACTCTCTGTTATGTGAGATAATAAATTTCTTTACTGTATAATTTGTCATTGACTTGGGCTTTTGTACTTGCAGCCAGAAATATCCTAATTGATCAAATCAAGTCCAACCTCCTGTCTGAAAACTGAAATTGCAAGCAGACATGCATGCCAACTTTGAGGTGCTGGTGAAAGTGTTTCTGCAGGTTAGGCCTTCACAGCTTCCCTGCAGAAAGAAATCTGAAAACACTGAATAGTTCCCATGCAGGTTTCTTCTGCTCAGATAATTTTAAAGCTTAAACATGACCTCATAATCCTTTCCTTCCTGGCATAGAGAGAATTGGTAATGCCAGCTTTGCAAGGTAACCTCATTGATTTGAAGAAAAAGGAAATGATGCTACACAAATTAAACCCAAGAGAGTCTTGGAGAATTCTGATGTTCTTTGACAGCAATGTACCTTTGAGTCACGGGTTTTAGTACCAGCTGCCATCAAAATAAAAATGTCAAAATCAATTGAGTGTCCAAGATAATTTTCACATTGCTATGTCAGTCTCTTTTTCAAGTTTAACATCAGATGGCTTAATTTGTACAGAGTTAATGTTTACTCTTAGGATTTTATTTTGATTTTTTTGCACAGTTTAGATTCATCTTGATTATTTCCTGAAAATCACCACTAAATTTACATGGCTTTTCCCATGAAGAAAATATTCTTTGAACAAAATCAACTTCCAGTTCAATAGGAGAAACCATAATCATATGCAAATTTGTTATGTATGTGTATATACTTTTCTGAAAAGGGGAATTATATTTTCATCTGATTCACAAAGGAGTCCATGACTCAAAAACTATTTCTGAAGGCCAAATAGTAACTATAGATGGTCAGAGAAATTACCGTGAAAGAGGAAAAGAGAAGAAATGAAATAAGACGTATTTTTTAAGTTTTGGCCTGGTTGAGAGGACAGATATAAGGTGACTGCCTCTTGGATATGGCAAAGTGGTGGTATATATATTTGAGTCTATTACAGTATAGTTGGAAAACATAACAAGTAAATAAGAAGTCCCTGGAGACTTTAAGACATGTAATGACAATATATTGCTGTGTGGGTACAAATTAGGTGCATGCCTGGATCAATCAAAGTACTTGTAGGAAACTTAAGACACAATCCAAAAAAAAGGTAATTGAAGAGATTTTAATGAAAGTACTATTTACAAAAGAGTAAAAGATGGGATTAAGGGAAGCCACAGGGATGGTGAAAGAGCCTAGGATTGACAACAGGAGAAGCCATTACCGCTTCTATGCCGAAGCTAGCCTATTGAGAGTCATGGTGGTAGAAGGATGCCTGACAGGAGCTATGATCATAGGTGGAAGGTTACAGAAACGGTCCACCTGCAGCACCACAGGAAAGGAGCCCCGGAAATAAATACCCCATTCTCACTCTCTCCCCATAATCTGACCGCCTGCCAAAGCCTCTCACTGACCAAATCCAAACAAGAGCTGAGGGGGTGGAAGCTGGATTATCTTAGCTGACAAGATCAGTCCTTTAGAATCAAAACAGGGTCGGCCAGGCGCGGTGGCTCACGCCTGTAATCCCAGCACTTTGGGAGGCCGAGGCGGGCGGATCATGAGGTCATGAGATGGAGACCATCCTGGCTAACAGGGTGAAACCCTGTCTCTACTAAAAATAGAAAAAAATAGCCGGGCATGGTGGCGGGCGCCTGTAGTCCCAGCTACTCGGGAGGCTGAGGCAGGAGAATGGTGTGAACCCGGGAGGCGGAGCTTGCAGTGAGCCAAGATCGAGCCACTGCACTCCAGCCTGGGCAACAGAGCGAGACTCTGTCTCAAAAAAAAAAAAAAGAAAAAAAGAGAAGAATCAAAACAGGGTCATGGATGAAGAGGGACGTGACAAGGCAAACAGGCACCACCCAACTCAGACACGGCCCATATAACAGTACAGGAGGGACTCTCAATAAGAAATAGAGATATTTAGTTCCACAGTAGCTCTGATACACATTTTTGGCAAAGATGTGTATTTCAGAATCCTTTCCGTTTAGTTAATGCTAGTTTTTAGTCATCATACTCTATGTTGACAACTTTACGGATATAAACAAATACTTATTTTATAATCATTAAGTTTCTGATAGTAAAGCTAATTTTTCCCCTCAGGCAAAAATATTCTTCTAGTTTCATAGCTTTGGCAGTACTTTATTCCTCTTAAAGAGTAAAGTGTTTATGTAAACTGGAAACAATTGTTTTGATTCCATCTCCAAATTATACTAATTCCTATGAGATTCACAGTTCCCTTTTGAGTTGTTATGAACCTAAACTGTGTCCAGGAGTATGTGTGGGTGGGTGTGTATAATGTACTGAACTGATCAATTGACAGTCCGTGTGTACATGCACCTGGAAGGCCACCACTAGCTCATCATGTCTGTGTCTTTTCAGGGATGGACTGCATAGGTTGTCTGGTGCAGTGGAAAGAGTTCTGAAGACACTGGTCATGATCTGTCTTTTCACTAAGCAGCTGTAGGTCTTTTGGCAAGTCCCTCACCCCTCCAACTACTCTTCAAAGGAGTAATGGGTTGAGGCAACAGAGGCTCAGATATCCACCGACTTTAAGTTCTGTGGTTCCCATGCCTGTGCCTGATCAGCATAGCTAATGGGAACATCCACTTTGCTGCTTACTGACTGCTCTGGTTTGAAAAGAGCTTTGTTTTAAACTTATCTAGAGTGCTAACTACTCTACTTTAAATTAAATATTAGATAAGGAAAGCAACAGATGACATTAAAATACAACAAATCCTCAGTGACTTTCTGTGGGTCTAAGAGTTACAGCCTCACATGAACCTTAGGATTTCCGTGAATTGCATAAATTATGCTTACCATTTCGCAGGTAAATATTTACATGTCCAAGTAATGACTCCACAAAGCTGTGAGAAAGGAAGAAGATAATTCATGCCCTAGAATAGATCTGTACATTGTAATTCAGGTCCACTGGAGAAACTCTATTTACTATCATCTTCAATGTCCTGGAATGGAGGAAGGAGCTATGGAGCCACTGCTGAGGCCAAGGTATTCCATGCCAGCTGTCACATGGGTATTTGTACAACATTCTTGCATCATACAAATAAATAATTAGCTACGTATTTAATACCTACTGCACACTGTGTATTACATATATTGTTTAATTCTCATAACTGTCCTTTGATATTATCTCCAATTTACTGGTCTCAAAGAAATCAAGTAAATTAACCAAAGACACTACCTAGGAAGGGAAAGAGTCAGGATTTCAACCTAAGATTCTAAAGCTGATGCCTCTATCCTTGTTACCCTAGTGTCTCCAGCAACTCTGGCCAGACATATTCACTATCTCTCAAACACTTCCATTGGTTTTTCACAGAAAATGAAGCTGTTCACTTAACTTTGATTTCTCCCTTGAGTGATGTATCTGAACCCTTAGCCCTCCACATGTGCCTCTAGCAATATCTACTATTCCCTGGAGAATAAGAACCAGGTGGGCTGGGCCTGGCCTCAATTGCCAGTATTCTCCAGCTCCATAGCAGGGCAAGCAACACATCCATGTGACCTGTCTTTACGCACTAGAACTTCTATCTCTTGTCTTTCTTCTAAATTATAGACCATATTTTCCTGTAGGCATCTACCTCCTCTTCCCTTCCACCATAATTACCCAATTATCTAAACACCCTACTCCCTACTTCAACTGTCTCTAGAGAACATTCACCTTCTAAATGTGCTTTAGATAATTTTATACCTTTACTGGGCTTTGAGAATTTTTTTAAGGGGAGGCACTGCCCTAACCCACTCTCCTTTTGTCTTAGGTTGGGTTTCTTGGAAATAGATTCTAAGATGGAGAATTGTGTGCAGAATTTTGGTTGTGATGTGCTCTCAGGCGATACACCTGCAAGGAAGTGACAGAAGAATGCCTGAGGAGGAGTGAGAATCCAGGAATGGGTCAGCCCTGAAGAGGGGTCTGGGGCAGGCACTGTGGTGTGCACTGTACCTGCTCAGATTGGTGGGCCTGACTTGTGTCTTCAGCTTAAATTACCTATTCCTCTTCCAGACAAAAGATCTTTAAGGTCCTAAACACCAGTCTGGAATCTGACTATGCAAAAATGAAAAGATCCTGAGCTCCCTCTCCAGAGGAACTAAGTGAAACAAAGAACGATTATAAAGTAGGAAAGTTCTAAAAATAGTAAGATGAGACTGGGTAATTTGAATGAAAGCCAGTCAAGTCTATGTGGAATATAGCATCTTACTGATTCATTATCAGCCCATATAATTTAATTACATTCTACTTACCATGCAATTTTCACATCCTAAACCATCCAGCGTGAAGTCTATGTTATCTGATTAAAGAAAGAGGAAAGGGAGAGAAGGGAGTGAGAGAAAAAGAGAGCTCCTGAAGCCATGCAAAAGAGGAGCTTCCTTAAGGATGGCAGAATGCATTGCAAATTCAGAAACATATTTAACATATAAAAGAAATAATGTAAATTTATCTCTTGTTTTCTATAAATAAGCCAGGTTTGATTATCTTAAGCTATTAATACAAATATTCTTCTCTTTGTCTTTCTTAACTTGAGCCATTTACAATTTGTAACACAGAGAATCATTTTTCAGATCTAACTTAACATGTAACTCTTCATTGTTTCAACTGAAATTAGCAAATCCCAGAAAGAAAATTCTTCCCTAAGAAATCATTTCTTCAAAGTGATTATTTAAGAGTTGCTAAGTTAGAAACATACATATCACTATCACTATCTTCTGATCATGGTATCACTATCTTCTGATCAAAATTTAAAGATATTCATTTGAAGAACATTTATACCTCAAGTTCTAGGAAAAGGAGGTTTTAGTGACTGAAAGATGTTGAGGAAAATGTGAAGCTCTTAATTAAAATTATTGAGTCACGTGAATATACTGAATAAAATGGTGGTTCCCAGAAGCTGGGACAAGTAATGAGAAAGGGGAAATGACGAGGGGTTGGTTAATGGGTACAAAAATACAGTTAGTAGAAATAACTTCTAGAGCTTGATACCACAATAGGGTGACTATAGTTAATAATTTTTATTGTACGTTTCAAAATAGCTAGAAGAGAAGATTTGGAATGTTTCCAACACAAAGAAATTATAAATGTTGAAGGTGATGGATATCCCAATCACCCAGATTTGATCATTATACATCATATGCATGTATCAAAACATCACATGTACCCCATAAATATGTACAACTTATTCAGATCTTTTTTTCTATTTATAACTGATTGAATAAACCTATTCATTTTACTAAACAATTAGTTTTCAAAAATAACCAATATATAAAACTGAAGAAAGTCAAAGACCATATCCTGAATTACAAAAATAATATTTTAAAATATATATACTCCTAGAATTATTTGACTTTCACTTAACTAATACTCTTTGTGATCAATCCCCCTGATTAAATTCAAATTTATGTTAACCTATATTTACATTTATTTTTGGAGGTACTCTAGAAAAGTTTTCCAAACTGCATCCTAGTTGCTGTGGCCTTTGGTTTGATGGCTTTCACTTTTGAGTTCAAACCTCATTTCCCAAATACATTCTACAACTAGGCATATTTATTTAGAACTCAAAAGGCCACCATCTTCAGACTTAAGAAACAAAAGCAGCAGTGGTTTCATTATATTTCATATATTTCATTATATTTTACCTGTGTGTAAAATATAATACTGTCTTCTTGGGCGAAAGGTCATATAATTCTACTCTCATGTGGATGTTTTCCACAAAATGAATACATAGATTTAAACTGATCAATCCACATTCTTTCAATTGACCTCTCTTAAAAACCAAAGCACAGCCATTTGAGCTTCAGTGCTTAGAGCAACTCTTTCTGGCCTGTGTAAGGAATTTACCCATGACTTGGGTTTTAATACTGTACTCTAACCAGCAGCAAGAGAGAGCCACCAACAAGAAAAAACAGGGATGCTGATTTTAAGAACTTAATTACAAGAATTTATCAGTTAGAATAACCCTAAGTACTGTAACAAATAAACCCTGAAATGTCAGAGGCTTGACAGAGCAGAAGGTTATTTCTTACTCAGATAATGGCCCAACTCTGGAACTCCTAATTGGGAGGTAGCTTTTCTCTACATGGTGATTTGGGAAACAGACTCCTTGCCTCTTGTGGTCCCACAGGGTCTCATAATCTTCTGCATTTTGCCAGTGGAAGAAGAAAGCATGGAGAAACATCCTGTTTCTTAAAAACTGTGGCCCAGAGGTAACACACATCACTTTTGCTCACATTTCATTGATGTGAAATAATCATAAAATCAAACTAAGATGCAAGGTGGTGGGAGGGGGAGTGTGTAGAAAATATACTTAAACCTAAACTATGGGACAAGGAGCACAAGTTTTGGTCTACAACTATTCATCACAACCACAAACACCATCAAGCAAGAATTTATCAACACCTATTTTATTCTGGATGCTGTGGTAATAATCAAAGACAGCATAGGCCAAGTGACAATAAAGAACTATAATGTATTCACGCTGTCATTCAGCAAATGCTTACTAAACATCTACCGGCTGGCACTTGCTGGGCCGTAAACTAAGGAAATGAAGATGGTGCTCTCAATCCCATATAGGAGACAGGCCTGAGCAGTGCTGGGTTACCTCAAAGCAAATCAAGTATATTTTTAGGATTCCAATGTAGGAGCGCCAAAACTAGAGACAGAAAAAAAAAGAAAGTTTTTGAAACAATTTGATCCCTGATGTGTCCTTAAATAGCATTAAAATGTTCATCAAAATAAAGGTAAGAACTTTGTAGGATTTCTTTATACTTATGATTAACATTTTTTAATTATGTGTATAGGGAACATCAAAATATTTTTATAATATCCTAGCCCTTTAAGGTATCAACTTGGTCCAGATATTTAATTAAGTGTAAGGAATGTCCCAAAAGACCTCACAAATGGGATGGAATTTGAGTGCCTTAGAAAAAAAAGCAAGGCTCAGATAAGCAGAAGATATGAGGGAAGGTGTTCCAAATCAAAGGAACTAGGATAGCGCTAGTCAGCAGAGACAGCATCAGGACAACCACTATGGCTGTGAAAGATAAATTAACTGGGTGATGGGTCCTCTTAACAGCCCAGCTTCACTCAGATCTGCCTTCCCTGTTGAATGTGAGCACCTCAAGGGCAAGGACCATGGCCATCCTTTAGCCCCAATTACCAGTATCTACCCAGGTTTGGAGAACTGAATAAAATTCAATGTGTGCATCAACTTGCTTCTTTTAAATGCTGCAGGATACATTGCAACAAGGTGAAATTTTTAAAGCATATCTTGACTCTGGAAACCATATGTTGTCAGGTCAAGATGGGAGGCATGCAGTGCTCTTATCTGTCTCATATTTGAATGCTTCTGACTTTTATCACAGATTAAATTTACTGGAATTCATTTATTTCTATACATTTCTCCTTCTGTCATCCCCTCTTACTTTGTGTAGTAAATATGAGATATTTTTCTCCACAGACTCTTCACCTCAGAAAACTGTCATTATCTATTCTGTCAGTCCTAAACATCTGGAGAATTGGCAAAACTATTAGTTCAAAATTTATGATGGCATTCTTCACATTTTACAGAACAAATTCTGGTAATGTTTACTATTTCCAATATCTGGAGGACTGTTATTTACTATATATGCTTTTTTTCACAGGAGAAAAGTTTATATCACTACCTTGCTATGCTTCTTAGAAACATTTTTAAAGTATTATATAGGGTCACAATTCTATCAGTGTTTTTGTAAGAGCTTGAATTCATACTCATGGTGTTTGAAAGAATTTGTTTTTCTCTAGGCAGAGCTAAGATTGAAATTAGATTTCACGAAGATGACAGTTTTCAAGACATTTGAAGGCAGTCTTTTTAAATTCTAGGAAAATAAAATATCTTAGTTCTGACATTCAGATATCAATGTAGGCTAGTTGCTAGTGAGTGAGCACTAATCAGTCGTAACTTTCTTCTGCTGAATCTGAACACCACCTCCAAATACTCAGCCCAGCACTCCATCAGTAAGCACCCATGAGTTGAAGTTTATATGAGGTGAGACTATTCGCATTTCCCATTATATCTGAAGTACCTCACTTGTAGCAGTTAAGAAAAATAAATATAATCCTATAATATTTACAGAGATATTAGTACCCTATCAAATTCTGCTTAGTGCTACTAATCCCCATAGACCCTTTCAACACTTTGTTAAGAAATAGTGAAATTTGATTAACCCTATTCTAGAAGGGATTGTAGTTAATGAGAGCTTAGCAACTAAGAAAGTTCACGGGGGGTAAGAAGAAACATAGCAAAGTCCCCTTGGCCTCTTTCATAACCATACTATTGAGGAAGGAAAAAGAAAAGGAGGCAAAAATTGACAAAGTAAATATTGGAAACTTGGAAGTCAGAAAATATGTTTATACAAAGGGAAAGCAAAACACATTTACTGTTGAGGCAAGACAACCAAATACAAAGTAAATAAACACATATAGAACAAATATGGCAAATATATAGAATGCATGCTCCCCAACCCCTTTCCACAGCCATGGCAAATACCAATTATCAATTCACAGCAATTCTCATGCTGAGCCCATGTGCAATCTTAGCCCAACACAGTGTCAGTATAATCACTGAAACATGAGATGAGATAAGGCTTAGTTGTCATTCCCAGTCTTGCATCTGTTGCTAAAGCTTTCTTAGGTTTTTTACTATACTGTATATAAAAAGCTAGGGCTCTCCAAGGCACACAAGTCTTAAAACTTGCCACAAGTTAGCAGTGAGGCAGATAAGCTGATCTCATCCAACCTCCCTTCAATAGCAAAGGAAAAAGAAAACTAACTTATATTTCTCTAATGCTCCGTAATGTATAAGGAGCTTTATCAGCACTACCCAACAGAATTTTGAGCAATAATAGAAACATATATATATATATATGTTCAATCCAATATGGCAGCCACTAATCACATGTGCCTATTGAGCATTTGAAAATTAGCACTAGTATAACTGAGGAACTGATTTTTACTATAATTAAGTTTAACTGGCCATGTGTCTTAGTCATTTTGTGCTGCTACAACAAAATAGCAAGATGGGTAATTTATAAAGAACAGAAATTTATTTTCTCATAGTTCTGGAGCCTGAGAATTCCAAAATCAAGACATTAGCAGGTTTGGTTGTCTGGTGAGAGCTACATCCTCCACAGGGTAAGAATACAGTGTCCTCACATGGCAGAAGGCAGAGAGGCAAGCTCACCAAATGTGTGAAACCTTTTATAAGGGTCTTAATCTCATTCATGAAGGAGGAGCCTTCACGGCCCTATCACCTCTTAAAGGCTCCACCTTTTAGTACTAACACATTGGCAACACCTGACTTTCGGAGAGGACATAGTTAAACCATAGCACTATATATGGCTGCTATATTGAATAGCACAGGTATCCATATTATCTAATTTGATCTTCACAATAACTTTGTCAAGTAGGTCATCTCCATTAAAAAGAGAAGGTAAAGAGACACAGAAATATTGACTTGCCAACATTACAAAGCTAGAGAGTGACCAAATGTATACTTGAATCTCATTCTTTCAGAATCTAAGTTATCAGACCCTTCTTTGGTACCACATCAAACTTGAGGTAGGTATGGATCAAAAGAGGACCATGCCCTGAAACTAGTGGTTCTATGCAGCCCACTATGAGTTTACCACGGGAAGTACACTGCAAAGAACTAACTCTGAAAATCTGAGATTTTACCCTATTTGTAAGCTAACAAATTAGCATGCCAATTTCATGAAAGCCAGCAGAACACAGAAGACTCCTGGATCAGAGTAAAAGGACTTTATTACTCACAGTAATAGCAGTAGACAGGGTATGAACATTTTCTTACAGCAACTTCCCAAGCCCGAATTCCCACAGAATGATGGATGCAGAGGGCCGGATGACTCTTGTGCATGCAGTGGGTTGCATTACAGTTTGCAAACTTACCTTAGAAAACCTAAATCATTTATAGTAGGCAGAAAGCATGCCTACTCCTTATTCCAAAGCGGAGTATTATCTTTATCATAATAAACAGTAAGCATGACTCCCTTTCTCTATATCTATCCTCCAAGGATGCTGTCTATACAAGCATCCTTGAAATGATAACCTGAAATGAAGGAAGTCCCAAAACATGCATAAATGTGAGAAACCACACACCACTTCTTCTCCTGTTTGGTGAAAAACTATTTTCTCCTGTTTTGTCACCAAAGAGTAGAAAATAAGCCAAGAAAAGAGAAAGATGACTAAATATCAACATAAGAGCCAAGTTGAGGTGTAAGTGTGTATGTTTGATAGAAAGACTACGTGTTCAAAGTTAAAACCAGGAATTAATGTTAAGCCAGGAAATTAAAGTGAAAGTAAATTTGGGAAATAATAGTGCCATATAAGTGTGATGAATCACTGACATTTTTATTGGGCATTAACAACACGTTTTTAAATATAATTTCCCCCAAACTAGAGGCTACTTCTTTCTTGGAACTGAATGATAAATACATGCACATACCCCTTACCCAAGGCAGCCATCTGTTCTAAGGGATCCTCCAGGTTACTGTCCCTACCCCGACACCACACTGCCTCCCAGATGTCCTTCTCCCTGAAGCCAGCCCCAGATCTTCTCTCCCCAAGCAGCTCTCCTTTTTGCCTGTCTTCCTGAGTACCGGTCCCCAAATCACCAAATTCTACCTTGAACATATTGAATGAAAGTGTGCAGTGCCTTATGCCCTGATGAGAAGTGGTCTTGGAAGATGTTTTCTGCACCAACTTAAGAAGCTATCACAAAATCATGATAAAAAAAATGATGAGCTATTTATACTTTGCAGACATAGGTGGTTGTTGGAAGAAAAGAGTGCCTTAGGAATCAAATAACTGGTATTGGAGGATTCCTGTGACTTTGTAAAATTCAATTAAATATCCAGGGGAAAATAATAGACAACATTGTCACCTGAGGATACATTATTGGTCCTTGTTGAAAAAGCAGTAGTTTCTAACCAGTTCCTTCCTAACCTATTTGCCATTAATTTCTGGAAGTTACAAACTGTAATAACAATTACCATAACACTGACTGTAGCATAAAAACCATAGGATGTTAGCCCCAAAAGATGGTCAGAAATAATGAGGTGCTAATTTTACAGATAGGGAAACAGAGACCTGAAGCAAGGAGTGTCTTTTTCAGAGTCACACAACCAATCATTAATGTATCTAAGACACATTTGCAGGAGGATTCTGTTCTTCACTCCTCCATTTTTATACAACATACTATCTCTTGCTTTTCAACCTACAGTAAGTTGAGCCAAAAAAAAAAGATACCTACAAATCTCCTTCTTGAACATGCCCTTTGAGGTGGCTGGAACAGTATCAAGTGGTCTGAGATAGCAATGCACTAGGTGGAAGCTTAGATAGATGGCACTAAGTGGAAGCCTAGTAGGAAACCTCAGCCCTGCAGGCAGCTTCCATGTGTATTCCCTTGGGTCTGCCACAAAAGCATGTTGCACTACAAAAGATTCAAAAGGCAAATGTGTGCACAGCACAGGAGGGAGCCCAGTTCTTCTCTGAGGAGTTTCCTACTTCAGTGGTGTTATTAAGCTGGGTCAAAAGAAAGTCATTTCATTTTTTTAAAATATGCTAATACAACCTCAAGCACCAGCTAGCTTAAATGATAGGCATTTCATAAAGTTCATTTTTATTATTCTCAGCTGAAAAGTAAATAACACCCTACAGGTGTCCTTCATATAAAAATGATGTATTTGCCTTCAATGGAGACTCTGTATTGACTAAAACCTTATCTGTATTTCACAAGACAGATCATTTTTCCCCATCACCTTTCAAAGAGGTGTTGTTGCCAGTCTATACAGGACAAACGAAAACAGTCTAATAAAAGAAATGGTTCAGCAGGAACTAACTGAAAGAGTTCCCAGTGACCAAAACTGGAACAACTTGAGCAATAAAATAAATAACCTAGTATTGGATTATAACCCAAAGAATAAAATAAATAGCCATGAGTTCATACTTATATAAATAAACATAAATAGGCATCAATAGTGTATTTATAAAATAATTTCCCCAGAACTAAAGGCTACTGCCCCCTTGGGACTGAATCATAAATATATGCACAGTAAATATCAATATAAATAAATGACTGAACAAATAAAGTAGGGGAGAAGAGATAAATCTTCCTTTCAGAATTCCATATAATGTATGTTCATATTCTCCCTCTCCAAAAGGCAGAGCTTAATTCCTCAGTTTTGGAGGTAGACTAGACTTAGTGATTCACTTCTTAAAAAATAGAGCAGGGAAAGGGAAAAATAGTAACTTTATAGTGGAGAATCATGGCAAATGCTACCTTAACCAAATGATGACAGTTAACACCACCAGTAATGTCAAGTGAATATCATGTTCTCTAATATGATCTAATGAGAAGGGCTTGACTTCTGAGATACTCTTCACCAAAACTTATAACCCCAGTCTAAACATGAGGGAAAACATCAGATAAACTGAGATCAGGGGGACATTTTTTTCTACAGAATACCTGGCCAGTATTCCTTAAGACAGTCAGTCATGAGAAACAAGCAAAGATTAGAAAGTCACAGACCAGAAGAGACTGGGGAGATAAGAAAAATTAAATACAATGTGGTGTCCTGAATTGGAACAGAAAGAAGACATTAATGCAAAAACTATTAAATCCAAATAAAATCTGAAGTTTAGTTAATAGTAACGAGCCAATGTCTTTTTCTTAATTTTGAAAAATGTACCATGGTAATACAAGAAGTTAACAATGGGTAAAACTGAATGAGGGGTATATATGAACTCTCTGTACTTTCTTTACAGCTCTTCTATAAATATAAATTTCTACCAAAATAAAAAGTTTATTTCTTAAAATAGATGGTGCAAATGTATCTTATTGCATGCTCTTCCCTGGAGCATGGTAGAGTTTTATAGTGAATGCATTGCCAAATCCAAGGAAGACAGAAGACTTGAGAAAACTAAATACTTTCAGCAGCCAGGGGTGGAGTGGTGACAACAAGCTGTAGAATAAAAGGAAAAGTGATGTTTGTTCAGTGAAGAACAAACTAAGTCTTATTTGTGTAGTGGTCTCAGAAGCAGAATATGTTCTAAACAAAGAGTTAAGGAAGGTAAAAGCTCAAACCAACAAGTAAACCAGATTTCACAGAAACACAAATGTGTAGCGGCTGTCCAATAATGATTATGTTTAATAGTAGAATAGACTCCAGTTGCAAACATATGTTTTATACAAACTCTTCAAATTGGAGACATTTCTCTAAATTTTCCTTGTAAATTGTGCAGGATATTACATCTGACTTTCATATTATCATCTCAAAAGTGGTGAAACCATTTTGCCAATCACTTGCATCACCTTTCTGCCACCCTGCCTTCTAAATTACTTCCTTTTCCCACTCAGGCCATCCTCTACTTTCAATTCCAAAGGTTTCAGTTCCTACCCAAACTGTCCCCCTCTACCCATCCCACTTACAACCCTTAGTCTCATTAGAAAAATCTCAACCACCCGCTTGCCTTTAACACCTTTTTCTGGATTTGCCTTCTAAACAATAATCCCTTCGAAATGACTTTGTGAATGAATGCAACTGATTTAAAGGGTAAAGAGAAATGTATCTGCTTTCTACAAAAGCTTTATGTAGATAGGGAAAATTACTTGTATAACTTGCCCTTTTTCTCCTCATCTTTCTATAGAAACATAGAGTTGTGTTTCCAAAAATTCCAAGGAAGGCCTGGGCATAGCTTGTAATACATGTGGTATGGAGGTTATTAAAAACAGTTTTTCAATTCAAGTTCTCAAGCCTACTATGAATGTTTACCAAAGAACGACGTGAACTGGACTGACAAATGCATTATACTTTGGTCAATATATATTAGGTTCACATTTTGTTTTATCACCTTGATGGCTGAAGAATAAATTTAAAAGGGATGGACTAAACATTCAAAGACGCAAACACGAGTAAATACTTCAGAGTTCAATATGTAGATAACAAATCCATCAGCATATAAACATGTTCAGCAAACAACAGACTGAACAAATGTTTATTGAGTATCTCTTAGGTGTCAGGAAATGTGCAAGCACTTTGGCAAATGCTGTCCCATTTAATTCTCTCTATAAATGTGTAAGGTAGGTATAATTATCCTCATTTTTCAAATTGTAAAACCAAGCTTCCAAAGATTAAGTAACTTACCCAAGGAGAATTGATGTGTTACTTAAGTAATATTAGTTCCAAAATATCAGTGGCTTAACACAATAAAATATTGAAATGTTTCTCACTCATATCACCATTCAATGCAAGTCAGTGGTGGGTGTGGCTAAGAATATTCTATCCCACTCGTCCATTCAGGGACCCAAAATACTTTCATCCCATGTCTCTGCCCTCCCCTAGGTCCCCAGAGACCTCTCCATCCAATAGCTAGATGGAGATTAAGAGCACATTAAAGGTTTTTTTGTGCAAGACCTGGAAGTAGCACATACCACTTATGCTCAAAGTTCATTCTCCAAAAGAAGAACCAGAAAAGGAACAGCCAAGCAAGAAGAAAACTTTCAGACAATGGGTAAAACTGGGTGACAGTATATAAGAACTCTCTGTACTATCTTTACACTTTTCTATAAATATAAAATTTTACCAAAATAAAAAGTTTATTTAAAAAAAAAAAGATGGTATAAATGTATCTCATTGCAAGCTCCTGCCTGGAGAATGGTGGGGTTTTATAACCAATGCATTGTGAAATCCAAGGAGGACAGTTAAAGAAACCTTGGGAAAACTAAATGCCTTCAGCAGCCAGGTGTGGAGTGGTGACAACAGGCTGCAGAATGAGAGGAAAAACGATGTTTGCTCTTCACAGAGCAAGTGAACTATTATTCGTGTAGGAGTCTGAGAAGCAGAATATGTTCTAAATTTTACTAACTGTAGCCACTATATTTCTACCAAGCACTACCCAAAAAAAAAAAAAAAGTGACTCTATCTCCTCCCCTGCCAGAAAAGGCCAAATTTGCTTTCCTTCTACCACTGCATGGCAGCAATCATCCAGCACTCCTCTTCTCTCCCTGGAGCAACGTCAGAGGAAGACTGCTACAACAGAAGATTCAAAGAAGATCCAGAGTCTCATAATATAATACCCAAAATGTCCAGGTTGTAATAAAAAGTCAGTCATCATATCAAAGACCAGGAAAATTTAACTTAAATGAGAAAAAAAAAATCTGCAGACGAAAAGGATTTTTGAAGCCCATAGCAAAAACATCTCAGTGAAGAATTATGAGCACACTTGAAACAAATAAAATAACAGAAAATCTTGTCAAAGAAATAGAAGACATAAAGAAGAACCAAGTTGACATTTTACAATGGAAAAAAATACAATAACTGAAATTAAAGAGCTCAGTTTATGGACTCAAGAGCAGCATGGAAAACAGAGGAAAAGATCGGTGAACTTAAAGATAGAAAAATGGAAATTACCTAATCTAATGACAGAAATAAAATAAACAGAAGAAAATCAACAGAGTATTGGGGACTTGTGAGATGTAACAGAAGATCTAACATCCATGTCAGTGGAGTCTCATAAGGGAGAAAGAAGACGGGGCTGAAAAAGTATTTTTTAAAATAATGGCTAAAAATGTCCCATTTTGGCAAAAGATAGAGAAAAAGATTCAAAGAGTTGAGCAAACCACAAATATAATAAGTCAAAAAAATCACACCAGACATATCGCAGTTAAATTTCTGAAAATTAAAGACAAACAAAAAATCTTGCAGCTGTGAAAGAGAAATGACACCATACCTATCAGGAGAAAAAAAAATTGAATGACAAGGTTTTTCAGCAGAAACCATGGAGACCAGAAAATCCTGGCACAACATTTTTCAAGTGCTCACAGAAAAGAACTGTCAACCCAGAATTCTACATGCAAAGAAAATATCCTTCACTAATGAAGGATTCAATACAGTCTTAGGTGAAGGGAAACTAAGGGAATTTGCCTGAAGATCTACACTAAAAGAATAGCTAAAGAAAGTTCTCTAGACAGAAATGATAAGGAGAAATCTTAGACCATCAGGAAAAAAGGAAAAAAACAGAAAGAGTGAAAATATGAATCAATGAAATATGCTTTCATTTTCCTCTTGTTTTCTAAATTATGTTTGATAGTTAAAGCAAAATTGTAACAGTCTGATGTGGTTCTCAGTGGATGTAGAGGAAATATTTAAGATAATTTTATTATAAATGGAAAGAGGGTAAAATTATATAAAGGAAGTAAGGTTTCTATACTGCACTTGAACTGGAAACTGGTAACACCAACAGATGGGATAAGTTGTGTATATATCATATAATATCTAGAGCAACTACTAAAAGAGCTCTACAAAGAGGTAAATCCAAAAACACTAAAAGTAAATTATGATGAATTCCCTTTAAAATGTCCCCAAGTAACCCACAGGAGCTGAGAGAAATAAACAGAAAAACATAAACAGTGAAAACAAATGAAAACCAAAAAATAAAATGGCATACTTAAGGATTAACATATCAATAATTACATTGAATTTTAAAAGGTCTACATACCGACCCGGAGCCGTGGCTCACACCTATAATCCCAGCACTTTGGGAGGCCGAGGCAGGAGGATCACTTGAGCTCAAGACTTTGAGACCAGTCTGGGCAACATAGCAAGACCTCATCTCTATAATATAATAAATAAATAAATAAATAAATAAATAAATAAAGGTCTACATACGAATGAAAGACAAAGATTGGAAGAGTGGATTAAGAGAACATGACCCGGCCAGACACAGTGGCTCAAGCCTGTAATCCCAGCACTTTGGGAGGTCGAGGTGGGCGGATCACCTGAGGTCAGGAGTTCAAGACCAGCCTGGCCAATATGGTGAAACCCCATCTTTACTAAAAATACAAAAATTAGCCAGGCGTGGTGACAGGCACCTGTAATCCCAGCTACTCGGAAGGCTGAGGCAGAAGAAACGCTTGAACCTGGGAGGCGGAGGTTGCAGTGAGCCAAGATCACACCACTGCACTCCAGCCTGGGTGACAGAGTGAGACTCCATCTCAAAAAAAAAAAAAAAAAAAAAAGAAAAAAAAAAAAAAAAGAAAACATGACCCAACTATATGCTGTCTGCAAAAAACTCTAAATGTAACTAGGTAGGTTGAAAGTAAAAGAGTAGAAAAAGATATGCCATGAAAAGATTAATCAAAGGCAGTAGGAGTGTCTATATTAATATCAGATAAAATGGACTTCAGAGTAAAGAAAATTACCACAGAAAGAGAATGACATTACATAATGATAAAAAGCTCACTCCACCAAGAAGACATAGCAATTCTAAATGTTCATAAACAAAATAGCACCTGCAAAATACGTGAAGCAAAATTTAACAGAACTGCAAAGAGAAACTGGCAAATCCACAACTAGAACTGGAGACTTCCATACCCCACTCAAAAACTGACAGAACAAAATGACAGAAAATCAAAAGGAGTATAAAGGAAACCAAAAATACCATCAACCAACAAGATCTAATCAATATTTATAAAACACTTCAAACAACAGCAGAATAATCATTCTTTTCAAGGCCCCATGATAAACCTTATCTTGGACCATAAAATAGACCTCAGAAAACTCAAAAGAACTAAATTAACACAAAGTATGTCCTCTGACCACAATGGAACCCAACTAGAAATCAACAACAGAAGTATAACAGGAAAATCTCTAAACAGAAACTAAACAACACACTTCTAAATAATTAATATGCCAAAGAAGCAACTCAGGAGAAATCTTTAAATACTTTAAATTTTTATAGAGAAAATCAATGAAAGGTTGTTTTTCTTTAAAAGATCAATAAAATTGACAAACCTTATAACTGACATAGAAAAATAAAAGATTGTTATTTTGTTATCAAATTATTGATATCAGTAATATCAGTAAAATGTTATCAAATTATTGGTATCAGTAATGAATCAGGGAATATCATTACAGGCCTGCAAATATGAAAGAGATAAGAGAATACTAAGGACAATTCTGTACATGTAAATATAACAACTTAAATGAAATTGATCAATACCTCAAAAAGCGTGAACTATTACAATTCACCCAAACAGTTTAAATAGGCCTATAACTACTAAGAAAATTGTATTAATAATCTTAAAACTCCTGAAAAAGTAATCTCCAGGCCTAGATTGTTTCTCTAGAGAATTCTATCAAAAGATTAAAGAATTAACACCAGTTACACAATCTCTTGCAGAAAATAGAAAAGGAACACTTTCCAACTCATTTTATGAAGCCGGTATACCAAGCAAAGGCAGTAAAAAAAAAGTTAGAGATCAATATCTTCCATGAATATAGACATTCAAGTCCTTAACAAAATATTATCAAAAGAATTCAGCAATATATAAAAAGAATTATACAGCACAAACAAGCGAGATTTATTCTAGAAATGCAAGGCTGTATAATCCACCAGATTAACAAGCTATAGAAGAAAAATCACATGATGATATCAATCAACACAGAAAAATTATTTGACAAATTTTAACATTCATTCATTATAAAAAAGATTCACATAAAAGTAGTAGTAGAGGAATACTTCCTTAACTTGATAAAGAACATTGACATGAAACCTAAAGTTAACATGATTCTTAATAGAGAATAACTAAATGCTTTCTCTCTAAGATAGGGAATAAGATAAAAATGTCTGCTCTTACTACTAATATTCAACATAGTACTGGTAGATCTAACCGCTAAAATAAGACGAGAATAAAAAAGAGAAGACATACATATGAGAAAGAAGAAATAAAAATGTTCATATTTCAAATGACATAATCATTTATGAAGAAAATTTCAAATAATCTACAAAAAAACTCATATCTAATAAGTTAGTTCAGCAAGGTAGCATAATACAAGATCAATACCCAAAATAAAAGATATTTTTATATCCTAAAAATATATATGTGAAAACCGAAATTTCAAACACAATGCCATTTGCAATTATTCTAAAATAAAATAAAATACTTAGGTGTAAATCTAACATAACATATGCAGGACTTGTATGCTAAAAATTACAAAATGCTAATGAAATGAATCAAAAAAGGCTTGGACAAATAGAAAATAAGTTAAAAGATGGTAGACTTAAACCAAAGCATACCAATAATTACACTAAGTGTAAATAATGTAAACATCCCAATTAACAAGCAGAGGATGTCAGACTGGATAAAAATGCGAGATTCAATTACAGGCTATCTATAAGAAACCTACTTAATATAAAGATATAAATAGGTTAGAAATAAAAGGATTAAAAAAGGCATGTCATGCAAACATTAATCAAAAGAAAGTTGGAATGGCTATATTAATATTATACAAACTAAACATCAGAACAGAGAATATTATCAGGGATAAATGGAGATTTACATAATGTTATAAGAACTATTCATCAAAAAAAATCTTAAATGTGTATGTATATATCTAATGACAGAACTTCAAAATACATGACTCAAAAATTGACAGAACTAAAGGGAGAAATTGACATACCCACAATTATAGTTGGAGATTTTAACACAATTTCCTCAATAATTGACAGAACAAGCTGACAAAACACTGATAGATGTATATAAGATTTGAACAAAACTATCAAGCAAATTATCTTATAGAACATTGTGTGGAACAATCACAGAATACACATTATTTTGAAACATAAGCATAATATCACCAAGATAGACTACAAGCTGAGCCATAAAATAAGTCTCAGCAAACTTCAAAAGATTAAAATCATGCAGAATATATTCTATGAGCCTGAGTACAATAGAACTAAAAATAAGTTTTGAAAGAATCTATAAAATCTCTAAAAATTTTAAGTTAATAAATGCCCTCCTAAATATTGTGTAAGTCAAATAAGGAATCATGAAATTAGAAAACATTTCTTACTAACAACGAAAATACAACATACTGAAATTTGTAGGATATAGCTAAAATAACGCTTAGAGCAAATGGATAATTCTAGGTGCTTATATTGTTACTGACAAAATGTTTTAAACTAATTATCTTAGCTTTTACATTAAGAGACCAGGAAAAGGGTGGTGAATTAAACCAAAGTAAGTAAAAGGAAGGAAATAATAAATATAAAGACTGAAAGGAATAAAATAATAGGTAATAATAGAAGAAATTAAGTCATTCGAAAGCTGGTTCTTTAAAAAGATCAATAAAATTGAAAAATTATTACTTAGACTGATCAAGAAAAAAGAGGAAAAAACTGAAATTACCAAGATTAAGAATGAAAGAAGGAATATTACTATAGATAGTATAGGCTAAAAGGATATGAAAGGAATATTGTTTTGGGGGGGTTGTTTTTTTGTTTTGTTTTCACTTATTTGTTTATTTTCAAACAGAGTCTCGCCCTGTCACCCAGGCGGGAGTGCAGTAGCGTGATCTCAGCTCACTACAACCTCTGCCTCTTGGGTTCAAACGATTCTCATACCTCAGCCTCCCGAGTAGCTGGGATTACAGGAACAGGCAACAACGCCAGGCTAATTTTTTTTATTTTTAAGTAGAAACGGGGATTCGCCATGTTAGTCAGTCTAGTCTCCAATTCCTGGCTTCAAGTGATCTGCCCACCTCGGCCTCCCAAAGTGCTGGTATTACAGGCATGAGCCACCATGCCGGGCCAGTTTTGGGGTTTTTTTGTTTTGTTTTTCAAAAATAGGTTTTAAGATATACCAAATAAACTATACAGATATCCTCTAACAATACAAAAAAATTAAAAATGAGGTTAAAGTATATAGCAAAAGCCAAATATGACAATACACATGAATAATTTATAAAACAAGGCTTTTAATCCTAAATAACTAAAATGGGGAGACCTCACTGAGGGCTAACATACATAAAATGAGGACTAATAGCAAGGAACAATCCTAAACATTTTCCCATGTGACTGACTAAGCCACAAAAAGCACCTTAGAAAAACTATTAGAGTAATTTTTTTCTACTCAGTTACCACCATCTTTTCCTTTTCACCTTTTCCCTGATTTTCTCTACCAATGGTTTTTCTTTGGTTTGATCAGTTGAACCCAAAAGATTTGGAACCTAAAATGAGTATCAACTCTTATTGGAATAGCGCTTGGGAAATGCAATCCTAGAAAAGGCAAATTTTTACCTGAGGTAGCTTGAGAAAGTTCAGCATCCATTCTCAGTGTGAGAGCATCTCCCATGTTAATCACTAGGTTAATAGCTGTGCTTGGCTAGATTACATGACCCTGCATGATACTGGAGTGCTCCCTGGTGAGGTGCTACTATCTACACAAACACCTGCCCATTAAGCCTTCAATAAATACAAAGCACCATTTTAAACCATTTCACTAGAATAAATTTTTAAAATATATCATTTCTTCTGGCCTAACTTGCTTCTTCAGATGGGCTGGGGTGCTGCTCATGACACGGAAGACATAACAGCTAATGTGTGGCTATTTCAAGCTCTTTAGACTTCAGCACTTCCCACTTATCAAGCCTCAGTACTTTTTTGCAGCAATAATGGTATTTTCCATTAACATTCCCTCTGTCATGGGACCAACACCCCCAGTAACAGGAATGATGTAACTGGCTTTTTTCCTGACTCCTTAAAATTCCACATCTCCAACCAACTTGAGTTTGCCAGTTATGGGACCTTGACCTCTCTTTTTTCCCAGATCAATGACTGCTGAAAAAGGGGTCAATTCAGCTAGAAGATAAAACAATTGTAATATAAAATTATTTTTAAAAAGAACTTCCAAAACCTAGAGTAATAAATCAATATTCAAGTACAAGAAGACGATTAAACACCAAGCAGGTTTAACCCAAATAAGACCACCTCAAAACATTTAATAATCAAACTCCCAAAGGATAAAGATTTTTGAAAGGACTCTAAAAGCAGGAAGAGAAAAGAAACAACAAACAATGGAGCTCCAATATCTCCAGCAGCAGACTTTTCAGTGGAAACCTTAGAGGCCAGGAGAGAGTGGCATGACATATGTAAAATGCTGAAAGAAAATAACTTTTATCCTAAAATAGTATATCTAGCAAAAATATCCTTCAAACATGAAAGAGAAATAAAGACTTTCTCAGACAAACAATAGCTGAGGGATTTCATCAACACCAGACCTGTCCTGCAAGAAATGCAAAGGAAGTTCTTCAATCTGAAAGGGGGACATTAATGAGCAATAATAAATCATCTGAATGTACAAAATGCACTGGAAATAGTACACAAACAAACACAATATTATAACCCTATAATTGTGGTGTGTAAACTATTCATATCTTGAGTAGAAAGATTAAGAGATAATCTATCAGAAATAATAACTACAACAACTTTGCAAAACAGACAGTTAATAAGCTATGAATAGAAACAACAAAAAGTTTAAAAGTAGGGGGATAAAGCTAACGTGTAGCATTTTTATTAGTTTTCTCTTTGCTTATTAGTTTATTATTTATGAAATTAGTCTGTTTTAAGTTATCATCAGCTTAAAATAATGGGCTGTAAGGGATTATTTGCCAGCCTCATGGTAACCAAAAATCAAAAAATATATAACAAAGACACAAAAAAGAAAACACATAAAATTAAAACATACCACCTGAGGAAATCACGTTTGCCAAAAGGAAGACAGAAAGAAAAGAAGGAAGGAAAAGAAGACCAGAAAGCAACCCAAAACAAATCAAAAAATGGCAAGAGTAAGTCCTTACTTACGGATAGTAACACTAAATGTAAATGGACTAAACTCTCTACTCAAAAGACATAGAGTAGGTGAACGGATTTAAAAAACAAGACCCAACAATCTGGTGCCTACAAGAAACACACTTTGTTACTGAAACACCAGGGCTTCTGTCTAGGTCCTGCTGCTTGCCACAGAGAAAGTCAATCACTGAGACCATGAGTATTGCCAAGGAAGAAGATTTTAATTGGGTGCTGCAGCCAAGGAGATGAGAGCTCAGTCTCAAATCCATCTCTCTGACTGACTGAAACTAGGGGTTTATATAGCAAGGAAGAAATGTAACAATGTGTAAGAAAGCAAGAATTAGAGAGGGGCAAGGAAGCAATCATGACAAATGAAGCATCTGGCATCTTATTGTCTGGATGTAGTGATCTGGTGAGTTTCAGTTCTTTAATACTTTTTGTGAGAGGCCTGAAGGTCATTTCCTGAGGAAGGAACTCAGACAAAAATAAATACAAGTTTCAAGCTTTAAGACCAGAAGGATCAATTTTTATGTCTATCAAAAAAGAACTATCTATGAGACTATTGGGTCAGTTTCAACTTCATCTATAAGGATGCATACACACTGACAATAAAGGGATGGAAAAAGATATTCAATGCCAATGGAAACCAAAAAAGATGAGGAGTCACTATAGTTATATCAGACAAAATAGATTTCAAAACAGAAACTATAAGAAGAGACAAAGAAGGTCATTATATAATGATTAAAGGGGTCAATTCAGCAAGAGGATATAACAATTGTAAATATATATGCACCCAACACTGGAGTGTGTTCGGAATTTATTCCTTCCGGTAGGTTCTTGGTCTCCCTGACTTCAGGAATGAAGCCATGGACCTTCACAGTGAGTGTTACAGTTCTTAAAGATGGTGTGTCCGGAGTTTGTTACTTCAGATGTTCAGATGTGTCTGGAGTTTCTTACTTCTGGTGGGTTCGTGGTCTTGCTGACTTCAGGAGCGAAGCCATGGACTTGGTGGCGAGTGTTACAGCTCTTAATGGTGGTGTGGACCCAAAGAGTGAGCAACAGCAAGATTTATTGTGAAGAGCAAAAGAACAAAGTGTCCACAGTATGGAAGGGGACCCGAGGAGGTTGCCACTGCTGGCTCGGGTGGCCAGCTTTTATTCCCTTATTTGTCCGCACCCACATCCTGCTGACTGGTACATTTTACAGAGTGCTGATTGGTCCATTTTACAGGGTGCTGATTGGTGTGTTTACAATCCTTTAGCTAGACACATAGTGCTGACTGGTGCATTTTTACAGAGTGCTGATAGTGCTAATTGGTGTGTTTACAATCCTTTAGCTAGACACAGAGTGCTGATCGGTGCATTTTTACAGAGTGCTGATTGGTGTGTTTACAATCCTTTAGCTAGACACAGAGTGCTGATTGGTGGGTTTATAATCCTCTAGCTAGGCAGAAAAGTTCTCCAAGTACCCACCTGACCCAGAAGCCCAGCTGGCTTCACCTCTCAGGAGCACACAGATATATAAAACAAATATTATTACAGCTAAGGAGAGAGATAGACCTCAATACAGTAATAGCTGGAGACTTCAACACCCCACTTTCAGCATTGGACAGATCATCCAGACAGAAAATCAACAAAGAAACATCAGATTTAATCTGCACTATAGACCAAATGGACCTAATAGATATTTACAGCACATTTCCTCCAATGGCTGCAGAATACGTATTCTTCTCTTCAGCACATGGATCATTCTCAAGGATAGACCATATGTTAGACAACAAAAAAGCCTTAAAACATTCAAAAAAATTGAAATGATATCAAATATCTTCTCTGGCTAAAATGGAATAAAACCACAAATCAATAACAAAAGGAATTCTAAAGACCATACAAACACATGGAAATTAAACATGTTTCTGAATGACCAGTGGGCCAATGAAGGGCCTAAGAAGGAAATTGAGGCCAGGCACAGTGGCTCAAGCCTGTAATTCTAGCACTTTGGGAGGCCAAGGCTGGTGGATCACCTGAGGTCAGGAGTTCAAGACCAGACTGGCCAACATGGCAAAACCCCATCTCTACTTAAAAATAAAAAAATTAGCTGGCCATGGTAGCATGCACCTGTAGCCCCAGCTACTTGAGAGGCTAAGGCAGGAGAATTGCTTGAACCTGGGATGCAGAGGTTGCAGTGAGCTGAGACTGCGCCATTGCACTCCAGCCTGGGCAACAGAGAGAGACTCCATCTCAAAAAAAAAAAAAGAAAAAAGAAAGAAATTGAAAAGTTTCTTGAACAAATGAAAATAGAAACACAACATATCAAAACCTGTGGGATACAGCAAAAGGTTACAGGAATAAGTGCCTACAAGAAAAAAGTAGAAAAACCTCAAATAAACAACCTAATAATATGTCTTATACAACTAGAAAAGCAAAAGCAAACCAAACTCAAAATTATTAGGAAAAAAAGGAAATAATAAAGATCAGAGCAGAAATAAGTGAAATTGAAACAAAAAATACAAAAAAACAAAGAAACAAACAGTTGGTTTTTTAAAAAGATTAACAAAATAGACAAACTATTAGTCAAACTAAGAAAAGGGAGAGAAGATCCAAATAACATCAGAGATGAAAAAGGAGACATTACAACTGATGTCAGAGAAATTCAAAAGATCGTTAGAGGCTACTGTGTGCAATTATATGCCAATAAACTGGAAAACCTAGAAGAAATTGATAAATCCCTAACCACATACAACCTACCAAGATTGAACCAAGCATAAATCCAAAACCTGATCAGACTAATAACAAGTAATGAGATAAAACCTGTAATAAAAATTCTCCCAGCAAAGGAAAATCCAGGATGTGATGACTTCACTGCTCGATTTTACCAAACATTTAAAGAAGAACTAATACCAATTCTAGTTAAACTATACCAAAATATAGAGGAGGAGGAAATACTTCCACATTTATTCTGTGAAGCCAGTATTACCCCCCAGACAAAGATATCAAAAATAGAAGACTACAGACCAATATCCCTAATGAACATTGATGGAAAAGTCCTCAGCAAAATACTAGCAAGCCACATTCAAGAACACAATAAAGATTACTCATCATGACTAAGTGGGATTTATCCCTGGGATGCTAGAATGGCTCAACATTATGCAAATCAATGAATAGGGTACATTATGTCAACAGAATAAAGGACAAAAACCATATGGTCACTTCAGTTGATGCTGAAAAGCACTTGATAAAATTCAACATCCCTTCATGATTGATAACCCTAAAAAAAATGGGTATAGAAGTACATACCTCAACACAATAAAAGCCACATGACAGACCCACAGCTAGTATCATAATGAGTGGGGAAAAACTGAAAGTCTTTCCTCTAAGATCTTGAACCCAACAAGGATACCCACTTTCACCAATGTTATTTAACATAGTGCTGGAAGTCCTAGCTAGAGCAATCAGACAAAAGAAAGAAAGAAAGGGCACTCAAATCAGAAAAGAAGTCACATTATCCTTGTTTATAGATAATATGATCTTATATTTGGAATAACCTGAATACTGCACCAAAAAACTATTAGAACTGATACACAAATACAATCAAGTCAAGGATACAAAATCAACAAATAAAAATCAGTAGCATTTCTATATGCCATCAGTGAACAATCAGAAAAAGACATTAAGAAAGTAATTCTATTAACAATTGCTACAAATAAAATAAAATACCTAGGAATAAACTTAACCAAAGAAATAAAAGATCTCTACAGTGAAAACTATAAAACATGATGCAAGACATTGAAGAGGACACAAAAAAGTGAAAAGATATTCCATGTTTATGGATTGGAAGAATAAATATTGTTAAAATATCCATACTACACAAAGCAATCTATGGCTATAAGGCAATCCCTATCAAAATACCAATGACATTGTGCACAGAAATGGAAAAAATAATCTTAAAATTTACATGGAACCACAAAAGACCTAGAGTAGTCAAAGCCATTCTGAGCAATAAGAACAAAACTGGACGAATAACATTACTTGATTTCAAGTTATATTACAGAACTATAGTAACCAAAACAGCATGGTGCTGGCATAAAAACAGACACATAGACCAATGAAACAAAATAGAAAACCCAGAAATAAATCCGTACGTCTACCATGAACTTATTTTTGACAAAAGTGCTGAGAACATACATGAGGAAAGAACAATATCTTCAATAAATGCTGCCGGGAGAACTGGCAGCATTCCATATGCAGAAGAATGAAATAGACCCCTATGTATCACCATATACAAAAGTCAAATGAAAGTGGATTAAAGACTTAAATCTAAGACCTCAAACTATGAAACTACAACAAGAAAACATTGGGGAAACTCTCCAAGACATTAGTCTGGACAAAGATTTCTTGAGAAATACTCCACAAGCACAGGCAACCAAAAGTGAACAAATTGGATCTTGTCACATTAAAAAGCTTCTTCACAGCAAAGGAAACAATCAACAAAGTGAAGAGATAACCCACAGAATGGGTGAAAATATTTGCAAACTACTCATCTGACAATAGAATAATAACCAGAATATATAAGGAGCTCAAACAACTCTATTGGAAAAAAATCTAATAATCTGATTTTAAAACAGGCAAAAGATTTGAATACACATTTCTCAAAAGAAGACATAAAAATGGTATATGAAAAGGTCTTCAATATCACTGATCATCAGATAAGTGCAAATCAAAACTACAATGAGATATCATCTTACCCAAGTTAAAATGGCATTTATCCAAAAGATAGGCAATAACAAATGCTGGTGAAGAATTGGAGAAAATGGAATCCTTGTACACTGTTGGTGGGAATGTAAGTTAGTACAACCACTATGGAGAACAGTTTGGAGGTTCCTCAGAAAACTGAAAATAGAACTATTATATGATTCAGCAATCCCTCTGCTAAGTATATACTCAAAGGAAAGAAAATCAATATATTGAAGAGACATCTGCACTCCCATGTTTATTGCAGCACAATTATAGCTAAGATTTGGAAGCAACCTAAGTGTTCATCAACAAATGAATTGATAAGGAAAATGTGGTAGCAAAGAGATACCATCTCACACCAGTCAGAACAGTGATTATTAAAAAGTCAAGAAACAACAGATGCTGGCGAGGATGTGGAGAAATAGGAATGCTTTTACACTGTTAGTGGGAATGTAAATTACTTTAACATTGTGGAATATGGTGTGGCAATTCCTCAAAGATCGAGAAGCAGAAATACCATTTGACCCAGCAATCCCATTACTGGGTATATACCCAAAGCAATCTAAATTATCCTATTATAAAGATACATGCATGTGTATGTTCACTGCAGCACTATTCACAACAGCAAAAACATGAAATCAACCCAAATCCCCATCAATGATACACTGGTAAAGAAAACGTGGTACATATAACCATGGAATACTATGCAGCCATAAAAAAGGAATGAGATCATGTCCTTTGCAGGGACATGGATGGAGCTGGAAGCCATTATCCTCAGCAAATGAACCCAGGAACAGAAAACCAAACACCACATGCTCTCACTTATAAGTGGTAGCTGAACAATAGAACACATGGACACAGGGAGAGTAACAACACACACTGGGGCCTGCGGGGGGAGTGGAAGGAGGCAGGAAGAGCATTAGAAAAAAATAGCTAATGCTTGCGGAGCTTAATAACTAGGTGATGGCTTGATAGGTGCAGCAAATCACCATGGCACACGTTTACCTATGTAACAAACCTGCACATCCTGCACATGTACCCTGGAACTTAAAATAAAAATAAAAATTAAAAGAAAATGTAGTGCATATGTACAATCAAGTACTGTTCAACCATAAAAAAGAATGAGATCCTGTCATTTTCAACAACATGAATGGAACTGGAGATCATTATGTTAAGTGAAATAAGCCAGGCACAGGAAGACAAACTTCACACAGTCTCACTTATTTGTAGGAGCTAAAATTTAAAACAATGAATTCATGGAGGTAGAGAGTAGAATGATGGCTACCAGAGGCTGGGAAGGGTAGTTGCAGGGGGTGGAGAGAATGGGGATGGTTAATGGGTACAAAAGTATAGTTAGATAGAAAAAATAAGATATTGCATTTGATATCACAACAGGGTGACTATAGTCAACAATAATTTATTCTAAATTTTAAAATAACAGAGTACAATTGGACTTTTTGTAACACAAAGAAAGAATAAATGCTGAGGTATTAAATACTCCATTACCTTGATGTGATGATTACTTGTTGTATGCCTGTATCAAAATATCTCATATACCCCCTAAATATATGCATCTACTATGTACCCACAAAAAATTTAAAATTTTTAAAAATTAAACTCTTCTGGCTGGGCATGGTGGCTCACACTTGTTATCCCAGCACTGTGGGAGGCCGAGGTGGTGGATCACTTGAGCTCAAGAGTTCAAAACCAGCCTGGGCAACACGGTGAAACCCTGTCTCTATAATAAATACAAAAATTAGCCAAAGGGGTGGCACATGTCTGTGGTCCCAGCTGCTCAAAAGGCTGAGGCAGAAGGATCGCTTGACACTGGAAGGCGGAGGTTGCAGTGAGCCAAGATCATGCCACTACACTCCAGCCTGTGTGAAAGAGTGAGATTCTGTCTCAAAAAAAAAATTAAACTCTTCTACTTGTCAAAAAGCAACATTAAAAAATACAAAGGCAAACCACAGAATGGAAGAAATGTTCACAAAACATTGTGACAACAAAAGACTTGTATCCAGAGTATATAAACATCTCCTAAAACTCTATGCACTGTTTTGAGATTATAAAATGGTAATGTTTTCTTGTTATTATGAATATAATAACCTTGTAATAATCACATGTCATATTCCAATCACAATTTAAATAAATAAAAAAAGAAAAAGAGAATAAAGAATCCCACGCTGCAGTATCTCCTCTACATCCTCCCACTGCTTCTACTGAAGATCTAATTGGGAAACAGAGTATCCACCCTTCCTTTTCCCTGGAGAGGCAAAGAAAAGTATTTTCAAAGACTGAGAAAGTAAATTTAACAAACAGAAAGATAAAATTACTAATATGAGGGCAAGTTGACATTCCTGAAATAATAAAAAAAAGAAGAAATTGGTACATGGTACATATTGAAGACTTCTTTAAATAATTGGAAGTAATTTGGGCAAAATGAGAACAATCAAAGAAGAGACGAAAGAATATTTATGGTGAATTAACAATTATTGAAAACCAATAGATTAGCTAAATTGGTGAAATTAAAAATGAACTGAGCATGCCATGTACATCAATGTCCAAAAGCAGCCATTCTCTGTGGGGAAAGGTGAGTGTTGGCTCTTCCTAGAGACAAGAGGTCCTTCATAATTAGGTTCACAGGCACTAATTTTAGAGTATAAAATGCAGCTTGCTGATTAACACATGAAACAGAATTCCAGGCTGAATTATTATTTACATTTAAAAGCACCTTTTTAAACCTCTTAAATTAAAATAAATGTATAGTTTATTAAAATATTATAAGATGATCACCCCTGCAAACCACTACCCAGATCAAGAAGTATAACTTGACAAAACACAGAAGCTGTGTCTCAATCACAATCGTGTCTCCTCCTCTAAAAATAACCACTCTCCTTATGTTTAAGCTTCCTTGAAAGTTACATCACTCAAATATATACCCCTGATAATGATAGTTTTGGTTTGCTTGTTTTTATTTTTATGTGTCTTTTGAGTCCCTTTTAGTCTATACGCCACACTTCTTTTTATTTTTTTTTTTTAATTTATTTTTTTATTGATAATTCTTGGGTGTTTCTCACAGAGGGGGATTTGGCAGGGTCATGGGACAATAGTGGAGGGAAGGTCAGCAGATAAACAAGTGAACAAAGGTCTCTGGTTTTCCTAGGCAGAGGACCCTGCGGCCTTCCGCAGTGTTTGTGTCCCTGATTACTTGAGATTAGGGATTGGTGATGACTCTTAACGAGCATGCTGCCTTCAAGCATCTGTTTAACAAAGCACATCTTGCACCGCCCTTAATCCGTTTAACCCTGAGTGGACACAGCACATGTTTCAGAGAGCACAGGGTTGGGGGCAAGGTCACAGATCAACAGGATCCCACGGCAGAGGAATTTTTCTTAGTGCAGAACAAAATGAAAAGTCTCCCATGTCTACTTCTCTCCACACAGACACGGCAACCATCCGATTTCTCAATCTTTTCCCCACCTTTCCCGCCTTTCTATTCCACAAAGCCGCCATTGTCATCCTGGCCCGTTCTCAATGAGCTGTTGGGCACACCTCCCAGACGGGGTGGTGGCCGGGCAGAGGGGCTCCTCACTTCCCAGTAGGGGCGGCCGGGCAGAGGCGCCCCTCACCTCCCGGACGGGGCGGCTGGCCGGGCGGGGGGCCGACCCCCCAACCTCCCTCCCGGACAGGGCGGCTGGCCGGGCAGAGGGGCTCCTCACTTCCCAGTAGGGGCGGCTGGCCGGGCAGGGGGGCTGACCTCCCCCACCTCCCTCCCGGACGGGGCGGCTGGCCGGGCGGGGGGACTGACCCCCCCCCACCTCCCTCCCGGACGGGGCGGCTGGCCGGGCGGGGGGCCGACCTCCCCACCTCCCTCCCGGACGGGGCGGCTGGCCGGGCAGAGGGGCTCCTCACTTCCCAGTAGGGGCGGCCGGGCAGAGGCGCCCCTCACCTCCCAGACGGGGTGGCTGGCCGGGCGGAGGGCTGACCCCCCCACCTCCCTCCCGGACGGGGTGGCTGGCCAGGCGGGGGGCTGACCCCCCCACCTCCCTCCCGGACGGGGTGGCTGGCCGGGCTGAGGGGCTCCTCACTTCCCAGTAGGGGCGGCCGGGCAGAGGCGCCCCTCACCTCCCGGACGGGGCGGCTGGCCGGGCGGGGGGCCGACCCCCCCACCTCCCTCCCGGATGGGGTGGCTGGCCGGGCTGAGGGGCTCCTCACTTCTCAGTAGGGGCGGCCGGGCAGAGGTGCCCCTCACCTCCCGGACGGGGCGGCTGGCCGGGCGGGGGGGCTGACCCCCCCCACCTCCCTCCCGGACGGGGCGGCTGGCCGGGCGGGGGGCTGACCCCCCCATCTCCCTCCCGGACGGGGTGGCTGGCCGGGCTGAGGGGCTCCTCACTTCCCAGTAGGGGCGACCGGGCAGAGACGCTCCTCACCTCCCAGACGGGGTCTCGGCCGGGCAGAGGCGCTCCTCACATCCCAGATGGGGCGGCGGGGCAGAGGCGCTCCCCACATCTCAGACGATGGGCGGCCGGGCAGAGACGCTCCTCACTTCCTAGATGTGATGGCGGCTGGGAAGAGGCGCTCCTCACTTCCTAGATGGGATGGCGGCCGGGCGGAGACGCTCCTCACTTTCCAGACTGGGCAGCCAGGCAGAGGGGCTCCTCACATCCCAGACGATGGGCGGCCAGGCAGAGACACTCCTCACTTCCCAGACGGGGTGGCGGCCGGGCAGAGGCTGCAATCTCGGCACTTTGGGAGGCCAAGGCAGGCGGCTGCTCCTTGCCCTCGGGCCCCGCGGGGCCCGTCCGCTCCTCCAGCCGCTGCCTCCCGGGCGGCGCTCGCCGGCCTATACGCCACACTTCTTATCGCCCTCCTTGTCTGCAATTTATTTAAGAAACTGGGTGATTTAACCCGTGAATTTTTTTACAGTTTGGATTCCAATGATTGCATAATCAAAAGGTAGTTTAACATGTTTCTTGATTCTCTGTGGTTTCTTTAAAGTAGTTATTGGTCTAAGATGCTTAAACTTTTAATACATTGACTTTAGACAGCTTCAACTCCATTTGCAATAGCTACTATGTGACCTCTGAATTTTTGGTAGGCAAGAGGTAAAGCAATTGCAGCCCAGAACATCATGTGGAGCCAGGAAATGCTGCTAGGAGAGAGGGTGGCTAAGCTGACAGAGTTGAGGGCAGTTTTCCTGGATCAGTTTAGAGGCCATGTGCAAAACAGAAACCTTGCAGCAGGAGGGAATGACTTATCAAAGGGAAGTGGTATCTGGAAGTGTCTAGGAATGGACAGAAGTCAGTACTTAACACAGGTTGACTGGGAAAATGCTGGGAAGTAAATAGAGAAAGGCAAGTATACCCTGGGTTCCTTCAAAGCAGTTCAGGAAAATATTCTCTAAATGATGGTGGTTACATGCAACGTAAATGAGTTGATCAGGAATGCTCCAGGTCCACCAGCATGTTAAACTTTTAATGGTTGAGACGTTATATAATATTTTCTGGTAATTCAAAGTCTTAGCAAAACTTTGTGGTAAGGATATTTGTCCCATATTTCAGATAACTCTAAGAATGCTAGGAAAGGGGAATATGTCAACAAGAAATGTTACATGTATGGCTGGATGCTATTTTCTATTTTTTCCCTTTCCTTCAGTCAAGCATGTGGCCTGGTTTATGCTTCCTTACCTCACAGATATTTCAGAAAGCGGAAGTATCAGACAGTAATCCCTATTTATGTTCTCAAAAGCCAAGCCCATAGGAGATTTATTAATAAAAGATTTGTAAATAAGTAAAAAAGGAAAAGAGAGCTTTTAATAGGTGGCTGAAAGGGTTAGAAAAAAAAATGAAGGAAGAAAGGAATTTCTCCAATGGTCTACATACCTTTCCCGCGCAAAATGGAGGAACAGAAAAGATCCTGGGGGTCTAAGACTTGGGCCAGAAGTTCTGGAAGTGCCTTGAAGAGTCTATAATATTTTAAAAAGGGATACATGCATGGTGTGGCTAGGGACTTAGGGGCTAGGCATGGGGTTCCCAACCTTAGGACATTTCCTAAGCGTGTTACGGAAGCAGTCTGGGGATCTGAAAGAACTGTAGGAGTGGGGGACAGTAAATATCTTACCAGGGACTTTCTCTGTGCATGCAACATCTGAAACCCCTCTCCCCAACCAAACCTCAATGCCTTGGCCCTAAATAATCCTCCAGAGACTTGGGGGTGTGGTTGGGGTTAGAGAAAGTCTCAAGCATGAGAAGTGAGAAGCTTAGAAGCAGCAATTAGGTTGACACATGTTCTCACTTATAACCGGGAGCTAAATATTGAATAACACATGAACACAAAGAAGGGAGCAATAGATACCAGAGCCTACATGAGGGTAGAGGGTGAGTGGAGGGTGAGATTTGAAAAACTACCTTTTGGGTACTATGCTTATTACCTAGGTGGTGAAATAAGCTGTACACCAAACCCTGCAACACACAGTTTACCCATGAAACAAATCTGCACTTGTACCCTCAAAACCTAAAATAAAAGTTGGAAAGAAAAAAAAGAAAGAACAAAATTAAGTTGACTTATTTTTAATAGGCTTTTATTACACATCAGAGTTTGTGGGATGAAATCTGTCTCCATTACCCAATGCAAAAATCACTGGGAAAATTAGTATAACAAATGACCGCAAACACTTACATAGTACTTACTATGTATTAGGCGTTGTTCTCAGCTTCTACGTGTATTAACACATTTGATCTTCACACTACTTACTTTAGAGAAAGATGTCATTATTCCTGATTTAAAGAGGAGGAAATTGAAGCAGGCTAACGTTAAAGAACATGCTTAGGATTACACTGCAGCTGACAAGTGGCAGGGTCAGCATTCAGAGTCCATGTGGGTAGTCACCACTCCAAGCTTTCTCTCCAAAACCGCTGACTCAGGCACACTTTTTAGGTTAAAGTAAATCAGGACTTATGAAGTGAAATGTCAGTTTTCTAATGGAGGAACCAGATCCAAAATATAAAACCCTCTTTAAGATAATTTTTAAGATGAGCAGGTGCCAGCTGACTCCTCCTTCTTGATAATGCTTAGGTGCTTTGGAAACTCTTCCTGGATGAGAAAGAGATTCTTGTCCCTCTTCATCTGCTGCAAAGGACAAAGCCCCAGAAGAATAATATGCCAAAGTCGGCCTTAACATCTATCATCCCTATAACCTCATCTCCCTGGTGCTCTGACCTTCACTGGGATGGTATAAAGCAGAGGCTCTAGAGTATCCCTGGAAATGAGGAGCAGCGTACACTAACCAGTTTGGTTTAGAGTAATTCTCTCCTATTTGTAATTTTTATGAAAAACAATTTAAATATGGCCTTGGACTCATGATATTTTTTATGTCACAATAAAGTGGAAATTTAAAGTTACAAATCCCCAAAAAGGTCCTCCATCAACTCCTCATAGGATGTATCCATTTTTAGCTCTGATTATTGCAGTTAACTTTCCAAAGTGCTGGGATTACAGGTGTGAGCCACCACGCCAGCATATTTACTGTGAAAGTTTAAAATCTGATTTGAAAGCTGCTTATTATAAGCAATATAATTTTTTCTTTAACGGCCCCAGAATGTTTAATGTTACATAATATGAATATATATTTTCAAATGTAAAAAAAAGCCTTTTTATATATAAACATGTATAAAAGAATAAATATAAATAAGAAATTAATTGGGGTGGCAAAGTACATTTAAAATTTTGTGATGTTTTTGTCAAAAACGATTTGAACAAATTTATAGGAAAAAAACAAACAACCCCATCAAAAAGTGGGCGAAGGATATGAACAGCCACTTCTCAAAAGAAAACATTTATGCAACCAACAAACATATGAAAAAAAGCTCATCATCACTGTCATTAGAGAAATGCAAATCAAAACCACAATGAGATACCATTTCACGCCAGTTAGAATGGTGATCATTAAAAAGCCATCATTCTGAGCAAACTATCGCAAGGACAGAAAACCAGACACCACATGTTCTCACTCATAGGTGGGAATTGAACAATGAGAACACCTGGACACAGGGCAGGGAACACCACACACCCGGGCCTGTCGTGGGGTCGGGGGACGGGGGAGTGATAGCATTAGGAGAAATACCTAATGTAAATGACGAGTTAAAGGATGCAGCAAACCAACACGGCACATGTATACATATGTAACAAACCTGCATGTTGTGCACCTGTACCCTAGAACTTAAAGTATAATAATAATAATAATAATAATAATAATAATAATAATAAGGCAGGAAGCAACAGATGCTGGAAAGGATGTGAAGAAATAGGAATGCTTTTACACTGTTGGTGGGAGTGTAAATTAGATCAACCATTGTGGAAGACAGTATGGCGATTCCTCAAGGTTCCAGAACCAGAAATAACATTTGACTCAGCAATCCTATTACTGGGTATATACCCAAAGGATTTTAAATTATTCTACTCTAAAGACACATGGACATGTATGTTTATTGCAGCACTATTCACAATAGCAAAGACTTGGAACCAACCCAAATGCCCATCAGTGATAGACTGGATAAAGAAAATGTGGCACATATACATCATGGAATACTATGCAGCCATAAAAAAGGATGAGTTCATGTCCTTTGCAGGGACATGGATGAGTTGGAAACCATATTCTCAACAAACTAACACAGGAACAGAAAACCAAACACCACATGCTCTCACTCACGAGTGGGAGTTGAACAATGAGAACACATGGGCACAGGGCCGGGAACATGACACACCAGGGCCTGTTGGGGGGTGGAGGGCTAGGGGAGGGATGGCATTAGGAGAAGTACCTAATGTAGATGATTGGTTGTTGGGTGCAGCAAACCACCATGGCACATGTATACCTATGTAGCAAACCTGCAAGTTCTGCACATGTATCCCAGAACTTAAAGTATAATTTAAAAAAAAACAGTTTGAAAACTTCCCTGAAGTAAAAAAAGTATCCTTTGAGGAACAATGTAACGATGAGCTCAAGTTCCACAGGAAAGAGAAAATTAAAATTTATAAAGAATTTATAAATATCAAACTATTTTCATGTTTTCCAGGAAAAGTGTGGCTTTCTCATTCATTAACCAATAGCATAATATTTTCCAGGAACCTTCACTCAGAAGAAATGCTGTGGCCCTTCCCTTTACCAACAGAAAATGGAACACAAGAGACCACATAGCTGAACAAATTATAGCCTCCTTACAAGTGAGAAACCTTCGAGGCTACATAGTTTTCAGCCAAAGGAAAATAACCAACAGCTTCTCCACAGTGTAGACTGAAACAAGGGAAACATGAACATCACAAACTGTACCACAGAGGCCAGCATGGCTATAAGACCCAAGACCATCACTGAGAAGATGCTCATTTGCATGACTCTGGTGGTCATCACCACCCTCACCACGTTGCTGAACTTGGCTGTGATCATGGCTATTGGCACCACCAAGAAGCTCCACCAGCCTGCCAACTACCTAATCTGTTCTCTGGCCGTGACGGACCTCCTGGTGGCAGTGCTCGTCATGCCCCTGAGCATCATCTACATTGTCATGGATCGCTGGAAGCTTGGGTACTTCCTCTGTGAGGTGTGGCTGAGTGTGGACATGACCTGCTGCACCTGCTCCATCCTCCACCTCTGTGTCATTGCCCTGGACAGGTACTGGGCCATCACCAATGCTATTGAATACGCCAGGAAGAGGACGGCCAAGAGGGCCGCGCTGATGATCCTTACCGTCTGGACCATCTCCATTTTCATCTCCATGCCCCCTCTGTTCTGGAGAAGCCACCGCCGCCTAAGCCCTCCCCCTAGTCAGTGCACCATCCAGCACGACCATGTTATCTACACCATTTACTCCACGCTGGGTGCGTTTTATATCCCCTTGACTTTGATACTGATTCTCTATTACCGGATTTACCACGCGGCCAAGAGCCTTTACCAGAAAAGGGGATCAAGTCGGCACTTAAGCAACAGAAGCACAGATAGCCAGAATTCTTTTGCAAGTTGTAAACTTACACAGACTTTCTGTGTGTCTGACTTCTCCACCTCAGACCCTACCACAGAGTTTGAAAAGTTCCATGCCTCCATCAGGATCCCCCCCTTCGACAATGATCTAGATCACCCAGGAGAACGTCAGCAGATCTCTAGCACCAGGGAACGGAAGGCAGCACGCATCCTGGGGCTGATTCTGGGTGCATTCATTTTATCCTGGCTGCCATTTTTCATCAAAGAGTTGATTGTGGGTCTGAGCATCTACACCGTGTCCTCGGAAGTGGCCGACTTTCTGACGTGGCTCGGTTATGTGAATTCTCTGATCAACCCTCTGCTCTATACGAGTTTTAATGAAGACTTTAAGCTGGCTTTTAAAAAGCTCATTAGATGCCGAGAGCATACTTAGACTGTAAAAAGCTAAAAGGCACGACTTTTTCCAGAGCCTCATGAGTGGATGGGGGTAAGGGGTGCAACTTATTAATTCTTGAACATACTTGGTTCAGGAGAGTTTGTAAGTATGTGTGGTCTTGTTTCCTTGTTTGTTTGTTTGTTTTGTTCTGTTTTGTTTGAGGATTGTTATTTGGCGTGCTGTTTTCTACCTCTGGTCTTATCTGTGATACATAATTTCAAATAAACATTATCATACAAAAACAGAAATTTTGTAGAAGTAATAATAAGATGAAATACTAAATACCTTTTATGGGTTTTTTTTTTTTAGCCATTTCAGTTACCCTGCAATTAAAGAATGCCAAAAATATCTTTATTTGCAGAATTTCTTATTACTTATAAATTAAATACCTGATAATGCCCTCCATGGCATTAAATCTGAGATTATGGCTCTATCTGCGTACATATTCCAGTGGGAATTGCATGACTACATAAAGAATTAAAAGAAAGTGATGTGCTGTCATCTACTGCTTGCAGACCTGAGCTAAAGTCGTTTGCTGTAGCACTGTGACTACATAGCCTATTCATTTCAGGTAAAAATAGTACAGCTGGCTTGTCCTTTTTAGTTCATGATTAAATAAACTTCCTCTTTTTCTAAAATGGAAATACCTGGAATAAATGCACTGGCACTTTTCTATGTCTTTTACTATGAATATAAAACATAAAGCAAATAACAAGTCATCTAAATCTACTTTGGTCAGTGTGTTGCAATATTACCTGACAGACACATTGGGCCTCCTCCAATTCTAAAATCTATCCCAGCTAAGCCACCCATATACACTTTCACTGTAGCAGGACAAAGGTAGGAGTACATGTCAAATTTGGGAAACTTTTTAAGAAGCTTAATGAGGTGCAGTGATCAAATGACAGAATATATTATCTGAAGAACTTCATTGGAGACTATTACTCATTAAATTACCAGTTGCAGCCGGGCGTGGTGGCTCACGCCTGTAATCCCAGCACTTCGGGAGGCCAAGGCAGGTGCATCACCTGAGGTCAGGAGTTCGAGACCAAGCTGGCCAACATGGTGAAGCCCCATTTCTGCTAAAAGGGCAAAAATTAGCCAGGCATGGTGGCACGTGCCTGTAATCCCAGCTACTCAGGAGGCTGAGGCAGGAAAATGACTTGAACCTGGGAGGCAGAGGTTGCACTGAGAAGAGATCATGCCACTGCACTCCAGCCTAGGCAACAGAATGAGACCCTGTCTCAAAAAAAAAAAAAAAATTACCAGTTGTGCTCTTGGGGAAAAAAAGTAAAAGTTGAAAAACTGTGTTTACACCAAAGGCCACTCATCAGGATATGAGAATGAAATTGCGTCTCCCAGAATCCCTGTGGCTTCTGTGCCAGACTGTACCCTGGGGCCAGGAGGCTGCAGGTGGGACCTGAAGCCCTGGGTGTGGCCTGAGAAGGAGTGATTGCTCTAGTCACATGGAGGAGTACACCATTACAAAATCAAGAGTGATGGTAGGAGGACTGAAAGTTTGTACATTCTTGCATACTCCTAAGTAGGTGACCGTTCTCAACCTCTGCTCCTAGTCTGTCATCCACAGCCTCTCCCCATCTCTTCACTCTTCTTTGTAGGGAGAAGACATTGATTTGCCTCCTTTCCACCTCCGTGTTTTTAGTCCTTCAATCTAACCCCTCTCAACGTTTCTAGAATCTTGCTTCTTACACCCAACCTCCCTCTGCAACTTCCTTTCTCCCTCCCCATCCCAACACTTTTCCTCCTCATTCCTCTTTAATCTCACCTATTACTTTGCTCAAGTCCCTTGGACACAAAAATCAACTTCCTCTGGCCCTACTTCCCCATCAAGCTCCTACTTCATCTCTCCCTTAACTCCCTTACCTGGGTTTCTCCAATCATTAATCCACTCATTCTGCCTCCACTTTTCACCTTCCACTGACTTTTCTATCCTTTTCCATCTGAGTATGCCCTAGTTCTCCCCAAACTTATCTCCCAAAGGTCATTGGAGACTTGCCCATAGTCCTTCTCTGCATCTCTACCTGTCATTTTCTCATGAGTTACAACAGCTAACCATCCCTTTCATGTTTAAGCCCATACCTTCCAGGATATTTTGCTCTCCTGGTTCTCCAACTAACTCCTCATCTATTCTTTGTCTCCTTTCCTTCCTCCTGAGGTTTTGTCCTCAGCAATCACCTCCTATATCTCCATATTCCATCCCAACTTCGGCCATTTCAACAATTAGTTTCATGCCTGTGGCTCCTAAATTTGTGACTTTAGTCCTGATCTTTCTCTTTCTCAAACTGCAGACCCATGAGTTACATCTGGTGAGCCTCTCCCTATGAATATTTCTTTAGTACCTCAAACACAGCCTTTCTATACTGAACTCAAGATAATTTTCCCACACTCAAGCCTTCTCCTCTTTCTACCTTCTCAGTCTCAGATAACAGAATTACCATGCTTTTTATCATTCCTATTAGATGAATGTAATTCTCTCTCTTTGCCTCAGGTCTCCAACATCCAGATAGTCCTGAAGTCTTGTCCATTTACCTCACAGAAACATGTGTTTAGGCCACTTGCTCTCCAATAAGTTGGTCCTCTCCCCTAGATCAAATGTTATTTGATCCACCTGCCTCTGGATTCTCCCACCTGCAACTCGGCCCCCACACATCTCCCAGTGTGAGTTTCTCACTGAGGCATCTCCAGACTAGCAGCATTAGCAGCACCTGAGAATTTGTTAGAAATGCAAAGTCAAGGGCCCCATTCAAGACCTACTGAATCAAAAACTAAGAGTGGAGCCCATTAATCTCTGTTTTAAGAAGCCATCCAGGAGATTCTGATACAAGCTAAAGTTTGAGTCACTATTTTAGAGCATACAGTAGATTTTTAATTGCATTGTTCAAAATCCTTTACTCTTTCCCTATCAATATAAAATAAATTAATAGTCCATAGTATAGCATTCAAGGCCTCTTACTTTGTGGCCCCAAACTATCTTTGCAGAGTTATATCTCACCACTTCTTTTCACCTACTTCATGCTCCAGAAAAATGTGAGTATTACCTGTGCTTTCTAAACTCCCCTAACATTTGATCCCATTGCTTCAGAAACCTGGCCTCCATGGCTTCACATCTTTCTTCCACCAAATCTTCATATGCAGCTCAAATGCAGTCTCTTCTAAAAAGTCTTCCTGAGATACTTCTTCCTTCCCTGTCCCTATGGAAGTCTTCTCTCCCAGCTCTATGCTCCCATATAACTTCACTTGTATCTCTAATACTATATGCATCCTATCTTCTAGTGCATTTGTTTGTGTATTTGTGCTGTCTTCCCTAGTAGATTGTGAGCTCCTTGAGGGCAGGGACTGTGTCTGTTTCCTCTCTGTATCTCTAGGGACTCATACCATGTTTTACACACAGTCGGCACTCAGTGTCTGTTAATGTGAATGGAATTAAGTCCCTGGAGGAGAAAATATAAATGTGTCATCTTTTCTCAGTGAGAAAACAAAACTTCCAAAGTCCATGATGCAATACTGACCTTTTTTTTTTTCCAAATCTTACCCTGACATTCCAGGTTTGTTTCGAAAAATTCTGGGAAAAACTTATGTATGGAAAGAAAATAAATTTCTCATTGAATATAAGTGAATATTCTTTATTAATTAGGATTCCAGATAAGCTGTTCTCAAAAGAGGGAAAGGAAAAAGGAGAGATTCGATACAAGGAGACAAAGAATAATCTCTGCCACAAGGGGATATTGGTTTCTGTATGAGCAACTCAAATATTACTGGGAAAGTCACATGGCTGCCCAGCTAAGGGTGATCTGTGTACAAGGATGTTGGCATCTAAATTACAGGTGATTTTACCAAGATTGTGCCTATGCTCAAAATTCAGTATTTATTATGACTGCAATATCTAGAAAGTATATGAGCCACTCACACTGCTTTCCCATCATCCTCCAGATGTTATCTTTGAAAATTCTTGGCAATTATAAGAGTTTTAAAGTTTTAAGAGTCTAAGTAAATAAAAAGCAAAAAGCAGATACATAATAATTTTTACTTGCTTATTTTCATTAACTCATTTCCTAATCACTAGGTAAATCCTAATTAAATACATTTATCTCACAGCTGCCTCTGCCCTTAGCAAAGAAGTTGCATATATTTCCTGGTATAAACCAAACCTGTTGAAAAATAATCTATTGTTTGCTTTGCTTATTGAGCCAATAGTGCCAGCTGCCACTGACTACTATTGTCCCCTTTAAACTAAAACTTGAATGAAGTAATAGTACCTTTTAATAAGATCAGTGTTTCTCATGCAAACATTAGTATGCTAAAAGTAAACCCTAGGGATGGCATTTTGATTGCCTCCATTAGAAATTAGGACTTCTTAGCTTTCTATTCTTGGTGAAAGAATTCTTGAATATAAGTCACTCCCTGGTAGAGCTGACAGGTCCTTTAGTTACAACAGGTGGCAGTAAGAACCCCCATCAGCATTGCTACCATGGTCTGCTTTGGGTAACACTACAGGCCTCCTATACTTTCGGACTTCAGTTTTCAAACTCTGATAATTACGTATGAGGTAAGTTCCTAAACAAGTTCCAGCAATTGCACTGGCTTCCAGCACAACGCATTTTAGCTTCAACCATCACACTGGTCTTGGTCTACTAATGTGTGTGTGTTGCCTTTGCTTAGTTTTTAAGGTCTTCTACACACAACTTTTAACTCCATTATGCACAGCATTTGCAAAAGCAGTGATAGCATTCAAAAAATTAGTGAAAAGAAGCATATGACTATGACAAGAATACAAATAAAGATAATTTTTTAAGTAAAAGTGCTGAGAAAATGACAACCATCGTATATGAGAATGGGATCAAATCTTGCTCGGTTTTCAAGGACTGCCACACATAACAGGTGAAGACCTCTGTGCCTAAGTATGGACTATAATTAAGGAGAAAAGAAGGAAAAGTGGTTAGAGATATAAAAGTGTCTGAGCACCACACAGTAGTTTTAAAGGGAGTTTGGGAATGTGTGTAGATATTATCAGTTGTCTCCATAGAGAATAGTAATGGCATTTTCGTGGTAGCATTCAGTAAGTCTAAACCCTGCAGTAGATAAATCAGTCCCACTCAATAAAGGATTGTCTCACCCAAAATACCAATATCACCACCTGCTGAGAAATTCAGGAGTATCAGCATCAATATGGGATGCTCAGAAGTCTAAGGTTAATTTAGAAGTTGACTAGGAGTTGTTTGAGAACTTAAAGGTGAAGCATGGTGAACGTTGCTTACAAAATTTCATTAAGAGCAATGAAAGGTTTCAAAGTTTCAAAGCCAATTTGAATTTACTCAACATTAAAGTGAGGGTCAAGCCAGCAAATGAAAACACCACAATGATTAAAGAGTTTCCCATGACACTGACAGAAGTAACTAAGAAAGGGGCCCAATAAAATGCCTATCAGCAAAGAGGAGTGTGTGCATGGTATTAATGCTTCAGAGGATTGACTCACATCCTTATTTGATGGAAAACCTTACAAAGACTATAAGTATAGTCTCTCCTAAGCCACCTCAGATTTAGAATTAAAAAGAATTGATGGACAACCTTCAGACCTTAACTAGTTTATACATTGGAGAGCTTCTCTTAAATTGGAGAGAAAGCAAGAATGTTATCCACTTCACATGTCCTCAAGTAATGGTGTTGAGGTGGAATCTCAGGCACTGGTCCATAAGAGAAGGAGACATTTCAAATGGTAGGAAGGAGAAACTGGATATTCTTGGGACCCTAAAATTATCCAAGGACATTTAACCCTAAAATTATGCAAGGACATAGGGAATAATTTTAGGGTTTCAGTAATATCCAATGTACCCGTAGAGGGATCCTCTAGGACCACACCCTAGAGAATATACAGTGGTTTTCAGCCTTACCACAAAAATGGTTTTAAATTATTTTCTTCAGAATAAATAGGGATCACTCTGAGGGGAAATTCCTTCAGTAAAGTCATCTTTTGGCTGCCTAGAAGCACCTAGCACAGAGCATGGTGGCATATAATTTATATAATATATCTATTGGATGAACTTAATTGGAACGGATACACTGATTATAGATTTCAAGAAGTTTAGAAGGAGGCTAGGCTCAGTGGCTCATGCCTATAATCCCAGCACTTTGGGAGGCCAAGGCGGGCAGGTCACCTGAAGACAAGAGTTCAAGACCAGCTTGGCCAACATGGGGAAACCTCATCTCTACTAAAAATACAAAAATTAGCCAGTTGTGGTGATGCACACCTGTAATCCCAGCTATGCGGGAGGCTGAGGCAGGAGAACCACTTGAACCTGAGAGTCAGAGGTTGCAGTGATCCGAGACTGCACCACTGCACTCTAGTCTGGGTGAAGGAGTGAGACTCTGCCAAAGAAAAAAAAAGGGAAGGAAGGAAGGAAGGAAGGCAGAGAGGGAGGGAGGGGAGGGAAGGGGAGGGGAGGGGGGAGGAAGGAAGGAAGGAAGAAAGGAAGGAAGGAAGTGGGGGAGGGAGGGGGAGGGAGGAAGGAAGGAAGGAAATAAATAAATTTAGAAGGAGAACTATGTAATGGGTAAGGAGGGCACCTTCTCATATGGAAGTGGAATTGTCAAATACCTACAATTTTTTAAAGGAAAGGGAGTATCCAGGACAATGATAATGATACGAAAGAAACAGCAAAGGGAGGGGCTGAGAGATGGCATCAGCAGAATTTTAGGTAATCGAAACACACTGAACACCTGCTGTAAGTTTAAGTACATTGTGAAATTTTTTAATTGAAAAAGAAAAATAGGAATAAAAGCAATAATATGAAGCAAGAGAGAACACAGC